>NC_000006.12:82648261-83273261 GCF_000001405.40 Homo sapiens
GGCAGAAATAAATAAGTTATTTGAAACCAGTGAGAACAAAGACACAATGCACCAGAATCTCTGGGACACAGCTAAAGCATTGTTTAGAGGGAAATTTATAGCACTAAATGCTCACAGGAGAAAGCAAGAAAGATCTAAAATCAACATCCTAACATCACAATTAAAAGAACTAGAGAAGCAAGAGCAAACAAATTCAAAAGCTAGCAGAAGACAAGAAATAATTAAGATCAGAGCAGAACTGAAGGAGATAAGAGACATGAAAAACCCTTCAAAAAATCAGTGAATCCAGGAGCTGATTTTCTGAAAAGATTAACAAAATAGATAGACCGCTGGCCAGACTATTAAAGAAGAAAAGGGAGAAGAATCAATAGACACAATAAAAAATGATAAAGAAGAGATCACCACTGATCCCATAGAAATACAAACTACCATCAGAGAATACTACAAACACCTCATGCAAATAAAATAGAACATCTAGAAGAAATGGATAAATTCCTGGACACATACACCATCCCAAGACTAAACCAGGAAGAAGTTGAATCCCTGAATAGATCAATAACAAGTTCTGAAATTGAGGCAGTAATTAATAGCCTACCAACCAAAAAAATCCCAGAACCAGATGGATTCACAGCTGAATTCTACCAAAGGTACAAGGAGGAGCTGGTACCATTCCTTCTGAAACTATTTCAAATAATAAAAAAGAGGGACTCCTCCCTAACTCATTTTATGAAGTCAGCATCATCCTGATATCAAAAATTGGCAGAGACACAACAAAAAAAGAAAATTTCAGGCCAATATCCCTGATGAACATCGCTGTAAAAATCCTCAATAAAATACTGGCAAACCGAATCCAGCAGCACATCAAAAAGCTTATCCACCATGATGGCTTCACCTTAGGATGCAGGGCTGGTTCAACATATGCAAATCAATAAATGTAATCCATCACATAAACAGAACCAATGACAAAAACCACATGATTATTTCAATTGATGCAGAAATGGCCTTTGATAAAATTCAAAACCCATTTACTCTAAAAACTCTCAATAAACTAGGTATCAATTGAACGTATCTCAAAATAATAAGAGTTATTTATGACAAACCCACAGCCACTATCATACTGAATGGGCAAAATCTGGAAGCATTCACTTTGAAAACCAGCAAAAGACAAGGATGCCTTCTCTCATCACTCCTATTCAACACAGTATTGGAAGTTCTGGCCAGGGCAATCAGGCAAGAGAAAGAAATCAAGGGTATCCAAATAGGAAGAGAGGAAGTCTAATTGTCTCTGTTTGCAGATGACATGATTGTATATTTAGAAAACCCCATCATCTCAGCCCAAAATCTCCTTAAGCTGATCAGAAACTTCAGCAAACTCTCAGGATACAAAATCATTGTGCAAAAATCACAAGCATTTCTATACACCAATAATAGGCAAACAGAGAGCCAAATCATGAGTGAACTCCCATTCACAATTGCTACAAAGAGAATCAAATACCTAGGAATACAACTCACAAGGGATGTGAAGGACCTCTTCAAGGAGAACTACAAACCACTGCTCAAGGAAATAAGAGAGGACGCAAACAAATGGAAAAACATTCCATGCTCATGGATAGGAAGAATCAATATTGTGAAAATGGCTATACTGCCCAAAGTAATTTGTAGATTCAACGCTATCCGCATCAAGCTACCATTGACTTTCTTCACAGAATTAGAAAAAATTACTTTACATTTTATGTGGAACCAAAAAAGATCCCATATAGTCAAGACAATCCTAAGCAAAAAGAACAAAGCAGAAGGCATCACACTACCTGACTTCAAACTATAGTACAAGTCTACAGTAACCAAAACAGCATGGTATTGGTACCAAGACAGATATATAGACCAATGGAACAGAATAGAGGCCTCAGAAATAACAACACACATCTACAACCATCTGATCTTTGACAAACCTGACCAAAAAAAATGAGGGAAAGATTCCCTATTTAATAAATGGTGTTGGGAAAACTGGCTAGCCATATACAGAAAACAGAAACTGGACCCCTTCCTTACACCTTATACAAAAATCAACTCGAGATGGGTTAAAGACTTAAACATAAGACCTAAAACCATAAAAATCCTAGAAGAACACCTAGGCAATACCAATCAGGACATAGGCATGGGCAAAGACTTCATGACTAAAACACCAAAAGCAACCGCAACAAAAGCCAAAACTGACAAATGGGATCTAATTAAACTAAAGACCTTCTGCATAGCAAAAGAAACTATCATCAGAGTGAACAGGCAACCTGCAGAATGGGAGAAAATTTTTGCAATCTGTCCATCTGATAAAGGACTAATATCCAGAATCTACAAGGAACTTAAACAAATTTACAAGAAAAAAACAACTCCATCAAAAAGTGGGCGAAGGATATGAACAGACACTTCTCAAAAGAAGACATTTATGGGGCCAAGAAACATATGGAAAAAAAGCTCATCATCACTGGTCATTAGAGAAATGCAAATCAAAACCACAATGAGATACCATCTCACACCAGTTAGAATGGCAATCATTAAAAAGTGAGGAAACAACAGATGCTGGAGAGGATGTGGAGAAATAGGAATGCTTTTACACTCTTGGTGGGAGTGTAAATTAGTTCAACCATTGTGGAAGACAGTGTGGCAATTCCTCAAGGACCTAGAACCAGAAATACAATTTGGCCCAGCAATCCCATTATTGGATATATACCCAAAGGATTATAAACCATTCTACTATAAAGACATGTGCACACGTATGTTTATTGCAGCACTGTTCACAATAGCAAAGACTTGGAACCACCCCAAATGCCCATCAATGATAGACTGGATAAAGAAAATGTGGCACATATATACCATGAAATACTATGCAGCCACTACAAAAAAGGATGAGTTCATGTCCTTTGTAGGGACATGGATGAAGGTGAAAAACCATCATTCTTAGCAAACTAACACAGGAACAGAAAACCAAACACCACATGTTCTCATCCATAAGTGGGAGTTGAACAATGAGAACACAGGGACACAGGGAGGGGAGCATCACACACTGGGGCCTTTCTGGGGGTGGGGGCTAGGGGAGGGATAGCATTAGGAGACATACCTAACGTAGATGACGGGTTGATGGGTACAGCAAACCACCATGGGATGTGTATACCTTTGTAACAAGCATGCACATTCTGCCCTTATATCCCAGAACTTAAAGTATAATAAAAAATTAAAAAAAGAAGAAGTAGACTGTGGGTATAATGGAGACACAAAGGGCAGGGGTCTAACTCTGTCAAAGGCAAACATGAAGCTCATTGACGGTTTCACAGAGAAATGATTCCAAGATGAGTCTTTAGCTATATAAAATTTATCTCACATTTTACCTTCCAGAATATATGCTTTATAAACTGGAGAAAACCTGCAGAAATCCTTTTTTTTTTCTCCAAATTCAAAAATTGCACTCCATTTGATCTAGGAATGTAACCAAAAAAATCACATCATTTTACCATGTGGCAAATTTTCTAGTGATGACAATAATAGTAGTGACAATTACAATGAAAACACAGAATGGCATGAATTACTAAAAACTTTCTGACACCTGAGTACATATACTTTTTA
Organism: Homo sapiens; assembly: GCF_000001405.40. Taxonomy (NCBI): domain Eukaryota; kingdom Metazoa; phylum Chordata; class Mammalia; order Primates; family Hominidae; genus Homo; species Homo sapiens. The sequence continues at coordinate 82,651,877 of NC_000006.12, forward strand.
GGCTTGCCTGGAGGAATTGTGGAGCTGAAGTTAGTCCTTATTTTCCACTAGCCTTACTACTCATGCCTAATTGTAATGTGCATAGAGAATGACATGAGTTTGAGTGATTGAGTGAAATCAGACACATTGAATTTCCCAGGTCTGGTAATTAATACCTTGTCAAGTACAAAGACAGTGGTGCACTCAAGAGGAAAAGCCCGAGAGTAATTATACAGTGGCCAGGTTAGGGCTCAGTAAGTGACACTGACTTATTGGCCCTGAGTTTCTGACACTGCCTGTCAAGATCGATTTATAACAGAAATGACTCATCTACCCTTCTCATTCTAAGATCAAGTGTGTGTCCTCTGCTCAGGGGAGTCTAACTTTCTTTGGCAGACCGATAGAGTCAAAGTTTAATTAACATGATGATAAATCACATGGAAGCCATCGCGTATTAGCAATTCTCAGATAACCCATTCCATGTCCTATGCTGTCTTTTGCCTAGTCCCTGTGCCTTTATAAAGGAATCAATACAAGGAGTATTTAGTAGAAATACTAAATTACAGTATTTATTTGGGGGAAGAAATCAAATACAAAAAAGCTTGTATCTTTTTAGAAAACAAAACATAGGAAAGAAGAAAAAAGGAAAGACGGAAGGAAGGAGGAGAGAGACTATGTTGAGCATCTTTAAGATACAACTAGGCTCTTTCTCTTACAGAGCTGTGTATATTTTTCAGAAATCTGCTTGATACAACCAAAAAGGCCACTAAGTAGAATCTTACTTGGATAGAATTATCCAGGCTGGGAGTACCTACAGCTGGACTAAAAAGGGTTTTTTTCAAAATGACTAGGGAATCTGTGGAGACTCCATCCCAATGTTAGATAAGAAATTGCAATCCAGCAAATGTTACAAAATTTAGAAAAAACAAAAGTTTATGTGGTCAACGTATGCATCCTTTTTCCACTGTGGTCCAGCTGGAAGACCTGAGATCAGTTATTTAACCTCTTTAAGTTTCAGTTTTCTCATCTCTAAAATAGGGAATTTAATGGCATTATGTATATAAAATCCTCACTACAGTTCTTGGCAAATATTAGATACTCAATAAAACCTTAGTTTTTATCACCATCATCACTAGAATGGAGGGACTTGACAGAAGAGAACAGGAGAACAAGAGAGAATCCATACTTGAAAGCTAAGAGCTATTATCTAAAACTTACCCAACTAGGAAGTCCAGTGGTTTAAAAACAAAAACGTATCTTTTATTTTACTAAGACCAAATAGATTTATATCTCAAAAAATGTTAGGAAAAATTGCATTTTCCAGAAACTTAATTATGCATTCTGAAACTTCATAAATTCCATTAAACAAGGTGTTTATAATAGTTACTGGATGAAGTTATATTTTATAATTTGGTATTTTCAAATATTATTTGTCACTTGATTTTACTGTGCTTTCTATGTAGTGCCACTTTTTAAAAGGTAAACAAATTGATACTTTATATAACAAAGTTGAACTTATATAAAAACCTCAGTCTTCAAATGCAGGATGAGACTTAATTCAATTTTGGCCAGGTAGCATCTCATCAGTAAATCACTGCCTAGAATGTAATGCAGAAATAATGGCATAAGGCCCTGTCATTGACATAGATGTTTGAAGCAGTGTTTGAAGTCAATCAAGATCTCAGAAGCTTTGGTTAAAACAGTAATTTCCATGACTATGGCATTACTGAGGTTTTAAAATGTTTGTACAGGCTAAGGGATGGAAAATATTTATCAAAATTAGAGAACCCATACCAAGTTTGGGCACTGAAGATAGTCATCAAACAGTGGCAGCAATAAATATTCTCTTACCTCCTTATGTGGTCTTAAACACCTGAAATGGGGATGGGAAAGTACTGAGTCTGTTAGGACTGCCCCTTCTTCTGCATAAAAACATAATTTTTAAAAAATCCCCACTCTGTCCATACCATCTCATGGGCCTCCATGTCTCCAACATTTGGGATGGGGGTGGTGATGGGAGAAACTCAGGAGGTCACTCTGTGTCTGTAAACCTTGGAAGTAGAGACTTTTGAATAAAACTCTTCAAAAGGGGATTTCAGGCCTGGCGTGGTGGCTCATGCCTGTAACCCCAGCACTTTGGGAGGCCAAGGCAGGCAAATCACCTGAGGTCAGTAGTTCGAGACCAGCCTGGCCAACATGGTGAAACCCTGTCTCTACTAAAAATACAAAAATCAGCCAGTTGTGGTGGCGGGCGCCTGTAATCCCAGCTACTCTGGAGGCTCAGGAAGGAGAATTGCTTGAACCTGGGAGGTGGAGCTTGCAGTGAGCTGAGATTGCACCACTGCACTCCAGCCTGGGCAACAGAGCGAGACTCTGTCTCAGTTAAAAAAAAAATTGGGATTTCAAAAGTTGTGCTAGTTTAATGTTTACAACTAGAATCTGGGGCACCATAAAGCTAATGATAAGTTCAATGTTGACATAGGATTCTCTAGGCAAAATGGAGGAAATAACTCCAGACAGTTTGGTTTACAATCAGCCAAGTCACTGTCATCACAGCCACTGTCCTCATAGCTGCCACCATCCTGTGGCTGGAAAGCATAACCCCAGGGGCTCAGTGCACATCCATGAAGGCTACATCCATCAGATCTCTCAGCTCAGGTGAGGAGGACCCTAGCCTCACAGGCAGAAAGGGCAATTGCATTTGATAATACTCCCCAAGGTAAGAACAGAGATAAATGTCTACTAAAGTGCATAATCTAAAGCCTCCCCAGTTCCAATAGAGAAGAGAAAGGTTTTTAAGGGTAACCTAATTTTAGTGTCTCACTTAATTCTCTCCCAGAAATGTCCCTGCTCGTACCATGGGCCCCCACATGGAATTTACACTGGCAAAGAAACCAGGGGCTCTGGATTCTGTCCCTGGTTCTTACTCTATACCATTTTATCTACACTTCAAGAAGTCACTTAACTAAGCTGTGGTTCAGTTTCCATTTATGTCATATGTGTATGATATCAATTCATTGACATTCATTAGAAAAAAGTATCCAGTTCAGACAATTAATTACTAAAATTAGCTCCCAAATTCCATCTTGGTTCCCAAACCCTCCATTTTATCTAAAATGACCTAATTAAAAGAAAATTGAGATAGTATTATGCTGTCCTATAATGCACTTTAAAATACTCAACATACATAGTGTGATATCATGTTTATATTACTTACAGTGAGCTTCAGTCAGGCACTAATCAAGAATGCACAAACCAGATGGTCTTCTGGCATTCCACCCAGGAAATCTGTTCCCCAAAGCAGCTACCGTAATAACTTGAATGATTCACATCTCGGCCAATAACCAACACTTTGCTATTAGCTTAATGAATATCAGCAATGGATTTTTATTGATTAAAAACAGTGACCTGGTGAGTAGCATGATAAATTTTAGAACCAGCTCTTACTGATTACATTGAAGGTATCTAGGTATGGGTTAGTTTAAGGCATTTTGGTGACACTCAACTCCTTATGAACAGGGTATAAAATCCAGTGAGATCTATGTTTTCACCTTCGAGGATGACACTCCACTAGCCGGTCCTGTGTTCAGCCATTGGTTTAGGAGGCTTTCTAGTTGCCTGATACTGCCTATAAAAGGATGGATTCCTGCTGCTGGAGTATGGTTGTGTTTGTCCCCAATAAACTCTGCATGTAAGACAGGGGTTAGAATATGCCAAAGGACAGACAGAAGGGATTTCATTGGGATTACACAGCTGGTTGTATGTGCAATTTTATGCTTGCTTTCTAATTATATTTGTTTAAAAATATCTGTATGTGTAGCAGAATTTGATCTGAGACCTGCTGCTATAAATAAGTGATACTGCAATTATGAGGAGGTGTTTACCCTTATCGATTTTAACTTTCTCCAGCAGCTTCCTTTATCTGCCAAAAAGAGCCAAAGAGTTTCTGTACGGCCAATTGGCTTGCCACACACAGCTAGTAAGATTGGTGTAAGTAAAATTGCTTATTAAAAAAACTCCATTCTCATCAGGCTAATCCAGAATTTGATTTAATAACTGAGCATCTAACTCTTTGTATTAGAATATCAATTCAAATAAAAGCTTACCTTAGGTACCATTCAGGAGTGTGTTACTCTTGCTGCTGCTTCTCCGCTCATCTGATTTTTGCTTTGGAAAAGACCCAGTAAACATTTATTTGAAAACTAAGTGCAAGGTGCTATGCTGGGCACTAACAAGGGTACAATGGGATATGACTCGAGGTTTGGGAGCTTCAGGAACTTTCATGAAATGATGAAGTAAGCTGGAAGTTAAACTGGACTAGAAGTCAGGCAATCCAGGCTCTAGTCTGGATTAGCCCACTAGTACTTCTTTGGGCAAGCCAGCCTGTCTGTCTGAGCTTCACCTCTTTGTGTGACAGCAAAGGGGAGGCCCCTCCAGTTTCTTCCATTTTACCCATCTATGATGCAATTAATCAAAGGCTGTGAACTTATTCCTGCTGTGAGCCAGGCATTTTACTAGTTCTCAGGATTACAAAGACAAAAAAGATACGGCCCCTCCCCTAAGCAGGTCATACGATGTGAGAAAAAGTAGAAATAATCACAATAATAGTATATTTTTATAGTTTATATAATATTATGACCCCCATTTCATTGAGAAATATCCAAGGAGCTTAAACCAATTATGTTGTTTTTCCCCTCACAGCAGGTGGACGGCAAAAGTCAGAAGATCATCTAAGACTATAGGAGAGGGAAAACCCATCATAGTTGGGCTGAGTAATTTTGACTCAAGTTATAAAGTTGGATACTGATGTCACTCCCTGTTCATCAAGTATCATCTAAGGAATATAAAAAGACTTTGTTCAAGCACATATGCCCTGCTATTTTTCCTGGAATTTCTGTCATTAAAATCACTCTGAAGCAACATAACCATAAACCTTTGACAATTTTACCTGAAAAGGATAATTACTCAAAAAGTCATTTTTACATCATGATAAATAACCTTACCAAATACATGATAGGTAAGTTTTATTAACCTAAGAAAAGGATAAATGACATATTTTTAGCTCTTCTTCTCAAATTACCACCAACAAGATGTCCCACCACATCCTCCAGGTGAACATTTTAAAATCCAAGTCATCATCTCCACCAAACCTTTCTACCCCAACCACCCACACCAACCTTCTCCACCCAATTTCTCCCTCACTAATGTTGCCATTTTTCTCTCAGTCAGTCATATAAGCTTAAAATCTTAAAGCTAACTTTGATCCCTTTTTTTTGTCTCCACTGCTCAAGATCTATGGACACACTCTAGCATATCTCTTTCTCTCTCTCTTTTAAAATTGTGATAAAATATGCATAACATAAAATTTATCATCTTAACCACTAGAAGTGTACAGTTCAATATTGTTAAGTATGTGCAACCAATCTCCAAAACTATTTTCATGTTGTGAAACTCTAGACCCTTTAAACAACCCCACATTTTGTCCTCACTCCAGCCTGTCAACCACCATTCTATGTTCTGTCTCTATGCATTTGACCATTCTATAGGTACCTCATATCAATGAAAAACACAATATTTGCCTTTTTCTGACTGGCTTATTTTGCTTAGCTTAATGTCCTCAAGGTTCCTCCAAGTTGTAGCATGTGTTAGGGTTTCCTTCCTTTTTAAGGCTGAAAAAATATTTCACTGTGTGTATACACCACATTTTGTTTATCCATTTATCTATCAATGGACAGTTGGGTTGCTTCCACCGTTGGGCTATTGTGAATAATGCTGCTGTGAACATGGGAATACAAATATTTCTTAGAAACTCTCCTTTCAGTTCTTTTGGGTATATACCAAAAAGTAGAATTGCCAAATCATATAGTAACTCTATTTTTAATTTTCTGAGGGACACCATACTATTTTCTATAGTCTACCAAGCCCTTCCCTCATTCCTTTGCCCATGACCTCTGCCTTCCCAGCCACATTAACTCCACCTGCTGAAACACTCTCACCTCTTAGAAACAATTTCACTTGGTACTGGCATTGCATAGTCAAAATGCTCCCTCCAAATTCGAATGTCTATCAGCCTATGATTCATCTTCATAGCTCTTATGCATCCATGTATGTGTCCTCGGAAACATGCATGTGCAATGTCTTCTTTGCTACAGTGAAAAGCCTTAAAGGCAGGGAAGTGAACTATTTTATTTGCTGCTAAAACTCCAGCACTCTACATTGCTAGGCATACAATAAACAGGGAAGAATTGATTATCTTTAAAGTTGAAGGCTTCATATTTTCCTAAATATGACTTCTACTCTCACTTTTGAAATTACAAACTCTTAGAATTGAATCAAGTTTATAAATGATCCTTCCAGAGATTCTCTGAGAGCTCTTTATTTGAGGCTTTAATTTTCTAGTTTGACTGTCTGTAATGATCAGATCGAAGAGATAATGGCTAAATAGCTGCTTCTCTTGGGGCAATATAGAACCAGTCATCACTGGATCTCATATTGGACTTTCTGCAATTAGCTCTCTTTCCTTTAGTTACAATCATTGTCTTCCAAATGCTGTATGCTAAGAAATAAATAATGAATATCTAATATTGTAGGAGTCTCACAGTAACAGATTCGAGGAACAGATTCAGTAGGTCTAGTATTACTATGTCAGTGAGAAATTTAAAGCTTGCCTCCTTTTTAATTGGTTTATTATTGTTTTCCTTCTCTATTGGACAGATTATAATAAAAGAATCATGACTTTTGCCAAGGAGAGATGACATAAAAATAAGTTAAGACAGGAGAGAATTCTACATGCATGGTACAATTTTAAAATAAAATTATAATACATAATAAAACACAAAATGAGTTGCAGCTGTGGTCTGAAAATCTTAAATAAGTCATCGAAGAGAAAATTGACTAATAAACAATCTCCCACACACTAACAAATCAGTGTACATATGCAAATAAAATTAACTCATGCTATAAAAGGCTAAAAAGAAATCCATAAAACATGTTGTAAGCTGCCATTTTTCCAGAATCGTTGGAGGAGAGAGGCAAAGAGTGGTCAGGTCCTGTTAAGCCTGGGTTGGGGAGGATAAGATCACGAAGTGAGGAAGAGGAAGGTGGGAGCAAAACCAGGAAGTGACAAAAGAGCATTGAACGCTTGGTTCTGAGAATTATAAGTTTTTCTGGCTGCCTTGATACATCTTACCGGGCCAGAAGCAGCATCTTAAAGAGCCAAACCATGCTGCACATGCCTATCTTTTATCTCCTATTTGTAAGCTGAGACCTGTGTATTAGATTCATGTTTGTACACACTAACAAAGAACTAGCACACCATAAAACATTTAGTGCATGCTTAAGACATTTTTAAAGAGTGAAATACTATATCTTACAGTCTATGTTAAATTATTAACTAAGATTTTTCTGTGATTTATAACCAGGGTCTTCATATATTTCACTTTACCTGGAACGTCCCAGTTAACACTACAGTCCAAGCATAGTTCTCTCTTTCACTCTCGAAAGTGCTCAGGTTTGGAAGATAAATTTCATGATGAATCAATATAGTCATCTAGTTTATGGCAGTCTGAAAGTTGATTTCTAGAATTCTCTGTCGTCAACTTGTTTACTGGCCATTGTCTCTTCCTCATCAAAACAGAATAGATTATGCAAGTTAACACTGAAAAGACTATAACTCTGGATTCCAGATAAACAAATTTAGTTATGATTCTAACATTAGCAGTTTTTTATAGAAAAATCATTTTCTAAAGTCAAAGAATATTTAAAGCAACATAACATTTTATATAATTAATTTCTTCCCAATATGAATGTATAGCAGAAATGTTAGTACCTTCAACCTTCTGGCATATCATTAAATATAGGGCAACAGCCATACTGAAAATGAATTCACTCCATATATGTGTTTATGTGTGTGTATACATATGTGTGTATTTGGGAGAATGGAAACATTTCTGATGCTCCCAGGAACATAAGAGACTTTGGGTTATGGTTGCCGTACTTGGCAATGACTTCATTGTTGGATTTGTATAAAAAGATAAATGAGGGGCAATTTTTATCTTTTGTAGAAAAATTTTTTAATTGCTTCAATGTATCTTACTATGGCTGCTTCTAGCATGTGCCATGTGGTTTGTAGGAATTAGGAAAAAGTCACCTCTTTGGATGGACCCTGTAGAAAAAGGAGTTTTCCTTTCTCCATGCTGGACCAGGGCTAGATCATAGGCTGGATTGAACCCCTTTTCACTGAGAGGGGTGGCCCTGATTGTAAAACTAATTTTTTCTACCTTACAAAATAGATACAGTCCCATAAAGACTGCCTGTGAAGGAAATCACCATATTTTACATCCTACTTTTTCACTAGAATTTTTCAAAGGTGTCCATCTAAGAGGGGGATAAAAGCACCCTTTATAATGCATGATAGTGGTAGAGGGAAGCAGGTGGATTCTATTTTAGTCTGCAGAGAAGCTTTGGAAATCTCAAAGTTTAAAGAAACGTAACAAACACTTGATAAAAATCTTAAATCTACAATTCAAATAAGTAAAAATCTATGAATTAAAAATAGCTAGAATGCTTTTATTTTGAGGATTTTATTGCCAAAGACCAAAAGATTAAAAGAACAGATCAAACTGAGCTTAAAAGTCCCTGGTTTTTAATTAAACTTCTAAAATACTAGAACATGCAAACATGCTGTTCTCTTATATGAATATCAGATAGATAATCATCATGATGACGACAACGATGAATATTAAGAACAGGGCTAGAGAGGAACAAAAACACAAATACATGAGAGGGTGAAATTCAGAATGTGGTGAAAAGCAGCAGATAAAAGAGATACAGCACAGACTCTAGAATCCACACAATTGTCACAGCCATAATGGAGCTACTTATTCACCCAAAAAAAAAAAAAAAAATCTATGGCTGAGGAGGTCCCAAAATTCTGAAAGCAAGCCTTGGTAAAAGGCATCACAAATCATTTTTCTGATTTATGACCCATGTAGGAGTCCATTTCTGAGCATCCAATACCTGAGTAAGGAAACATACTGGTAGCTCTAAATTTTACCTCAAGCTCTAATTGCAATATAAAAATAAAACTACCAGACTGGCTTTTGTATAGATGTTGCAACTGGAATGGTGCTGCGTAGACAGTATTTTTATATATTCTGAATTTATCTGTCTGTTCTTCATTTCTGCTATCACAATGGTGCCCAAATCTAAATAATATAAATGTTTAAAGTGGTATTTTTTAAATCAAAATATCTGTAGTTTCCTAGAATAAGAGAAAAGTTTCCAATTTTGATGCAACATTTTTACTGACTGACAAACCAAACAATATCCACTGCACTGACCAGTTCAGAACTGAATCCAGAGAGTGCAATTCTTAAAAATTGCTGGTTGAACTGTAAAGAAATCACATCATTAATTGTTTCTCTCATCATGGGATTTTCTCCATCTGACTTTTCTATGTACAATCAACCTGAGATTTATTGACTTAACAGTATTTTAAATAGATTTGTTAAGAAAAATAAATAGGCAGGTTGCTTATACTAGTGCTTCCCAATCTCTTTCCATTAAAGACTCTTTTTACGTTTTAATATATCTTACAGTTGACATTTACACATTTTCCACTTCCTTTAGTGTCTCATCTCTGCATTCAAGTACTTTGTTTTGAGACCTTACAGTAAGTTTAAATATAGTTTCCTTTCTCTACCTTCATGTCTGCCATTATTCAAACAATCATTGTGCCCAAATCTATTGATACATGTGCTTTTTCCCCCAAAAAATACTTCAGCTCAAATCTTGAATCTTTAAGTTAAAATTAAGCTTCTACCCCCTCAGCCCCCACAAGGCCTCAGCACCCAGTTTGGGCCCTGGTTTGGTTCCTTGCAATGTTAAAGTCACACTACAGGTAGCTTGGACCCATTCTCTGTGAAATAATTCCTGTAGTGATTGAAAAGAGCACATCCTCAGAAACATTGGTACCAAAAATATATAGGAGGTCAAGGGTGCTTTTTAAAAGACCAAGAAAGAAAAGGAATAGCACAAAAATAAAATTAAGCACTAAAATATTTCATTTAGATATCCTCTAATCTCTATGAGGGGTCTTAGAGAATAGGGCAGATGAGTTAAAATTAAAGGAAAAGGAATAGGGGTGCATGCAAAATGTTGCTCTGCGCCTGGGATCTGTAAGTGTGGCCCATCACTCCTCCTACCAGGGACCAAAGGCATCCATGTTCTGTGCTCAGAGGAGCACAGTGGCACTTCAGCTAGCAGATCCTCTGAAGCAAAATACCTTCCTAGAAAGGGACATTGCTTATTAAAACAAACAAGTAAAAAAAGTAGCATTATTTAAGAGACATATGTTGGCTTGCCTCTTTTGTATCAGGATTCTCCTTATAATATGCCACTATGAGTGTCACAACCAAAATATCACTCACAGAGTACAGAGTCAATCTTTTAAATTTAATTTTCATTGAAAATAAAGTGTATGCATTCAGTTGATAACTAAACCAAAAGCTCCTTAAAGCAAGTGTCTATGTGTTAACGATTGCTTCCTTATATACCAGATAAGTTAATGAAGGCATGAATATCCCTTTTGAAACTAGAATGATGGATACATGCTGGCTGAAAGTGAAAACAAATAATAAAATAGCACCATTCGCAAAGCACATCTCTGTGGAACCACCAGGCTAAAGATTCAACACAAGAGCTCATAGTTTTCCCATATCTGCTGCCTCAAAAGCAAATGCTCAAATTACAGAAGCTCAATCCAAGGAATCCTTCTGACAAGCAGAAATATTACCTTTGTGCTCTCCAAGATCCTATTAAAGCTACCAGAAGCAGGAAACAGTAAAAAGTTTCTGCAATAATAATGTCAGTGATGTTGATAGAGCGTTAAGGCACTTATTAGGTGTCCCTTTGGAAGAACGGGGGAAAAGATTATTAAGAATAACAACCACCAAGGATGACCAGATTCATTGGCTCCTTGTAAGTGAAAGCCCCAGGCAGTTCCTGAGCCTATTAGAAGGTCTGAGACAGACAGGCCAACAGAGGATCAATTTGTATCCAGAAGCCAATAAGTAGACAATAACATAAATGTGTGGGTTAGGTTTGCCATTTTGCTGTTCTGGGGTTTCTCGGCAAATTTGGTTCATTAGTATGAGGATGAACACTCTTTAATGAAACCAAGGTTTATTGACAAACTGTGCACAACCCGTGAAAGCATCCCTGGGAGAAAAGGCCCATTTCCTCCCCTGAAGATCCCCACAGTTATGTGATGGTTTTGTTTATTTTTCTAACCAGAAATGCTCTTTTAATAAATAAAGTGTCACTTATTATCTCCAAAAGTCACATGTTTTACAAGCAATCTGTTCTGTCTCCTTTACTAGTCTCTTAATCGAATTCTCTTTCTGTGGAGACTTTGGTATTGAACTATATTGAAAACCATTACATTTGTCTAAACATCATAGGTGATAAGATTAATTCCACTTCTAAAAGATTGCTTTGGACAGCCTAAGACATGAAACAGAACTAGAAGCATATTTAATGTCACTAACCTTAGAGACAGGGCATTCAATACAATTCATTAAGCATAATTGAAAAAGAAATCCTACAATGAAAACGTAACAAGAAACATTGTGTAAATTAACTTTTTGAAGTATATTCTTCCCTCAGTGCACATAGTCAGCTCTCATTAATTTTAATGGACATAACTTGCTCATATATCAGCTGAAGAATTTCACCTGCTTCTTGTAAAACTGGCTGCATAAAGAAAAAGGTGCCCACAAAGAAAAATGGACATTGTTGCTAAAAAGGTTGCCTAAACAATAAAGTCTAAAGTCATTATAGTTAATTAAATCTAAGTTGTTGCATAGTCTCATAAATGAGGAATTATGAAATTAAGCAAATTGTTTTTTAAAAAAAGAAAGCACCTGGGAAAATAATGTTGAGGTCAGGCCACGTGTATTGTTGACTGCTTTTCCACTCAAAATATAATTCTCCCACCAATACGAACTGTGAGTTTGAGGGTAGAGATAGTGTCTTACTCTCTGGCACTACACACAGCATCCACCTACCACCCAAAGGGTGCTCTGTAGATAGTTGAATTGAAATGGACTGACTATTCATTGTTTCCCAAATTCTCTCCAAACTTTCACACCTCTGGGCCTCAGCTCATACTGATCCCTCTGTCTAGAACATCCTCTTATATGCCCAACCCTAATCTTCAATTGCCAAATCCCCAGCCAAGCCACAAAAGCTCTATCAAATGCTAGGAAGTTTTTCCTGATACTCCCAAATGAAGATTGTTGGATCAGCATAATCTCATAATGCCGTTACATTCTTAAAACTTACTGAAGACCCCAAAGGGTTTTATTTATATTAATCATACCTATCAAAATTTAAGAAATTAAAATGGAAAAATAATTTATCTATTAATTTACTAAAATAACAATATACTCATTTCATATTGGCATAAATAACATATTTTATAAAAATAAATCCATATTTTCTCCTCAAATGTGAACAGACATATTATTTAGCAATTTTTGAATCTTTTTAATTTCTTTTTTTTTTTGGTTGAGATGATGTCTCTCTCTGTAGCCCAGTCTAGAGTGCAGTGGCACAATATGGGCTCACTGCAACCTCTGCCTCCGGGTTCAAGTGATTCTCCTGCCTCAGCCTCCCGAGTAGCTGGGATTACAAGCATGCACCGCCATGTCCAGCTAATTTTTGTATTTTTAGTAGAGACGGAGTTTCACCATGTTGGCCAGGCTGGTCTCTTAACTCCTGACCTCAAGTGATCTGCCTGCCTCAGCCTCCCAAAGTGCTGGGATTACAGGCATAAGCCACTGCACCCGGTCAGATCTCTTTAATTTCTGGCTTAAAACAGAACACTAGATTCTCATATCCATTTCTGCACTCGATATGTTGCAATAAATTGTTGGGTTGAAACATTTGAAGAAAAACTGGCCCACATGACATGTAGTTGGAAAAGAAAGGAGTATTTTCAGTTAGCTGTGGGTGTTCTTGATATTACATCGAAATTCTACAAATGGTAGTTTCTTACATATTAGTTGCAATATGAAATCTGAAACAATATTAATGAACTTTGTATATTTTGTTACATTATATTATTGTTCTATTTTATATTTTGAATAAATGTTTTTACCTATGCATGGTTCATATTATGCATCTGAATTTTTTGAAACACTTCAGATGATTCCAATGTGCAGCCATATTTGAAAACTATTGCTCCAGAATTTATGATCAGAGCCATAAGGAATTAGAATGTGTTTCTCTTACTTCCACTAGCCCTGGCCATAATAATACCTCCTCTCTGTTATTCTGGATGTGACACACAGAGAGAGAGAGAGAGAATTTGAAGATTAGGAGAAGGAGGAAAACCAGATGAAGCTAGGAAACATATGTGTATCATAACAGATCTCTTATTTTGTGAGTGCCTAGTGTGCGCTATACATGCACAGAAATGCATGTTTTTTCAGACCCATGTAAGATTATATTGTAATGCCTCCTTACTTTGCAATGCCAAATACTTTCATGTATGTTTCTTAGAAACAATGACTACACACCTATTAGAATGGCTAAAATCCAAAACAGTGACAACACCAAATGCTGATGAGTATGTGGAGCAACAGAAACTCTCATTCATTGTTCCTGGGAATGCAAAATGGAAAAGACACTTTGGAAAATCATCTGCCAGTTTCTTACAACACTGAATATACTTTTATCATGTGATCTAGAAATCATGCTCCTTGATATTTACCCAAATGATTTAAAAACTTTTATGTCCACATAAAAACCAGGACATTAATGTTTATGGCAACTTTATTCACAATTGCCAAAACTTGGAAGCAAGCAAGATGTCCTTCAGTAGGTGAATATGTAAATAAACTGTTATACATTCAGGCAATGGAATATTATTTAACAGTAAAAATAAATGAGCTCTCAAGCCGCAAAAAGATACAGAGGAACCTTAAATCTACATTGCTATCATTGAAAGAAGCCAATCCAAAAAGGCTAACATACTGTATGATTCCAACAATATAACATTCTGAAAGAGGCAAAACTATAGAGACAGTAAAAAGATGAGTGGTTACCAGGGGTTGGGAGGAAGAAGGCAAAAATAGGCAGAGTATACAGGATTTTTAGGGCCTATGATGGTGAATACATGTCATTACACATTTGTCAAAACTCATAGAATGTACAACACCGAGAGTGAACCCTAATGTAAACTATGAGCTTTGGGTGACAATGATATGTCAATGCAGGTTCATTGTTTGTAAGAAATGTACCACTGTGGTGCAAGATGTCAATAGTGGGGGAGGCTGTACATATGTGAGGACAGGGGTATGTGTCCTATCTGCTCAATTGCACTGTGAAACTAAAACTAAAAGTTTATTAATTAGAAAACAAGGGCAAGCGCATTCTTTTACAAGCACAGTTTAATTATCAAAATCAAGAACTTACTATTTATGTGACTATTATCTAATCTACGGAATTTAGTCAAATTTCACTAATTATTCCACTAATGTCCTTGATAGCAAAAGGAAGAAAATGTCTTTTTTTTCTGATCCAGAATTATATATTGCATTTAGTCGTCATGTCTCTTTATCACCTTATAATTCCTCAATCTTTCTTTGTCTTTCATGACCTCGACATTCAAGGTATACAAGCCCTCAGTTTGGGGTTATCTGATGTTTCCTCATAAATAGGTTATGCATTTATGGAAGGATTAGCACAGAAGTAAAGTGTTGTGTCCTTTTCAGAGCATAATAATAAGAAGCACATGATATCTCTGTCTCATTAGTGACATTTACTTTGATCACTTAAGGTGATTTCTGCCATGTTTCCTCAGTGTAAATCTTTTTTCCCTTTGTAATTAATAAATACCTTCTGGAGACCTACTTTGATGTGATGTAAATGTCCTATTTTTCATCAAATTTTCAACCATTAGTTTCTTTCTTGGTTCTTGGCTAAAATTATTATTACTACAGTGGCTGCCAACTGGTGATGCGTCTACTTTTTAATTCCTTTCAAGTTCTCCCTTCTCTTTCAGCAACATCAAATATTTCTGTTATTCTGGGAGTGATATAACACTAACTAAGCAGCAGCATTGCTTAATTGCATTCTCAGAACTGATCAGATTCTAATCAGTCTAATTAGGTTTGTGTCATTCAGTACATTCTAGGGCATTGCTAATGGGGCTGCCATCAAGCAGATACTTGAAAAATCCCTGGTTGGCATATCTCTTCTAGGCTCACTGAAGATTTCCAACTGTTGTTTAGCAAAGGTAAGAACACTAAAAACTCCTTGAATTTTCCTGAGTTTTAAGATCCTTGACCCAGAAAAAGAGTGGATTCCTGGGGTCCTTAAAAAGGTAATTGGAGGCTGGGCACAGTGGCTCACACCTGCAATCCTAGCACTTTGGGAGGCTGAGGCAGGTGGATCACGAGGTCAAGAGTTCAAGACCAGCCTGGCCAAGATGGTGAAACCCCATCTCTACTAAAAATACAAAAATTAGCTGGGCGCAGTGGCAGGCACCTGTAATCCCAACTACTTGGGAGGCTGAGGCAGGAGAATCGCTTGAACCCAGGTGGCAGAGGTTGCAGTGAGCCGACATCACGCCACTGCACTCCAGCCTGTGTGACAAAGTGAGACTCCATCTCAAAAAAAAAAAAAAAAAAAAGTAATTGGAAAATCTTTAGACCAGCCATAACTGTCATTTCTAAGGTTCAAACTAGGAATCATAGAACCAAATCACCTCATTGAATTCGGAGGATTTAGCTTCAGAATAAACTGACTTTTTCTCCTATCATATGCATTCTTCTTTTAAGCCTATGCAGTGGAATTTTTAAACTTCAGAGAATGTATTTTTCAGTTCTAGAATCCCCATTTGATACCTTTTTATAATTTCTATTTTTCTATTAAGAATTATTACCTTTTAATTTATTATATGGGAAAATTTTCCTTTATATACTCAAAAATAGGTGTAATTGTTTCTTTAAAATCTGCATCTGCTAATTCCAACATGTGGATTATCTCAGGGTCAGTCTCTTGTCTTTTTTCATGAGAAAGGTCTATTGGTTAAGTTTTCTTATTTCTTTGTATGGCAAGTACTTTTTCATTATATTTCGAGCACTGTGAATAATATGTTATACAGACTCTGGATTCTGTTATGTTCCTTTGAGGAGTATTAATTTTGTTGTTAGAGCAGTCAGTTAAATTGGCTGAACTCAGACTGAAAACTCTATATTTTCTATGGTGAATGGTAGCTCAAATTCCTTTACCAGTTCAATTCCTTTACCATAGCTGAGCTGCTAGGAGTCTGTCCCACATGCATGATTTGAGACCACCCAGAAATTTGAAAAGAGTTTATGAACAGCATTGTGGACTCCCCATCTCTGGCTCTTTCTTCTCCAAGATTTCTCCTTCATTTTCCAGTGGCTGTGGTTTCTCTGAACTCTGTCATTTACTTCTTTTAAACAGTAAGACTGTATGAAGTACTTTAATAGCCACCCTGCATAGCAGACTGGGACCTGTACTCAGGCAAAAAGAAAAAATATCACTAAATGATATTTATTTAATTTAGTGTCACTTCCCCTCCAGTATTTGCCTGCTTTTGTTCACTTTCCAGTGCCATCAGGCAAATAATTTTTTAAAATATTTTGTCTAGAATTTTTAATTCTCTACAGAAGCATTGTAAGTATTTTGTCAATTACCAAAGACAGAACAAATCATCTTATTGATAGTTATTTAAGATAGTGGATTCCTCTTTATCAAAAACATGGTTATATTTAACTTAATTTCCTTTTCATTAATTGATTCATCCCTTCTTTGCTTAACAGATTCACTGTGTTGAGTGTTGTCATGAAACCAAAAAATGAGAAACCCTGCCCTTGAAAAATTTAAAATTTAGTTGGAAAGAGGAAACATAAACTCATGAAACTAAATAACATGCATTATTGCTTGCATGTGATCTAGCATCAAGTGAGTGTTACCAGTAAGAGTGTTCTTGTTACTCAAAGTGTGCTCCCTGGATGAGCAGCATGGTAACCCCTGGGAGCTTTTGAAAACTCAAAATCTTGGGTCCCACTCCAGACTTACTGAATCAGAATCTGCATTTTTATAAGAGCCCCAGATGACACGAATGAACATTAAAGTTTGAGAAGCATTTTTCTAGACGTTAAGAAGAGAGGGCTCCTGCAGGAAGTTTTAGGGAAGGTTTCATACATACTGAGAGATTTCGGAGATACATACATACAGAGATTTCAGGCTCTGAATGGTCCAAGAAGACAAGAAGAGCATTTTAGGTGGAGAATACGAGGCAAAATTAGGAATAAGTTCAAACTGGGTAATAGTTAAATATAATTCTGAAAAAAAAAAGTTGACACTTGTGCCAATCAGAGTGCTTTCATCTGCAAATCAGAGAAATCACAGCCAGAAGAGATTTACAAGGACACTATTATCTCACATAAGTAGGTCAGTTTTAGGGATGGGTAATCAAATAGTTCAATGAGGTCATCATAAAAGCAGGTTCCTTCCATTTTCTGCTGTGCCATCTGCTGATTCCCAGGATATTGACTCTTAGGCTGACTCCCCCTCATAGCCTCCAGATATCTGACTCAGTTTCAAGTATTCCTTGAGGATACATCTACCCTGTCTTTGTCCTTTTTTTTTTTTTTTTTAATACAGTGATAAAAACCTTCCCAGACGCTCTCGGGAGATATCCTTTCATGTTTTCTTGGCCAAAACTTTGTAAATTACACATGGTTTCACCAATTACTTGGAAAAAAAATAATGAGACCACTGTAATTAGCTTAAAACAATTAAGGGTTACCTCTTTGGTTGGGGAAGAGTCCAGCTATCCTTGAAAGAGATGCTCATAGGAGGAGAGCAAACAAAAACCAGCGTTCTATTTTCAAAGAAGGGGAATGGCCATTGACTAAATCTAAAGTGCCTGCTGCCTTTCAATATTTCACTTTGTCATGCTGAGTCTTACTCTAAAATATCACCCTTATTTGAAGAAAGGAGCAATTTAGGAATAAACTATAGCGAATAAATTGATAGGTAAATAGACAGAAAAATATATAACTATTTAGCTTTTCATTAGCATACTGCTCATCTCACCCATAAGAAGTCCTTTTCTATGCCACATTTAAAAGAACTTTTTTTAGTTTGAAGAGCATCATTGTCAATAATAACTCTAAACTATGCCAAATGAATAACTTTAAAATCCAGCCCCCACCCGCCACTTTTTTTTTTCTTTACTGGTTTGCATTTGCTTTTCTGATACTAAGAATAACACTTAGGATTTATTGAGTGACATCTGGTTTATTAAATGTCTATTTCTTCTTGCTTGTTAAGGGGATCATAACACAGAAAGACAAAATTGAGAGAATAAAAGTATAACCAAAGAGTAGGACTAACCTCAAAACTCACCATAATTAGAAATAAACAAAGAGAAATATGCTGAGAAAATTGCCTGCCTTCATCTGGACATCTGTTTGTACATTTGAAACCTTATTCTGGAAATCTCCATTTTACTTTTCTCCATTTTTTATGTGACTGAAAGCTTCACTTTCCATGGACATCTCTTTTGCACATTTTTTTACATTCAGCCTTCAAGAAAGCTCACCTCTTAAAAGACTAGAAGGTACCTCCTCCCTGCCTGTAGACACCAGCATTTACCCCATGCTTAAGTCTAGCACTGTCACCAGCAAAGGCGAAATAACTGGGATCAACTAGTAGAGGATGCCCTGCTGTACAACAGTTGTTGTTGATGTTGGTGGTGGTGGTGGTGATGGTGCTGCTGGTGGTGGCGGGAAGTGATTTGAGGCTCTGGAACCCTTCCAACTGATATGAATGGTTAAAAAAAATACTGCCCATATATTTATCACCATGTTTTGTGTTTTCCTCATTTCTAAGTGAAGAAATGACTCCTTCTTGTCTTTCCCAAAAGCCTATAGATCGAAATTAGAGGAAGCATAACCTAAATGATTTGTGTGTCCTAAACACTTTGTTTGCCTTGAAGAAAGGAGAAGGTAGTTTTAAGGGGATTATTAGAAGGATCTCTCACCTTCCTCTAACCAAGAGCTGTACTTAACTGTTCCAAATTGGCAATGTGGATTAATAGCTCGGCACCTCAGTTTGAGTCTTGAATTCACCAATGCTAAGGATATGACACTAAGCACATCAATTACACTCTTTTAGTATCATTTTTCTCATAATAGAAATGATAATTATGGTAATTGGGCCTGTTTATGGTAAAGATTAAATGAGAAAACATTTGTTAAATGCCTGCCTCCTAGTAATGGCATCTGTTATTATTTCGTTCTGTTTAGTCAAGACTGTGACATAATGTAGAAAAAAGTCTCACATCACCAAAAAAAGTCACTTGCATTTTTCTTTATATTGACATCCCAAATAATGAAAAGAAACATCCAAGAGTCACTGATATTTGTAGTGTTTTGTTTTTTTTTAAGTAAACTGAGTTCATCACTGGCTTGGAAATAAAAAGACTGGCTCTAAGTCTGACTCCTCTACCAAGTGCTGGGGATTTACAGAATGGCACTTAATTTCTCTGGATCAGAGTTTCTTGAAAAACTTGGATGAGATGATAACTCTTATCATAAGACTTAGGACAAAGAAAAGGAGTCCCTACTTTATGTCATTCACTGATAAGATGATTTATATATATCTTCAACAGAAAAGAAAAAGGCTAACTCATTGAGATAGCCTCAACTGAAATACTTTTGGTTTTTCCCAAGACTATGTCTAAACTTCCTAATTTCTTTAAACTCTATTGCATATTCAAGGCTCATTTCATACTTACTACCTTCATGAAGCCTTCTCCAATCCTACCAACTCAGGGCATCATCTTCTTCCTTTGAAGTCCCATGACACATTGCTTTCATTTCCCTCATATCATCATGTTCTGCTTAGTGTCATAATTTATTATTTTTCTCTCTTGACTCTCCTACATTCACCACAACAGAGCGATAAGCTCCTCATTGAACTGCTTATATTTTATGTGTAATTATTGCTCCTTGAAAGCAGGACAATGCTTTGCTCATAATATTCCCTGCAGCTCCCAGCATAGCATCCTCTACAGTGCACACACAATCAGTCGTAATGGTTGAATCGAACTGAATTAAATTAAAATGAAAGTTTTCTTTAATGAAAATATTTTCTATAATGAGGAGTCATTGTATTGCTAAGTTTCTATGTCATTAAAACTTCATCTTACCTTAGAAATAAAACTATAAGAATATAACAAACTTTGGGGTTAGAAGATAAAATGCCTGAATAGAAAAACTGTTAATAAAACATTTAAAAGGACACTTTCATTTCAGAATTTCTAAGAACATATGTTTTAGATCCTAACATTTCTCTTGTTTGGAGACTCCAGATGAAATAATAGTTGTGCAAATACTTTGTAAAAAGGAAATCATTATGTAAACATCATATTTTGGAAGTATTTAGTAGTAAAATATAAAACATTATTTTCTTGGTTTGAAATAATAAAAGGAAAATTTCACCACTGAGAATAAAGAAATAAAATCAATTTTTGTACTTACCAAATTTGACAGATTCATGACACATCAATAAGAAATATTTTAAAACCCTTTTTACTGTAACAAAGATGAACCATACTTTTGAAAGATTCAGTTTTTAACAGCTAGAAAGGCACATCAGTATTTTAATTTCTGTAATTCATTTTTGATTCCCAAAGCGATGACTGTAAGATCAGTAATAGGCACACAATCACACAGCCTGAGAATGTACTAATTCAAACTATTGCACTAGTTTCATCTGGTCAGTCAGTTTGTGGTTATCCAAATTAAAGTAGCCTGATAAGGCTGTTTATTTCATAAGTCATCCATTATAAAATATGGAATAGGTTTCAAAACTGTATCAAATGTTGTAGGAATATACCACACAAAAAAATTGGCTAAGTTTCTCCACATGATCCCCTAGTCTCTCCCTTTAATACAGGTATACATTTTTTCTGAAATTTTCTTTATTTAATTTCAATATATCTGTTAGAGATTTCCATGTTAGTTCACATATATCTTCTTTGCTCATTTCATGTATTCTTATCTAATTTAACTTAACCCAACCCAGGTAGTTTCCTTCTCAAAGCCTTTCTCCAGTAGTGTTTGGGTTTCTAAGTACCCTTTCAACCCTAACTATTATGAGATGACAAAAGATGGGCAGTAAATATGTTCCCAACAGAAATGAGTGTTGGCAACCTAATGGATTAAAAAGTCCCAAACTGGAGATACCACCAAGACACTACTTGAAAGTATAATGTTGCCGTTTATTACAACAAAAACAAAGATAAATAGATGGGACTTAAACTAAAGTTTCTGCACAGCAAAAGAAATAATCAGCAGAGTTAACAGACAACCCACAGAGTGGGAGAAAATCTTCACAACCTGTACATCTGACAAAGGACTAATATCCAGAATCTACAAAGAACTCAAACAAATTAGCAAGAAAAAAACAATCCCATCAAAAAGTGTGCTGAGGACATGAATAGACAATTCTAAAAAGAAGATATAAAAATGGCCAACAAACATGTAAAAAATGCTCAACATCACTAATGATCAGGGAAATGGAAATCAAAATCACAATGCAATACCACCTTAATTCTGCAAGAATGGTCATAATCAAAAAAATCAAAAAATAATAGATGTTGGCATGGATGTGGTGAAATGGGAACACTTTTACACTGTTGGTGGGAATGTAAACTGGTACAACCACTATGGAAAACAGTGTGGGGATTCCTTAAAGAACTAAAAGTAGATCTACTATTTGATCCAGCAATTCCACTACTGGGGATCTACCCAGAGGAAAAGAAGTTATTATATGAAAAAGATATTAATACTTGCACACACATGTTTATAGCAGCACAATTTGTAGTTGCAAAACTATGGAACCAGCCCAAATGCCCATCAATCAACAAATGGATAAAGAAAATGTGGTCTATATATACCATGGACTACTACTCAGCCATAAAAAGGAATGAAATAATGGCACTCCCAGCAACTTGGATGGAATTGGAGACCATTATTATAAGTGAAGTAACTCAGAAATGGAAAACCAAGCACCATGTGTTCTCACTGATAAGTGGGAGCTAAGCTATGAGGACACAAGGCATAAGAATGATACAATAAATTTTGGGGACTCGGGGGAGAGGATGGGAGGAGGTGAGGGATAAAAGACTACACACTGGGTACAGTGTACACTGCTTGGGTGATGGGTGCACCGGAATCTCAGAAATCACCACTAAAGAACTTATTTGTGTAACTAAACACCACCTGTTTCCCCAAAACCTATTGAAATAAAAAATAAAGAAAAGAAACAAATAAATCATAATAAAGCTTTCCTGAAGACCAAAAAATAAAACAAAATAAAACCTCTAGAAATAAACCTAGACAGATATGTGGTGAGAAAAAAAAGAAAATTAATGTTGCCATTTATAATTTCCCAGTGTCATTCACCAACCTAGCTGGCTATTGCTTTAGACAAAATGATCACTAATTACAGCAATAGGCTATGAGCCATATTTTTTATAAAAGTTTCAAGGAATCATTTCCTAGCATCATAGTCCCACCTTATACACCATATTGTATCAACACTTTACATTATTGCAAACTTTAGAGGTGTTCTTCGGCCTCTTTTCAATGGTTTCCTTTCATTTGATAATGTTATCCCTTTATCTCTCTGCACTAAAGGTAACATCACACCCCCACATCTGATATAGTTATAGCACCCAGAGCAGAACTTACAATGGAGAACATGATCAATTCTTCCAAAAGTACTGTAGGCCTACCCAGAAGCACAGTCATTATCTTAGCTGCTTCCGTCTAATGATAGAAAAATCTTTTATAATATGTTTGCGTTAGCATTTTTCCAAAAACCCTGAAATTTGAATTTGTTTTACTCCAGAAAGACATTAAGTTGTTTCTGCATTCAAACAACTCTTAATGCAATAGTTCAGTATACCCCAAACCTATGCTATCTCATTTTGTAATTTAATTCCCTCAGTATCATTCACCTTGGTTTTTGTTACTCCCAAAGGATAAAATCTCATTTGTGCAAATTTGCAAAATATCTTTTTATAAAAATCTTTTTTTGCAAACAAGTAATGAGTAGAACTAAAGTTCCCAAGGGGTTTCTGTTTTACACAAAAACAAAATTTGTAGTCCTGAAATGTTGAATGACTAAAATCTATATTTACCTGTTTAATCACTTGCCTTCATAAATCCTCTAGACCTGATATCCCTAATTAAAATTCATAGCATTCCAGGTGTGCACAGATGTGTTAACTGCTAATGCATACTTATCTATTTCAATGAATTGAGGAAACATGCTGAGGGTTTTTATTTCACAGTGTGGCCAAATTATGCTTCGCTGTTTACATCATTGAAAGAACTAAAAGGGTTTTCCTATCTGAGATTAAGGCCCAATATCTCACTTGAACCCATAATAACTAGAAACTAGGGAGATAAGAAAATCTTATACTGGGATTGAACAAATAAGTAAATTGATGGTGGACAGTGGGATCCAGGTTTCTCTCTGCTGAGAGGTTATAGATAAGTTGGAAGTCAGAATGAAACATGTGGTGTGGGCTTGGGGTCAAAGACATCAGTGTAAATTCATCTTTAACTTAAAATATATACAGATAGATAAATACAGAAATGATTTTGTATATGTGTGAACACATGGGTTAGTATACATACATATATTTCCTAGCTCTGCCCTCTGAGAGGACCTTCTAGAAGCAATAACATCCCAGGATGAATGAGCACACCCAATGCCCAGATCTTGGTTTCTAACACCATTCTCCAATGAAAGGAACCAGGGCTCCTTGAGAAATGGCTGACTCTAAGGCTGAGACAGAGAATATACAAATGACCCTGGAACATCATGTAGTGCCAGAAAGTAAGGATATGCTAAATAAACAAAATGATGGGGACCTGCCAAAGGTATACATGAATTAACCTGAGATTATTCAAAGGGGGAGAAGAGACAAATCTCCCATGTAGAAAAATTCCAAATAATTTACATAGATACTTACCCGTCAAGGAAATGGAGTTTAACTTCCCATCCCTTGAATATGGACTGCACTTACTAACTTGCTTTCAAGTGTTGGGGAGTAGGGAGACTATATTTACAGTGGAGAAACTTGTCAAACACTACCTTGACAGGTGGTCAGGGTTAACATCATCATTGACCAGTCATGTTGATAGCATATACCCTTGATGCTATGTGATAAGAATGATACTTTATCTCTGTGGTATTATTTCTAAAATCTCATAATCCCAGACTGATTGTAAAAAGGAAACATCAGACCAACCCAAATTTAGATAGTTCCACAAAATATCCAACCAGTACTCCTCAAAATTATCAAAGTCATCAAAAAATTTTTTAAAAATCTAAGAAACTCATCACAGCCAAGCAAAGTCTAAAGAGACATAATAACTAAATATAATGTGTTTTCCAGTAATGTGTTTTCTATCTAATGAGATCCTGGAAGAGAGAAAAAAGGACTGGATCCTGGAACAGAAAAGTCTGTTGGGGAAAAAACAGTTAAATCCAAATAAAGTGTGACATTCATCATACTCACCAATGCTGGTTCCTTAGTTGTGACATATGTACCATTCAGAACAGGGGAAACTGGGTGAGGAGTACATGTGAATTCTCTGTACTATCTTTGCAACTTTTCTGTAAACCTAAAACTATTCTAAAAGAAAATTTTATTTAATTTTGTTCATGTGAGAGCAAGTTTCAGTATGTTTCCTAAAATAAGAAACTTTGAATTAAAAGTTGCTTTGCTCTGGGACAATCAATACAATAGACATCTTAGTTATGCAAATATAATACAAGGATGTATTTTTCATTTTTGCGGAAAACCTAAGTGCAGTGAAATAACCCAAATGATAGCTATTTCAGAGGAAGAAGCTTAGCTGTCTGGTTAGGTAAGCTAGCTATGTAATAAGTTTGGCCAACTTATGACTATGCAGACTTTTTTTTTTTAATTTGCAAAGAATATGTATGAGTGGTTTAAATTATTGTGTGTCCTGGTACAGATGAGAAGTCAAGCTGGAGAAGACCTCAGGAAGAACACATAAACAATTGCAGATCAACTGCCAGATACTACACCATCATAGACTGGACTAGTGAAGGCTGTGGCAACATCTAATTATAGTTGACTATTGAGGAAATTAAAACATACTCTACAAATACTTATTTCTACTCACATAATTGGGAAGAGACATGTCCTTCTGCATTTTCATCCAAATTCTCCTCCAAAGCCAAGCAAAATTGACGCTGTTCTTATATACGGGTGCTGAGATCTGAAAAGACCACAAGATAAATGTGTTGGTCAAATCTAAATTTATTAGGTGATCTTTGGAGGAGTAGACAATCAATAGTCTGGTTATTTATTCTGAAGAAAATAGCTTTGGCTAATGTTGCTCTTGATAAGAATGAAGTCTCTAAATTTGAAATCATGAGTTACAAACTCAAATGTCTACCAGGTTTAAGTAGACATCACAAAACAGGAATCAAGGAAAATAGAAATCAAGTTTAGACAGATCCTGTCTAAAAGTAGTGGTGACCATTAGCACCAATTGACTTCTACCTTGTGGAAATGTAGACCCAATATTAATGGGTATTTTTAAGAAAAAGAAGAAAAGCCTGATTTTTGTCATGAAGGTTTTGAAATATTAGCATTGGTTTAAAAAAATGTAAAACACTGCATGGTCCAAATGACATATATCTGTGATATTAATTTGTACTAAAGGCAATTAATTTATAACTTCTGGCCTAATTATACCATTATAATTCTGGGTTTTAATTGTGTATTGTTGTCAGGCTTTTTCCAGGATGTTCAAATATACAATTAAAATATATGTGTCTTCAGTGTGATGAAAGAATCAAATTCAGAAAAGGTTGTTGCAGAATTGTTACCAAAACACGAAGGGTCCTGTCTAGGTCCTGCTGTTCATCACACAGAAAGCCAATCACTGAGCCAACAAGTATTTTTAGGGAAGAAGGCTTTAATCAGGTGCTGCAGCTGAAGAGATGGGAGATCAGTCTCAAATCCTTCTCCATGACTGACTATAATTGGGGGTTTATATGCAGGAAATAAGTGTAATCCTGTGTGGGAAAACAGAAATTAGGAAGGGGTAAGAAAGAGGAGTTGGTCAACAGGAAGCAAGTGGCCAGTTAGGCAGTCATGCTAGGTGAGGGGTCTGGCATCTCATTGTCCAGATGTGATAATCTGGTAAGTTTCAGTTCCTTATTACAATCTGGGAGGACTGATGGTTGATTTCCTGAGAAAGGAACTCAGATAAGACAAATCAAACTTTCTCAAGTTTTAAGACTGGGAGGTTCAATTTCTATGTTTACTCAAAAGAAACCATAAACCTCAGGTCTGTAGGACAATTGGGCCAGTTTCAGAATGATGAACTAAAAGAAAAATAAGAATAGTCATCTCCAGAAAAAAAGACATCTCAGGACAGAGATGGGGGCAAAACCTGTACTTCCAAAATTAGTAGATTCTGAAAGAAGTTAAATATAAGGGAATCTAGAATCTCTTTCACTTATAATTTGTAAGAATAATAGGCTGTGATTTTAGACTGTCAGACCCAACTGAGGACATGGCCAAATCTCCTTGAGGGTCAAATGTGGGTAGGGGAGAGCTGGAGGTCAGTGATAGGGTAAAGGGCATTCAGCAGGTTCACGGCTACATTCAGGGGAGATTTAGAATAATCAGCAGTGCCAGCTACAGAAGGATGGGTCTGAAAGAGATAGATTGCTGGAGAAATTGTAAGAGACAGTGGTCATCTCAGGCAGGAATTAAACTTGGTCATCATGACAAAGACCAATAGCCTAAAATAGGTTCATTTCCATTGTGACTGCCTCAGCTCATCTTCTAATCAGTCTCTCTGCCATTCCTATGTACATACCTGGCTTCTGTCTCACTGCCTTCGTGTCATCCTCCACCTCCACCACAGTGCTTCTTCAGTGATGTTTCCAGTGGTGTACCAATGGCAGGACAGTGGGAGCAGTTCACCCCAGTGCAAGCCCTAAG
This sequence comes from Homo sapiens, assembly GCF_000001405.40. Classification (NCBI taxonomy): domain Eukaryota; kingdom Metazoa; phylum Chordata; class Mammalia; order Primates; family Hominidae; genus Homo; species Homo sapiens. The sequence goes on from NC_000006.12 coordinate 82,678,977, forward strand.
GTGGGCAAATACAAAGGGAATTTAAAACAATAATAAAACTAAAAGTCAGTCTGCCTTTCATCATATCCATGCGTATGTAAGTCTAAACAACATCATTGATACGTTACTCCTACCCCAAAAATACTTTCTTGGCCTAAGTTCTAAACAATTGTGATTACTAATGAGTTTTAATATTGTATACATGAGCTTCAAATTAGCACATTTTTAATTGTGTATTTAGTAGACATTTTACTTTCATAAACATTTTTTACATAGAAATTCATCAGAGAATTTCCAATTGTACAATCAACACCCTAAAATGTGTTTCCGTCATAAGCTTGTAACAATTCAAGTATTTTTCAAGCTCCTTTCAAGAGCAGTTTTTATGTCTAACTTCTAAGGCGTCATACATTCCCACTTTTAAATACAGGCAGTCCTTGGTTTGCACAGCACTGTGGAACTGAAAAAATTGTCATGTAAGCAGAAACCATGCAAAAAGATCTTCATCATCAAAAGGTAGAAGATTCTTCTGTGACTTCTAAACTTTTTGGTTGAGACTTTAAAAGCCCTCTTAATCTCAGTTCTAAAGAATAGAGAAATGAAAAATAGTAAAATTGATATTTGTTTAGTACATTGTAATTTAAAACATTAGAAACATTGTGAATTAGTGTTTTATTTCTTTGTTTTAAAAAAACTTATCACAAGTAGTTTGAATGGTGTTTTCTTTCTTTTTCTCCTACAATTTATTTTTGGAATGAGCATTTTTTTCTATCCCTTGACAAACTGTTAGACTATTTTGAAGTTTGAATCAGCTTCCAACATTTTATCCTTTGCATTTTCAACATCATGAAATATCTCCAAGAGTCCCCTTCATGTGAAGTCCCTGGTGTCACTTCCTCAGAGACATCTTTATATTTCTTTTGTCACATCCACTTGCCTAATTTATGTCCATAAATTCACCTTCACCAAGTTCCTCTGGCTGCATATCTAAGTCTCAAATGATGGCTGTGTCAGCATTCCCGTGGTCAGCTATTTCTTCTAGAACTCCATTCATGTTTGATGTCAGTTTCATTTCTAGCATTATCACTTTTGTTCCTTTGTTACACTTTCATCTTTGTTGACCAATATACTGTTTTGACTATCCATTTTTGTAAAAATATCTTGTGGACTATCACTGGACAAGAAGGATGTAACACAACTACACACTGTACTATCTGTGCATGTACTACATAACAGATGCACGGTGACCAGTCACTAACAGACTCTTAAAGAAGTATCATGATTGGTCACCAATCATGATGTGAATCTTTTATTTACGTAGTGATTTTTGAGCTGAAGGGCTGGCTGTAAAGTCTGTATTTCATGCAATTACTCACAGTTAATAAACTGAACTGGTAACTGAAATGTGAACCTTGTTGTTGCAGGACTGGTGCTATTTAACTGCACTGTGATAACTGAAATTCTTGTCCATCAGAACTGTACAACATAAGGACTGCTAAAGGAGATTCACAACAAACAATGACAGTATAGTGATTTCAAGATGAATAAACAGAACTCGAGTTCCTTCTGTTAGTCATTCTAAGTGACTACTTGGAGTTTTGATTTGTGTTTAATGTTTCAAACAGTGAAAAGAGAACAAACTGTGAGGTTTTTTTGGTAGGTGTAAATTCTAAGCTCATACAGAAAATATTTTATTGAATTTGAATAATATCTTTAAAATTAAAATTTATTCTTATTTTTCTGATTTTTTAAAAAAAATCAGAAAAATATTACTAAAATTAATGTTGTCATATAGAGGAGGCAGTTGTTAAAAAATGATGTATTCTGTGCATCAAATATGATAGGCACACAACTGGATCTTTCTAAAAGACAGATCTGATCTTCTCATTCCCCTGACCAAAAGTTTTCACTATCTTGTTATCATCTGTGTGATTAATTCTTAACCTATATGACCTGCGAAACTTCTCAAAAATACAGATTCCTGGGATTTAACACATAGATTCCAAAGCAGTAGGTCTAGGCTAGGGTCTGAGAAACTGTCATTAAAGCCCATGTGTGGCTCATACAGGTGCTGATCCACTGACATACAGGATTAATTCTAAATTCCTTAGTGTGGAAAAAAAGGGTCCTTAAGATCTGGCCCCTGTCTACCTCTACAGAGTCGTCTCCTGCTACTGGTTTCTCCCTCACATTTTATCGCTTACAACTGCTTATAGCTACTGAGCCAGCCCTAGGTACGTGTTGTTCCAGCTTCCATGGACTGCTCTAGTCCCCAACCCCATGCCAAGGTCCACTTAGAAAACCCTCATTTCCATGTAAGGGTCAGCTCAAGGCTCATGTCTTTCAAGCCTGCCTTCTGTTGGGCTCCCTTGGCTCCTTGTCTATACTCTGTAGCAATTACATCATCACACTGTACTAACTGAACAGTTCTGTGCCAAACTTCTTGAAATGGCATGTCTTTTTCATTTATCTATTTCCAGCATTTAGCCCATTGCCTGATTATTTCTGGGTGTGTCTTTTAGGAATGCTTTCCACTAAAAGTAACAGAAAGCCAACACAGGCTTAAACAAATAGAGGTTTGTAATTCTCAAATAAAAAGTCTTGAGGGAAGTGGCTACTGGTGAGGTTTCATTAGCTCAACAATGTCACGGCTGTCTTTTCTGTGACTCTCTTGGCCTTTCTCTCATACCTGGGGGGCATCATGGTTGCAAGATAGTGGTTGCAGCTCTGCACATCACAGTCACAGGAAGGAGGAAGAAGGTAGTTGTACAAATTGTGCATATGCTGTTTAATCAGTAAAGCAAATCTTTTCAGAATTCTCCTGCAAACTTCTACTAAGAGGTATCATTTGCCAGAACTGGGCCACATGGCCACCACTAGCTACAAGGGGGGCTGGGAAAGAAGAGGATGGGATTGGTGTGATTCACCTAGAACAGGATTGGTGTGATTAAGTTAGAACGTTAGATCAATCATGACCCATGGCCTCAGGTGGCACATCATTGCTGTGAATAAACTTGCAGTTCAATTGGCAAAAAAAAAGTGGAAAAGAATGAGTATACAATTATCAGCTCTGCCACAGTAGGTATTCTATATACTTTATAAGTATAAGCGAGTGAATAAACAAATGCATGAAACATGAAGAAGTAAATATTAATCTTTGCAATAAGGACAGGTAGATAGTTCTTGTAATTGATTAGGGTAGAAAAGGCAAGAGTAAATACAGATGCAGAGTGATACAAATAAAAGAAAACTCAACTCTACAACTTTAAGGCAAAACAAAACAAATAAAGGACATAATTTATGAGTCTCTATATAGCTTCCTTCACTGACAGAAGCATCAGGCAGCTCCAGGCTTATATCCTCACAGGTTCAAGTTCAGGGGAAAGAAAGCACCACAGGAGCCACGAAGAAAGGCATAAGTTAACAATCAGGCTACAGTCACATAGCTACCCTGAATCCAGGGGTCAGGACTAGTCACAGCCAAGACTCACAGACCAAGTAGGAGAAGGGTGGAGAAAAAACAGGAGCTATTATCAGAAGAAAGGATGGATTGGATGACTGGCAGGCAAAAAGAATAGATGCCACCTCAAACAGAACCCACAAATGAGGACCAGGCATTCAGAAATGGCATGAGAAGTTAGCAAGGCAGGTGTATGGGTTCAGAGTCAACACGATTTGATGTCACTGCCCTCCATGTGACACTCCCACATCATTTAGTAGAGGAGCTGGCAGCACCTGCAACACATCATCTCAGCTTATCTTTTCTTGGGTGGTTACTTTTACAAAGCAGCAGTAAGAGGATAGATTAAATTAATCCTTCTCAACTTTTCATCAGAATATCCCCTACAGCCATGAAGGGTGAGCACTCTGGATTTTGGGGCAGAAGGGTGGTGAAATAGAAGGCTGGCAGAATATTTTGGAGCTGTCTGCTGCAAAACTAAAATTTATTTGAAGTCTTGTGCTTTTTACTTAAGATGTTTAACTTTGAATTTTATTCCATAGAATATCCATGTTATTTTTCAAGTGTTTTAACTTACTAATCACTTAATAGTTTCTCAAGTTTTTTTTTCCAAATAAAATTGACACTCCTAAATGACATACCATTTCATTCACTTTGGCACATAGCTATTTACCACTGGACTATACATACGGCAGTTCAAGAAGCATGGGATTAAGTAAACTCTGCACATTGTCTCCAGCCTGTTATTCTCAGGTAGCTCTCATTAGCCATAAATGTTAAATTAAAGCTGTCATTAGCCATAAATGTTAACACAGATGGTCCCCAAATTAGGATTTTTCAACTTTAAGATGGTGTGAAAGCGACAGGCATTCAGTACACCCCTCAACTTATCCAGATAAACCCATGGTAGTCAGGGAACATCTGTAAAATTGCCATCTTTGAGTACCTACCACATTCAAAGCAATTTTATATATTTTCTCATTTAATTTTCCCAATAATTCTGAAAAGAAAATATCATCCCCAAACACACAAGGAAGGTGAAAGTCACAGAAATTCACTAAGTCACTGAGAGTTAGACATTTAGATAATAGGATCGAAACTCAGTACTCTGGCTCTAAAGCCTGTGTCTCTTCCATGTCTTTCTTCCTCTCCTTTCAAATTGCTTCTTTACGCTTGAGGAATATCAACCTTGAATAAGAAACAATCTACAAATTTAAGCAGAATACAGAATAACTAATAATGCATTATCCTACACACACTGAGGCCTCCTGCACTAAGGCAGTGTGGAATAGTGTAGTAGACCTGGAATTAGGAGTCCTAGGTTCTTTTGTCAACCCCACCTATAGCAACCCCACCTATAGCATTGGAAAAATACTTCTCTGGACCTAAGGCTCTTGATCTGCAAAATAAGAGTGAGACCCGGTCATTTTTGCAGTCATATCCAGCTCCAAAGTGCTAACCTTTCAACATCAATTCCTCAAGATTCAGCAGTCTAAGTGCAGACTAACCAAGTCTTATACGCCTATTAAATGTAATATGCCCTCCAAAAGAGATCAGAAAGATTTAATTATAGGCACACTCTCAAAAACGGTATCAGATGAATGCTAACTCCAACCCCAACTTCTGAGAAAATAATCATAACAGCACTAGGATGATAACAACTACTTATTGATTGTTAATCACATCCCAGTTACTGTTCTAGTGTAAGTACTATCTCCTTTAACCTTTGTAACAACCCTACACAAAGTAGATCCCATTATCATTCCCATTTTACAGGTGAAGAAACTAAAGTATGGTACATTTAAGTAACTTCCCAAGATCACATAATTAATGGCAAACTCAGCCATTAATTATGTATAATGTAATGTGTAACGGCAAACCCAGAGTCAGACTCTGTAGTCTGAAGCGAGATGGTCATGAAACACTGTCTCCCTCCTGACCAGGCTGTTCTCATTGAGAAATGTGCACTTGAAAAGCTTCCTGGAGACGAAAGATCTTATCATTAATGCTGCACCATAGATTGATTTAAAACACAGAGTGTTTTATTATGCCAGCAGATGCATGCCAGAGTTGTGACAATGTCCATTAATGTCTAATTGGCTTTGTTAACCTTGCTGGAGTCTGTGGAGATTGCAATGGTGAGGTCTGAGGGAAAAACTGAGCTGGTGGGAAGGAGTCTGGTTGCAGTTAGGAGGCAGGCACCTGATACACAAGGATTCCCTGCATCGTAACCACACGAACACTGATGGGAAAGTAAATTACCATTAGTATTCATCAGCACCAGTCAGACATGCCTAATGATTGGCTTTCAGGTTAAGTAGAGAATACTAAACTTACTCAATAATATTCATTCAGTAGTTGTATTCGCCGGTTTTTACACTGCTGTAAGACACTGCCCAAGACTGGGTAATTTATAAAGGAAAGAGGTTTAATTGACTCACAGTTTCACATGGCTGGGAAGGCCTCAGGAAACTTACAATCATAGCAGAAGGCAAAGGGCAAGGAAGGCATGTCTTACACGGCAGCAGGCGAGACAGAGAAAGAAAGAGAGAAGGGGAGGAAGAGCCCCACACTTATCAAACAATCAGATTTTGTGAGAACTCTTATCATGAGAACAGCAAGGGTAAAATCTGCTGCCATGATCCAATTATCTCCCACCAGGTCCCTCCCTTAACACGTGGGGATTACAATTCAAGTTGAGACTTGGGTGGGCACACAGGGCCAAACCATATCAGTAATGCTTTGCGAGCTCAGTTGAGTAATGCATTTTTTCATGGAGACTGTTTTGGGATGGTGTTGTATGGAATACATTCTGGAAAATTCTGCTCCATAGAATATAGCAAGCTTTGGCCAGCAGACCACCCAAAAATGAACAAGTGCAATAAAGAGTTCTTAGCTTTCTATGCTACTCATCCAGGAGGCGCTGGTGCCCCAGACAGCTGAAGCATTTAAGAGAAAGTAGATTCTCATGTTTGTTGAACCTCACTCAAACCAAGGGCAAGACCGAAATGTCTCCATCAATATGCAAAACTTTTTACTTTGAATTGGACATTTATTATAGATAAGACATTCTGATAGGCACTTTACATACCTTAAATTGTTTAAAGTTTAAGCATCTTTATCATTTTTAGATGTATAAAAGATGATTTTTAAAAATAGAACACTTGCTGGTAACCAACTTAGTGTTAAGATTATTTTCTTAAATTCAACTAGTTGATTAAAATTAGGTGGAGGGAATGAGGGATTGACACGAGGTGATGTCTTTTAATTTATCTACTTAATAGAATTGAAAGATCCCAACAGGTTCTTCCTGCTCAATACACAAACAAAGACCATAGCATTGCAGTAAAGAAAGAGTTTAATGGACACAAGGGTGGCCATGCCATGTGGGGGACAGTTATTACTCGAATAAATCTCATCTTAGGTTAGGGGTTTTCCAAAGGTAGTTTGGGGGAAGAGGTGGAGGTGGCTAGGCAATGGGTACTTACTGCTGATTGGTTGGGGGTGCAATCATAGGGATATAGGAAATTATCCTCCTGCTGGCTGAAGTGCTTCTGGGTGGAGACACAGGAGTGGTTAGCAGGTCCAGGTAGAGCCATCATTGGTGTTAGACATGCAAAAAACCTGAAAAGTTATCTCCAAAGGGCAATCTTAGGTTTTACAATAATGATGTTATCTGCAGAAGTAATTGAGAAAGTTGTATATCTTGTGACCTCCAGAAGAAATGGCTGGCAATGCTCATATGTTAGCAGAATCCAGGCTTTTCTATCTTCCTAGCCTGGTGGTCTCATTAAGCTTTACAAAGATGGCTGTGTTTGGGGGAAGGGCTATTATCATATAAACTATAAATGTCTCCCAAAGTTAGCCCAGCCTATGCCCAGGAACAATTAAGTCAGCTTGAAGGCTAAAGGCAAGAGGGGGTTGTCTAGATCAGATATCCTCCACTGTCATAATTTTCTTACTGTTACTATTTTTGCAAAGGTGGTTTCTGAATTGTCACAAACATCATACCCAAGTTAAATAACTTGCTATTTTCTATTTTTATCCTTCTTTTAAAAAATAATTTTAGATTTTGATTCAAAGATAGAGCTCATTTTTGCCACTGAATTCTCTAAGAATTTCTATCAAGGAGGAAGTCTTGATTAGATCAGTGAATCTCAGATATTTATAGTCCTTGGAAGAAACAGGTTACCAAAAAAAGAGGGAAAATGAAAGATGGTTCCTTTAAGAAATGAACAAAGAAGGAATATACGTCCCAACCACAAGAAGCAAATGGAAGGAAACGGCTGGCTTCAGAATGTTAATATCATCACTGCAAATTAGTTTTCATATAAGTAATTAATCAACTTTTGTCACTTTTTGCGATTCATTGTGAACATTCTGCATGAGGTCCGTCCTTCACTGTGCTACTTCAAGTTTAAAAGCCTGAGGCTTTTAGAACTTGCCTTATGACATTGTCGAGGCCCTTTTTATAGTCTAATTAACATGCCAGAAATTTCAAGCCAACAAAAGATACAATGGTACCATTTTTCAGCTTTGAAGAACTTTTTCATGCCCACTTCAAGCACTTCTTACACTTCTGGCCCTCTCTGCTCAGATACCAACCTCACTGGAGGGACTGGCTTTAAGCTTCATGAAGGGCCCCACCCTTCCTGTTCACTCAGTGGGACCATTCATGAGAGGAAATAATGACATTACATTATGCAATCTTCCCTATATGTAACCTCTCCTAATAGAGCCTTTTTGATGGAATTTTTAGGATCCACGGCCACCAGGATTAAGCTACATACTCTAAGCTAAGGACCACACTGGACTGGAGCAAATATAACAGATCTCAGCACGGATTGCCTTGGTACCAGAGTCCCTAACAAGCCCACATGCTGCCAGTCACACTGTCCACACAGAATCTTGGGGGATCTGGAACACTCCATCCTGGCTTTAAGTTACCACCACTACCAAACTACTGCCCTTTTCTATTAAGGCTTAAATTGCCAATATAGCAATACAGAAGAACCTATACTCACAAGCATTCACTTCTGTTTAAAGGGATGTTTACAAACAACAGGATTTCTTGTTTCTTGAACCTAACTTAGCAGCAAGATGAGTTCTCACCCGGGGGAGAAATTATATATACAATTTATTAGTAGTTCTATTACATATGTAAATGTGCCCATTATAGAATATAAAGAGAAACAGAAAGGAGTAAAATTAATCACTCATAAATACCTATATTAACAATTTAAATAGGCTTCTTTTCACCTTTTTTCTCCTGTAACTTGTATTATAGGAAAATGAAAGTAGTTGAAACTGTAAGTGAATTTTAGCCAAATATTTTTCCTAAATAAGCCAGCCAAAAGATGCTCTCCCCCAAGTCCTCTGAGATCTAATGCTGGACAAGAGGTACTGTGCCCCATCACCAACCACCCACATGGAAGCAGGACTCAGGACATCATGAGCTGCACATTTCTTATTTTGCTCACAGTCAAGCTGCGCAGGCAGAAGGGGTGAGGATTATTAATCAGAGAAAGTGAGATGAACTACCAGCTCTCTCTCCTCTGCTCCTCAAAGAATTCTTTCACTTCCTCTGCCTGTTTCCTGTCCTCACCCAGGGTGGCCCATGTTCTCCCATGGCGCTCTCCTCTGCTGCTCCGCTGCTTTCCTGAAGGGCAGCAAAAGGCCTCCCGGTGTCCACAGCATCTGGTGCTGCTTCAAAGCCAATCACTAAACCAGCCAACTATCTGCCCTTGTGATTTGCCCAGGCGAATCTTCCAAGGCCAGTCGTGTCAAATTGGAAGCTCCGGGAACCTCTGTGCAAATGAATTCTAAAATCCTCCTTACCTTTACAGCAATCTCACAGAGATTTATGTTGTCACCAAGAGGAAAACATAAACCTTTCTGCCGTCACTGAGGTACTCCAAGTGTGACTGCCTTTACTGCAACTCTCCAAGAGTGAACTCTGCATGAAAAATAAAATTTCGGTCTTAACATCAGCTTTACTGTGAAATGGGCTGGAATTCTTCAAGAGACTAATTTATAAATGAATTCCGAGAATCTGAACAAGAAGTATCTGAAAGGGAAAACTTAAACGATACATAAATAGGTGAAAATACGTTCAACCTCATTAACGATCAAAGGTATGCTAAACAAAACATACATGTTTTTGCTTATCTAACTAGAAATGATTTTTTAAAGTTATATTTGATGTCAGTGTAGAATGTTGGGAAACTTGTTAGTCAGGTTTCCCAACATTCTACTGGTGGGAAATTGGTAAAAGCAAATTGGGGAATTTATATTAACAGTAGAAACTATGCATAATCTCTCAGTAAACAATTCTACTTATGATCCTAAGGATAAAATTAGTAGCACGCAAGAAGATTTGATAATAGCAGAAACTGGAAAAATATACAAGAATGAGTAGTTATTAAATATGGTATCTTCACTTGACAGAATACTCTACAGCCATTAACAAGGAGCTGGAGGAAGAGGTTTATACGTGAGAAAAAGCTAGTTATGAAACAACACATACAATATAGCCCCAGTTTAGTGGAAATACATACACCTAGAAAAGGGTTTAGAGAGGAGTCATCAGTGGTTATCTCAGAGTGGGGTGGACACAAGGCTAGCAGGATGGCATGCAGTTAAGAGTAAGGGGATTGAACATACTTGGATGCATATCCTAACTCTGCCACTCTGGGAACTGGGGCAATTTTCTCACAGACTCCTTATTTGTAAAATGGGGATAATGTGACTACTTAGGGCTTGTTAAAGGATTAAAAGAAATGGTTTTAATAAAGTACATAGCACAGTATTTGGTACAAACAAAAACTAACTTATAGATCTGCAGATTTTTTATCTGTAATTATCAATTTTCTATGATAAATACATATTTTATAATGAAAGTCATTTAAAAAATGTAAACAAATAAAGAATTCTAATTAATGATATACACATTTAAGTGATTAGAAGGGAAGTATACTAATGTTTGCAATTTACTTTGAAATACACCAAAACATAAGATGGATTGATGGTGGATACACAAAAGTTTACTGCAAAATTCTTTCAACTTTGTGGTATGTTTGAAAATATAAAATGTTGGTAAAAAGGAATATCACCTTAAATGTATTATCTTTTTTATTTATATAAGTAAGATGGCCGGGCACAGTGGTTCATCCCTGTAATCCCAGCACTTTGGGAGGCCGAGGCGGGTGCATTGCTTGAGGCCAGGAGTTCAAGACCAGACTAGGCGACAGGGTGAAACCCCGTCTCTCTACTCAAAATAACAAAGAAAGAAAGAGAGAGAGAGGGGAAGGAAGGAAGGAAGGAAAAGAAAGGAAGGAAGGAAGGAAGGAAGGAAGGAAGGAAGGAAGGAAAGAAGGAAGGAAGGAAGGAAGGAAGGAAATAAATTAGCTGGCCCTGGTGGTGCATGCTTGTAGTCCCAGCTACTGGGGAGGCTGAGGTAGGAGAATCACCTGAACCCAGGAGGTCAAGGCTTCAGTGAGCCAAGATCACACCATTGCACTCCAGCCTGAGCAACCAGAGTGAGACTCTATCTCAGGAAAAGAAAAAAAAAAAAAAAAAGGAAAAGATCTTCATTTTAACAGAGCATGAAATTAACACATGAAGAAAAAGTTAGTAATTTCTCTAACATACTCCTCACCAATTCCACTCTGCTGGAAAGGTATTTTTTGTATCTTTCCACATTTTTATACTCATAAATTTAAAAGAAACTGTTTTTTCATAAGATTTTATCATTCATATTACTTGCAACCCCTGTTTTTTACATTTGGAAAAGTAATTTTTGTTTAAAAAACAAAGAATGAGATCTACCTCTTACTAATGAACCTATAAATAGCAAATAAATTTTCTTTATACATAAGATAGAAGAACATAGCTTTTTCCCATATGCGGTTTTTTTTATTACTCAAAATTTTAGGAGCCTTCATAGCAAGAGATAAAATACTTTGGTTTTTAAAATACTTTCATTATTGTTATATTAAAATACAACATAGCTTGGTGCCTGCGCATCCTACTGTGAGCTAGCGTTTATTACCGTCTCCTCCCATGGGTTCCAAGTCCACTCACCTCTGTCTTCGGTGGCAGTATTGCTAGCATTACACTTGAGGTCACTTTCTGCAGGCACCACTGTAGCCCAAGATAAAGATAAAAATGTACCTGAGATTCACAGCCTCTGAATATGCAGGACCACAATTCCCATTACATATGTACACTGAATGTGAAGAAAACAAAACAAAATAACAACGGTAACAAAACTGTATAAATATAGCGTGTGTAAGGGGTTGTTATCTACCCCACAGAAGCAGACTGGACTCTACTCAAGATTTCCAAGGAAACTATCTTTTGTTAATGCTTTGAAAATGTCCTCTCTGTTATTTTCTCCGCTTTTTCTTTATGAAACTCCTATTTTCTTAGGATACTGAACCTCCTAGATTAAGCCTTTAATTATCTTAGCTTTTCTCCCTTATTATCTATTTCTTTAATGTTACTTCTTCCTGGGTGTTTTCCTTGACTTCATCTTCTTGAATGATGAGCATTCTTAATTTCAACTATAATTTTTAATTTCTAAGTGCTTTTTGCTCTGACCAGACTGGTTTCATTAATTTGCATTCTTGTTTTATGTCACTAAAGATATGAAAAAGCAATACTTTATAGCATTTTTTCCATTCCTTGATTTGCCTCTGTTAACTCTTAGTGTATTTTTATTATTACCTTTTGGGGCAGGAGTACCTTTACTTTTACCTTTACTTTTACTTTACTGTACCTTTACTTTTCATGTTGAAGGTTTTCCTTAAATATCTGGTTATTTTCTCCTATTTAAAAACAAGACATTAAAATGATGATTGGAAGCCCCACTCTATTGGTGGCATCTTAGTTCATTTTGTGCTGTTAGAACAAAATGCCACTGACTAATTTAGAGCGAACAGAAATGTATTCTGTCACAGTTTAGATGGCAGGGAAGTCCAAGATCAAGGCAGTGGCATCAGGTGTGGGCCTTCTTACTGCATCCTTACGTGATAAAAGGCAGAAGGGCAGGAGGGAACCAGCTCCCTCTGTCAAGGCCTTTTATGAGAGCACTAATCCCATTCATGAGGGAGGAGCCCTTGCAGTTTAATCATCTCTTAAAGGCTCACCTCTTAATACCATCACATTGGTAACACCTGGATTTTGGAGGCGACACATTCAAACCACAGCAGTAGGGCTTGACAACTAGTGAATCTCACTGTAGAGCAATGAGCAGGCATCCAGCTCTTTTAGGTTTTTATTTGTAGGTCTAGTCAGTTCCTGAGATTCCTAAGAGAAGAATCCTCCAATCTCGTCCTTGGGATAGAAGGCTGGCTACTAGTACGCTCAGCTTAGATGATGGAAAACCTCCTCATTAGATACAACATGTTTCTTGTATTTCCCTGGTTTTCTATCCAGCATCGAATCACTTCTCTCATCTGTGCTTGGTATCCACAATTCCAAAAACTGTTTCTGCAATTCCTCTAAGAAATGGATCTCTCAGCTCTCTTAGGGCACAGGAAGGGTAGTCATCTAACTTCTCAGAATGAAGGTGGGCATTGGCATCCAACTGCTCCTTAAACAAATAGTCCCCTTGTTCTCAGCCTCCTCTCTTCCAGGCTTTGGGCTTCCAATTTCTGAGAATTCCTGGAATCTGGCAGGGTAAACTACTGAGCTTCTCAGTGGTAACCTCCCTCCTCCCCTCCACATACACACTTGTAAATTTGACCTTTGATCTGCCCAATGGTTGAAATTCACCCAACCATGTGCAATCTTCATGTGTTATAGTTTGGAGTTTTAGATGTTTCCTGGTTTCATTAAAGATAAAGCTGAGCACCTGTAATTGTGCTGTGGTTGTTACTGTTCTTGTTATTGTGTGGTAACTTCTGAGAGGAGAATTGGGCAGAGACATTGTTACTTTTACCTCCTATCTTATAACTGATAGAGCTTCTTATTAGTAGAGGAAAGATTGTTGTTTATTTTCTTAGGTGAGAATAGAAAATTATTCTCTTCTAGTTGGAAAAAGCCTGTCATATGTATATTTCTTCATATTCTCAGCATGAATTCTAACCTAAATGATTTCTTTCTTTCTTTAGATGCCTAATACATACAAAGTTAGGAAAGCTAAGGCAGGAAGCCAAAAGGAAACACTGTTTTCTTTTTCTCCCTGGCAGTCTCTCAACATTTTGGGCTTCATACACTATCTCCACTAAATAACAGAGGGAGAAACTGAGATAGAAAGTGAATCCCAAAGTGTTGAAGGATATTATGCCATCAAAAGCTAATGTCTGCATGTAAGAAGGGGATTTCAACCCCAAGTTTTCTTTCTAGAATGCTAAGGGCAGGCAGGAAAATTATGAGGAAAGAAAATACTTAGGATTTAGTAAAATAGATACCAAACTTTACATAGGAGTTTATTTCTTCACAATATTTTCTATGTTATATTCTAAGAACAAAAGCACACAATCTTCTTCTGGGTAAGGATAAGCTTTTGTTTGACACACATGGCTCGCATGCAGATCCTGCCACCACCATCTTTCTAATTGGACTGGAGTTCATATCTTTTCTCATTTGGCTGCCATTCATCCAAACTACCTCCCACTCTTCCTTTGTCTAAGAAATTTCCCACTTTGAAAGTCCTGTTGGGAAGGAGAGTTATTTCTCACTACATAGGCTGAGGCACTGAGGCTGTCAGATTCATAATTTCCCAAGTCAATCTTGCAGGTAGAGTGCTGGCACTTGACCAAATCAGGTGCACCTGCTCCAGCCAGCAATGTAAAGGCACAAGGATTTGAGAGGAAGGGAAATGCTGTTTTTGTAGTGCCAGATGCAGCAGCAAAATCAGGTTCCCAGGGCAACAGTAGTATCAGCAGTAAGCACGGCTCTGTGCCAGCAGGGTCTACTTTGGCAACCTAAGTGCATCCACTACCACTCTGCAGCTGTAGTGACAAAGGTCTTTATGGAGCCACTGAGCCTGAGCCAGGTCCTGCAGATTCCTGGTAATTCTATCCATGACCCACTATATTTTCAATAAATCCCCCTTCTGCTTAAGTTAGCTGGAACTAAGACCCTGACTGATACCTGTGGGTTTCATATGATGATTGAAATAACTGAGAGCTAAAGGTGCAACTCTTGACCTATTAAATGACAACAAATACCATACGGGTAAGAATATCTAGCCATACAAATGCTACAGATAGGTAGATATTTCCTTTGGTACCCACACATTTTTTGTTAGTTTGAACAATATAATCCTGTTTTCAGAGTCCTACTCCAAGAAAAAGTGCTAATATTCTTTTAATCTTGCAAATTTCATGGACCAGAAGACTCAGGGTTCTTGGTGACCCCACTAGAAGCTAAGACAATGTGAAATCCCAAATGAGCAAGCCAGCTATTCCTACTCATCATCATAACTGCCTAACTCATCCTTCAGACACCAGCGTGTTCAAGGAGCTCCTCTGGGTCTATACACCTGCATTTAAAATGCATATTCAGGCCAAAAGGAGAGAGAAGGTATGTGCACAGAGGAAATTAATGGCTGTGGGAATCATGTTTGAGCACTCTTTTAGTAAGCAAAGCTAATGAGAGTACCCATGCCCTTTTTTTGTTTAGTAGTGGTGTCCAGGTGGTGGTTTTAGGTATAATTATTATAAATAATGCCAGTTTAAGCTTCAGAGAATCAAAGGTAAATTCCTGAGAGAATTTTATTTTCTCAGGATTTAAATAAGCAACTCAAAAAGAAAAGAGAGGCAAAGGAGAATGTTTTCAATAATAAACAAACAGCTATTTTATAGGAGAAAGTCTAAACAAAATATTAAGAATCAACCCAATGCAATGCAGCAAAATACTTTTGAGAAATGATACCATGTTAGGTGCTGAAGAGTTATAGAGATAAAAAGGACTTGGGCCTACCCTTAACTAAAGTTGACAATTTGAGTGAGAGGTAGCAAAAAGTGGAAAAAATACTCAAATATCAGAAGATAGTTAAGCATGACAAAAGGCAGAACGGGATCAACCAGAAGAGATGTAGCAAGAATCATATTTTTTATTTGTTTTTCAATGTCTGTATTTTTTTACTTCCAAAGCTGCCATCTTGTGACTTTCCACACACCGAGGCTGAGATGCTTACCATTTTCAGGGAGAAGGTAGATCTGTCTAGAATAAAGAAGACACAGGAACATTATGATTTTTTTACATTTAGAGGGTTCACAATAGACAGAAAACCCTCTGGCTTTCAATAGAAAGAGCTGGATGCTTGAAAGAGAAAGCCAGTTTCTCGGGAATCTCAAAGATGGGCTTTGAAATTCCAATTGGCCAAGCCTAGAAGACTGGATTATAGAGTTCTAACTGTAAACACAGAGTATGGAAATGCAGGTTAGGGAATGGGGCAGGCATTTGAGGAAGCCCATCCTGTGGCTGCAGGAGCCGCCCAGAAAATTGAGATGCTTGTCTTGGGCCACCTTGGGGCTGAGAGCCTTGTCGGGGATGTAGAACCCAGGATGGCTGGGAATCCAGAGTGTAGGAGGCTTGAGCATCAGTTCCCTTCAGGACCTCTTGGAGGGGACCTCTTCGCAAATTAACTGAGCCACCCTGGGCCACAGTCAAGTAGAATTGCATTTAGGCTGAGAGGGTCTGAGATAGATCCCTAATCTTTACTCCAGCTCAGAGTGAAACCAATCCAGAAAATCCCTGGAGTCACTGCAGAGGGGCAAGAAAGACATCTGAGAAAAATAAATAAATAAATAAATAACAGAATGTGATGAGTCCTTATGCCTGCTTGAAGAATGCTGCATCATAGGGAAAGGGGACCATTCACAGAGGCTGCAAGGTAGACAGCTCAAAGCCAGAAGACAGATGGGTCCATCAGTGAGCCTCACAGGGTCAGCAGCACTGGTGAGAGCAGAGTTGAGGGAGGAGAGAACAGAAAGGGACCGTGGCCGTGCCAAGAGAAGAAAAGAACAAGCTACACCAGCCAGAGAAGCCTTCAAAACAGACACAGAGAGACTTCATACAAAGCCAGCCAGGCCCACCTGCCTGCCCCTGCCACGAGAAGCCCATGCTTCATTTCCATGTGCTGGAAGTGAGAAGGGAGAACACCTATGAGGAGACACCGATCCTAGTGGGGAACATGAACCTTGATTGACTAAATTTAAGTCCTGATTTCACTAATGATTGAGTAAACTTGAAGAGGCAAGATCATGTGTTTTCTAGAACTGATTGGTGGCTGATGAGTAAGTTAGACCCATTTATAGGAAACTGCTTCTATTTCTACACACGAGTCAGTGTGTACATGGTGCGCACAACACAAAAGATACACACCAAATATGGGGACACTGAAGGAAGGAGACACTGTATTAAGTTGGGGGAGCAGAGCGATTGGGCCGCCACTGGATGTTTTGGACTATGCCTTAGTGAATTTATGGGATTCTGACACACAGAAATGAGGTGGAGGCATTCCATGTGGCAGAAAAATGTCTATCAAAGTCTAGGAAATTGGAGTAGGTAGGAAATGATAAGGAAAAAAATAATGGTCCAATTTGGCTGGAAACTACAGTCCTCATAAAATTATATGTATGCTCTGCCAGAGCCTGTGCTTTGTCCCTAAGTGCTGGGAAGAGTTTTATAAACATTTACGGTATAAAATATATTCTGAGCAGAGTGATGCCTGGAAACTTATGCCCATTACTTAAAAACACTGTTGTCTCTGGTTCCTGTTCCTTACTGCAAATGTAGTAGACAAGCTTGCCATCAAATATTGCCTCTAGTGGGAATACTTCTGTATTCGGCCTCAGCCCACAGAGAAGGAATCTTCCATCAATATTTTGTCCTTTCATCAGATGCTAGGAAAGTTTGCACCATTCTGCCCATCCCTACTCCTTGGATGGAAGCATGGCTAATACAAGGAATGTGGTGGTTCCATGTATATGAGGTGGGGTTCAAGCAGTTTTATTTTGACGAATCTCCAAAGGTGATCTAGAAATACAATCTTGATCTCTGCTTTTTCTATCACTCTCTTTGTCTCGCATTTCTTCATACCAATTTGGAAGAATATCTGCTACGTAGTTGGTTTCAATAAATATTTGTTGAATGAATGGACAGACACACCCACCCATTTCTTTTCCCTTTTCTTTTTTTTTTTTTTTTTGAGATGGAGTCTCGCTGTGTCACCAGGCTGGAGTGCAGTGGCACAATCTCAGCTCACTGCAACCTCCAACTCTCTGGCTCAAGTGATTCTCCTGCCTCAGCCTCCTGAGTAGCTGGGATTACAGGCACATGACACCATGCCCAGCTAATTTTTGTATTTTTAGTAGAGACAGGGTTTCACCATGTTGGCCAGGATGGTCTCGATCTCCTGACCTCGTGACCCGCCTGCCTCAGCCTCCCATGGGGTTACAAGTGTGAGGCACTGCACCTGACCCCATTTCTTAAACTTTAGCATGCAATGGAATTCCCTAGTAGGCTTGTTAAAACAGACTGTGGAGGTCCACCTGAAGAGTTTCTGATTGAGTAGGTCTAGGGTGGGGGCTAAGAATCTACATTTCTAATTAATTCCCAGGTGATGACAATGCTGTTGTTAGAAAGGGCTACACTTTGAGATCCAGTGGTCTAGGTAAACCCCCTGAATACTTTAAACATAACCCCAAACTTAATGGGACCTTTGAATGGCTTGCCTACCATTTTCCTGGAAGCTTTTAGAAAAGATGTTTCCCTATGTTTCATTACATAAGTTATAGGAGCAACTTAATAGCATAAATTATAGGCATTGAAAACTGTTGCTGAAACATATGGAATTTTTATTAAGAATTCCAGGAATCAGAGACTTCTGAATAAAATGTGAGTCATCATTTTCTATTCAAAGTTTGATGTTATACTCTAAAATAAGATTTTTAAAAAGCCATAGGATTTCTATTTTTTTACCCTAAACTGGCCTCCTTTAATATCAAAACAAAGCAAAAATCAGGCTCCCTTTCTGGAGTGATTGAAAATTAGATAAAGAGGACTGTATTTCTGTCCATTATCTGGAGGAGAATCCATGTGAGAACGTGGGATTGCCTCGTTATCTTTTTAACCCTACAGAAGAAACAAAACAAAACACCATTTTCACATTCTGCCAAGTACCCACAAAGGACCAGGTTTCTGCCTTGTTTTCTAGACACTATAAAAATATCAGAGCTGCTTAATTTTAAAAAATCTTCTGCAAAAATTTAAGGTTTTTAAACTTTCAAACACTAATACTTAAGATTTATGTTAAGTCATAGCTTTCCTTGGTAAGATTACTCTTGAACTTCCCTAATTTGTAGTTTCAATTCTATTAGTTGTCTGTAGAGTCAAATATTTTGTTTGATCACTATAAATAATAAGTGTTTACTTTATAATGGTGTATATTGTTTTTATCATGTGGACTCTCACTACTTAGAAGTTTAAGTGGTCAAATACCCTTGTTTCTGTAAGCCAGCTGAGAACCATAACTCCAATTATACCTAATTGGAAATATATACATACATAGATAGATAGATGCATATATATGCAAAATGCATATATATAAATACATATATATGTATATATATATAAATATATATGTATATATAAATACATATATATGTATATATATAAATACATATATGTATATATGTAAATACATATATATGTATATATATATACACATATATATATAATATTGGAGCTAAAAAGGCTCTCTCAGAGAGCCAGACTGCACATGAAATTCCCAATAAAATGTCTGACACAGCTCTGAACTACAGGGCTTCTCAAATTTATCCACAACTCTGAACTTTTGATGTAGTCCTACAGTGGACAGACATGTTGCTCATAAGGGCAGAAAATAACAGTCTGAAGAAGTGTTCCCAGATCTGGCCTTTTTATTAGAAACCTCACTTATCCAAAGACTGATGCTTATTAAGCTTGACATAACTCCTCCCAGACCTGAGACTTCAGCTTCAGATTTATTTTCCTTGTTGTATTTTATAAGACATGAAAAATTAAACACTCTCATATGTCATTATTATTTGTAATTGCAGGTCGTATTTTGCAGGCTGATTGCTCCCTGCTGCCCCTGTGTTCTATGAGTATGTGTAATTTTGTGCATTAGAGAATTTTCTATTTGTCTGCCAATGGGCTCTTTTGCCAAGATGTAGGCAGGCATAGATATCAAAAGCCTTCAGAGCAATAGCAAAAACAGAAGCTTGATTCAAATCACTTTTATGAAAGGAAACTCTTTTTTTCACATAATTTGGTAGGAATTCATCATTGTGCTACAGAGTGAATGGAGGCTAACAGAAGCAAGAAGGGTCAAAAAGGAAATAGATACAGAACATGGGCTTGAGAGTGGAGGGCATAGAACAGATGAGTGTCAAGGTAGATAAGGAAGATTTTGGCAAGTAAGAATCAGGAGCGAGAATGGCAAGTTTGGGAAACAAGAGTGCAAAATGAGTGAGGGCGCCAAGGTGCCAGATGAGAATGCCTAGAGAGGATGGCAGAGGTGAAACTGGCATTGGTGAAATTGACAGAACTATGTAGGAAGCAGGCCAGACTCAAACAAAACTGAGACCAGCAGCCAAGGCTATGACTATAAGACTAATGGAGATGCAAGACAGTGAGATGGAAGCAAAACAGACAATCAATTTTGACTATTCTAATGAGCCTTAATTAACTACTTTGGCTGAAAACCTCCCATGACAGAACACAGCAGCCTCCAGAGCAGCTTAAAGAAACTGTCAGGATGTACATCAGCTGTTAACAGAACTCATCACTTTAATTTTCTTTAGCCAGTCATTTTCTACTGTATGGGTGAATGGTCAAAGGTGTGAATCTGAATTCACCAAACAAGATGCAAAAAAAAAAATAAAGTTATGAGCTGTATTTATGTTACTAGCAGAAACCTTCCTTAGGAGATCATTAATATTTCAGGAGGTCCAATTAATAAGAACCATTTCTACATAAAATTTTGAATTCCTTAGGCAAGCCACCAGGCTAGATAAAGAAACCCACCAGATGCCTTATAAGTTGTATTATCCTGTTATCCTTAGAAAT
Source organism: Homo sapiens (assembly GCF_000001405.40). Lineage (NCBI taxonomy): Eukaryota > Metazoa > Chordata > Mammalia > Primates > Hominidae > Homo > Homo sapiens. Next base: position 82,699,483 of record NC_000006.12, read on the forward strand.
GAATGGATATTGAATTCAACCCCTAAGTCAGTGGTTCCCACTCCGGATAGCACGTTAGAATTACATGGGGGAAATGCTGATTAGCCTGGGGTGGAACATGAGTATTGAAATTTCTTAGGAGCTTCCTATGTGATTGAAAGGACTGAGAACTATTGCTATGTGGAAGAGACTCAATGAGGAAAACACAGCTCTAACTACCACAATATTAAAAATATGTTTTAAGATGTAGCGAGGATTTCCTAGGATATCATGCAAACTTTGCTTCTACTTCTTTGGGTAAAAGGCATGTAGTGACGTTAGCCAATCTCAATATCATGGGCTCATCTCCTGAGGTTACTATGCCTCTTTTTTCTTTAAAGAAAAAGAAACAAGAGCATGTTGCTTAATCAAGCTTACTTAATTTGTGCATATGTCCAATAAGTTTCAATTGCTTTGTGAGATAGTATTGTTGGGTCCTGTTCCTTTTCTGTCCATTATAATTTGTGCAGCCTAATTTATCCTTTCAGTTTCTGAGTATGTATTCAATGCTTTTAAGTGACAGACAGAGGGGAAATGTCTGTAGTATTTCAAATAGAGATCTAAAGCAGTGGAATGGTTTAACCAAGGCAACTGCTAAAAAGCAAATAGATGGCTTCAGGCCCAACAGAAATAGATATTATATCAAAAGAATGCTTTCTAAAAAGTAATATTTGGAAATGAAGATAAACACAAACTTTGGAAGACTCAAGAATGTCATTTTGATACAGGAACAATGTCTAATGACAATTCAGAAATCATTGGTTAATAAGAAACATATAAGTGTATAAGTATGGCCAGACTTAACTAACTTAGGGTTATATATGCATATTAATTGACAGACATTAGCCATGACCTATAAGTTTAAATGAAAATTAAAATTCTACTAAATATTAGATAAGAATAAATCTTAAGTCTTATAAAGCACTATAGGCATATGAAGAGAGTAGTACTATAATGTTAGCATGAATATTATTCATTTTGACTTCTTAGTTAAATTATCCCCTGGTCTAAGATTATATTCAAAGGCAAAGTACTATTCAAATTCATCTAAGGTGTAAAAGCAAGAACAAAGACCCAGCAAATTGAGGTCATTCAAATATATTTTTAAAATAATAAGCACAATAAATTAAAGCAAGAATTCTCAAGGAAAGATTAGATTTTCTTGCCCTACATAAAAATCTTTGAAACACTTAGCAAAAATAATTCAAATGGCAAAGTACAAACTGAGGGTCTTTTAGGGCAGCTTGGCAATGGAAGGGCCAAGGAAGGATAAGAGGAGCATATGGTCAGCCAGCATGAGTCAAGGAAAGATCATAAGTAATCAGAGAAATCGAAGAAGTATCCAATTTTTATTTTGATCTGGTTTCAGCATTGCAAGACATGAAAATTTTCTCACTGGAGCATAATAATAAGGGTTTTGAGGATGAAATCTAGATTTCCTTTGGAAAGTCATTTCACATTGAAATGTCAGTTTTATTTATGTGAATATAAACTTGAATATGCGCATTTGTTTTCTATTGCTGCTGTAACAAATTATGAAAGTTTAGCTGCTTGAAACAACATAAATTTATTATATTATACTTCCATAGGTTGGAAGTCCGGTACAGGTCTTATGAACTAAAATCAAGTTGTTGACAGGGCTGTATTTCTTTATGGAGGCTTCGGGGAAAAATCTGTTTCCTTGCCTCATCTAGCTTCTAGAAGCTGCCAGCATCCCTCGGCTGATGGCCCCTTCCTGCTTCTTTTTTCTTTTTGAGACAGGGTCTCTGTCACCCAGACTGGAGTACAGTGGTGCAATCACAACTCACTGCAGCCTTGAACTCCTGGGCTCAAGTGATCCTCCCATCTCAGCCTACCAAGTAGCTGGGACTAAAGGCATGCACCACAATACCAGCTAATTTTTTAATTTTTAGTAGAGACAAGGTCTCACCATATTACCCAGGCCGGTATTGAACTCCTGGCCTCAAGCGATCCTCATGGCTCAGCCTTCCAAAATGCCAAGATTGCAGGTGTGAGCCACTGTGCCCAGTCCCACTTTCTGTATGTTGAAAGCCAGCATTATCTCATCACCCTGACCATTCTTCTGTGATCATATCTTTTTCTCTGATCACAGCTCCAAAACGTTCTCTGATTTCTCATCTCTGATGTCCAGAGATTAGATTCATGTGATTAGACTGGGCCTATTCAGATAATCTGAAATAATCTCTCCATCTCTAGGTCCTTAGCCTTAATCACATCTGCATAAGCCCCTTTTGCCAGGTAAGGTAACATATTCACAGGTTCCAGGAATTAGGGTATGGACATCTTTGGGAAGACTATTATTCTACCTACCACTATTAAAATATAATAGTAAATAGATCTTCTTCAAAATGAGTTCGATCTTCAAAATGAGTTAAAGCCACATCTGTCTTCAAGTCTTCCAGATGTCATCAGATGCCCAAGCCTCCTTCTTTACAAATTGATGAGGCTTCACCCTTTCCCCTTGTGGTTCATAAATTCTGATGTCCTTCATGCTGTGCTCTTTGATTTACTATAGGAGATGGCACCTTTTCCCTTCCACTACATAAAAAATTCACTCAGAATTACCCATTTGCTGTTTCTTATAACTTAATTTAAATAATATAATTTAAGAACTTGTTTTTTGCCCTTTATCTATACATGCAACTGCTACACCAGACAAATTCCCAAAGGCAGGTATGGTATATTTAACTCTCTTCAGATGATTTCCACACAGCACCACGGAGATAAAGAATTTTATTGATGCTTTTATCATTTAACAAGCACATGGCAAAACAAGTATACATTTTATAGACAGAAAACCACAGATAAGTGGTTATTTTAAGTCAAGCTATCAAAGCAAATCAAATTAGGTGAGGTTGGAGAAAAGAACTTTCCAAAACAAGTCACCAAAAATTTCTTTCAGAAACCATTTTTGGCAGGTTCAAAATACAGTTTTCTGGACACATACTTTTCATACTTAAAATGAGGCATCCCATTAATGATCTCTTTTTGTTCTCTTCCCAATATAGTCCCATCATAGATGCTGTGGGACATTAGGACTAGAAGGAAACAGAACTATCTAGTTTCTCCATTTAATAGATCAGAAAACAGAGGCCCAGTAAGGTGAAACAAATAAAAGCATGAGAACTATATTGACATCATAGGTGAAAGCATGGGCTTGGATTGCTTGTGAACATTATTCAGAATCAGGAGCAAAAGGGAAAGATTCTCACACTCTCAGGCTTCCAAATGACAACACTCTTATTCATAGCTTCACCTTGAGAATGGATAATAGCCACGAGCCAGTGGAGCGGAAGGCCAGAGGAGAGAAGGGTGTCACTCACGCTGACAAAGTACACCAGCAATAATGAGAAAATGCACACAGTCCCTTGAGCAATGATAGTTCAACTTGGTTTCCCTCAAAGAGTCTAAGTTTTAGTTTAAACATTTTCAGCCACAGCTTGCTTGATTTTTAATAAACAGGCAAGTTGATAATCTTTCTTCTGAGAATTTTATCTCTGGTGCTAAAGCAAATTTAAATCAGCATGCTGTGTAATTGTACATTTTCAGCAGATATAAAAACATGCAGTAGCAAATAGCTAACCTCCTCCCATAGCCTTTACCCCACCCTTGTCTCTTCCTCTCCCCTCTTTCCACCTGTGTGATGCTGTGAAGACATGCCAGGCAGCGTTTTCAGGCACGTCTCATTCATGCCATGAGCCTTCCCTCTCCGAAATCTCTGTTTCCGCACAATCTCCCTCCTCAGATCTATAGCTGAAGACAATGGGAAAATGAGAGAAAATGCAAGGGCTCATTAAACAAACGTAACACTCCATCACATGCAGTGATGAAAGTTTAGTTCCATTTTAACTCCAGGGGCCTCCAAACAAAACTTTCACAAAGAACTCACTCCCATGTCATCTGTCTCCCACTGCCACCATCACAGGAAAAGGCTCCAGAGAGTTTTTGTTGTGTTCTCGGAGCATCCCTTTTTTCTTGGGTCCTTCTCACCAACAAAGGCTTTAGAAAGCCTCAAAAAGCATACTGGCATTACAAAGAGGTTTACAGACAGTGATGTTTATTCAATAAATGCTGCCTGCTTGCTGCTGCCACTGCTACATCTCAGAACTGTGATGGGTGTTGGGATACAACAGTGAAGACACAAATCTGGTCCCTGGAGCTCTGATTCTAGTGACAATTGACTAATACTAAATCTCCTAATGAAAAGAAATGGTCTGGATTTAAAGTTCAAACAAATTTTATCACCTGGTCTGGATTTGAGGTTCAGATAAACCTCATTACCTGGCATGAACGAGAGTTTGCTCATGGACATACATTCGTTGGATTAGAATGTCTTCTTTTCCTGTTCCCTGCTTGCTCTATAGAAAGGCTGGAGGTGTCTTGATCATCTGGCTAACTTCCTGCACCTATAGCAAGACCAGACATATAGTAGGTATTCAATAAATTCTCGATGTGTGAACAAATTAAGAAATAGCTTCAGCCTTAGGATTCATTTTTTAAATTTCATCCAGGAAGTTCCAGGATAAAGATAGTAAAGCCTTCAAGATAATAAAGACAAACAAGATTGGCAAGCAAAATAAAGTTGTGTCAAAGGAACAATCCTGGGAAAGGCATACAGATGATCAGATCACTAGAACTTTGATTAAGGAGAGTGAATCAGGTGGTAAACAAGCCATGGTAAGAAATGGAATCAACATGATGAGTCATCAGTTCCTAGCAGTGGTGCTTCAGAGAATCAGATTTCAAGAGGAAAAGTAAGTTCAAAGCCAGCAAGCGTTCATAAAGAAGCAAAGTGACAGAAACCAAGAGTGAGTGATGGACCTGTGGTAGGATCTTTTTGCCCCCAGCTTTATTAAGGTATAATGACAAATGAAAACTAGATATTTATGGCATACAATCATAAATATAGTTATACATATGCATTAGTTCATTTTCACACTGCTGATAAAGATATACCCAAGACTAGACAATTTACAAAAGAGAGAGGTTTAATTGGATTCACAGTTCCACATGGCTGGGGAGGCCTCGGAATCATGGAAGACAAGGAGGAGCAAGTCACATCTTACATTGATGGTGGAGGGCAAAGAGAGCAAGCTTGTGCAGGGAAACTCCCCCTTATCATACTGTCAGATCTCATGAGACTTATTCACCATCATGAGAACAGCATGGGAAAAACCCACCCCCATGATTCAATTATCTCCCACCAGGTCCCTCTCACAACACGTGGGAATTATGGGAGCTACAAGACCAGCTTTGGGTGGAGACACAGAGCCAAACCATATCACTCCACCCCTCCCAAATCTCATGTCTTCACATTTCAAAACCAATCGTACTTTCGGAACAGTTCCCCAAAGTCTTAATTCATTTCCACATTAACTCAAGTCCACAGTCCAGTGTCTCATCTGAGACAAGTCAAGTCCCTTCTGCCTATGAGCCTGTAAAATTCAAAAGCAAGTTAGTTACTTCCTAGATACAATGGGGGTATGGGCACTGGATAAATACAGCTATTCCAAATGTGAAAATTTGGCCAAAACAAAGGGACTACAGGCCCCATGCAAGTTCAAATCCAGCAGGGCAGTCAAATCTCAAAGCTCCAAATGTGAAAATTTGGCCAAAATAAAGGGACTACAGGCCCCATGCAAGTACAAATCCAGCAGGGCAGTCAAATCTCAAAGCTCCAAAATGATCTCCTTTGACTCCATGTCTCGCATCCAGGTCACAACGATACAAAAGGTGAGTTCCCATGGTCTTGGGCAGCTCTGCCTCTGTGGCTGTGCAGGGTACAGCCTCCCTCCAAGCTGCTTTCATGGGCTGGTGTTGAGTGTCTGCGGCTTTTCCAGGCATGTGGTGCAAGCTATTGATGGATCTACCATTCTGGGGTCTGGAGGACAGTGGCCCTCTTTCATAGCTCCACTAGGCAGTGCCCCAGTAGGGACTCTGTGTGTGGGTTCCAACCCCACATTTCCTTTCCACAGTGCCCTAGCAGAGGTTCTCCATGAGAGCCTGCCCCTGCAGCAAACTTCTGCCTGGACATCCAGGCGTTTCCATACATCCTGTGAAATCTAGACAGAGGTTCCCAAACTTCAATTCTTGACTTCTGTGCACTTGCAGGCTCAACACCACATGGAAGCCGCCAAGGGTTGGGGGTTGCACCCTCTGAACCCATGGCCCAAGCTGTACCTTTGCCCCTTTTAGTCATGGCTGGAGTGGCTGGGATGCAGGGCACAAAGTCCCTGGACTGCACACAGCATGGGTACCTGGGCCTGGGCCACAAAACCATTTTTTCCTCCTAGGCCTTTGGGCCTCTGATGGGAGGGCATGCCATGAAGACCTCTGACACGCCCTAGAGACAATTTCCCCGTTTTCTTGGGGATTGACATTTGGCTCTTCATTACTTATGCAAATTTATGCAGCTGGTTTGAATTTCTCCTCAGAAAATAGGATTTCCTTTTCTATCACATTGTCAGGATGCAAATTTTCTGAACTTTTATGCTCGGCCTCCCTTATAAAACTGAATGCCTTTAACAGCACCCAAGTCACATCTTGAATGCTTTGATGCTTAGAAATTTCTTCTGCCAGATACTCTAAATCATCTCTTTCAAGTTCCAAATTCCGTAAATCTGTAGGGCAGGGGCAAACTGCTGCCAGTCTCTTTGCTAAAACATAACAAGAGTCACCTTTGCTCCAGTTCCCAACAAGTTCCTTATTTCCGTCTGAGACCACCTCAACATGGATTTCATTGTCCATATCGCTATCAGCATTTTGGGCAAAGCCATTCAACAAGTCTCTAGGAAGTTCCAAACTTTCCCACATTTTCCAACTCCTGCCTGTTACCCAGTTCCAAAGTCACTTCCACATTTTTGGGTATCTTTTCAGCAGCTCCCCACTCTACTGGTACCAATTTACTGTATTAGTCTGTCTTCACACTGCTGATAAAGGCATACCCAAGACTGGGCAATTTATGAAAGAGAGAGGTTTAACTGGACTCATAGTTCCACATGGCTGGGGAGACCTCAGAATCATGGCAGAAGGCAAGAAAGAGCAAGTCACGTCTTACATTGGTGGCAGCAGGCAAAGAGAGAGAGCTGTGCAGGGAAATTCCCCCTTATAATACCGTCCGATCTTATGGGACGTATTGGCTATCACAAGAACAGCATGGGAAAGACCCACCCCCATGATTCAATTATCTCCTGCCAGGTCCCTCCCACAACACATGGGAATTATGGGAGCTACAAGATGAGATTTGGGTGGGAACACAGAGCCAAACCTTATCAACATATATTTATGTATATAATCATTTTGATACATGTATATATTGTGCAATGATTAAATAAAACTAATTAACATATCCATCACTTTACGTACTTACCACTTTTTAGTGGTAAAAACATTTAAAACATACCCTCTTAATAATGTTCAATTATATAATACATTACTATTAGCTATAGTCACAATGCTGTACAATAGATCTCCAGAACATATTTCTCCCATCTAACAAACTATGTACCCACTGACTAACATCACCCCATTTCTACTCCCTTCTCCCTCCCAGTCCCTGAAAATCACCATTCTACTGTCTGCTTTTATGAGTTTTACTATTTTAGATTGCACATTTAAGTGAGATCATACAGTATTTGTCTTTCTGTGCCTGGCTTATTTTGCTTAGCATAATGTCCCCCAAGTTCATCTATGTTGTTGCAAATGACAGAATTTCCTTCTTTTTGTAAGGCTGAATAGTATCCCATTGTATGTACACGTATATGCCTATACTACATTTGCTTCATCTATTCATCCATCAACAGATACTTGGGTTGATTCCATATCTTGGCTACTGTGAATAATGCTTCAGTGAACATGGGCGTGCAGATATCTCTTCAACATACTGATTTCAGTTCCTTTGGATATATACCCAGAAGTGGGATTGCTGGATCATATGATTGTTCTATATTTAATATTTAAAAGAACTTCCTCACCATTTTCCATGACTGTACTAATTTACATTCCCACCAACAATGTGCAAGGGTTTTCTTTTCTCTACTTCCTCACCAGCACTTGCTATTTGTTGTCTTTTTGTTAATAGCCATTCTAAAAGTGTGAGGTGATAGCTCATTGTGGTTTTAATTTGCATTTCTCTGATAACCAGCGATGATGAACATTTTTTCATATACTTGTCAGCCATATGTATGTCTTCTTTTGAGAAATGTCTTTTCAGGTCTTATGTCCATTTTTAAATCAGGTTGTTTTCTTGCTATTGAGTTGTTTGGGTTCTTGTATATTTTGGATATTAACCCTTTATCAGGCATTTGGCTTGTCAATATTTTCTTCTATTCTGTAGGCTGCCTCTTCACTTTGTTGTTTCCTTTGCTCTGCAGACGTTTTTCTGTTTGATGCAATCCCATTTGTCTGTTTTTGCTTCTGTTGCCTGTGCGTTTGAAGTCATATCCAAAAAATCATTGCCCAGACCAGTATCAAGAAACTTTTTCTTGGCCGGCTGTGGGGCTCACACCTGTAATCCCAGCACTTTAGGAGGCCGAGGTCAGGAGTTCAAGACCAGCCTGACCAACATGGCAAAACCCCATCTCTACTAAAAATACAAAAAATTAGCCAGGCATGGTGGTCTGCGCCTGTAGTCCCAGCTACTCAGAGGGCTGTGGCATGAGAATCGCTTGAACCCAGGAAGTGGAGGTTGCAGTGAGCTGAGATTGAGTCACTGCACTCCAGCCTGGGAGACAGAGTAAGACACCATCTCAAAAAAAAAAATAATAATAATAATAATAATAATATAGCTTTTTCTCTGTTTTTTTTTTTTTTTCTAACAGTTTTACAGTTTCAGGTCCTATATTTAAACCTTTAATCCATTTTCATTTGACTTTTGTGGATGGTATGAGAGATGGGTTCACTTTCGTTCTTCTACATGTGGATATCTAGTTTTCCCAACACTATTTATTAAAGAAACTGTCCTTTCCCCGTTTTCTGTTCTTTACACCTTTGTAAAATATCAATTGACCATAACTGTAAGGATTTATTTCTGAGGTTTCTATTCTGTTCCATTGGTCTATATGTCTGTTTTTATACCAGTATCATGCTGTTTTGATTACTGTGGCTTTATAGTATATATTTTGAAAGTCAGGTATTGTTATGCCTCCAGCTTTGTTCTTTTTGGTCAAAACTGCTTTGATTATTAGGGGCCTTTTGTGGCTCCATATGAATTTCTATTTCTGTTTTAAAAAGTCACCGGAATACTGATAGCAATCTCATTGAATCTGTAGATCACTTTGGGTAGTATGAACATTTTAACAACATTAATTTTTTCAATCCATGAATACAGGATACCTTTCCATTTATATGTGTCTTCTTCAATTTTCTTCATCAATATTTTATAGTTTTTAGTGAATACATCTTCTGCTTTCTTAGTTAAATTTATTCTTAAGTTGGTTTTTTAAAAATTATAAATGAAATTGTTTTCTTAATTTCTTTTCCTGAAGGTTCATAGTTAGTGTATTGAAATGCAACTGATTTTTGCATGTTGATTTTGTACCCTATAACTTTACTGAGTTTGTTTATTAGTTCTAACAGGTTTTATTCTGGTGGTGTCTAGGTTTTCAAGATCACATCATTTACAAACAGAGACAAATTTTCTTCTTCATTTCCAATTTGAGTTCCTTCTATTTCTTTTTATTGCCTAATTGCTTTGGCTAGGAATTCTACTACTACAATGAATAAAAATGGTGAGAGTGGGCATCCTCGTCTTATTCCAGATCTTAGTTAAATATCATGTTAATTGTAAGCCTGTCATATATGGCCTTTCTTATGTCATGAAAGAATGTTGAATTTTGTCAAATGCTTTTACTGCGTCTACTAAGATGATCATATGGTTTTCATCTTTTATTCTGCTAATGTGGTATATAACATTGATTTGTTTGCGTATGTCGAGTCATCTTGCATCCCAGGGATAAATCCCACTTGATCATGGTATATGATCTTTTTAATGTGTGGTTGAAGTCAGTTTTCAGTTTTACCTTGTTGAGGACTTTTGCATCTATGTTCATCAGAGATATTGGACTGTAATTTTTTTTTTTTTTTTGTAGTGTCCTTGTCTGGCCTTGGTTATCAGGGTAATGCGGGCCTTGTAAAATGAGTTTGGAAATGTTCCCTTCTCTTCAATTTTTTTAGGAGAGCTTGAGAAGCATTGGCATTAATTCTCCTTTAAACGTTTAGTAGAATTTGCCCCCAAAACCAAGCCACAGTATCTTTTTGAAGGTCCATGGCCCCATTCCCTAGTACCTGACTTAACAATAGTATTGACACCTGGCCGGGCGCAGTGGCTAATGCCTGTAATCCCAGCACTTTGGGAGTCCAAGGTGGGCAGATCACGAGGTCAGGAGATTGACACCATCCTGGCTAACACGGTGAAACCCCTTCTCTACTAAACATACAAAAAAATTAGCCAGGTGTGGTGGCGGGTGCCTGTAGTCCCAGCTACTCCGGAGGCTGAGGCAGGAGAATGGCGTGAACCTGGGAGGCAGAGCTTGCAGTGAGCTGAGATCATGCCACTGCACTCCAGCCTGGGTGACAGAGTGAGACTCTGAGACTCCATCTCAAAAAAACAAAACAAAACAAAACAAAAAAACGGTAGTATTGACTCCTTACTAAGGCTGCTACATATACCATTTGGTCTGCAAAGACTCTGGACCCCTCTTTTCTAGGCCCTTGGGACCTTTCCTAATCTTTTGGAATTAATTTATTGTTCATTTAATTCATGTGTTCCAGTACGCCTCTTTCAATTCTGCCTAGGTCATCACTCAAGCCCAGACACCCTTGTCAGACCTCTCCTTGATGGCATGGACCTCTCTTCACATGAAAAACACCCTAAAATCATGAAAAGCAATAGGAGAGGGAAATGGAGGCAAGAAAAGAGACAGCAAAGACATAGTCATAAAGGAGGAAAGAGAAATAAGACATGTTCTATTGTGAAGTGCAAGGGATGTTTTGTTAAAGGGGTGGGGGCAGTGTTCCAATTATGGTGCAAGTGGTTAAAAGCAGGAGCTCTGGGGACAGAGTGACAGATTTGAGTCCAGCACTGCTGTTTACCAACTAGGTTAACTTAGGACAATTACTTAACCTCTCTGGGCTCAGCTTCAATAGGTGAATAATAATACCACTTACCCTTATAACAGTTTGTGAAGACTAAGTATGTTAATTCATATCAATGCCTGGCACATAGTATGGACACAGTTAATGTTGGCTAGTATAATGAAAACGATGTCATTTGGACTCCTGACTCTTACAAATATTTTAAACATATGAAAAATGGCTTAAAGTTGGCATGTATATGTGCTAAATTAGTGTGCTTATTCTCCCCAGGGAACAAAAAAGTGGGGGTGGGGATCGGCCCTGGAAGAGAACATAGGAGAAGAGCTTCCTTGGCCCTCTTCATTCATAGTAACCCAAGTTTCTTGTCTGGAAAGAAAGAGTCTGACAGATTATGACATATAGTTACTGTCAGGAGTGAAAAACAACCTTGCAGTAAGTCTGTTTTTAATTTGTGTTTTTGAAAAATTGGGACTATGCTTTAAAATTCCCTGATTATTCAATGGTGAGGATGCAATTACAGGAGCATGATGCTTCCCCTGTCCTCAGAGGCAGCAACTCCCTAAAACAGAGCAAGCAGGCCTCCACTTTGTGTTGAGGATGGGGATTGTGGAGCCTCCTCCTGCAGTCCATAGACTGTGAAGGCTTCTGCTAAGCAAAGTCACCGCTGTGGCATTAAAAGCAGCATTCCCAGGGCTCCTCCTCGCAGCAGCCTGTGCTGAGCATGCCCAGCTGCTTCCTCCACCCTCGCATCCTCTCCTCTGCTCAGTTCATGCCCTGGATGATGAGAACAAAAATAAAATGGGAATTGAAAAGAATTTGGTGTAACAGATGGGGATTTATCAAACGGAATTGGGTTTTTGATTTTTCAAAGCTAATGCCAATGTCAGTAACAAGAAAAGACCAGGAGATGGGTGCCTGGGAGAGGCGACTCTCTGCGCAGGGTGCAGGAATCTTGAATGGGAGCCTAGAGCCTCAGATGGTGGGAGTGCCAAGAAGAGGATTAATGACGAAAGGAAACACAGAGTTCTGGTCAGGAAGCCAGGCCACCAAAAGCACAAAGAAAGACTGAGTGACAGTCTTTGTGAAGAGAGCATAATCACTATAACTCTAGTACAGGCTGTGCACCCAGAAAGTCTGCTTCAGGGAATTGCTGTTGGTAGACATAAGGACCTCTGGGGCCAGGTGTCTAACCTGTTTTCACCAGGAGTCAAATAGAGAAGGGATCTTGCTTGTCAGGTAAGCAGAAGAGCAGTGCGTGAGCCCTGGGCAGAGTGGATGCTATCAGCTCTCAGCCCTGCAGATAATCCCTCCTTCTTCCTTCCTAACAGAGTCCCGATTTCTTTCTATGCAGTTTACCTTCCTCCATGCAGCCTATGGGCCTCAGGAAAAGCTGACCCCATGCCCAGTTCTAAGTGTGTGTTTCAGTAATTTAAAAGAAATCCCGTCCTCCTTTCCAGAGCTTGGTAAATGGTCACATGACCACTGAGACCAAGGAGAGACTTCCTAGAGCTTCTGCAGAAGTTCTTCCCCCACCTTCTGGAAGAGATCCTGGAAACTCCTCAGTGTTCTTTATGATGCAAGCTCAGAACCGCTGCCAGCCTAGGAATGCAGCCCACTAAGGAGAGAAGAGCCACAGAAACACAAAAACAAGGCCATGAGGTTGTGTCACTCAGAAGCCATTCAACCTTAGACTTCCAGTTTCACAAGCCAGTAAAATCCTTATGGTTGAAGCCAGTTTGAGTTGGATACTTTTGTCACATAGCTGAAATATCCTGGAGAAAAGAAGGAAGGTGGGGAGGAGGGTGAGAAGAAGGAAGAAGAGAAAGAGAAGGAGGGGGACAAGAAGAAATGAAAAGGTTCTATTACAAGTAAGACTCAGAAAAATTAAGCAACTTGTAATGAATCAGTACTCCAGCTTGGGTCTAGCTGATTTTGAAAGTCCATCTTTTTCCATTCTTATCTCATGCAGCCTCTCCACAGTGAATAGCAGGAAGGAGCACAATCTTGTTTACCTGCCCGAATAGGGTGTGCCCTGCATCTCCACATCAGCTGGTAAAGAGCTTTTGCTTGAGAAACAGAGGGCTGTATAAAAGAGAAAGGGAAAGGGTCCTAACCATGGAACTCAGGCTTTAAAGGAGAAACCCAGATCCTACGGAAGTAGAGGAGGCAGGAACTGCTGGCTCTCCTTCTGTTCTGTGGCTTTCCTGGGCCATGTTTTATAACAAGGAAAATTCTGGAGGTAAATGGGAAGGAAACTGTCAGCAACTCCCATTCTCAAGGGCTTAACAGAAAAAAAAGGTTGATTGATGGAGAAAATAAAATACTATCCGTGGAGTTAAATATATTTTAAAAATCAGCACAAGAGCAAAGAAAGTCACACACTTCCTTTTGAGGCAAGTGAAATAAAGAATATAGCTCCCCCTTTAGGTCATGAGAATTCATTACACATTCTATGCAAGTGTTAAAATATCACATGCACCCCATAAATGTGTGTAATGATTATGTATCAATAAAAAAGGAAATTCAATATGAACATGATTTGTCATGGACTAAGTACTTTTTTCTTGGAGAATGTTTTATTAAATGCATAAATGCTGTGACTATCAAAAAGGATACATTCAATAGAAGACTCCATCATCAGAAATGTAGTTACCTAAGATGGAATTAGCATAGGTAATATAGTTACCTAAGAATAAAAATTGGTTGATATCCAGGTGTGGTGGCTCATGCCTGTAATCCCAGCTAATCGGGAGGCTTAGGCTGGAGAGTCCCTTGAGCCCAGGAGGCAGAGGTTGCAGTGAGCCAAGATCATGCCACTGCACTCCAGCCTGAGAGACTGAATGAGACTCCATCTCAAAAAAAAAAAAGAAAAAGAAAAAACATTGGTGGAAAGAGGCATGGATATCTATTCCGGAGTACAGATTTCCTCCCTGCCCCATCTCAGAAGGACATTCTCTCGGCTCAAGGCAATGCAGGGTGAAAGTACTCAGCCCTCTGGCTCCTAAACAGGAAGAAAGGAGAAGCGGGCTAGTGGAGGGAAGGGAGGGCTCTCCTGACTCTCCTACAATGCATCTCCTGCCACTTACCAGTAACAGAGGAACTGCCTATGCCTATGCCTCTCCAAAGACTGTAACAGGGGGTAGGTAAAGTCACATGAGAAACATTATCATACACCTCAATTTCCTTGCCTCTCCTTCCTTTGTACTCACCTCAAATATCCAACCCTGATTACACTCAACCATCCTTCTACTCTCCATTCATGTTCAAGCAGTTGTCTGGTCTCACTTTGAATTTGTGATCACAAATCTCAAGTGGGCCTTCAGTGCTGCCTGGCAATCCTGCTATATTCTCCTAATCAGTTTCTTTTATTACTCTCCCAATGATTCACAAGTTTTCCCTCCTTAAACCTCCAACACTCCCTGCCCTTCTCATTCTCGACCAATGGCTTCGCTTCTTATTTCAATGAGGAAATGGGTGCCATCAGGAGAGAATTCCACATCCTCCCATCATTGAACTTATCAATTTTTTGTACAAACCAACTGCCCTTGTTTTTATCTCACAGTTCCTCCTTTTGTACATGGGATCTCAACTCTTCTCATCTGCTCAAGTGAAAAGTTTCTTAATTGTGAAAAAAGCCTCAAGAGCTGATGAGATTCCTGTAAAGATATGCAAAATACCATGTGTATTCACATTTCTAAGAAAATATCTATAGCTTTTACAAAAATCTCAGACAAAACAAAAACATTTAGCCCCATTATTCTAAGAGCTAATAATAATAATAGCCATCCTTTATTAAGCCTTTGTCATATGCCTAGTACTAGCATAAATGAGTTAAATTCTCAACACAATTGTATGATAAAAATATTACCGTAGATAATGATAAAATAAGTACCTATATCACAGATGGACTGTATTAGTCTGTTTTTATTGCTGTAAAGGAATACCTGAGACTGGGTAATTTATAAAGAAAAGAGCTTATTTGGTTTATTGTTCTACAGACTGTGCATGAAGCATAGAGCCAGAATCTACTCCTGGTGAGGGCCTCAGGAAGCTTACACTCATGGAGAAAATTGATGGGGAGCCAGTATTTCACAGGGTGAGAGAGGGAGCAAGAGAGAGAAGGAGGAAGAGCCAGGCTCTTTTAAACAACCAGATCTCATGTGAACACACAGAGTGAGAATTCACTCATAACGACAGCACCAAGCCATTCATGAGGGATCTACCACCATGACCCAAACACCTTCCACGAGGCCCCATCTCAAACACTGGAGATCACATTTCAACATGAGATTTGGAGGGGACAAATATCCAAACCATATCACGGGCAAACTGATGCTCAGATGCCCACAGATTTTAGATAACTTGCTGAAGTTTGCAGGAGTGGGATTTCAGCCCAGACAGATGCTCATGACCATCACACTAATTTTGCCTCCATGTTGTCACCAAGAACTGGCCACTTGAAGGATAGAGAATTTAGAATTATTTATTCCTTGTCCTCATATCATCTTTGGAAAACTAATACACAAACGCATGTACAAATTCTCTGAAGAAAAATGTTATTTTACAACCAAATTGGCTCCAATAAAACAAGGCTGGGGGCGAGGTGGAGCCAAGATGGCCAAATAGGAACAACTCCAGTCTACAGCTCCCAGCATGAGCGATGCAGAAGACGGGTGATTTGTGCATTTCCAACTGAGGTACTGGGTTCATCTCACTGGGGAGTGTCAGACAGTGGGTACAGGACAGTGGGTGCAGTGCACTGAGCATGAGCCGAAGCAGGGTGAGACATCGCCTCACCCAGGAAATGCAAAAGGTCAGGGAATTCCCTTTTCTAGTCAAAGAAAGGGGTGACAGACAGCACCTGGAAAATCAGGTCATTCCCACCCTAACACTGCGCTTTTCCAATGGTCTTAGCAAACGGCACACCAGGACATTATATCCCGTGCCTGGCTCAGAGGGTCCTATGCCCACAGAGCCTCGCTCATTGCTAGCACAGCAGTCTGAGATCAAACTGCAAGGTGGCAGCGAGGCTGAGGGAGGGGCGCCCGCCATTGCCAAGGCTTGAGTAGGTAAACAAAGTGGCCGGGAAGCTCGAACTTGGTGGAGCCCACTGCAGCTCAAGGAGGTCTGCCTGCCTCTGTAGACTCCACTTCTGGGGGCAGGGCACAGCCAAAACAAAAGGCAGCAGAAACCTCTGCAGACTTAAATGTCCCTGTCTGACAGCTTTGAAGGGAGTAGTGATTCTCCCAGCACACAGCTGGAGATCTGAGAACAAACAGACTGCCTCCTCAAGTGGGTCCCTGACCCCCAAGTAGCCTAACTGGGAGGAACCCCCCAGTAGGAGCAGACTGACACCTCACATGGCCGGGTACTCCTCTGAGACAAAACTTCCAGAGGAACGACCAGGTAGCAACATTTGCTGTTCACCAATATCCGCTGTTCTGCAGCCTTCGCTGCTGATACCCAGGCAAACAGGGTCTGGAGTGGACCTCCAGCAAACTCCAACAGACCTGCAGCTGAGGGTCCTGACTGTTAGAAGGAAAACTAACAAACAGAAAGGACATCCACAACAAAATCCCATCTGTATGTCACCATCATCAAAGACCAAAGGTAGATAAAACCACAAAGATGGGGAAAAAACAGAGCAGAAAAACTGCAAAGTCTAAAAATCAGAGCACCTATCCTCCTCCAAAGGAATGCAGCTCCTCACCAGCAACAGAACAAAGCTGGACGGAGAATGACTTTCACGAATTGAGAGTAGAAGGCTTCAGATGATCAAACTACTCCAAGGTAAAACAGGAAGTTCGAACCCATGGCAAAGAAGTTACAAACCTTGAAAAAAATTAGACGAATGGCTAACTAGAGTAACCAATGCAGAGAAGTCCTTAAAATACCTGATGGAGCTGAAAACCATGGCATGAGAACTATGTGACAAATGCACAAACCTCAGTAGCCAATTAGATCAACTGGAAGAAAGAGTATCAGTGATGGAAGATCAAATGAATGAAATGAAGCAAGAAGAGAAGTTTAGAGAAAAAAGAATAAAATGAAATGAACAAAGCCTCCAAGAAATATGGGACTATGTGAAAAGACCAAGTCTACGGCTGACTGGTGTACCTGAAAGTGATGGGGAAAATGGAACCAAGTTGGAAAACAATCTGCAGGATATTATCCAGGAGAACTTCCCCAATCTAGCAAGGCAGGCCTACATTCAAATTTAGGAAATACAGAGAATGCCACAAAGATACTCCTTGAGAAGAGCAACTCCAAGCCACATAATTGTCAGATTCACCAAAGTTGAAATGAAGGAAAAAATGTTAAGGGCAGCCAGAGAGAAAGGTCGGGTTACCCACAAAGGGAAGCCCATCAGACTAACAGCTGATCTCTCAGCAGAAACTCTACAAGCCAGAAGAGAGTAGGGGCTGATATTCAACATTCTTCAAGAAAAGAATTTTCAACCCACAATTTCATATCCAGCCAAACTAAGCTTCATAAGTGAAGGAGAAATAAAATCCTTTACAGACAAGAAATGCTGAGAGATTTTGTCACCACCAGGCCTGCCCTACAAGAGCTCCTGAAGGAAGCTCTAAACATGGAAAGGAACAACCAGTACCAGCCACTGCAAAAACATGCCAAATTGTAAAGACCATTGATGCTAGGAAGAAACTGCATCAACTAATGAGCAAAATAACCAGCTAAATCATAATCAGGATCAAATTCACACATAACAATATTAACCTTAAATGTAAATGGGCTAAATGCTCCAATTAAAAGACATAGACTGGCAAACTTGGATAAAGAGTCAAGACTCATCAGTGTGCTGTATTCAGGAGACATATCTCCAGTGCAGGGACACACATAGGCTCAAAATAAAAGGATGGAGGAAGATCTACCAAGCAAATGGAAAACAGAAAAAGGGAGGGGTTGCAATCCTAGTCTCTGATAAAACAGACTTTAAACCAACACAGATCAAAAGAGACAAAGAAGGCCATTACATAATGGTAAAGGGATCAATTCAACAAGAACTAACTATCCTAAATATATATGCACCCAATACAGGAGCACCCAGATTCATAAGGCAAGTCCTTAGAGACCTACAAAGAGACTTAGACTCCCACACAATAATAATGGGAGACTTTAACATCTCACTGTCAACATTACACAGATCAACGAGACAGAAAGTTAACAAGTATATCCAGGAATTGAACTCAGCTCTGCACCAAGCGGACCTAATAGACATCTACAGAACTCTCCACCTCAAATCAGCAGAATAAACATTCTTTTCAGCACCACACCACACCTATTCCAAAATCGACCACATAGTTGGAAGTAAAGCACTCCTCAGCAAATGTAAAAGAACAGAAATTATAACAAACTGTCTCTCAGACCACAGTGCAATCAAACTAGAAATCAGGATTAAGAAACTCACTCAAAACTGCTCAACTACATGGAAACTGAACAACCTGCTCCTGAATGACTACTGGGTACATAACGAAATGAAGGCAGAAATAAAGATGTTCTTTGAAACCACCGAGAACAAAGACAAACATACCAGAATCTCTGGGACACATTTAAAGCATTGTGTAGAGGGAAATTTATAGCACTAAATGCCCACAAGAGAGAGCAGGAAAGATCTAAAATGGACACCCTAACATCACAATTAAAAGAACTAGGGAAGCAAGAGCAAACATATTCAAAAGCTAGCAGAAGGCAAGAAATAACTAAGATCAGAGCAGCACTGAAGGAAATAGAGACACAAAAAACCCTCCAAAAAATCAATGAATCCAGGAGCTGGTTTTTTGAAAAGATCAACAAAATTGATAGACTGCTATCAAGACTAATAAAGAAGAAAAGAGAGAAGACGCAATAAAAAATGATAAAGGGGATATCACCACCGATCCCACAGAAATACAAATTACCATCAGAGAATACTATAAACACCTCCATGCAAATAAACTAGAAAATCTAGAAGAAATGAATAAATTCCTGGACACATACACCCTCCCAAGACTAAACCAGGAAGAAGTTGAATCCCTGAATAGACAAATAAGAACTCTCAATAAATTAGGTATTGATGGGACGTATCTCAAAATAATAAGAGCTATCTATGACAAACCCACAGCCAATATCATACTGAATGGGCAAAAACTGGAAGCATTCCCTTTGAAAACTGGCACAAGACAGGGATGCCCTCTCTCACCACTCCTATTCAACATAGTGTTGGAAGTTCTGGCCAGGGCAATCAGGCAGGAGAAGGAAATAAAGGGTATTCAATTAGGAAAAGAGGAAGTCAAATTGTCCCTGTTTGCAGATGACATGACTGCATATTTAGAAAACCCCATTGTCTCAGCCCAAAACCTCCTAAAGCTGATAGGCAACTTCAGCAAAGTCTCAGGATACAAAATCAAGGTGCAAAAATCACAAGCATTCTTATACACCAATAACAGACAAACAGAGAGCCAAATCATGAGTGAACTCCCATTCACAATTGCTTCAAAGAGAATAAAATACCTAGGAATCCAACTTACAAGGGATGTGAAGGACCTCTTCAAGGAGAACTACAAACCACTGCTCAATGAAATAAAAGAGGATACAAACAAATGGAAGAACATTCCATGCTCATGGGTAGGAAGAATCAATATCGTGAAAATGGCCATACTGCCCAAGGTAATTTATAGATTCAATGCCATCCTCATCAAGCTACCAATGACTATCTTCACAGAACTGGAAAAAACTACTTTAAAGTTCATATGGAACCAAAAAAGAGCCCGCATTGCCATGTCAATTCCTAAGCCAAAAGAACAAAGCTGGAGGCATCACACTACCTGACTTTAAACTACACTACAAGGCTACAGTAACCAAAACAGCATGGTACTGGTACCAAAACAGAGATATAGACCAATGGAACAGAACAGAGCCCTCAGAAATATCTACAACCATCTGATCTTTGACAAATCTGACAAAAACAAGCAATGGGGAAAGGATTCCCTATTTAATAAATGGTGCTGGGAAAACTAGCTAGCCACACATAGAAAGCTGAAACTGGAACCCTTCCTTACACCTTATACAAAAATTAATTCACGATGGATTAAAGACTTAAATGTTAGACCTAAAACCATAAAAACCCTAGAAGAAAACCTAGGCAATACCATTCAGGACATAGGCATGGTCAAGGATTTCATGTCTAAAACACCAAAAGCAATGGCAACAGAAGCCAAAATTGACAAATGGGATCTCATTAAACTAAAGAGTTTCTGCACAGCAAAAAAAAAAAAAAAAAAAAAAAAAAAAAAAAAAAAACCATCAGAATGAACAGGCAACCTACAGAATGGGAGAAAATTTTTGCAATCTACTTATCTAACAAAGGGCTAATATCCAGAATCTACAATGAACTCCAACAAATTTACAAGAAAAAAACAAACAACCCCATCAAAAAGTGGGCGAAGGATATGGGCAGAGACTTCTCAAAAGAAGACATTTATGCAGCCAAAAGATACATAAAAAATGCTCATCATCACTGGCCATCAGAGAAATGCAAATCGAAACCACAAGGAGATACCATCTCACACCAGTTAGAATGCCGATCATTAAAAAGTCAGGAAACAACAGGTGCTGGAGAGGATGTGGAGAAATAGGAACACTTTTACACTGTTGGGACTGTAAACTAGTTCTACCATTGTGGAAGTCAGTGTGGTGATTCCTCAGGGATCTAGAACTAGAAATACCATTTGACCCAGCCATCCCATTACTGGGTATATACCCAAAGGATTATAAATCATGCTGCTATAAAGACACATGCACACATATGTTTATTGCGGCACTATTCACAATAGCAAAGACTTGGAACCAACCCAAATGTCCAACAATGATAGACTGGATTAAGAAAATGTGGCACATATACACCATGGAATACTATGCAGCCATAAAAAAGGATGAGTTCATGTCCTTTGTAGGGACATGGATGAAGCTGGAAACCATCATTCTCAACAAAGTATCGCAAGGACAAAAAACCAAACACCACATGTTCTCACTCATAGGTGGGTATTGAACAATGAGAACACATGGACACAGGAAGGGGAATGTCACACACTGGGGACTGTTGTGGGGTGGGGGGAGAGGGGAGGGATAGCATTAGGAGATATACCTAATGCTAAATGACGAGTTAATGGGTGCAGCACACCAACATGGCACATGTATACATATGTAACAAACCTGCACGTTGTGCACATGTACCCTAAAACTTAAAGCATAATAAAAAATAAAAAATAAAATAAAATAAAACAAGGCTGGGGGAAGCAAATGGCTTTACTCATAAGTAATTTAGGTGATATATTGCTTTTTATATTGTGCATCATTTTTTAATAAACTATTATGAGGTATTAGGCAAATTAAAAGTTATCGGCCTTCTGTAAATAACAAAAAGTACTTAAAATATTTACTAAGTGATTTATAACTGTTAAAGTGATCGAAGAAGGTAATTTAGCCTGTTCCTTGAACTCTGCATATTTAGACAATTAAAAACTTGCTTGGTTTACATTTTAAAATGCCAAAATATGAGTCACTATCATACATCCTCACTTGTTATACATTGGCTACTATTTCATTTTCACTTCTTTATGCCTGGCATAATCCATGCACCGGATCAAGGGAATAGCACTTAAGATACTAAGCTGCCCCACTTTGAAGCTCATTTATCCTGGTACTCAGTGAAGAAAAACAAATATTCTTCTGAAAACAAAACTGCCAAGATGTAGCCACGGTTCCATTGTTTCTTCACACTGCCTCTTCTTTGTTTCTTCATTTGCAAAAGTCGCAGGCAACATATTCAGATCTTTGGAATACATGAAAGCACTTTCTTGAGTTTCTGCAGTCTGTCAGAAAGTACAAAATCCTTGCGAATTCTCATTTTGCCACATACTAGGTACATTCCTAGCTACGGGATGCTGAGATGGGGATTTACCCAGGAAAACCAAAGTAGGAAGAAATCTCAACTCTCAGGTGCCCCTCTTCTG
Source organism: Homo sapiens (assembly GCF_000001405.40). NCBI lineage: Eukaryota > Metazoa > Chordata > Mammalia > Primates > Hominidae > Homo > Homo sapiens. The sequence goes on from NC_000006.12 coordinate 82,721,628, forward strand.
CAGACAGGTTTATATATACATGACATATGTGGCCAAAAATCCCTGAGCAGGGGTGTTTTTCCATCTCTAGCTACTACTTAAGCCAAAATCCTAAAGGTGGGGGCCAAATCTGTGCCACATTTTCCAAACTTTACAATAAGATCCCCTTAGCCCTTTTAGTCCCTGCTCCAACTGTACTGAGCTTTGCCATCTTGCAAAATCATGCCCTGTTGATACTTGCTGCTACCTCAGCCCGAAATACCCTTCCCTTCCTCTTATTTCTTCTTAACTTAACCAATTCTTCATCTTTCAAATCTCAGCACAGAGATACTTTCCTTGAGCACCCTTATCCCAACTTTAGAATAGGTGGCATTCTATGGCTCCCCCAATGCCCCGTTTACCCTTATCTTAGTACACACCAAACTCTGTTGTTCTGGCTTATTATCTGTCTCCCTTGCTAGAATCTACCATCTTTGGGACAAAGAGCTGTGTTTGCCTTGTTAAAAGTTGCATCACTTGTCACAATCTAGATTAGAATCGATAATAAAAATCACATGTTAAAGGAATGAATGACAGTCTTCATTTATCATATCCTTTATTTGGGGCTACATGCCCATAGATGCATGTAGAAAAGAGGTGCATGGAGGAAACTGGTAAAAAGACACAGAATAAAGGGGGTGGAGTAGGGAACAAAGCCATACCACCCTATTATGTGAAAAAAAAATCCATCACACAAAAGCTGCCCTCCAAGGATGACCCCTTTTCTCTTCATCTTTATTTCCATTCCTGCTTCCAAACTTCTACCTCACTGGTCCTTACAATATGCCCTCCTTTTTTTCTCATCTTTTTTTTTTTTGCCATATCCTCTACTGCCAACCTCTGACTATCTAACAACTTACCTTTCTCTCTGCTGTCTTCCGGTGATCATGTTCATCTGATTTGAGTGGTTTTATATTTTTACATTTCAACATCAAATCAACAGAAAAATGGAATCTATTTTGTAAATAAATGTGGTATATAGTACATGCCTCACATTGATTTATGCATGACAATACATATTATGATTAAAAGATATGCTTTCTAGGTATGAGCAGTGTATCTCATCTTACTATTATATGTCAAAAGATCAATAATAGACTTCTGCTTCTGGCCAAGATGAAGTAACAGAGAATGAATTTATAATCGAATCTGAAACAACCAAGAAACTGCAGAACATATATGAAACAACAGTTTTTCAAGGTACTGAATATCAGGCAATGAAGGTTAGTGATCCCTGAAAGATAGGAAACAAAAAAGGTAAACCCTGTGATTGTCCCAGCTTACAGCCTTGAGAGAATTTCCAGGATATGGCACAGGGAGAGGGAACCTAAGTGGAGTCTGATAGACTCCCTGAGTTTAAGAAACAGACCTAGGAGTCCAGGGAGACAGAAGATCCCAGAGTTTACAGGAAAGAGTACCAGAGAAGAGACAGCTTCACAGATACAGAAGTCTAAAATCTCAACTATTAACCTGATTTTGATTCTGCTCATACATGTTAGAAAAACAATAGTAAAAGAAACAGCTGAGACTGGGCACGGTGGCTCACGCCTGTAATCCCAGCATTTTGGGAGGCCAAAGCGAGTGGATCACCTGAGGTCAGGAGTTCGAGACCAGCCTGGTCAACACTTTGAAACCCCATGTCTACTAAAAATACAAAAAATTAGCCGGGCATGGTGGCAGGCGCTTGTAATCCCAGTTACTCAGGAGGCTGAGGCAGGAGAATCACTTGAACCCGGGAGGCGGAGGTTGCAGTGAGCCGAGGTTGTGCCAATGACTCCAGCCTGAGCAACAAGAGTAAGACTCCATCTCAAAAAATAAAACAACAACAACAACAACAAAAAAAAACAGCTGAAAGAATTAGAGGAGATGGTACTTAACACAGGACCAGGAATGATGCTTATTCCCACTAATCAAACTGGAAAGCCTCATAACTCACAGTAAACTGGTAAAGTATTTAGAAGGGTCTTGCCTCTAAATGGAGAATAATTAGCCCCAGACTAGACACAATTCTGCTTCCACCTAAAATTCATTATGTCTGGCATCTAATAAAAAATTACAAGGCACAAAAAGGGACAGGAAAACGCAGCCCACAATGGGGTTCTAGAATAATCAAGCAAACGAAACTGGCCCAGGAATGACATAGACATTAGAACTAGCAGACAAGGACATTAAAATGGCTTTTGTAATATCCCTTCCTATGTTCAAAAGTTCAGTACAGACATGAAAGATATTTTTTAAAGACTCAAACTTCTAGAGATAAAAATTACAGTGTCTGATGTATTGGTTTTCTACTGATATGTAACAAATTATCACGGACTTGGCAGCTTAAAACAACACCCATTTATTAGTGCACAGTTCCATAGGTCAGAAGTCTGAGAGGGCTTGCCTGGGGTCTATGATTAGGATCCTACAAGGCTAAAATTATGGCATTCACTGGTCTGGGTTCTTACCCACTGGCATTGAAAAAAAATTAACTTCTAGGCTGAATACAGTGGCTCATGAATGTAATCCCATTGCTTTAGAAGGTTGAGGCAGGAGTATTGCTTGAGGCCAGAAGTTCAAGACTAGCCTGGGCAACACAGTGAGACTTTGTCTCTACAAAAATATAGATATAATTTTTTAAATTAACTTCCAAGCTCACTGTAGTTGTTAGTAAAATCTAGTTTATTGTGGATATAGGGCTGAAGTCCCCATCTTCTGGCTGACTAGTAACCAGGGGTCACTCTCAGCACCTGGAGGCCATTGTCAGATCTTTTTCATGAGGCTCCCTCTATCTCCAAGCCAGCAATGGCTTAAATCCTTCATGCGCTTCAAATTTCTCTGACTTCCTCTTCTGCTACCATCCTGAAGAAACTCCTCTTAAAGGCCCACCCAGTTAATATCCCTTTTGATTCATCCAAATTCAACTGACTAGTAACCGAAGTTACTAAAATTAATTAAATCTGAAAAATTCCTTTTGCCATAAAACATTACAAAATTGGGGATTATATCTCATTATAGTAACAATTCTGAATTAGGGTAAAAAATTTGGGAGGTCATTTTAGAATTCTGCCTACCAGGTATGAAATGAAAAATATTAAGATTGGTGAACTTGAAACATAACAACAGAAAATATCCAAAATGAAATACACAGAGAAAAATAAATAATCAAAAAAAACACACTGTGTGAGCATCAGTGAGCTCCTGGACAACCTCAAGGAGGCGGGGGGTATTTGAAAAAATAATGGCTCAAAAAATCCAAAGTTGATGAAAACTATAAACCCACAGTAGCAAGAACATCAGTGAATCCCAGGTACAAGAAATATGGATAAAACTATACCAAGGCATATCATAATCAAATTGTTCAAAACCAGTGATGAAGAGACAATCTTAAAAGCAGACAGAGAAAAAAGATACATTATTCATAGAGATAGATAAAGATGAGAGCAATTTTCTCATTGGAAACAATGTAAACAGAAAGATGGTAAAGCAACATCTTTAAAACACAAAGAGGAAAAGTCAGTCTAGAATGGTACACCCAGCAAAAATTACTTTCAAAAACTAAAGCAATGGCACCTTAGGTGAAGTAGTGAACTATTTCATAATGTTCCCGGGGCACAGAGTATCACAAGCACAGTGATATCTAAGGATGGAAAAACTTCTAAATTAACTGCTGACTTCAGAGCCATGTAGTAACTGCTCAATCCACACCAGCAATGTGGATGGTTCATGTACTACTGCCTCTTTCCCCACTTAACTCTGTTCTGAATTACAGTCTCCTATATATGCACCTGATTGGAACAACATAAATTGCATCTAAAAGCCTAACTGCAAGAGTTAAAAAAATGTAATTAACGTTCCAGCCTTTGCAGTCACAAAATACGAAATTAAATTTCAAACAGATATTGACCAGACGCCATCTACTTTATGTTCCATATCAGCAAAAATGTACACTAGGAACTTCCTAGTATATACGTTCCTATATCAGTGTGAATGTCCCTTTGTGCCCATCAGCATATTGTTTTTAGCACATACTAGAATCTGGATTCCATTTTTATCCATTGGCCTGTTGGCCTCTCCCATCTAAATAGATAACCATATGTTGTTGTTGTTGTCGTTTTTCATGGCCTGAGGAACTTTCTACAATGTCTCCAAAATGGTAGATGTTCCAAATATATTCATGCAATTAAACTACATTTGTTGATTAGTTCATTTAATAAATATTTATTAAGCTCTTACTATGTCTAGGTGCCAAGAACTGTTCTACAGAGTTGAAATAGAGCAGTGAACAAATTAGACAAATTTACTGGCTTCATGGATTTAACATTCTAGTGGTGAGCAGAATAAAAATAAATAAATAAATAATTGTGATATAATATTAAGACTGCCCTTAAGAAATCTGAAATAGAACAAGGAGAGCAAGACAAGGGCTGCTCACCTATTTTAGGTGAGATTGTCAGGAAAGGCCTCTTTGAGGAGGTGACATTTGAGCAGAGATCTGAATATAGTGAGGGACCCAGCCATGTAGCCAGCTGTAGTGATAGAATACTAAGTGCAAAGGTCCTGAGCCATGGGCATCTTTGGCAAGCTTTAGGAACAAGGAAGTCAATATGGCAGATCAGAGAGAACAAAGGGGAGAGTGGTAAGCACTGGGGTTGGAAAGGTAGCCAGAGAAAGCTCTCAGTCTTTATTTTGCCTCTGGAACACCTGAGGAGCTTTGACAATCCACAAATGTTCAGGTCCCAAACCCAAAGATTTGATTTGAGTTGGTCAGGAGTGGTACCCAAGCAACAGTAATTTTTTAATCCTCCCCAGGTGATTCTAATATACAGACATGTTTAGAATCATTGCTGCAGAGCCTTGTAGACCATAACGCTTTGTACTAAGAGTGATGGGATGCCATGGTGGGTTTGAGCAGGGGGTAAAATTACTGACATATATATACATATATATATATATGTGTATATATATATGTATATATATGTGTATATATATGTATATATATGTGTATATATATGTATATATATGTGTATATATATGTATATATATATGTGTGTGTATATATATATATATATATTTTTTTTTTTTAGAGGGAGTTTCGCTCTGTCGCTCAGGCTGGAGTGCACTGATGCGATCTTGGCTCACTGCAAGCTCTGCCTCCCAGGTTCACACCATTCTCCTGCCTCAGCCTCCCGAGTAGCTGGGACCCCAGGCACCCACCACCACGCCCGGCTAATTTTTTGTATTTTTAGTAGAGACGGGGTTTCACTGTGTTAGCCAGGATGGTCTTGATCTCCTGACCTCGTGATCCACCCGCCTCCGCCTCCCAAAATGCTGGGATTACAGGCGTGAGCCAATGCGCCCGACCCTGACTTATATTTTAAAAGATTATTCTGACTGCTGGGTGGCTCCAGAAAGCAAGTATAAAGGCAAGAACAGAAATAGAAAATGCCAGTTAGGTCGCTATTACAACAGTCCTTGTAAAAGAGTATGGAGGTGGAGGTGGAAAGGGTGAGAAATGACCAAATTTGTGATAAATTACAAATGCAGTGTCAACAGAATCTGCTGGTGGATTGCATGTAGGATGTGAAAGATTCTACGTCCCCCAAAAAATGATGATTCAGTTCTGGGTCTGAGCAACTAGATGAAAGGTATTAGTGGGATAGGGACCACTGCTGGGGGGAGGGGGAGAGAGACGCAAGTTTCAGGGGAGAAATCAGAAGTTAATGTAAAATAACAATAAAAATGCTGATATCAATACATTTCTACATCTCTGCCTTCTTCCTTCTTTACTTAACTTTCATCCGGCCATATCCTGACTCCTACCCTCTCTGAACTATATATTGCTTCTCATCACTTTCGTGACTCCAAAGCCCAGAATGTTTCCCTGCAATAATACTATGTCACTATAAGATTATGTATCTAAACAGGAATTTTAAAGATCTGATGAAAAACACATCTGGGTAAACCTACAACTCCTGGAAAAGAAAAGACATTACAAACATATCCATAAGGAAAGTTTGGGCTTTTGTCAATGTACTCATAGGTGCAGGTTGGAGGTTAAAATTTAGTTCAGCCAAATTCTTGAAAAAGCATAAGTCTTAGAGCTTGTAAGGGTCAGGCCAACCAAATTTGAAGAGGTGATCAATCTTCTCCACTAGCATTCTTGCATATAAAATGATTGCATTAGATTTTGCAACATTCATTTGCATTTCTTTATTCATATATGCAAATGCTCATTACATGTTCCTTTCATGTAAATTTTTTTAATATTCCAATTTTAAAAATGAGTTAAATGTCTGACTCCTTTGGTCATCATTTCTTTTTTTTTTTTTTTTTTTTTTGAGACGGAGTCTTGCTGTGTTGCCCAGCAGGCTGGAGTGCAGTTGCGCGATCTCAGCTCACTGCAAGCTCCGCCTCCCGGGTTCACGCCATTCTCCTGCCTCAGCCTCCTGAGTAGCTGGGACTACAGGCGCCCTCCACCACGCCCAGCTAATTTTTTATATTTTTAGTAGAGACGGGGTTTCACCGTGTTAGCCAGGATGGTCTCGATCTCCTGAGCTCGTGATCCACCCACCTCGGCCTCCCAAAGTGCTGGGATTACAGGGGTGAGCCACTGCGCCCAGCCTCCTTTGGTCATTTTAGCATGAGATTTTATCAGGTTTCTATAAAGTAATCTGTTTAAGTTTTTCTAGAGGCTGATTTTTCTATTCTGCAATTAATCCAGCATGTCTGTTTGAAAATACTCTTCTCTCTGCAAAACATGTTACAATGGCTTTCCTTTCCTTAATTCTAAGATGGCACTGGATTACAAATGCTTTAATATTACTCATTTCTTTTGAAAAGAGTTATATTACTTAAGAGAAAATGTTTACCACATTTTCTTTACCAGAACAAAAAATTTGTTTAAAGCTGAAAAATAAAGAATTTAAAGGAATCTTTAAAATAACAAAATATAAAGGCTAAATATTTAAAGTTTATATATATATACAATGATAGGACAGCTAGCTGTGAACATCACTTTTTATGTTTTAAAGATGGTTCTTCTTAATTAAACAATAAAAGTTAGCGATATCACTGCTAATTTATTGGACTAAATTATTTCAGAATAAAGGTAAAGACCAACCACCCTAGATTTTTAACTTAATGGGAGAGTTGGGAGGTGGAGCAAATACAGTATTATAAGAATGCTGGTGATAAGAGTTTGCTTTTTGTATCAAAATGTTGATGAAATGGACAAGATTCTTCATACATTGAAAAGGTATTGAATGTGTGTAGAAATGAAAACAAAATCTGCTTAAAAAAATTGATTCCGATATGAGGAAATTGGGGCTACAATCAAAGCTTCAAGAAAAGAGAATGCCAAAAAGGACATACAAGCTCCTCTTGACTCAGAGAAGAAAAAGATCAGAAATATGTTTTTCCTTTTATGATAGTGAGCTTCTGAACAGTGTTTTGCTTGCCAGCAAAATTGAAAGTAAAGGGAAAAAAATATTTCAAAGTGAAAAAAAAAAAGATTCCCACCAATATTATAGAGTAAACTGATCCGAGACAGCAATATATTCTTGAAGAATTCCCCTTGGCTAATACATTTACTATATTTTTCTGCTAAATCCTTTTATCTCTAGTTGTAAAAAATACTTTTGAAGCATTGCTCAGACAATAACATAAGTTGTAAAAACAATTCTCAATGTGAAAAATGATGTTTATAAAATTAAGTTGATATACACAGACTTAAGCTCAATTTTTAATAAAATTTAATGATTTGTAACACCTTTCATACAAGTACATTTATTCAAAACATGTAAAGATCCAATTTAATGTAGTGGTGGTAAGGCACTGTAAACTTCATCATCTACATAAGCAATAGAATTTTCTAACAAAGTGATTTCTGACAGTTTATCTTCTAAAAATCCCAAGTACCACAGTAAAATGTTTTTTGTTTTAGTATTTATCTATCTCTATATCTATATGTGCCAAATAATACTAATGTTTTACTTGTAGCCGATTTCTATTTTCATTTTTATCATTAAAGTTTGCTATTGGAATTTCAGAAGGAAAATTTGAGAACATGAAAGAGCTACAAATGAAGGAATATTGCTGAAAATAACCTGTCATTGCAAGATCTCCCTACACACATTTTTCCCCTCGTCTCTTTATTTTTCCATTTCACTTGCCCTTGACCACTTCTTTACTATCTATTTTCTCCTAGCCTTTGCCCTAGCTCCAAACTGGGGAAATTAAACAAATATTTTCCCCTTAATAGTATGTGTAGAATAAAGCTTTCTGTTCCTTGTTTTTAATTTCACAATTAGGGAACTTTTTGTAGGGTTCTTTTTTATCCTGTTCTTTAAAAAAAAATAAAATTCTCAATTAAAATATTTTTTACTGTAATCCCAGCACTTTGGGAGGCCGAGGTGGGCGGATCACGAGGTCAGGAGATCGAGAACATCCTGGCTAACATGGTGAAACCCCGTCTCTACTAAAAATACAAAAAAAATTAGCCGGGCGCAGTGGCGGGTGCCTGTAGTCCCAGCTACTCGGGAGGCTGAGGCAGGAGAATGGTGTGAACCAGGGAGGCAGAGCTTGCAGTGAGCTGAGATAGCGCCATTGCACTCCAGCCTGGGCGACAGAGCAAGACTCCGCCTCAAAAAAAACAAAAAATATTTTTTATTCTATTATGGTTCTCAAATTGTTTTTCTATGTGGCTGATATCCTTCAAGAAGAAAGATCTTTCTTACTATGTTCATGGATATAAGCAAAATTTGACCAACTTCTAATTAAAGTCTCCCAAGAATATGCTATTTCATCAACTCAACAAACATTTATTAAGCACATAATATGTATCAGGGACTGTGTTGGATAAAAGAAAATCATAATATTCTTACAGTAAGCTTACAGTACAAAGAGAATAAAGATGGACAAATCGGAATGGGGTCATGAGGGAATGAACATTCTTTCTGGTGTTGTCTGGTAAGGAATCACAAAATGTGTCCACAAAAGCTGAGATTTATAAGCTAAGTAGAAATTTGTCAGGAGTCAGAAGGGCATTCTGGAGGAAAGCATAAGTGAAATCAAGTAGATAGGATAGAAACTCTAGCATGTGTGTTGAACTACATAGAGTCTGTATTCTCAAAGCTTAAAATGCAAGACAAGGAATAAAAGGAGAAGCATCTCTGGGAGACAAACCAGTCAGATGGCGAAGGTCCTAGTAAGCTATTCTATGTTTAGATGTTACCCTCTACAGCAGTGGCCTCCAAGTGGGTTATTCCAAAAAGAGTTAAGATCATCATTGAGACTTATGAAAGAAAACATTAGAACTTCTGTTTTTCCCAACATCATATTATGAAAAATTTTAAGCACACAAAATGTTAAAAGAATTGTACAGAGAATTCCCATATACTCACCACCTAAATTGTACAATTAACACTTTAATATATTTGCTTTATCAAACATCTGTTCATAGCTGTATCCATACACCAATCCATTTTTTACTGTTTTTTGTATATTTCTGTTTATATTTGTTATTCTTGAAGATATTTTTTATGGATATAGAATTCCTGTTTGACAGTCTATTTTTACTTTCAGCAATTTAAAGTCATCACTCCACTGTCTTCTGGCCTCCATTCTTTCTGATAAGAAAAGTCAGCATTCTTCTAGGTGTAATGTGTCATTCTTCTCTGTCCACTTTCAGGATATTCTATCCATCTTTGCTTCCCAGCAGTTTGACTGTGATGCATCTATTTGCAGTTTTCTTTGTATTTATCCTCCCTGGGATTCACTGAGATGCTTGAATTCATGAACTCATGTCTTTCAACAAATTTGAGAAATTTTTAGCCATTAGGTCTTAAAAATTTTGGGGTGGGCCCCAATATCTTTATCTTTTCCCCCAGGATGCCATTTACAAATACTTACATATTTTACAAATAAATTACAAATATATAACCTACAAATATACCTTTTGATTTTTCCCACAGGTCACTAAAGCTCTATTCATTTCTTCAATCTTTTTTCTCTGACCTTCAGGTTAGATAATTTTATTTATTGATTTCCAAGGTCATTAACCCTTTTTTCATTTCCAATCTGCTACTAAATTCATTCAGTAAACTTTTTATTTTAGATAACTGTATTTCTCTATTCTAGAATTTGCTTTTTTTAGTTTCCATCTCTGTGAGATTTGTTATTATAAGCCTTTCCATCCTTAAGTATAGTTATAATAGGTACATTAAATTTCATCTCAGAATCAGTCTCCATTGATTGCCTTTTCTCTTTATTATGGTATTATTTTTTCTATTTCTTTGGATTTGTATTATACCTAGGAATTTTGTCTGGTACCATGGACACTATAAATGATACATGGTAGAGAATGTAGATTCTGTTATGTTCCTCACAGGAATATTAATTTTTGTTTCAGCAGGCATTTAACTTGGCTGAATTCAAACTCAAACTTTGAAACAGTGCTTTTAGCCTTAGCTGGGCTGCTTGGAGTCTGCCCTGCACACGAAAGGTGTTTTCTAGAGATTTTGGAAATGTATACTTTTGTTCTCCTTTCTAGCATTCCCCCACTTTCCAGCTACTGCAATTACCTTAAACTCTGGTTCCTCGCAAACAGTAAGACTGTGCATTTCTGTCCATATTTTAACAGCCTATGTGTTAGTAATCTGGGGCTCACCCTCAGGCTAGAAACTCTAAAAAATGAAGCTCACCCAGTACCATTTCTTTTCTTCAAATCTAACCCCTCTTTCAGTATTTTTCTGCTTTTGTTTACTCTACATAGCCTTTAGATAGCTGCTTTACATTTTGCCCAAAATGTGTAGATATTATTTGCAGGATAGGTGATCCGATAGACCTACTTGGCCATTAGTGGAAGTGGAACCAGAACTCATATTTTTAGTTGTCACTTATCATTTTAGCTAACATAAAAAGCAATTGATATTTACTAATATTTAAGGATTAACACACCGTCATTTGGATCATATAAAAGGAAGTTATCATTATTATATGTTATATGAAATATTCTATAGGAAAAGTTGGAGAACTGGTAGAGGTTACAGACATGGAATTGTTGAAGACAGTGATACAGTTTGGATTTGTGTCCCTGCACAAATCTCATGTTGAATTGCAATCCCCAATGTTGGAGGAGGGGCCTTCTGGGAGGTGATTGGATCATGGAGGCAGATTTCTCCCTTGCTGTTCTTGTGATAGCGAGTGAGTTCTCACGAGATCTGGTTGTTTAGAAGTGTGTAGCACCTCCCCCTTTGCTCTCTTCCTGCTGCTCCACCCATGTAGGACATGCCTGCTTCCCCTTCGCCTTCCACCATGATTGTAAGTTTTCTGAGGCCTTCTTAGCCATGCTTCCTGTAGAGCCTGTGGAACCGTGAGCCAATTAAACCTCTTCTTTTTATAAATTACCCAATCTCAGGTAGTTCTTTATAGCAGTGTGAGAACGGACTAATACAGACAGAATTCTCACTCATTTGTTAACTTTCGGTATATTAGCACATATTGCAGGTCATGTGTTTCTTCCCATGTATATTTGTGTGTTTAGAGATTATATTTCTAGTCTTAGAAACCAATCTAATCTTTATAAAATGTATCTGTGGCTCTAAAAATATTCTTGAAGGTGCCAACTATAGATTGGACATACTAATAAACAAGAAAAATCAAACAATAAGAATATAGCAAACTGATACTCTAACTTATGATGAGCTCTTTAGCCACACCATAAAGTAGAAAAAGAATAGTCTAGTCATACATGATGAAAACTTAGAACCTCCAAAATTTAAATTGCCAAGTGGAATATTAGAAAAAAAGAATATATATCCCCTCATTAACAACAATCCTCATTCTAAGTGAATTTTGTGTATTAACATATTAGCTCTTCAATCATTCGACAAATATTTATGAAGCACCTATTATTCATCTGGAACTCCTCTAGATGCCAGGGAAAGAGCTATGGACAAAACAGTGAAATGCTGGCTTCATGGAGTTTTGATTCTACTGGAGGGAGATGGACAACATATAAAATAAAAGATAAGTAAAATACATACAATGCTGGTAAATTATAGTAACATTATAACATGATAACATCATTAAGAGTATGACAATTAACAACTAAGTATCCTGAACATAAATGCAACCTACCAAAATTTGAGAGCAGAAAATTTCTTGTACCATTTCTAAATGAAAAGTTTCTTAATTATTCTTTTTTACGTTTTTCATTGTTGTGGGTACATAGTAGGTATATATATATATTTATGAAATAAATAAGATGTTCTGATATAGGCATGCAATGCATAATAATCACATCATGGAAAATGGGGTATCCATCCCCTCAAGCATTTATCCTTTATGTTACAAACAATCCAATTATACTCCTTTAGTTATTTTTAAATGTACAATTAAATTATTATTGACTATAGTCATGCTGTTGTGCTATCAAATACTAGATTGTCTTCATTCTAACTTTTGTACCCATTAACCATCCCTACCTCTCTCTCACTCCCTCACTACCCTTCTCAGTGTCTGTTAACTACCCTTCTACTCTATCTCCATGGGTACAATTGTTTCAAATTTTAGATCCCACAAATAAGTGAAAACATGCAACGTTTGTCTTTCTGTGCCTGGCTTATTTCAGTTAACATAATGATCTACACAGTTCCATTCAAGTTGTTGCAAATGACAAATCTCATTCTTTTCTATGGCTGAATAGTACTTCATTGTGTACCATATTTTCCCTATCCACTTATCTGTTGATGGACACTTAGGTTGCTCCTAAATCTTAGCTATTGTGAACAGTGCTGCAACAAACATGGGAGTGCACATATTTCTTCAATATACTGATTTCCTTTCTTTTGGGTATTTACCCAGCAGTGGGATTGCTGGGTCCTATGGTAGCTCTACTTGTAGTTTTTTGAGGAACCTCCAAACTGTTCTCCATAGTGATTGTACTAATTTACACTCCCACCAACAGTATACAAGGGTTCCTTTTTCTCCACATCCTCGCCAGCATTTGTTATTGCCTGTCTTTTGAATATAAGCCATTTTAATAAATTATTCTAAAATATTGTTTGCTTCACTATCCTCCTATTCCTTTTCATTTCTATTATATTGATGTGTGCCATGATGATTAAACAAGTGAATAGCTTTCAGTAAATAAAGAAATAATGTATTTGGCTAAATGCACTTATAGACCTTGAGATTTTAAAAAAAGAGCTCCATAGATGTTTGTTATTATTACCATTATTAACATCATAATAATTTTACGTATATAGATATATATATATATCACCTATAAATAAATAAATAGGCATACCTACATTGGGCCAAAGTTCAAAATATTTTGCTGCCAAGTCAAAAATAGTGTGAAAACCTCTTCCCTAAGCCATAACGATCCATTGGAAAGCTTTGAATAGGGTAGTTTGTATAGTTGATTTTTTTTGTTGTTAATAATTCATTCCCTGGTAAGAACGTAGGAGTGGAATAGACAGTGTCAAAACCAAGAGTCAAGGACACCACAATGGCTCAGTCATGAGATCACAGTATCTGATGGATACTGTGAACACAGAAGGATAAGAAAAGATTTTTAAATTCAGAACAATAATAATAATAATAGTAAATTTAGGCAGTTAGGGATTGCCAGAATAGAGGAGTCAGGCTAGGAAAGAACATAGAACAGCTACCATGATTCTGAGAAATTGATTCTAGCCATTGAATTAGGGTAAAAAGGTTTTTGGCGGGAAGCCAAAGCTGCAAAGTTTGGTTTTGGATTTTCCAAATTTAATTCGCCTGTTGTACATCTGACAAGCAACCTGAAACACAAGTCTGAAGTTTGACAGAGAACTAGGAATTGGACATGAATCAGAGAAACCTTCACCAAAGAGAGAAAGATTTTTTAAATTGTGGGTACAGTACAGATTACCCGGAAAAAGTGTGGGGAAGAGTATCAAGAACACATTCCTTGAAGGCCGCATGCAAAGGGTAGATAGAGGAGGGAACCATAAAAATGTATTATGAGACATCAAAGAAGTACAGGCCCAAAGAAAGTTGTGATCTGAAACCCTGGAACCCAAAGAAGGAATGATTTAGACCTAGAGGGGAAGGAGGGCCTTCAGAGAGGGGCAAGATGAGAGCTCCCTGGAGTAGTTTATGAATCTCTCCAAATCATCTCGTGCAAAGACTAACATAAACAGAGGGAGAGGGAAGGAGAGGGGTCAGGGGAGAGGGAGAGCATCTATCAGCAGGAAAACCTGGCAGTCTGATCCCGCAGTCCAGGTTAGTCCAGGGTTAGGAAAGCCACAGAAGAGCCCTGAGGGTAGTGAACTGGGAGACCCTGAGCAGCCCCATGGGGCTCACTCTCAGGAGGGTGAATCCCACTTCCAGTGGATCCCGGCTCACTGCACTCACTGCCAGGGCTCCCCAGCCTCTCATTAGGGCATATGTGGAAACAGCCCCATGAGGGGCTGCGGGAAGAGGCAAAGTGGGGCAGAGAAGGGGGTGACCTGAGGAAGTGAAGCCCTCAGAATCCTCAGCTAAACTCTCCATAAGAACAAAGCCACATCTGGAGGCAGACCCCTGGGAAAATAATCCAAGGGGCACACTACAGGGATGAAGCAGGGAATTGGAGGTGGCTCCCGAGAAAGGCCATGTGTTTTAATGCTTGGCAACAGCCATGAGGTTGAAAAAACTTTCCTGGCCCACTCCCATCCCCTACAAAGGAACTCCTAAACGTACAGGAAAGCCCATCATATTTTGCCATGAGTAACAGAAAAGGATCAAAATGGAGCCCCAAGCAAATACAAGCAAAAAGGGGAAATTGTCCAAATCATATACTGAGACAATTATCACATACTAGAAATATAAATACACACACATATATGGAGAGAGAGTGAGAGAGAAAAATCACAAAGTAACTGACTGCTGTAATCTAATATTTCAAAATGAAATAAATTAAAATGAGAGAAGCTAGGAAGGAACAACATAACTTAAATATAGAACACTCACAAATGGTACAACCAGAACTCAGAAAGATATGAAAACAGAGCTGACAAAGTTCATAGACTCAAACAGACGAGAAAGCACATAGAAATTGCACGTAGAGACACTAAGGAAAAATGCCACAGACATCCCCATTCTGTTTACAACCTGGTTCTCACATAGAGAGCAAATAAGGACAAAATTCTCTAGTTTATTAAACCTCTATGGCTCTACGTTGGGTTTGGCCCATTACCTTTTGCTCATCTCCACCTCTAGCATTTTGTATCCTCCTGTACATCATCCCCTAGGTTCTCCTTCTAAATCTCATACATCTGCCCCGACACCCTTGGAGCCCTTCTCTACGCATATGTCTAGTAGTATTACTTATACTTACAGGGCCCGTGGTGTTGAGAAGTCTTAACCTTGGCATCCTTGTTGTTTGAAACCCCCCACCCCACATCAAGCCATAAGCAATTCAGACTTTGACTACAGAAGTAACACATGGCAACTAGTGGCAGTTTCTCTTATCAATCACAGTATAAATGGAGTAAATGAGAGCCTGATGGTGTCAGCCTCCTAGAAGATGATGTGGATTTTTAAAATAGGGGTCAGGAAAACTATTTTTCAGGGATACTGAATTGTCTATAAATAAATAATAATTGGAATAACAGAAGTCCAAATACAGTGTTTAACATATCTAGCTATTTGTACTGTTATATTAATGACAATCAGAGAGTGGTGGTGCTATGAAGTTCCAAGCACTCCAGTAATTCCAGAGGAAAGGAGTCTCTCCCTGAAATCCGCAAAATCTATTACCAAAAATGTGGTACCAAACTAAAAAAGACTAAGAGAAGTCACTGGGGAAAAAATATTAAAGCAAACAAGGAATAATGCCATCGTGCCATTTTTAAGTAAGATACATTTTTCATTTTGTAAATCAGATTGTAGAAATCTTAATTTTCCTTTCTGTTCTTTTACTTTTAAAGTTTTATTCTGAGTTTTCCCCTTAGTTAGAGTTATTAAAACCACCTTGACACTTGCAAAGCTAGGGTTATTTAGCAAGCATATAAATCTGAGCTTAATATCTATACCAAGAGTTCCTAAAGCCTTAGGGATTTTACTCTAAAGATGTCCTCCCAAAAGCCCCCCCTGCCACCATGTGGCAGCAAGCCTGACCTCTTAGGATTAAAGTTGGTGATGATGAGCTTCCAACTTTGCTCACAAAAATCTAAGTAAAGTTCAGGTAACATGATCCAATACCGATAAAAGAAGACGGCATCTCTGATTACATTGCAGAAACTAAGTAGGATGCATGCAGGTTGCAACTATATATACTGCAGATGGCAGATGTTAAAAAAAGAGAAAAAAACAACAGAAAACCTACCAAATTTTATTTAGTGGAATAAATAGTTATGAGAATGGCATCAAAATGTAAACCAGACAATGGCTCGGTCAGTTGGAGGAGGGGAAATACTGCAATCAGGATGGCTTTATACAGTTCATTTTCTACATGAACAAATTTTGATATGTAAGAATGTCAGTGCTGACATTCTATAGTAATATCCTAATAGCTTGGAGACCTCCTGGGGATATTATTTCTCTCTCTGCCTATCTGGTGGTATGTGAAACCAATCAGGCCCAAAATAAAACACTGAGAACAGCACAAAATGTAAGAGCAGAGAGAAAAGATGTGTTATCTGGCTGCCCCTGATCCTAAGAAAGAACTAGAAAATTCAGTCTGTATTTGATTTAAGCCAAAGATAGAGGAAAAAAAGAAAAAGAAAACCAATAACAACAACAACAACAACAACAAAACCTCCTTTCTTCCTATTTCTGTTATTAGTGAATTTGGGAAAAGGACAAATACTCCCAACTAGAGTTGAGGACTGAGAGCTGTAATATGAGAATAATTACAAAAGGATCTCCTTCCCCCTATACCCTCCCCTTCTAGGTTAGAGTCTGAGGTGTTTTTGTTTGTTCAGAAGCTCTTTTTTATAAAATTCAATAATTATTTTAAGGAAAAAACTTCTAAATCTAACATGAATTAATATAAACATTATTAATTATACATACATAATAGCTCAAATTGTAGCTCAAATTAACTCCTTCAGTTTAATTAAGTCAGAACTGCTGGTAGTGAGAAAGTTTTTCCTGAAATAAGCATGGTGAAGGCAATTACTCTGCTCTGCTGAGATTGTTGCAGGTGAAAAGCAAGAAGAATGCCCCTCCACCAAAGGACTGTTTATTTTGTGTTTAAATGTAATTAAAGCCAATTCCCATTTCCAATTGCCCTGAGACAAGCAGAATTTCCAGAATAATCTTACTGCTTTGAATTCGACTCAAGAGGGAGCCTAGAGATAGTGCAGAGCTGGGGATAAAGATGGGACATTGTTTCCTTCAGATCAGTATTAGGAAGTGCTTCTGCTTTTCTAGTAACCTGGTAAATGAGAAGATGTCTACTACAGATCATCCAGTGGTAAAGTTATAGTGGAGACATCCACTATAACTTTGATAGAAATCTATCTTTGATAGAAATGATTTAGTAAATACTGGGTATAAATCCTAGCTATGCACCTGATGGTATAACTATAAGCAGCAAGCAGTATAGAAAAAAACGCAAAAGAGATTTTCCACTTGAAGATCCCTCTCTCTATGGAGAGAGCTGTTTCTTATTCTCTTCTCTCCTTCCTATTAAACCTCCACTCCTAAAAAAAGAAAAAGAAAGAAAGAAAGAAAAAGAAAAAATGCAAAAGAATCTACTGCTAATTACTTTGAAAATGCAAACATGGTCTTGATCAACAACAGGAAAGACTTTGTTCTGTCTAGGAGAGACAGAGAAGGAGGAAATGAAGGGAAACCTTCAGCCAACAACACACCGTGTACTTTTTTTGTCCTAAGAATACACATGAATACATTAACAGCATGGGAGCAAGCTAGCAATGTCATTATCCACAGGAGTGTAGAAAGAATGTGAAAACTGTTCAAGTTACTCAAGAAATTCAGGTTAGTACAAGATTACAAACAGCTCTTCCCTCTCCAAACATGCAGAGCAAAAACATCTTTGCACCAATTTTCAAGACATAGAAATACAGCCCTGGTAGCAAGTACAGCCTATAAATATGGACCCAAAAACAAGATTCACAGGAAGCAATTTGTGCAAACACAGTTTAGCCTGTCACTAAGTAGAAAACCCAGCTAGTACCTTCTTGCACTTAAGCCATGAGACAAGAAAATCAAACTAAATGGATTTTCTAAAATCCCTAAATGAAAGCTTATATCCCTTTCTTTGGGAAAGGCAACGAAATAAGCCATTGACATTTTTTCATCCCTAACTCAGTCAGCATTCAAAATGCAGTACAAAACAGAATATTTATCCTACCACCCTTTGCCCAAATACAGATTTCCATAAAATCAATTAATCTTTAGGGTGAAAGGGGACTTGGAGGTCATGACACCCAGTCTCCCACCCAATACTCCTATAGCCAGGAGATTACCCAGCCCGTATTTGAAACACTCCACTTGGGGAGCTTACGACTGCTTCAGGCAGCTTCTTTTACTGACAAACAGTGGCAGTTATTAGAATGTTCTAATATTGGCCTGAAATCCACCTCCTGGTAATTTCCACCCACTGGTCCTAGTTTTGTTCTCTGAAGCATTTCAGAGTCTAACCCTCATCATCACCATGACAACTCTTCAAATATTCGAAGGCAGCAAGAGCTTTCTTCACTCAGGCTGCACATTCCCAGTTTCCACACCTCTTCATTTAGAGCAGAACTCGTATTCCCCAGGACACTATCCCATGACTATGTCCTATTTGGTCAATGTCAATGTGAAAATATACTTACTGGAAGATTCATATAGTATTTAGTATTGCATTTAGTAGTATTAAAAGTAATGGCAAAAACTGCAATTACTTTTGCACCAACCTAATGGATTTAGAGCCCAGTGCAAAGGCTTTTGTTCTTTCTGGAGGAACACATTTTCCTATCTAAGAATATAAACTTTTTTCAATTTCCCTAGTAATACCTGCTACCAGAACCATGAGTGATTGTACTTAACCCTGACACCCCAAGAATAGAAGTGTTTCATAGCAAACATTAGAGTATAAGATTGACTTCAGTCTCAATAAATGGTTTCAAGGACTTATGATATAGAAGGTTTTATGCTAGGGGTTATGGACGATATAAGATGTTCACATCTAGCAGGAAAAAACAGACAAATGCAAAAATAAACTACACAACAATGTAGAAAGAGATAAATCCCCTAAAAGACTTGTAAAAGATTCTTAGATAGGGAAGAAGAAGACACTGCTTCCCCAGAAAGGTCTGGGAAGACTGCCTGGAGGACATGGGAAGAGGTAGGGCTTGAGGGGCTCTGGAAGGATGAGTGAGATTTTAACATGCAGAGAAGCACAGAGAAGAATGAGGGATTCCAAGACAGCAGACAACTGAAGAAAAGGACTAAAGGGGAAATAATACAGTAGCTCCAGTCAGACTGAAGTGCATAAGGCAAGAAGGGAAGGAACGGGGTACAAAGATCCAAAATCCTTTTGAAGGAGTTGGATATTTTTTAATACAATACTTACCAATTATGCTAAATACATAAATTTGACAAATCACCTACTCATGGCTAATGACTTTTCTACTCAGTGTGAGGATCTCTAAGATATTTATTTCTATACTCTTAATATGTTCAAATAGATAAACCAGAGGCATAAGATATATGAATATTTTGTCAATTGTAATAACAATAGCTAAAATATT
Source organism: Homo sapiens (assembly GCF_000001405.40). NCBI lineage: Eukaryota > Metazoa > Chordata > Mammalia > Primates > Hominidae > Homo > Homo sapiens. Next base: position 82,741,364 of record NC_000006.12, read on the forward strand.
TTATTTAGTAATTTTTTAGTAATTTTTATGTGGTACTATTCACAGTAGTGCTTTACATGATTGAGCTCATACTTATAATATCCATTTGAAGTAGGAGCAGTTATTTTCTCTTTATTACAGAAGGAACTGAGGCACAGAGAGGTTAAGACACTTGCCCAAGATCACACAGCTAGCAGGTGGTATAGTTAAGATTTAAATCTACAAAATCTGGCTCCAGAGCTAATTTGCTACTCCATGCTACCTCTCACTTCAAATATGCAGTTACTTATTCTAACAATCTGTTTATAATCTTACTAATTCAGGATTTTTAAAAGTTGTTTTTAGCCTACAGGATGAGCTAAAGCAACTTTTGTGGTTTATATCTATCTGCTCATCTTCTGGAACTCTTACACTATTCCGGATACTGATTAAGAGACTCATTTAGCATGTTGAATCCCAAGAACTCTGAATCATCAGGGAAAACAAGTCATGCCTCTATGGCCAACTGAAGGAAGACTTGCCTGTGTAAAAATATATCTATAGATCATACACAATTCCCCTCATACCTCCTCTTAAGCAGTTTCCATAATTAAGGGTAGACTAATCTCTCCTAGCTGCCACCCCTTCCCTGCTTCCAGGATGGCTCACAGCTGCACAGCTCTAGACAAATAAAAATGTAACCTGCTGTTAAAATCCCTAGGAAAGAAAATTCCACAGCCACCCCCAAGGTAACAAATCCCCTTGCCTGACCACTTGGCGCAATGCCTATTCATCAAGTCAGAAAGTTTATTTACATACTTCCAATGAAACTGCTTTGTCCTAATTTCCTTAGGGGCCCTCTGGTGCCTGAAAACCTGCTTTGTTCTTTGGCAGCTGCTGCTGTTTCAGATTATAGGACCACTTAATTGGGTGTGACTTGTTTTCTGGTCCTGACTCCTCTGCCATCACAGAGACTTCCTAAAGTCAGCCTGAGCAGAGGAGACTTAAGAGAAGTCCATCTCTCTACACGGAACTGTTCTTAACGTTGACCAAGGAGCTGGGCTGACTGGGAGATCCAACATGCAAATCCAGTGTACGGATCCAACAACGTGCATGAACTGGAACGGCTTGCCCTCACCCGCTAAATGCAACACTTTCCTCTCTGTGTCGGCTGGGGCTTCTGTTCTGATTAGTCTGATCCATCTTTTGGGGGATGTCACTTACCCTTCAAGTCCTCAGAAACTTGAAAGGCTGGGCTACTCTGAGTAAGAGAGTCCCTAAGTCTGAATTTTCAGGAAGCTTCAATACTCTGGCAGTGGACACCACACTAGATGCTCCAGGCAGCAGCAAGGCCCTCCTAGGCCTCCCAGTCAGCCAGGGTAGGAGCATAAGACATAGTCACCAGCTCCATTCATTTCCTATTCCAACCCACAAATTCTCCTGCTATTGCCAGGTCAGAGAGGTAATTATCTCAACATTAATGACTACAGTCAGAACATTAGACTGAGTCTCAAATCACCAGACCCTCCTGACTCCAACCAGCCCCTGGCTATTGGTTAACTTTTGAGGTAGAAGGATGCTTTCACTCTACTACTCTATTTATTCATTCAACAAAAATGTATCAAGCATCTACCAAGCTGCTCCAGGTACTATACTAAATGTGTGGGGCACCAAGATGAGGAAGTCACTGCCCATACCTACCAGGCTCTCACAGTCCAGTGAGACAGGCCAATTGTCAACTCAACCAACTGAATGTATCAGAGTGTTAGAGTCCTATGCTTGTAGTGATGTGTTCATATTCTATTATAATAGACAGCAAGAAGTTTTAAATAACTGCCTGGAGAAGGTGGTGAATGTGAAATTTAAGCCGAGCTTTAAAAATGAATAGTAGCATGTCTAGCGGAGAAGGGGAATAGAATACACCTATCAAAGAAAGCAACACAAACAAGACACTAATGTATACAATGATATATGCTATTGAAGAAGATATACACTATTCAGAGAAGAGAGAGTGAATCTGCCATGGTGGCTAAGAGCTGAAGAGAGGAGAATGGGTCAGAAAGAGTTACTTGAAAGACAGGTTGGGACTAGATTGTGAAGGCCTGGCCAGGGGATTTGGTTTCACTTGGTGGGCCATAGGAATTGAGAAGAGTCAGGACATTTTCTGGGTTTTCGAAAAATCCCTCCTATATGGAAAAAGGTATGAAAGTATTCAAGATAGTATAGTTAGTCGAGAAGGAGAGCATTCTCTAACAACCTGGATGCCTTTCTGTTGTTCTCCCTGTCTACAAATGGGGAGGGGGTTGAAGGGAGGACATGGCAGCTGCTGTTCTAGGGGAGGGATCAATCTCCTTCTCTGTGGCCCTTGGGGATAGAACCAGACACTGTGGAGGAGGGAGACTTCACCTCAAGAGATGGGACCTCTGGGCAGGTATGGTGGCTTATGCCTGTAATCCCAGTAATTTGGGAGGCTGAGATGAGCAGATCACCTGAGGTCAGGAATTCAAGACCAGCCTGGCCAACATGGTGAAACCCTATCTCTACTAAAAATACAAAAATGAGCTGGGCATGGTGGCACATGCCTGTAGTCCCAGCTACTATGGAGGCATGCTAATCGCTTGAACCTGGGAAGCAGAGGTTGCCGTGAGCCAAGATCATGCCACTGTACTCCAGCCTGGATGACAGTGAGGCTCTGTCTCAAAAAAAAAAAAAAAAAAGAAGAAGAAGAAGAAGAAGGGACCTGTGAGGTTTAGCACTGAAGACTGAAGCTGGAATAGGCTGCTTTGAAATGTTGCTGCAAGGAGGAATTCCTATTGTCTGGGTTGAGCCCTGGTACACTAAGGAGATATCAGGTCGATAGGATCCATAAGAGACTCAAGTTTCACACAGAAGAAAGTGCTTACAAGTGGTAACATGCTATGGTACTGGAGGGAAATTTTGTTCTATCTCACTTTCCTCTTGCTAAGGACATACCAAAAGGATTCCCATAAAGACTGCCCACTATGATCCTATTGCTGTGTGTAAGAAGTACATTACATTTTTTAACTTTTTGGTCAAGGGACAACATGGAGATCTGTTGCTAATGTAAAATACTACTGAGAGTCAGTAAAGCAAATATTTACTAAATCTCTTTCCTATGCAAGGGCCAAGGCCAGAGCAAAGATCAGCTTCTATTTTGAAGGCCCTATTTCTAGCTTGCCACAATAGCTACCATTTTGGATCACCTACTCAGTGCCAGACTTCATACTAGCAGCTTTCTTACAGACTCTTAATTTTTACAACAACCATACCAAGTAGGTATCATTATCCCCATTTCATAGATATTAAAATGGAAGCACAGAGGGCAAATAACTCACCCAAGTTCACATTCCTGGAGGGCAGTAGAAATGGGAGTGGATCTCAAAGTCATCTACCTCCCAGGTCCCACATCCTCCCTGGGCTGCTGTGGGGATGGTGAGAGATGCCCTGACAGGGAAAGCTGAAGCTGAAGCTGAAAGCCGGAAGACAACAGGTGCAGGGTGTGGCTCTGGGCAGCAATGTTTTTGATACACTTTTTCTAAGTGAAGCCACTTTCAGTGTTTTCTCAACTGTCTTCTAGGATCACAAGAGAAGAGTGTTACCAGACCCTAGGAGGCCAAAGTGACTGACCTCCCAGCTCTGCCTTTAGAACTCTCTTTGGGGGAATAGTCCAGGTCAGCATGACCAATATGTAGATGGAGAAACATGAAGCTCCTGAGAAGCAACTTTTTAAAATGGAAAAATATGTGTTTAGTTTTGTATAGCTCAGCAGTTCAAAAATTCACTTGACCCAGAAGCCTTCTTTTTTTCCATAGAACACCTCAGACCCAGTAGAATTGAGAATTCACCAAACACTTAATGAGGCAAGGTAAGACACGACCCACCCCTACTGAGACAATCCAAATATCAAGATGTGGATTAGCCTCTCAGGCAATAAATCAACCACAGCCATTTGCAGGCCCTGTAGGTGTGAATGACTGATTGAGGGAGTCATTTAATTCCTTTGACCTTCAGTTTTCTCATCTATGAAATGGAGAAAGCATAAGGATGTCTTGGGGATTAATAAACTAATTCATTGAATGGGTTAGATGTAACTGCCCGACATATAGCAAGACTCAATGAGTGTTAGCTATTACTTTTTTAAAGTATATTAAATGCTGGAGATGAAACTACATGAGACTTGTGAAAATACTTCATAAACTACAGAGTACTGTATAAATGTCAATGGTTAGTTGTTATTATTATCAGAAACTTCTTGGTCTCTATAAAATGCTGCTGTCCAATTAAATCCTCTGTGTCCATAGAAAATACCCAATTGTTGAAGATTGATTACTCAGCTTGTTAAGGTGTCACTATTCATGTGGTTCTGACCTGCAATGGAAAGAAACAAAAATCCTCCTTTTCTCCTTCTGCAAATGGAAATTACTTTCCAAGAAGCCATCTCCTTTTGAAATGAGAAGCAAAGCAGAGAAAGCACCTGGGTAGGGGTCTTTGCAATTAATAAAGTGTGAAGGAACAAAGATCACATAAGCAGATTATTTGAGAGTTTTAAAATGCATGAGGATTTTTAATGTTTTTTTCTTCAGGTGGTCAGTTTCTAGCTAACTGACCTTATGCTGGAATTTCAGATATCATGTAATACTAGAGGTACTGGGAAATAATCCGTTGTGTGGATGCTTCACAGTGTACCCGGCACGGGGCTTCCAGATGCAGCTACTGAGAAGCCCTTTGTCTCCTTCTACAGCAGTCTCTGGTGAACATGCTTCCCAGGAGAGCAGGAGCTTTGTGAATGTTTCCTTTTTCCACACATTATGTTTACTTATCTGGATTCTCAAAGGAAGTAGCTGACACACCTAACATCAGCCTGGCAGGTTTGAGTCCAGCAGGGTGAGATCCAGGCAGCTGCAAGAGTGTAGTATCCTTCCCAAAGAGGCTAACTGCCTGCCAAGGTGCCCAGGATGTGCTGGAAGAAACTGTCAAAACACAGAGTAGACATATGCAGTACAGCCGTGCTTGCCCACCTGACTGGGCACATGACACGTGAGCACTGCCCACCAGCCAGGCCCTCCTCCCGCATTACATTGTGTGTAGGGCATGAAAACAAACAGGAGATCCTGCTCCAGTCTTCTTGCCCTAGATCTCTTCTTCCTCCTCCTGTCCACTCTCCCACTCCCTACTGTCCTCGTGCTTTTTCTCTCTTTCCCCAAAATAAGATACCTTGCTAATGTTAACACTTCCCAGTTTATGAGGCAACTTTACAGTTGCTCCTAACACATGGGCTTGAGAGCCCAGATAGATCAATGTGTGTTTGAACCTAGCTCTAGGTCAGGTTTGGTCACCTTGAGCAAGGTTGACTGACTTCTCTGGAAGGGTAAAATTCAGATAAGCATACTTACCACAAAGACATGTTGGGAGGAGAAAGTGTTCCGATGTATTAGAGCATTTTCCATGGTGACTAGCATGGAGGAAGTACTCTTTAAAGTAGCAGCTATTAGCCTGAGGCCCTCTGAGTTAGGGGCTAATCACATGTTTTACATAAGAGGAGACTGAGGCACAAAGGGCAGGACAGGACTGCCCAATGCCACTCCATTGGGAAGAACCAGAGCTGGACTTTGGGCCCAAACTTGATTACATGGACACTCCTCACCACACTGCCTCCTGGCCCTTTTGTCTTTTTTTTTTTTTTTTTTTGGTCCTATCTTCCCCACAAACTAATAAATGTGTTTCTTATATGGGGAATAATTCTACTATGAGTTCTGCTTATTTTCTGGCTCTAGTGGCCAGGAACTGACATTCCCACCATACTAGGTTGATCAGGTTCATAGCTTGAAATACGTAAGAATATATATGTACACACATACAAAACATACACAAAATATGTCCACTATATATACATATATTACCTATATACACATGTAATATACACATATACATATATGCACATATGTATATGTATACTGTATACTAAATTCCGTATAATTTTTTTTTGTCTAAGAAAACTGTAGGTAGATTGGGTATGGAAAATCTGCAGTGAGATTCAGGGGAGACATTCAGAAACAAAGCAGAGGCCAATGATATGAGAGAAGAGAGAAAACAAATTCAGTTTCCGTATGATTCCAATTTTGCTGCAGCATTGATGATTCAGTGTTTTCATTTCTTCAAAGAAATATTTGCAGTAGCTCTTATATTTAACAAGCCAGCTTGTGCTTAACATTTTATAAATACGATATACGAATACAAATTTTAAAAACAGCAAGAACACACAATAATACTGAATAGTGCTGAGAAAGCATCATAATTTGGAACAATATATTAGATGTACAAGAAAAGAATATTTCTGGTTATAGTTTCGATAGCTATCTTAGAACTTGAGAAAATGCATGTAAACTACCAAGACCTCATCAAATATAATCATGTTGAGAAGTCAGAAAACTATTAGTTTTCTTATAAATAAAATCTACCTTTTATTGCAACCTGTCTTAAAAACTAGATAGAAAATTTCTTTCATGTTAAAATCAATCTCTGTAGTAGCCCATTCTAAAATGTATTTTATTAATATTGGACCCATTTGAAAAACCTCAAAAATGGAGAATTTGTTTGGAGATGGAGGGTGTAGGTATCTTGATCCTCTGGAGTAGCTCTATGAGTTCTCAAAGCTGGGTGTCCTTATACTTTGAATTCCAAAAGTTCCCCAGGTCCTAGTAGCTTGTTATTATAGGGATAGGAAAGCCCAGAAAGTACAAAGGAATCTCAATGGGGTCACTGTATAAATGCATAATTTCATCCAGAGTATAATTTTTCCCCTATAATAATATACTTTGAATCATAAATAGTGAAAATATAGAAGTAGGATGTCATGTATAAACTCCCAGAGTTTTAGGTTCTAAGACTTAAATCATGTTGTAAAAGCAAGCTATGGGAAGATGTGTTTGAATTCTGGCTCTACCAGAATTTGAATTCTGGCTCTACCACTATGAGCTCTGTGTTTTTGCACAAAACACTTATCCTCCATGAGCTGTTGTTTCCTTGGCTATAAAACAGGGACAATAACGCATACCTCAAAGGTGCTATGAGGAATGGGTAAAAGAACATGCATGAAAGCTCACAGCATGGGCCTAGACACACAAATAGAGTTCTGTAAATGTTGGCTAAATATGGCTGAAATGTTGGTTGTAAACGTTGCCCCTACCTCACCCCAAATCCCTGGAGTAGTATTCTAGGGAGTAGTGGGTTTCCAATCCACGAAACTCATTTTTCCTTCAGAAGTTTCTTGGACATAACTTTATTCTCAGAAAGTAAAGCATCATACATTTTCTTTGAAAACATCAGTTTCCAAACATGAGGGGAGTTTTAAAATTTATTTTTGTTGTTGTTGTTGTTTGTTTGTTTGTTTGTTTTGAGACACAGTCTTGCTCTGTCACCCAGGCTGGAGGGCAGTGGCGTGATCTCAGCTCACTGCAAGCTCCACCTCCTGGGTTCACGCCATTCTCCTGCCTCAGCCTCCCCAGCAGCTGGGACTACAGGCACCCACCACCACGCCCGGCTAATTTTTTGTATTTTTAGTAGAGACGGGGTTTCACCGTGTTAGCCAGGATGGTCTAGATCTCCTGAGCTCGTGATCCACCCGCATCGGCCTCCCAAAGTGCTGGGATTACAGGCGTGAGCCACTGTGCCCAGCCGGGAGTTTGTTTTATTGTGTTGTAAGGAGTGAAATCCTCATTAAACTGAGTTTTATGTTGAAGCATAATCTCTATAAAATCAGTAAACACTGCGCATATGCAGTGGTGAAGGTGTGTGGGTTTAGACTAAGGTAGGGTCTGGCCTCTAGTCAGCTTGCCTGCTCTCTAACAACCCACCTCCTACACATCCCCCAAAGGCCCCAGCATAATTCCAGAATTTGCTAGGATTGTTTGAAAACTTCTGTTCTAAAGGGACAAATAAGCCTTCCCATTCCAGGGCAGTAAAGCTGTTAGGAACAGTCTGCTAAGGCACTAATAACTGTGATCTTGCTCTTTCATCGGCCAAATAGAAAAATGTGTAATTCTGGAAAAATCAGCATATTAGATACCAGTAGGGTCACCATCTATTGAGAAGTTAGAACCAAACAGAAATCCCTACCCTTATTTCATTTCAAATTACTGTAATCCTTAACACTATCTTGGTTTACTTAATGAATAAAGGCTCAAAGTGAAATTTATGTTTTACCTTACTTGTTAGCCCATCCTTAGTATTCGTTTGGTAGTGAGTGGCACAGATGGCAGTCACACAGGGTATTTCTGAATTGGGGCATAAGACAGCAAAACTGCAAGATCCAATGTTCTGCAGGTTTGAATTCATCTAATGGTTAACATCTAATTGCAGACATCCTCCATAATACTACAAAGATAGATACAATCCATTTGGGTCTAAATTGAGCAAAGCAAGCATAGTGCCATGGGAGTATTATAGATGAGGTCTTGCCCTGGTGTCAAGCTTACTTCAATCTCCCAAGTGGAAAGAATAAAGAAAGTACTATGCTTTAATTTGGGGGCTATTTATACACCTTAGTAATTACAGATGTGAAAGCAATGTATTTTCTAAGAAAGTTCTGGCTAAAACCATAGTTTTAAGGATCTGGATAATAGCTTTTCAGCAGCTATTTGTATTTCTCTTCAGTCTGACTGTCAGCGGTATCTTTATTTACAGAAATGTGCTCCACACAGTTAAGTCTAAGACTGTTACATTTCAGAAAGGAGAAAGAACCTTTTATTTGGTTGGAGGCAGGCAGAAAGATATCCGTACTAATCCTCCATAGCTCTAAACATTTTCTCCAGCACTACAAGTAACAGTTAAACCATTTTAACTATTGAGTGAAAATGAGTAACTACACAGCACTTTGCAACTTAAGCTCTTCTTTTAAATTATACATATTACTATTTTCACTCATAAATTCATTTCCATGCAAACCTTATTTTTAAAGGCAAGTGTTAAGAATGCTCAAGTTGTACTATTTCCTACATAGTGTTATCCATTAATACAGCTTGTTTTAATCTCTTGGAAAATAGGCCCTTCCAAATCAGAGAGTGGTCTCTAATCTAACAAATTCAGATCAGTCTGAATTTGTCACACTCTGCTCATTTTTCCTCTTTTCCATCTGAAAGCTTAAACTAAAGAGGTTTATTTAGTCTTAGACTTTGTGTTTGCTCTTGGAGAGATGCAAGAAAAATTTCTTGAAAGAATCATGTTTTCCTTGTCGTGGAACTGGAGAGAAACAGAATGTGTGGGTTATGAGACACTAAGGCTAACTTAGAAACAGAGCCTACTGCTCAGCCTTCTGGCTGAAGATCTGAAAGTGCCAATATTCTGGCCTGAACGGGTGGCTGAGTTTCATAAATATCCATGCTGTTGTGTGATTAGTCACAGAGAGGAAAAACTGTGAGCCATTGAAATGCAAGCAAATTAAAACAAACAAACGAAAACCAAAAAAACCCAAAACTGTAATTTAGTGCAGCATGCAGGGATAAAATGCTATTTCATTGCCAGTGGCCAAAGATTACATTCCAATGCTAGCCAGAAAGTTGAGGAATTCACAAGACAGGACCCAGATTCAAGATGAAAGACGAAACATATGCATCAACTACTCTTACACCTCTTGTGTCCTAATGAAATGGTAGAAAAGTTGTTGGTTTTTTTAATGAGCCTACAACAATCCTCGTAAGAAAGGAATCAAGCAAAAGAACAGAAAGTTCAAAGGAACTAGGAAGAGAGAAAGCAAATACGATCAGATGTACAAAGAAAACCGAGTAGGAAAAACAACACTTCCAAACCACATTGCCCACTGAAACTCCAAGATCTGGGTCAACTAACACAAAAAGCAGGAATGGGACCTGGGGCACCCACCAAAGTAATTAATAAAGAATTGAATGTAGAAGAGCTAAGCCAATTGGTCCCTTGCAATTTCCAGAGTTATAACGGAAGACTTTTATCGAAGACTCAAAAAAGTCAGGTACTCATGAATCTTCATTACAACTCTCTGAAGTAGGCCCTATTATTATCCTATTTGTTAAATAAAGAAACTGAGGCACTGAGATAAGCAACTTATGGTCACATGGCTAATGACTGATAGAACAGGAATTCAAACCCAAGAACAGCTTGGCTCCAGAAAACATGTTCCTCAATAACCATGCTATACTGCCATAGAAGGCCAGTTGAAAACTGCCTTTATTAAATTAGGGGGCTTCAGATTCAGAATGGCAGCCTGAGAACAAGCTCCAGCCTTACCTTTCTGCACCATCCTTAGAAATAACAGTAACCAAAGTTTTAGCACTATCTTTACAGTGAAAAACAAGGAATGTGCCATCCTTCAAAAAAATAGCAACAAAAAAAATTAGCATTCATTTCTACAGTGAGAAAAAATGTCCTTATAGGGCCAGAAAATTTGAAGACTCCTAAAGACAGAAGTCAAATGGAATCAGGTTAAAGAAGGAAACCACAAACTAAAGCATATGCAAAAAAGGGACTGTTGAATAAAAAAAGGAGGCTCAAAGGTGCTTGAAACCCAGATGCAGCAGTTACTATGGAGAGGAATGGGCCTTGGGGCAGCTAATGAGCAAGTACCCCTCTAACCCCAACAGGAATGCTGCACCTCAGGGAGAACTTGGACTGCAATCACCTGGGTCACAGACACAGAGCAAAGCCCTGGGTAAAATGAGGGGAATCAGGTATCTACTAGACCCAGAAAACACCTACATGCTCTAGACATAAGCACTACTTCTCCTTCTCCACAGTCACTGGAGAATATACCTAGGTAGGCAGCACATGCTGACCCTCTCCCAAAAGCAGGCTTCATAGACAGGCTACTGGGGAACCTGGAGAAAAATACAAAACCAGGCTAGGTGCAATGGCTCACGCCTATAATCCCAGCACTTTGGGAGGCCGAGGCAGGTGGATCACTTGAGGTCAGGAGTTCGAGACCAGCCTGACCAATGTGGTAAAACCCCGTTTCTACTAAAAATACAAAAATTAGCCAAGCTTGGTGGTGCATGCCTGTAATCCCAGCTACTCAGGAGGCTGAGACAGGAGAATTGCTTCAGCCCGGGAGGCGGAGGTTGCAATGAGCAGAGATTGCACCCCTGCACTCCAGCCTGGTGACAAAACAAGACTCTGCCTCAAAAAACAAAACAAAACAAAACCATGAATCATTAGTATTTGATTAGAGTCATCAAACATAACAAACAGAAGGAATTGCCTCCTAATGAAATCAAGAAAAAAGAATAAAACTTTAGAATAGGTATAAATAATATCCTCAAAGATATAACAGTGAACATGATATTCATAAAGTGAATCAAGTCTAGATCTTGAACACTAAAAGTTTAATCATTTAAATTAAAAATAAACGGCTAAACTAAGTAGCAAAATGGACAATGAAAGCAAATTAATTAGCTAGATAATCAGACTGAGGAATTCACAACAGAACTCAAAAGGACAGAGAGTTTGAATACACAACAAAAAAGTAAGAAGTTCAGAGGAAAGATCCCAAAGTTTCCAATATTTATCTAACTATTATCCCAGAAAGGAGATTATATAGTATTATATAGAAAAAAATATTCAAAGCAATAATGAAACAAAAATTTCCACAACTGAAGACAGGCATCCTCAAGGTAGGTAGAAGCACCCACTAAGTGTCAAGCAGCATGAATCAAAAAGACACATTATGGTGTAAATGCAGAACTTCATTGATAAAGAATTATTGTGATGCAGAACTTCATTGCATCACAGAATTAAAATATTTTGATTCTGTATAAAGGAACAAGAATCAGACTGACATAGGCTACCTCATCATCCACAGCACATGAAAGAATGTCTTCTTGAGGCTGCCTCTTAAAAACTTATGTGGGAAAATTATTTTGAACCTAGAATTCTATGCCCAGTAAACTATCATTCAAGAGTAAATCAAAGATATTTTGAACACACAAAATAATCAGAATTTTTTTAACACATTAACATTTTCTCAAAGAATTACTAAAGTACATTAGCAAAAAAGCCAAGAGAAAGTAGTTTGATACAAAAAAGCAATACGCAAAAATATTAAAAATATTAAATATTAAAAATAATATTAAAATATAATATATTATATGTAGACTATGTCATATATAGTCATAATAAATAAAATATTATATATAAATATTACATATTGATATGCTTATGTACCTATTATATACGGTAAATTTTATAATATATAAAATATATAAAATGTAATATAGAATATATAATAATATAAATAAAATAATATATGTCAAGTATACAAATATTTCTAACAATCTGGAACTAAAATTACAGATAATCTCAAAATAGGAAGGAGAAGTAGAAAAGGAAATAACATTCTAAGGTTCTTTTCCTTTTTGGAAGAGAAATGATATAGATATTGATTAACTTAATAATACCAATAGAAACATATGTTTAATTATTGATATTAAAATTTAAAGATCAATCACCAGAAGATTAGAAATATAAAGACTGTAAAATTTCCAAACCTTAGGATGAGGGGTGGAAATGAAACAGAAAAATGATTGTCCAAGAAAGACCTAACAGAAGGAAAAAAAGATCTTAAAAGAATGTCAACTAGAAAACACAAAATAAGATGGCAAGTGGAATAAATCAAAATATATCACTAATCACAATAAATATGAATGAGTTAAAAGACTACAAATAAAAGACATTAATCCAATAAGGACAAAAGGAACAGAAAGATTATAACAATAAGATTTTGGAAGCTGGAAACAAAAATAAATGATTACTGACTTAGCAAAACTTAGACGAAATAGAAAGTCTCTGGACTGGAGGAAATGGAGCACAGCTGAAGGATCGGCCACTGTATTAAAAACAGAAAAATAAGTAAAAGTCTAGGTACATACAGAATCTTGAGACCCATCACCCTGTTCCCAGTCGGATCTCAGAATATTTTCAGTGATGCTTCTGTCCTCTAGATAGAATACTAGGAGATTCTCTTCTGGGAAATAAGAACAGTCTAGAAGAAAAAGACCTAAGAATACTGACATTAGCAATTTCCCAATTAAACTTAGTCTATCTCCCTGCTGGGAGACCAACAGTCAACAAGTCCTAACCAAGTTCACAGAGTTTCCCATCTGCTTGTTAGAGCCCCATGATTAAATGAGTATAGAGGAGAGCCTAATAGGAAAGATCACAACCACATACAAAATAAAGCAAGCTGGAAGAAACAGAGTCTGTTTTTTTTTCTTTTTTTTTTTAAAAAAAAAACTTCTAAACTGTATTCATTAATTCATTCATTAATATTCTCAGAGAAATAAGAAAATATTACATCCATAAAATAAGAATATGATGCTTTTAATAAGGAACATTCAGAGCAAAAAGCTCTCTTAAAAATTAAATATATGTCATAAATAGCTCTTATTATTTTGAGATATGTCCCATCAATACCTAGTTTGAGAGTTTTTAGCATGAAGGGCTGTTAAATTTTGTCAAAGGCCTTTTCTGCATCTATTGAGATAACCATGTGGTTCTTGTCTTTGGTTATGTTTATATGATGGGTTACGTTTATTGATTTGCGTATGTTGAACCAGCCTTGCATCCCAGGGATGAAGCCCACTTGATCATGGTGGATAAGCTTTTTGATGTGCTGCTGGATTCAGTTTGCCAGTATTTTATTGAGGATTTTTGCATCGATGTTCATCAGGGATATTGGTCTAAAATTCTCTTTTTTTGTAGTGTCTCTGCCAGGCTTTGGCATCAGGATGATGCTGGCCTCATAAAATGAGTTAGGGAGGATTCCCTCTTTTTCTATTGATTGGAATAGTTTCAGAAGGAATAATACCAGCTCCTCTTTGTACCTCTGGTAGAATTCGGCTGTGAATCCATCTGGTGCTGGACTTTTTTGGTTGATAGGCTATTAATTATTGTCTCAATGTCAGAGCCTGTTATTGGTCTATTCAGGGATTCAACTTCTTCCTGGTTTAGTCTTGGGAGGGTGTATGTGTGCAGGAATTTGTCCATTTCTCCTACATTTTCTAGTTTATTTGCATAGAGGTGTTTATAGTATTCTCTGATGGTAGCTTGTATGTCTGTGGGATCGGTGGTGATACCCCATTTATCATTTTTTACTGCATCTATTTGATTCTTCTCTCTTTTCTTCTTTATTAGTCTTGCTAGCGGTGTATCAATTCTGTTAATCTTTTCAAAACAACAGCTCCTGTATTCATTGATTTTTTGGAGGGTTTTTTTGTGTCTCTATCTCCTTCATTTCTGCTCTGATCTTAGTTATTTATTGCCTTCTGCTAGCTTTTGAATGTGTTTGCTCTTGCTTCTCTAGTTCTTTTAATTGTGATGTTAGGGTGTCAATTTTAGATCTTTCCTGCTTTCTCTTGTGGGCATTTAGTGTTATAAATTTCCCTCTACACACTGCTTCAAAGGTGTCCGAGAGATTCTGTTATGTTGTGTTTTTGTTCTCACTGGTTTCAAAGAACATCTTTATTTCTGCCTTCATTTCGTTCTTTACCCAGTAGTCATTCAGGAGCAGGTTGTTCAGTTTCCATGTAATTGAGCAGTTTTGAGTGTGTTTCTTAATCCTGATTTCTAGTTTGATTGCACTGTGGTCTGAGAGACAGTTTGTTACAATTTCTGTTCTTTTGCATTTGCTGAGGAGTGCTTTACTTCCAACTATGTGGTCAATTTTGGAATAAGTGTGATGTGGTGCTGAGAAGAATGTATATTCTGTTGATTTGGGGTGGAGAGTTCTGTAGATGTCTATTAGGTCCACTTGGTGCAGAGCTGATTTCAATTCCTGGATATACTTGTTAACTTTCTGTTTCGTTGATCTGTCTAAAGTTGACAGTGGGGTGTTAAAGTCTCCCATTATTATTGTGTGGGAGTCTAAGTCTCTTTGTAGGTCTCTAAGGACTTGCTTTATGAATCTGGGTGCTCCTGTATTGGGTGCATATATATTTAGGATAGTTAGCTCTTCTTGTTGAATTGATCCCTTTACCATTATGTAATGGCCTTCTTTGTCTCTTTTGATCTTTGTTGGTTTAAAGTCTGTTTTATCTGAGACTAGGATTGCAACCCCTGCCTTTTTTTGTTTGCTTGTTTTCCATTTGCTTGGTAGATCTTCCTCCACCCCTTTATTTTGAGCCTATCTGTGTCCCTGCACTGGAGATGGGTCTCTTGAATACAGCACACTGATGGGTCTTGAGTGTTTATCCAATTTGCCAGTCTGTGTCTTTTAATTGGCGCATTTAGCCCATTTACATTTAAGGTTAATATTGTGATGTGTGAATTTGATCCTGTCATTATGATTTAGCTGGTTATTTTGCTCATTAGTTGATGCAGCTTCTTCCTAGCATTGATGGTCTTTACAATTTGGCATGTTTTTGCAGTGACTGGTACCAGTTGTTCCTTTCCATGTTTAGTGCTTCCTTCAGGAGCTCTTATAAGGCAGGCCTGGTGGTGACAAAATTTCTCAGCATTTGTTTGTCTGTAAAGGATTTTGTTTCTCCTTCACTTATGAAGTTTCGTTTGGCTGGATATGAAATTCTGGGTTGAAAATTCTTTTCTTGAAGAATGTGGAATATTGGCTCCTACTCTCTTCTGGCTTGTACAGTTTCTGCCGAGAGATCAGCTGTTAGTCTGAAGGGCTTCCCTTTGTGGGTAACCCGACCTTTCTCTCTGGCTGCCCTTAACATTTTTTCCTTCATTTCAACTTTTGTGAATCTGACAATTATGTGTCTTGGAGTTGCCCTTCTCGAGGAGTATCTTTGTGGTGTTCTCTGTATTTCCTAATTTGAATGTTGGCCTGCCTTGTTAGGTTGGGGAAGTTCTCCTGGATAATATCCTGAAGACTGTTTTCCAACTTGTTTCCATTCTCCCCATCACTTTCAGATACACCAATCAGACATAGATTTGGTCTTTTTACATAGTCCCATATTTCTTGGAGGCTTTGTTCATTTCTTTTTACTCTTTTTTCTCTAAACTTCTCTTCTTGCTTCATTTCATACATTTGGTCTTCAATCACTGATACCCGTTCTTCCACTTGATCGAATCAGCTACTGAAGCTTGTGCATGCATCATGTAGTTCTCATACCATGGTTTTCAGCTCCATCAGGTCATTTAAGTTCTTATCTACACTGTTTATTCTAGTTAGCCATTCGTCTAATCTTTTTTCAAGGTTTTTAGCTTCTTTGTGATGTGTTCGAACATCCTCCTTTAGCTCAGAGAAGTTTTTTATTATCGATGATTCTGAAGCCTTCTTCTCTCAACTCGTCAAAGTCATTCTCCATCCAGCTTTGCTCTGTTGCTGGTGAGGAGCTGCATTCCTTTGGAGAAGAGGCTCTCTGATTTTTAGAATTTTCAGCTTTTATGCTCTGGTTTCTCCCCATTTTTGTGGTTTTATCTACCTTTGGTCTTTGATGATGGTGACATATAGATGTCGTTTTGGTGTGGGTGTCCTTTCTGTTTGTTAGTTTTCCTTCTAACAGCCAATATCATATTGAATGGGCAAAAAAATCATACTGAACAGGCCAAATTGTAATGCTTTTGTGGTATAATGCTTTCAAAGAGAAGCATTCCCTTTGAAAACTGGCACAGGACAGGGATGCCCTCTCTCACCACTCCTATTCAACATAGTGTTGTTAGTTCTGGCCAGGGCAATCAGGCAGGAGAAAGAAATAAAGGGTATTCAATTAGGAAAGGAGGAAGTCAAATCGTCCCTGTTTGCAGATGACATGATTGTATATTTAGAAAACCCCATCGTCTCAGCCCAAAATCTTCTTAAGTTGATAAGCAACATCAGCAAAGTCTCAGGATACAAAATCAATGTGGAAAAATCACAAGCATTCCTATACACCAATAACAGACAAACAGAGAGCCAAATCATAAGTGAACTCCCATTCACAATTGCTTCAAAGAGAAGAAAATACCTAGGAATCCAACTTACAAGGGATGTGAAGGACCTCTTCAAGGAGAACTACAAACCACTGCTCAATGAAATAAAAGAGGATACAAACAAATGGAAGAACATTCCATGCTCATGAGTAGGAAGAATCTATGTCGTGAAAATGGCCATACTGCCCAAGGTAATTTATAGATTCAATGCCATTGCCATCAAGCTACCAATGACTTTCTTCACAGAATTGGAAAAAACTACTTTAAAGTTCATATGGAACCAAAAAAGAGCCCTCATTGCGAAGACAATCCTAAGCCAAAAGGACAAAGCTGGAGGCACCATGCTACCTGACTTCAAACTATACTACAAGGTTACAGTAACCAAAACAGCACGGTACTGGTACCAAAACAGAGATATAGACCAATGGAACAGAACAGAGCCCTCAGAAATAATACCACACGTCTACAACCATCTGATCTTTGACAAATCTGACAAAAACAAGCAATGGGGAAAGGATTCCCTATTTAATGGTGCTGGGAAAACTGGCTAGCCATATGTAGAAAGCTGAAACTGGATCCCTTCCTTACACCTTATACAAAAATCAATTCAAGATAGAATAAAGACTTAAATGTTAGACCTAAAACCATAGAAACCCTAGAAGGAAACCTAGGGAATACCGTTCAGGACATAGGAATGGGCAAGGACTTCATGTCTAAAACACCAAAAGCAATGGTAACAAAAGCCAAAATTGACAAATGGGATCTAATTAAACTAAAGAGCTTCTGCACAGCAAAAGAGACTACCATCAGAGTGAATAGGCTACCTATAGAATGGGAAAAAATTTTTGCAATCTACCCATCTGACAAGGGGCTAATATCCAGAATCTACAAAGAACTTAAACAAATTTACGAGAAAAAAATCAAACAACCTCATCAAAAAGTGGGCAAAGGATATGAACAGACTCTTCTCAAAAGAAGACATTTGTGCAGCCAACAGACACATGAAAAAATGCTCATCATCACTGGCCATCAGAGAAATGCAAATCAAAACCACAGTGAGATACCATCTCACACCAGTTAGAATGGCAATCATTAAAAGGTCAGGAAACAACAGATGCTGGAGAGGATGTGGAGAAATAGGAACACTTTTACACTGTTGGTGGGATTGTAAACTAGTTCAACCATTGTGGAAGACAGTGTGGCAATTCCTCAAGGATCTAGAACTACAAATACCATTTTACCCACCAATCCCATTATTGGGTATATACCCAAAGGATTATAAATCATGCTACTATAAAGACACATGCACATGTATGTTTATTACGGCACTATTCACAATAGCAAGGACTTGGTACCAACCCAAATGTCCATCAATGATAGACTGGATAAAGAAAATGTGGCACATATACCCCATGGAACACTATGCAGCCATAAAAAAGGATGAGTTCATGTCCTTTGTAGGGACATGGATGAAGCTGGAAACCATCATTCTGAGCAAACTATTGCAAGGACAGAAAACCAAACAGCACATGTTCTCACTCATAGGTGGGAATTGAACAATGAGAACACTTGGACACAGGGTGGGGAACATCACCCACCGGGGCCCATCATGGGGTTGGGGGAGGGGGGAGGGATAGAATTAGGAGATATACCTAATGTAAATGATGAGTTAATGGGTGTAGCACACCAACATGGCACATGTATACATATTTAACAAACCTGCATGTTGTGCACATGTACCCTAGAACTTAAAGTATAATTTAAAAAAAGAGAAAAAATTAAACATATGGTGGATAAATGGTAAAATGTATCTGGGAACAACAATGCAATACCACCTTACTCCTGCAAGAATGGCCATAATTTAAAAATAAAAAAAAATAGATGCTGGCATGGATGTGGTAAAAAGGGAACACGTTTGCACTGCTGGTTGAATGTAAACTAGTACAACCGCTATGGAAAACAGTATGGAGATTCCCTAAAGAAGTAAACATAGAACCGCCATCAATCCAGCAATCCCACTATTGGGTATGTACTCAAAGGAAAATAAGTCATTATATGAAAAAGACACATGTGCATACATGTTTAAAGCAGCACAATTTGCGTTTGCAAAACTATGGAACCAACTTGAATGCCCATCAACCAACAAGTGCACAAAGAAAATGTGGTATATATACACCATGGAATACTATTCAGCCATAAAACTGAACAATATAATGGCCTTTGCAGCAATTTGGATAAAGCTGGAGGTCATTATTCTAAGTGAAGTAGCTCAGGAATGGAAAACCAAACATCTTATGTTCTCACTCTTAAGTGGGAGCTAAGCCATGAGGACGCAAAAGCATAAGAATGATATAATGGACTTTGGGAACTCGGTGGGGGAAGTGTGGGAGGGAGGTGAGGGGAAAAAAAGACCACATATTGGATGCAATGTATACTGCTTGAATGACAGGTGCACTAAAATCTCAGAAATCACCACCAAAGAACTTATTCGTGTAACCAAAAACCATCTGTTCCCCAAAAATTATTGAAATAAAAATAAAAATAAATTTCTGGGAACAAAGAGACAATCCTAAAAGCTTTCAGAGGCCAAAAAGAGGTTGTGTGTAAGAAAAAAAAATCAAAATTTCATCAGACTTTTTAACTTTGGAAAATTGGAAAACTTGGAGAATGATGCAATGCCTTCAAAAATTCTGAGGGGAAATGGATTTCAACAAAAAATTTCACATCCAGCTAATTGCCAACTAATTATGATGGCAGAGTAAAGACATTTTCAGGCATGAAATGTCTCAAAAATTTATATTCCATGCACTCTTTCTCAGGGAGCTACTAGAGGAGGTGTTCCTACAAAATGAGTAAGTGAAACAAGATACAATATATGGGATTCTAGAACAGGGAATTCAACCCAAGTGGGTAAGGAAATTCACCAAATGATGGTGAAAGGAGACCCTAGGATGATAGCTGTGTGGGAAGCCTAGGAATAAACAGATCCAAGTTGGAAAAGTTCAGAAACTTCCAGTACAGAGTTTTCCAGAAAGACAAAATTGATAGCATACCAGATGTGCTCAAATATATCAAAAGGATATTTAAACAACTGACAGAGTCTGGGTATAAATTAATGATAAGTATATATTTTGAAACTAAAACAAATAATTCCAGGGAGAGCAAAAAGAGGTGTAAGAGAGCTTTGAATAAAGTTTACATGATCCAATCATTAAAATATAATATTGATCTAACCAAAATTAAGTAAAAGTTCGTCAAAAGGATAGAAGGAATTGAAGGCTACTTGCAGAAGAATGAAAAAAGGCTACATCTTCAATCTCCACAATGGAAGGTCAATAGATAACACTTCAATCAAAAAAAGAAAAAAGAAGAAGGAAGAAAGGAAGAAGAAAGAAAGGAAGGAAGGAAGAAAAAAAAGTTTTAAAGGAAGAAAGAAGAAAGTGTCAGTAAAACATGTTATTTAATAAGCTTGTTAGAGCTATTTGACTCTTTAATCAGAAAACAGCAATAGCAACTTGAAAGGACTCATGTACCACTTTGCTAAAAATAAATTTTAAAGACTCACACTTAACTACAAAGAAATGAGAAACAAACTGGCAACAGGCCATCAACAACACTGCACACTAGACTACCAAGATGCAACACCTTCAAAGCCCAAGGAAAAATAATTTTCAACCCAGAGTTGTATACATCTATAAATATACATATATATATGCATGTGTACATCTCAACTATCAAATATTATAAGAATAAAATAAAGATAATTTCAGCCATGTATGGATTCAGAAAGTTTACACACATGCATCCCATAAGAAAACTATTTCCCTGGGAAAAAAAAATTTCAGCAAAACTAAAAAGGAATGCAAGAAAGAATATGACTTGAGATACAAGCAACCATGGCAACCGAGTAATACCTAAAAGAAGAAAAGAAACTGAAAGTGCAATTGAGATGTTCTTTTTTCCCAGTAGTTAGATTTCAGAAGGAGTACTATGGTGGTTTATTTAAAAACAAAATAAATTTGATTTTGGGAATAAATTTTTTAATACTTTGAATGTTATTTTAATTTGGGTTTAAACTTTCAGAGTCGTTCTACAGATAAATCAGGGAATGCTGAATTCTAGCTGAAGATTACATTCTAAATGTTATAAACTTTGACCATAAAAAATAAGAATAAAACTTTTGTTAAAAGCAAGAAATTGAAGAGGTTGTGGTTGAGGGATTGTGTACTAAATTCCTTACTTTTCATAGTTAAGATGTGAAAGGTACCATCCAAATTATGAATTATAAGTTATGAATCATAAATGTTTTATTTAAATTATAAAGAAAAGTGCCAGTGGACATAAAATAGAAATAGTTAAAACTGGTACTAGTGTTTTCTTTGGGAAGTGGAATTAGAGGTAGGAAGACAGAACTATTATTTTTCTTTTCATATATTTTTCTTATGGTTTGGATACTTTCACTATGCCTAGATAAAACTTAATTTTTTTTATAAAAGACTAGCTTAAAATGAAGGTGGGCCTCCCTAACAGAGAATTAGTAGTATATCCTCCAATAGTTCATAAGGTATCCATGCAATGGAGTCCTGTGTGGATGCTGGAAAGACAAAAGAGGATGTCAGGGCCCTCATGGAAGGATGTCCATAATGTGACGTCGGTGGAAATGTTTTCATTTATTTGTTAATTTATTTACTCAATATTAATCAAGGGCCTATCATATGCCTAGCGCTGTGTTAAGTATTAGGTGCATATTGAAGGATAACAGTTCTTATGCAGTTTACATGCTGGCAAGGAAAATAAACGATAAATAAACATAGAAATAAGTGTATAATTATATAAAACTTCTGTACAGAGACTGAATCCTAAGAAAATATATATAATATGTCACTTCAGGGTTAAAACATTATATATTAATAGACATAAATATATGCATTAGGAAAATACATTTATACATGTATAGGAAGACGACTGGAAGGACGTACTCTGAAAGATCAGAATCAGGAGCAGTAGGTGGAGGAAGGGAAAGAGTTTCATTTTTTATTTTCACATCTGTTTTGGGTAAGTATTAATTTTGCATTTTTTATAATTTAAAAATTAAAATAACAAATTCATTGTAAAAAGAAGCAGAACTGGTCAAGGAAGTGAATAATTGAACAATCCACTTATGCATCAATTCTGGAAGAAATAAAAACATTTTCCCTATAAAGAAAGAGTTGTTAGCATTGTATTCCTATAAAAAGGAGAGCATAGTATTATTTACTATAATTTATTAATTATATTTATTATTAATAAATATATTAGCAAACAAAAAGGGGTGTTCTAGAGCATTACTTTACAGCCCTTTAAAATACTGAATTATAGGGGCGTTGATTCCTATTTCTGTATCATAAGCCTCTCGTGTTTTACTTGTAATTTCTTTATAGGAAAAGTCACTATTTTGCCAGTCTTTAAATTCTAGTAATTCAGTTCACTTAGATTGAACAAACTTTTGATGAGCATCTCTGTGACAGGACCTTTGCCAAGGACCGGAGGGATGCAAAGGTGAGTAAGACAGCAAAATGACCCCCAGGAAATTCACAGGAGAGTCTGCATCCATATCAGAATCTTTCACAATTGGCCTGTGGGGCTTTAGCATCTTCTCATTTCTACATGAAGTTATTAGGCTGTGTTTCAAGGTAGCCAGGAGTCATTTGGCTCCTTTTTATTTTCCTTTTTTCCTTTGTCGCCCAGGCTGGAGTGCAGTGGAGTGGTCTCTGCTCACTGCAGCCTCCACCTCCTGGGTTCAAGTGATTCTCCTGCCTCAGCCTCCTGAGTAGCTGGGACTACAGGCACCTGCCGCCACCCCTGGCTAATTTTTGTATTTTTTAGTACAGACAGTGTTTCACCATATTGGCCAGGCTGGTCTCGAACTCCTGACCTCCTGATCTGCCCACCTCGGCCTCCCAAAGTGCTGGGATTACAGGCGTGAGCCACCGCGCCCGGCCATTTGGCTCTTTTGGTTAATGAAGGTTGGAAGCGAGGTCCCAAAGGCATAAAACGTAGTTTTGGTACATGCTCTTTTCTGGTGAGTGATATCAGCAACCAAAATTAGAGTCGTGCCATGCCCAGATCAGGTTTAACACCATTTTATGTACATCAGCGTTACAGCTTCTGTATTCACATTCCCAGCTGGATTTTCAGACAGAGGCACAAAGTTTATATAGGTAGAGTATTGGCTCTACCCCCTTAAAGCTTCATTTTGCATTGACTGGAATTCAGCTGCAGGTCCCTATCAGGTGACTATAAGCAGGTTTAATTGCTCTTACATCCTTTACTAACACTGGAGACAAAAAATATCTGGCATCCCAGTGTTTATAGCCCTGTTATGGCACTCATGGTATTGTTTGTGAGTTTATATATTTACATGTCTATCTTCCTTCTCCAGAATATGAGTTCTCTGAGGGCAGGGATGTGTCTTATTGTTCTTTGTCTCCCTAGTGCTATGCAAAATATCTGAAAATATATTTTTGTTTAAAAGTATTGAATAAATGAAAAAAATAAGGTTACTCAGTGGACAGTCTATCCTGCAAGAATGATATCGAATATTTCTTGTTTTTCATACATGTTCACTCCCATTTCCTAAGGTATTGAATCTTTCACTCTGTACTTAAAGAACATCAATGAAAACCTGGCCTTGATAATATTAGCAACATGGATTAATTCCTCTCTATGTTCCAAATCACATGCTAAGAGTGTGTGTGTGTGTGTGTGTGTGTGTGTGTGTGTGTGTGTGTGTTTACTTACATGTTGCATTATTTTATCCTTACAACAATGCATTAATTAGATACCTTTATCATCACTGCAACACATGAAAGAATCAAGGCCTAGAAATAACAAGCCTATTTCAGGACACAGGGAATACAGGGAAGACATAGGATTTGGATCCACACGCTTATGCCTTTAGAGCCTAAGCATTTAGCTACTATGTTATCCTAAAGGCAGAGTTCTCCAGACTGTGAGAGGTGAGAAAAAATAGTAAAGAAATGTATTAATTTCATGAAATGGTAGAGACAGGCAAGGCAACTTAGAAAACTGTGGCTATGCCTGGAATGCTAAGCTTTGGGTTAGGCAAAACTTAATTCCAGTAATATGGAATTCCTTTGCTTTAATAAGAATAATATACTTGAAAAGTCATTCCATTATGTTTCTTAGGCAGCATTTAGCCACTTACTTATTTACATCATGAGAATAATTAGAACTCATTTTGTAATTTGTATAAATATGCATAATGAACTATTTACAATATAAGAGCCATGATCATGGCATGTAATTATAGCACAATGGATTTTTTTTACAACAGTTGATAAAATTAATCTTTTACTTGGTATTTCAATAATGCCTTTTTAAAAATTCCACTGTTTGTTTAATTATTAATATTTTTATTTCTCTCTAACATTTTTGGTAAAACTCCTTCCCCTTCTCATGGAAATATTTTTAAAATTTAAAAAGTCAGAAAGGCCTAGGTTATATCGTGGCTCTCCCACTCTAGCTGTGTGACATTGGACATGTTACCCTCACTGAGCTTCAGAGCGCCACATGTAAAACAGGAAAAGAAGCCCTAATTTGTGAATTTTTTTGAGGAGAAGAGATAATGTATAAAAATCCCCTAGCCCAAGGTCCAGTCACCTAGTAATGGTGATGATGATGATAACATCAACAACCTTTATTGACTGCTTGCAACTTCCAGGCCCTTGTCTAAGCATTTTACATGAATAAACACATTTACTCAATAGATAGTAGCGGGCAGAAGTAATTGTAGTAGTGGTGGTACTCAGTCTGAGGACCCCATTCCCATGCCCACCATTTCTCCATCAAAAACAGAGCACTGGAAACTTTTAAAACATCTTGTATTTAAAATTTTGATACTCACCCAAATGAGATGAAAATTTACGTTAACACAAAAACCTGCATACAAATGCTTATAGCAGCTTTCTTCATAACTGCCTAAACTTAGAAGCAACCAAAATGTCCTTCAGTAGGTGAATAAACTGTGGTGCATCCATACCATGAAATATCATTCAGTGATAAAAAGAAATGAGCTATCAAGCCACAAAAAGATGTGAAGGAACCTGAAATGTATGGGGACCACACAGGTCCCTGTTAAGTGAAAGAAGAAAGAAGCCAATTTGAAAAGGCTACATCCTGTGTGGTTCCAACTATATAACATTATGAAGAAGGCAAAACAATAGAGACAGTAAAAAAAAGATCAGTGTTTGCTAGGTGTTTTGTAGAGGAAAGAGGGGAATAAATAGGTGGAGCACAAAGGATTTTTAAGGCAGTGAAATTCTTCTGTATAATATAATGGCAGATATTGTCATTACATATTTGTCAACACCTGTAGAATGTATAACACAGAGTGAGTCCTAATGTAAACTATGGACTTCAGTTATTAGTAATGCATCAGTATTGATATTGAGTCATCGGTTATAACAAATGTTCCACACTAATACAAGATGTTAGTAATAGAGAAAACTATTCAGGGGTTGGGAGTAGTAGTATATGGAAACTCTGTACTTCCTATTCAAATTTTCTGTGAACTTAAAACTGCATTAAAAAATGAAGTCTATTCATTTAAAAACAGTTATCAAATTTTACACTTTAACAAATATTATAGAGCTGTTTCAGAGACTTAGTTAATATAAATATTAATTTTTCCTGAAAAAAGTCATTATAAAATACTAAAAGTTGGGAATTACCTTCAGATTAGATGTAATCAGTTTCATTACTATGTTATTCACACACATGCACATGTTCACACACATGCACATAAAATAAAGAAAAAGTTGTCCAGAGGCTAAATAAAGGGACCCACCTTATCCATGCTGAACAGTCTCAGATAGAGGAATCTCCATGTCATTGATTCTTAGTGTGGGATATGTAACAGCAGCAGCAGCAGCATCACCTGGGACTTGATAGAAACCCAAAGTCTGGGGCTCCAGCGACTCGCTGAATGAGTGGGCGGGGCCCAGCGAGCTATGTTTTAACCAGCCCTTCAGGTGATTCAGATGCTTGTTGAAGTCAATGGATGTCTACCCCACATCCCTCCCAGACACACAGATACACAAGCAAAAGACTCCCATGCTTGACGATGGAGGTTCAGCATAAGACTGGGACAAGAGTGAGGCCAGTGAGGTGCCAAAACATTCAACAATCAAGATGAATAATATTTTAATGCAATATTTTAAAAAATCATATGAATGCAAAAAAGTCATGATGAATAAAATACTAAAATTCTCAATAAAGACAGGATCAGTGTAACTGACATTCCCTTTCACCTCAGGCTGCAGTCTGGCTCTGCAGATATTGCTTCAGCATCAGGAGGTGGGAGTGGGCCAAGGGCCAGGGTCCCTGAAGCCAGCCTCGGCCCTCTTTCCTCGCTGCAGCACACACCCACACCAGTGTGTCCCGCTATCCTCATCAGAGTCACTGTCTGCTCGTTGCTACTTAGACTTTCCTTAACTACACCCATTAAGAGGTAATTCTAATTTAGTGGAAGCTCTTAGTATTTCTTAAAGTAATTAAATAATGATGGTTCAAGAAATTTACCACTTTTGTGGGAAGATTGAGTGTACACAAAGACATAAACAACTCCCACAAAGTAATATATCTTCATGCAAGCTACGACAGTGCTGAGTATTGACATTCTGAGGACTCACTAAGGAGAAGGGTGAACTGAGCCACATGAAGTTCATTTGATACCTTGCAAAAGTGTTTTGTGAACTGCACATCACTACAGGAAGTTAGCTGTGGTTATTCTCTTCCCGGGAAATATCAGCTGTAAGCCATATTTGGAACAAAGTAAGTTTTATAGATCTGGCGGAGGAGGATTAGAGAAAAAAAATCTTCCATAGCCAGGAAGAACTGAGAAAACGGGAATGTGGAGGAAAGAAAAGACAAATTTGCTTACCTCCTATATACATAAAGAAAACTGGAAGAGATAAAGTGGGTGTAAGAGAGAAAGGGCAAAGTGGGAAAATGGGGGGTGGGGGGGGCATTGCTGTGCCAAAGAGCGTGGCTCAGCCTGAATCTCACGTGGATTCTGGAAGCTGAGAAACTATGGATTCCGATTCAAGTTAAAAGCAGCTAACAAGTAAAAAGAGCCAATGACATTAAAACTGAACTAAACAGTCATTTTTGAATTTCAAGTAAAGAAACCTAGTGGAGACTTCAGCACAATTCAAACTTGTTCTCTGAAATGGCAAGGGAGTGCTTCCACAGCAATTATTTCTTTAAAAGAATTGAAAAGAAAAGTTCAGTTTGGAAGCTTTGATTGATCCCTGGACTCTTGAGTCATTCTGAATGAAAACACTTAGCATCACTGTGGGAATCCATTACCCTGGTGATTTGGGCAGGGCAGAACTTTGCAAACTGTTTTCTTTTTGGAGAAACATATTTTTCTTTTTCAGTAATTGTTGCTGAAGACCTACATCTGAGAGCCAGCAGCAGGTACAGGAGCTAGAACAGGACAAGGCTCAGCAGGTTACAGAAATCAGAGCTGTAGCTCAAGCGAAGGAAGCAGATAAAGGAATCAGGTGGACTAGGTGAGCTCCGCCTTGACCTGCTGCTAAGAACTAAGTTGCCCATATTAGGGTCAAATAAAAATTGAAAGTCACCACCATTGCTTTTAGGAACAGAGAACGAAAGGACCTCCCCAGGGTTATCAGCATAGCTTGTAAGAACTAAATTATTTAACATCAATGTCCCAAAGAGAGCCTATTAGGGGAACCTGTGAAGCAGTGAATGGCATTTGAACAGAGCCTAGAAGAGTACAAGTATTGGGATCAGGGCCTATCAGTTCTATTTACCAAATTATCTAACAAGAACCATCAGTCAGACTGGATGTAGGAAAGAATGGGAAAGCCCCTACAAAGCAAGGACTTTGTGGAATAGGATAATGGAGCGGACGTGTTCTGGCAACAGATTCCCCAGAAGACAGTGTTCATTGCACTGTCCCAGCCCATCACGTTACAGTGAGACAAGGGTATTCTGATTAGAATATTTTTCGTACAGGAGGTCAACACAGGCTGGTCAGGTCTAGGAGGGGAATCCACCATACATCTCTGACGTGTAACCCAGGCCTGGATCTAAGGAGACGACAACCTTGGGCCCACACCCAGATAGAAAACAAAAAACAGAAAAAGGTTCTGAGAGGGACAGAGAATTCTATCAGCCCAAAAGCCATGCCAACCTGAGGGTTGAGAGTGAGGAAAGAAATTCAAAGCTCCAATCCTGAGGGTTGTATCAATAAAGTAGATAATGGTTTTCCTAAAATATTTTTTTAAAAAAAGTCTGTTAATCTATGTATGCTCATATTTATTTTTGTTTTGCTTTTCTTTTACAGTTGAGTAATAGTTCTTTTTGAAAATACTAACTTGTCTCTTATTAATTGGGAGTAAATGATTCTTGTTACTGTTGGAAAATAAAGACAAGGCCAAAAAGTTAAGATCTTTGCATTATAGAACCGAGAGTTTTTGAAGATTCTTGATTTACCCAGAGATGTGATAAAATCAGTCTTCCTCCTTGAAAGATTTCAGCAGCAGTGTGTAGGATGAATTACAAAGAAAAGAGAAGACAGAAAGCCTACTATTTCATGCTGTTAGCATGATTTAAAATGTAAGAAAATAATTGCTAGGACTTGATGATAATTGTAGAATGGGACAAATCTGACAAAGAACTGTTCAGAGCTACGTGTAGGTAGAAAACAGAATAGAGAAGATCCATGTCTTTGGGAGGACACTAGAAGGATGGAGGAGCTCTGGAGAGCAATGAGGAAAGTAGGTGGAAGCGACTTTGAGGGGGCCAGATAGCAAATCATTTCAATGCTAGATTTTAGATTAAGTGTAACATCCATATTTTGTGGGACAACTAGAGATATGATAATGGACAGTGGGTGAAAGGTCAAAGAAAATTTAGAAAAGAAAATAACTAGGGTTGAAACTATACGCATAGTACTAGAGAAAAGAGCAAAAGGCACAGAAATAATAATAATAGTAATTACAACTTCCACTACTCATTGAATGGCTGCTATTTTCCAGCCATTGTACCGGAAGTTTCACTTATTTGATCTTTAGACACTCTGAGACAGATTCGATTGTCCTATTACAGATGGGAAATTGAGGCTCCAGGTGGTTAAACGACTTGCTTACATCACACATTGAAGAATCACAAGTAGATTTCAAGCTGCCCAATCTGACGCCCTTTCCACAGCCTATTTCCTTTCATGTATGGTGGTACAGTCTCCTTGTCACAAAACACTTGAGGTAGAAATATGAAAATATAGATATCATGGAAATACAACTGGAGTAATTTTAAATGGAAGAGAGTAAGGGACAAGGAACTTCAGGGTGTGAAGATGGGGTAGGCCCAACAGGGCACAGGCCTGGTCTAGAAAGAGGCCAAGAAATTTGTAATGCCCTCCTACGATACCAAGAAGTCACTAAAGGAAGTCACTAATTTCCTCCTTTGTCCTTATCCTGACACAGCACAAAGACAGAACTTTGAAACATAATTTGGTTTTGAAACACTTAATTACCTTCCCCATTGATACAAAGGGAAAGATGAAACCCATATAACAGCTTCAGAGAGAAGCAGAAGTTTCAATAGGGAGTTGAACTGAGAGAATTGAGATGCTTTAGAGCTTCATTAATAAATTCCCAGGATACTATACTCATCCACATTCAGTTATAAGCCTCCCTTTGGCCCTGTACATTCCAAAGCCAAATGTAAACAACTTATATTTTCCTAGTGTTGACTATAATAATTGTTTTGAAGTCAAATGATAACATGTTTAAATCAGTTCTATTTATCCTGCATTTACTAATCAGTTAATATGTGCTAATCTCTGGTAGATACTAGTATACAGAGATGAAGTAGACATTTCCTGCCTTCAAGAAATGCACCATCCTTACATAGGCAACTATAAATTATACCAAGTGATAAAGGCTATCAGAGAAGTATGAACTAAGTAAGCTAGGGCATAAAGAAAAGCATGAAAATCTTGTCCTGCAATTGCCAGACAGAATATCAAAAAAAGATAATGGTTTCTCTGGGCCTTGAAAGGTGAGTAAATTTTCTGAGAGGATCAAGGACACATAGAAAGGATGGAGTATTTTAACTTGGGCAAAAATGGAAGCTAGAGTAACTGACCAGACAGAACTGGCCCCAAAGCTCACAATCTAAAGGACAGTGTATAAAGGAGCTTGAAGGATTTGTACCCTCCTTCAGTCCTGGTACTGAACTCCCATCAATTGGGTGGACACACAACAGAAGCCCAGACAGCAGAGAGCATCTGAAGTTAGAGGGTGAGCAAAACCATAGTTCCAGGCCTTCCTCTCTGGCCATGAGAGCCCAAGCCTGGAAAAGCCTCTGACAAAGGCCCAGCTATGGGCTCAACATAGGGTACAGTCCCTCTCAGTGTGAGAGTGCTTAGGAGATGCTAAGGCCGATGAAGAATGGTCCTAGCCATGCCAAGAGGAGCCAGAAAAGGCCTGGTGCAAAGCCATCTGATGCCTAGATCACAGCTCAGGAATATCAGATACAAGGTCTGGGGCAGTAAGATTAATGTGAGACCCCACACAGCCAGCATAATGTAGTTCTGAATATTTGTAATAATTCTTCAAACTACTACTATAACAGAAGGTAAGTATTCATAATATATTCTCTAGGTAACTAAATGAAAATGCTTTTGTGCTACTTTACACCTGTTTCACTTCCATTTCCTTCATGACTACAGGCTTTATCATCATCATCATCAATCATCATCATCATCATCATCATACTAGCTACCAATTATGGTGTATTTACCATGTGCCTGAAGCAATACTGGGAGCTGGGGGGTCTCTCATCCTTAGAACATTGCTATAAGGAAGACATTATTAGCCCCATTTTATAGATGAAGAAAATCAACTTCAGAGGGATTATGGATATTGCCCCAAATATCATATAGCTAAACAGGGGCAAAAATAGTGGGATATCAAAGCTGATGTTTTATCTGGTAACAAATTAGCTCACCTCAATGGTAAATAAGTCATTTTAATAAAAAATTTGGTTAATTAAAAGAGAAAAAATTCAGATTGTTCAGTTGGTAATGTAAGAATGAAACAGTTGAGTGACTTTTTAAAAGGTTTTATTACATATACAGAAAAGTAAACAATTTATTGAATTTTTACCAGCTGACAAGACTAATTTTCACATTTTGGTTGGATGTATTAAAGATCCATGGATTATAGTACAAAATCACGTTTTCTTTGTCTATTACAGCCTTACAACAAATAAGAGAGGAGACATAATTTCCAATCCACAGACTTGTATAATCTTATTCTAAAATTTACAAACAGCCTTCTGACCCCATAACTTGTCTTGCCTACTTTTCTGACCTTCACCTGTTAAAAATTAGTCAATACATCCAATGAACTCCATCACCAAGAACTTCTAGACTGACTTGAAGACATTTTTACTCCACTATATTCAGGTTATCTTTCCCAAAGAAATATCTCAATTCTTCCCACTATTTCCTAAGGAAACTCAACTCCCCTGAACTCAGTTCTGAGTTCTTCAGAAGTTAGAGATCTGTTGGAACCTGAGTGGCCCCACTTTCATCACACAAAACTGCAAAATGTAGCAAGGAAGTCACATTTGACTGTAGCAAAGAACCTTGCAACATTCCATTTTTAAAGTGTTCCTCTCTGTCAGGGCATATGAATTATTATCCTACTCCCCTCACCGCTAAATCTGCCCCCTCTCATGGAGGTGCCAGATGCTGCCTGTTCACTAGCAATGGCTCTGTCACTTTTACTTTGCATCCTAATTAAGAAGACATAGAGAGACACAGGGAAGTGCAAGTACCAGAAGGATTCTGCTATCTGTCATACTGTCCTCCAGATGTTCTAATGATGCCTTTGAATTTGGATGGAGGAGACACACAGAAAGAACTCTGGCACTATGAAACCTTTCCGTGACTACTTGTTGAAGAAAGACAATTAATGACCGAACAGCTGCTAATGGGAGCCTTTAGCTGGAGAACTTGTTATGAAGAGCATTTACCAGCACTCAGAGGAATTCATACTGATAAACACCTTACTTACATGCCTTATTTTTGTTCTAAAATGCACAATTCATCCTTCCTAAATCAATTTCCTTCAATTACAAACAGAACTCCTTAAGACAAGAAAGATTTATCACTGGTTTTTAAAAAAATCATCCTCTGAGCTCGTTAAAGCCTACAATAGGAATCATTTCCCTGAAATGTTCAAAAAATTTCCCACATATTTGATTGGTAGCTAGACCCTCGTATTGCATAAGGGAGTTGCAAACAAATACTTTTGAATACTGGAGCCAGATAGTAGGAACTTGCCTTTTGGACATTATTGACTAATTCACTTTCAAAAAGATACTGTGCTTAGAGCTCTATGACAGCTCCATACCCCTATCCAGAAGCAATTAATACATGTTCTTGCTTTGGATATATGTGACCTGCAAGGGGAATAAAAGGATATAGTCAGTAATTCTTAAGTTATCATCATGGCAGTCGGCCTTGTCTTCAAAGTGGCCAGACTTTATTACAACTATGGGTTGCTATTGTTCACAGTTGCTCCAAAGTGTGGGGTGGAATTGAAAGGTAAGCTTCTGGTAAGGGAACAGATCTTGATCTCATTCTCTGAGGGAAGAGAAAGGCTAATTAATAAAATGGTCTTTTAAATAGAAACATAGATAATTCTGCCCAATTTCATTATCCTAACAACCTTTCTCCACTCCCAAAGAAAAATGAACTATTCTTACTGATTTTCATAAACACTGTGCTAAGTAATCAGGAAATAATTAATTTAGAGCTCTTCATTAATAATGGGGATGAAATTCCTTAATGAACAGCCTCACTTTAATTCAATGATGAGATAACTATTACTGAAATATTTATTGATATAAAATTAGATCAGAAAGAGAAAAAAAAGCTTTTTTCTTAAAGGTCAAATATTCAATAAGGCCTAGCTGATTGCTTGTCCTTTTTGTCCCTGAAACAATACAATTCTAAAGAGTATTAGAACTTTGGTAAATAAGTTTAAATATTATTTTTGTTTAAAACATTAGCCAGTTGACAGCTACTATGTATCTTCTCAGTTATAGCACTAGATTAAATGATACGGAGTGATACAAGTAAAAGCAAAGACTTTCCCTCAAGAAAATTATCATGTAATTCAGATTTGCTCAGCAGCAGCTCTCTTGGCATTTGGGATGCCAAATTCATTCATTTGGGATGAATAATTACTTGCTGTGAGGGTTCTCCTGTGCATTAAAGCCAGGGCAGAGGCCAGAGGCATTACCCCTTGCCCCAGCCGTAGCAACGAAAACTGTTTTTCAGACATTACCAACTGTTCCCTGGGAAACAAAATCACCTCAGGTTGAGAACGACTGACTAATTAAAGGATCTAAAGCTCTGAGAAAACCTTCAAGCACATAGTTTTCATGAAAGAGATACACTAATAGATCGAATAATAGCTCAGCATCCAAAGAACTATCCAAATACATAGCCCTCTAGCTCAATAAGTGGGTGACCTAGTGGTTAAAAATTTGACTGTAGAGTCAGATGGCTTAGGTTTAAATCCTGGCTCTAACTTTTACTAATGTTAGGCAAGTTATTTCTCTTCTCTAAGCCTCAGTCCCTGCCTCTTCAGAATGGGGATAACAGTACTTACACATAGTTTGTTTGGAAGAGGAGACAAAATAATACATAGGAGGGACTGGAATTACTCATATCAACTATTAATATTATCATAGATGGCATTCACATTTTTGTTGAATTGGAGAGACTAGACCTGTAATAAATATTCATGTAGACATTAAATGAAAAATAACTTTGAATAATTATTTTAGTGGTAATGGAAATTTTAAGCATTTATTATGTATTGGTTGAATGATATTTCCATTTTAAATAATGTTTTATAACAAATATAACACATCTAATCTCATTAGTTTTTTCTTTGGAGTAAAAGAGCACATACTGACCTAAGAATAATTAATCCAGAATGATCAAAATTGAGATGTATCCTAGGAAAGTTATTGAAGTTTAAATCCAAAATTTGGGGAACACCTAGGCAAAAATATGAAATAATATATAAAGAAAAAGAAACAAGGCTGACCTTGTATTTTTCCACAGAATCCAATGCCAAAATCCAGTAAATCAATACACAGGAGTGCTCCAAAGAAAGAATTGTGAGCCAAAGAATTCATATCCAGTAAGCTATCCTCCAAATTTTATGAAGGCTTCTGTCAAACCATTTAAAATATGCAAAAATTCATGGAATTTTTTTGCCATGATTCCTCCTTAAGAAAATGGCTGGATGACAAGTTTCCTCCAACTGAAATATAGCTGAGGAAAATCTAGCAAAAGAAATGATGGTAAACACTGAATGTATTTAATTGTAAACTAAAAGAGAACGAAAGTTCAGAGAGAATTTTTTTTATAAAAAGGTCAAAAGAAGGTGATAGGTAAAATAAGTTCTCTGATTGTTTCAGCTTTTATACCTGGAAATCCAAGTATCTCAAAGGTAAGAAGTTAAATAACATAAATTTAAACATACTTGGCAGTACAAATGGAAACACTAAGAAAGCTAATGTTATTGACTGAAATTCGTTGATAAAGTAGAAGAGGAGGGGAAAGAAAATTCTAATCTTCTTTCATGCTAATTTCATTATTTTGTACATTAGGAAACTAATAAGTACACTCAAAATTGGAAGAGCTGAAGTTATTATATAAAAATATAATTAAAAGGTAATCAGTACAAAAGTGTAAATTTCTCAATATCAAAAAAACTGCATGAGGCAAAATGAATGAAAACAGATCAGAATGTGTCAGACTTTTCAAAACAGAAACTATAAAATGAACTAACATGACAGAATCAAGACCAAGCATCTGTCATTTCAGTATATTTAAATGGCTTACACCAATTAAAAGACAAAAACTGAACCACAAATCAAAACCCAGTTCCAAAACAAAGTGAGTCAGAAAGTGAAAATATAAAGATAGTCAGCATTATAATAAGAAAGCAAATAAAAAGAAAGCAAGACTTAGAATTTTAACATCTGGCAGAATGGAATTCAGAATTAAAAGTGTTAAACGAGACAAAGAAGCCTACTTTATAATGACAAAATGTAAAATTCACAATGAAGATTCAAGTGCTACAAATATTTATGCACCAAGTAGCACAGCTGCATCATAAACAAAGCAGAAATGATAGGAGCTTCAAAGAGAAATACCTAGGAACTCATTAGTAGTAAGAGACTTGAAATCACCTCTCTCAATTTTTGACAAATTTTGTAGGAAAAAAAATAAGGTTATAGAATAATAAAATGAAAATCGGTAAATAGAAATCTGATTAATAAATGTAAAACCCTATAACATGAAAATTATACCTCATTTCATACAAACATAAACATTCATAAAAATTAACAATATATTAGACCCCAAAGATAACTTTTGTAAGTTCAAAAAAGTAGAAATAACAATACAATTAAATAGAAATTCCATCTAGAAATAGTTTCAGTTTATAAACATACATATATGTGAGATATATTGAGATATATAGAAATTATGTTTATACATACATCTATTATAAACATACATATATGTGAGATATATTATGAGATACATATAGCTCACAATTTTCTAAGTATGACACCAAATCCATAATTCATAAATGAAAAGACTAATAATTTAAAACACATAAAATAACATTTTTGCATAGCTAAAACCACCACATGCTAAAGACAAAACACAAAGAAAAAAACGGTTAAAAATATTTGCAACACATATTCCAAATGGCTACTATTTCTAAATTAAAAGGAGTCTTACAATTCCATATGTAAAAGAGCAACAACTTAATTTTAAAAGGCAATGAACAGTTTGCAGAAGAGAAAATAAAAATGGCTCTTGAACATATGACAAGATGCTAAACTTCACTCTTAAAAAAATGCAAATTAAAACAAGATGGAGATTACATTTTTTCACTTATATTGGCAACGATCAAAGAATTAGATAACACAGTGGGCTGGTAAGAGTGAGGGAATAGGCATTCTCATACATTGCAGCTAGGAGGCTAAATCCATACAACCATTTTGGAGGGCTATTTAACAAATCTAGTGTAATTATCAATGTCCTTACCCTCTGACCCAGCAGTTGCACTTCCAGAAATGTATCCTACAGATAGATATGTACTCACATATCTGATATGGTATTTGTACAAAGGTATGCATAGTCACATAAAAATAGCAAACGTTGGCAAACATCCAAAATCCCTATTAATATGGAAATTGTTATATAACTTTTAGTATATTTATATAATAGAATCAGAAAGAATAAAAATGCACTGATAAGAATGCACTAAAATGGAATGGACTCCAAGACATAATGTTTAAAAAGAGAGGGAAGGAGGGGAGGGAGGGATGGAGGGAGGGAGGGAAGGAGGGAGGGTAGGAGGGAGAGAGGGAGGGAGGAAGGAAGGAAAGAAGGAAAGAAGAAGGAAAGTGGTGTAGAAAAGTGTGTATAAAGTAGGGGTTGGGGAATGGACACACATATTTGTTTATACACACATTTGCACAAACTGTCTCCAGAAGAATCCATTAGAAATTGGTTAGTTTCTCAACTGGGGAACAATAGTGGAAGAAAGATTTGCCTTTCACTATATAGCCAAAAGGTATCTTAAATTTTTTTTTTTAAAAAGAATCTATTTTTGGGCCTATAGGTTGGATTTGGCCTGTGATTTGCTAGTTTGTAATCTCATTAATGGTCATTAAGCCAAAAGGGATCATTTTATCATAAAATTGCTAACTTCCTGTTTAAATTTATCTACAACCCATATAATATTTGCATTACTCAGTCAACTTTATCCAGGTATGAACAATTATTGTGATGCAAGCGCTCTAACTTCTAATGCCCTAAATTTTGAGTCTACTATAAAAATAAAACATTTCAGTATGTCACAGAAGAGATTATTCTGTTGCAAACTAAATTATACAGGGTTTCACTTACAACCTGTCTACCTCTGACTTGATAACTTTATAGTGTAGATGAATTCTTTCAGACTGAAAAAAAATTTTAATCTGTCCTGTTAGAAATTCAGGGAAGAGAAAAAAAGGAAAGGTTTATTTTGCTCTATTCATTTCTCAAGAGAAATATAAGCTACATTTGCTCATATTTGGGCAAGAGTTTAAAAGCGTAAACGTTGAAAAATCATAAGTAATCATATAAAAGAAGGAGAAAAAAACTAATCATATCTGACAGCATAATCTCAAAACAAAGTTTTTATTTTTATACCAGAAAAGTTAGGGGAAAAAACCCATCCTGTGTTGACTCCCAAATTGCTCTGTAGATTCAAGTCTCTTTTGTCAGTCTCTGAATGGTTCAAATTTCTCAGATCTGAAGGCCTTTCGACCTTTGCAAAATGCTTATATTCCATAGACACACAATTACCTGTATGTGTCTCACTCCCAATTAAATTTGTAATGGGTTTTGACCAAACTGATACCTCCTATTTCAAGTAATATTTAGTGCTACGTCTAAAGAACATAGTGCAAATAGTATCCACACAGTGAGCTCATTTTAAAGCTTTTCTTCCCAAAAGTCCGCTTCAACTTCTCATCATACAAGCTAAAATTACCCAAAGTCTTTATTGAACTATTTACCTATATGCTCTGGGCCATTATTTCATACAAAAGGTTTTTGGTGAAACAAGAGTATGGTCTCTTGAACTTTGCCTTTTAATTAGTATAAGCTCCTTGGAGGTTATAAGCTGATGGTGTGACTTCACAGCAGATAACAGAATGGACCTAAGGAACAGTACTAAAATTAAACATTCCTTCCAAATGTTTCAGGCAATCCCTAAGCCGTGAAATGCCTGCCAACCCCCTGAGAAGATCAATAGAGCAACCACTGGGCATATAAAGCAGAACCGCCCACTGGAAAGACCAGTTAATGAAAGTCCACAATGGGCAATCAGTCTACAATATAAGCACATTTGTACAGAAGAATGGATTCCCTTTATCTGTGCCTCTAACTTTGGTAGATGGTTCAGTGAGCAATTAGGCCTGCAAAAACTAACACTCACAAGCCCCAAACTGAAAAGATGGCTTCACATGTATAGAATTAGATTATTATTGAGTTCTTGCCGTTAGGAATCACTTGAGTACTGATATTAAACAGGAGCATTCTAGGGTCATCTTGAATAACAAGGCTTTTTCTTTAAGAAATTCAATTCAAATCACAGACATTAAGATTGGTTTTGTGGAAAAGGTATTTGGTCTTTTACTGACCAGCACATTTATCCATGTCATTTGGTTTGCTTCATTAAATGTAATGCTCATGTATTGTACATTATTTTTAAGAGGAAAAACATACTGAAGCATTATAGGCTCTTCCTAATAAATCCATCAATGCAGTAGTGTGTACTGTATCTACTTTACAATTCTATACTAGGTTAGAATCTCTCTTTCAACAGCAAGTTATTTAATCTATCAAAATAAATATCTCCTATGGTACAGTGTAATTAAATATTTTTCACAGCTGAAATTACCCAGCCCCCTCACACAGAGTTAATAGCCCTTTGTTCATACATATTGCTATGGTTTGAATATCTCCTTCAAAACTCATGTTGAAATTTAATTGCCATTGTGATGGTATTAAAAGGTGGGACTTTTAAGACATGATAAGATCAAGATATTCTGCCCTTGTGAATAGATTAATGCCATTTTCATGGGAGTGGATTAGTTATTGGGAAAGTTCAGCCTTCTTTTTCTCTCTGATGTGCTTCCTTGCAATATGATCTCATCTGCCATGTTATGAAGCAGCAAGACAGTCCCTCCAAGATGTGGCCCCTCAATCTTGGACTTTCCAGCCTCCAGCACTGTGAGCCAAATAAATTTGTCTTTAATGAATTACCCTGTCTGTGCTATTCTGTTATAGTAGCAGAAAAGGGACTAAGTCAGAAAATTGTTATCCAGAAATGGGGCTGTTGCTATCACAAATACCTGAAAATGTAGAAGTGGTTTTAGAACTGTGTAATGGGTAGAGGCTAGAAGAATTTGGGGAAGCAGGCATTTCACAGCTTAAACATTTGGAAGGAATGTTTAATTTTAGCACTGTTTCTTAGGTCCATTCTATTATCTGCTATGAAGTCACACCATCAGCCTCCAAGGAGCTTATACTAATTAAAAACCTAGATTGCTGCAAGTGGAGCAATAAGAGCGACTCTTGTAAGGGCTCAGAAGAAGAAAAGAGCTGTAGGGAAAGTACTCTTAGAGAGTGCTTGAGTAGTAGTGATCAGAATGTTAGTACAGGTTGAGTATCCCTTATCCAAAATGCTTGGGACCAGAAGCATTTCAGGTTTTGAAATTTTTTTGGAGTATTTGCATATACATAATGAGGTATCTTGGGGTTAGGACCCAAGTATAAACATGAAATTTATTTATGCTTTATATACACTTAATACATATACCCTGAAATAATTTTATATAATATTTTAAATAATTTGGAGCATGAAACAAAATTTATTTACATTAAACTATTGTATTACCCTTTGTGGGTGTGCTTTTGTGAGGGAATCTGGGTATGACAAGAAAAAATATATTGCAGATGAAGGGGACTGGGAGGGTCTTTTATCCCTAAGGATGCTGAATAAACCATGTGTCGTGCACCTCAGTTTTCACTGCAACCCTTCACATGAGGTTAGGTGTGAAATTTTCCACTTGTGGCATCATGTTGTTATCCAAAAAGTTTTGAACTTTGGAGCATTTCAGATTTTGGACTTTTGGCTTAGGGTTACTTAACCAGTAGAAATATGAAAAGTAAAGGCCAGTATGACTAGATCTCAGGGGGAAATGAGGAACGAGGTATTGGAAATTGGAGTAAAGGCCATTCTTTTTATATAGTTGCTAGGACCTTGGCTGAATTACGTTCATGCCTGAGGGCTTGATGAGCTAGGATACCTGGTAGAAGAAATACCTAAGCAGCAAAGCATTCAGGCTGCTGTGTGGCTACTTTTAACCACATACAGTGAGATGCAAAATGAAGAAAATGATTAAAGATGGAATTTATAATAATAAAAAAACAGAACACAAAGATTTAAAAAACTTACGCCTGGCCATGTAAAGAGTGAAAAGGCATCTTTAGGAGAGCAAACCAAGAGTGTGGCCAAGCAACTATTTGCTAAAGAGATAGCCATGGTTAGAAGGGAGCCAAGTATCTTCATAAAGACAATGGGGAAAAGATCCCAAAGGTATTTCAAAAGATCTCTGAAGCTGTCCCTCCCACCACAGGCCCAGAGAGCAGAATGGTTTCCTGGGGACCCTCCATGGACCCACTACCCAGATCCAACTCAGGATCCACACAGTGCTCCTCAACTGCCCCATCTGTGGCTCAGGTGAGCCCAGCTGTGACTCTACCTGCCACTCCAGAAGGTTCAAGCCATAAATGCTTAGCAATACCCATGTGATGCTAATTCTGCAGAAGCACAGAATGCAAGAGTTGCGGAGGCTTAGCAGCCTCCATGCAGGCTTCAAACAGTTTCACAGATAGCCTGGGGGCCCAGGAAGAGACTTGTCACAGGGGCAGAACCATCACAGAGAGTCCCAGCTAGGGTAATGCTGAGTAGAAATGTGAGGTCAGAGCCACCACAAAAAGAGTCCCCCTGGGGCAATGCCTAGTAGAGCCATGGAAGTGGGACCAACCCAAGACCACAGAAGTGTAGGGCCACCAGTGTGCAACTCCAGCACAGGAGAGCTGCAAAGCACAAGATGCCAATCCATGAGAGCTGCTGGGTGGACTGAGCTTGGCGAGACCACAGGGATGGGGCTTCCTAAGGCTTTGGGTACCCAGTTGTCTGTAAGCCACCCCTCCATCACCAGTGTGCCCAAGTTGTGGGACATAGAATCAAAGGAGATTATTCTGCAGCTTTAAGATGTGATTTTTACCCCTGTTGGAATTTTGGCTTAGTTGGAACCAGTTACCCCTCTTTTCTTACATATTTCTCCCTTTTGGAATGGGAATGTCTATTTATGCCTGTCCCACCAATATATTTTGAAAATAGATAACTCATTTAATTTCACAGGCTCACAGCT
The DNA here is from genome assembly GCF_000001405.40 of Homo sapiens. Lineage (NCBI taxonomy): Eukaryota > Metazoa > Chordata > Mammalia > Primates > Hominidae > Homo > Homo sapiens. The sequence goes on from NC_000006.12 coordinate 82,782,371, forward strand.
GGAGGGAATTTGTCTCAGGATGAATCATGCCTTGAGTTTCACACAAATCTGATTTAGATGGGACTCTAAACTTTGGACTTTTAAATCTGTGCTGGAATAACTTAAGACTTTTGGGGCTATTAGGATAGAATGATTATATATATATATAATTTTTTTTTGAGACGGAGTCTCACTCTGTTGCCAGGCTGGAGTGCAGTGGCGCAATCTTGGCTCACTGCAACCTCCGCCTCCCGGGTTCAAGCGATTCTCCTGCCTCAGCCTCCCAAGCAGCTGGGACTACAGGCACACACCACCATGCCCAGCTATTTTTTTTTTTTTTTTGTATTTTTAGTAGAGACAGGGTTTCACCATTTTAGCCAGGATGGTCTTGATCTCTTGACTTCGTGATCTGCCCACCTCGGCCTCCCAAAGTGCTTCCCAGCCAGATTACAGGCATCAGCCACCGCACCCAGCCAGAATGAATATATTTTGTATGTGAGAAGGATGTGAGTGTGGGGGGACCAGGGATAGAATGCTGTGGTTTGAATGTCCCTTCCAAAATTCAAGTTGAAATCTAATTGCCATTATGATGGCTCAGTAGCCCCCTTATCCTCAGACAATATATTCCAAGGCCCTCAGTGGATGCCTGAAATCATGGATGGTGCCAAACCCTATATATACTGTTTTTTCCTATACATACATACCAAAGATAAAGCTTAATTTATAAATTACTCACAGTAAGATGAATAATAACTAATAAAAATAGGACTATTATAAAATACTATAATAAAAGTTGTATGAATGTGATCTCTCTCAAAATATTGTAACTAGAACCACAGAAAGTGAAACCAGCTATAAGGGGGGACTACTATATTAAGAGATGAGACCTTTAAGAGGTGATTAGGTCATGACACCTCCATCATCATGAATGGATTAATGCCATTACCATGGGAGTGGGTTAGTTATTATGGGAATTTGACCCTCTTTTCCTCTCTGTCTCTCTCACATGCACTTCCTTGCCATGTGACGCCATCCACGACATTATGACACAGCAAGAAGGCCCTCATCAGATTTGGACCCCTTATCGTGGACCTCCCAGCCACCAGATTCATGAGCCAAATAAATCTCTTTTGTTTACAAGTTACCCAATCTGTAGTATTCTGTTATAGCAGCAGAAAATAGACTAAGACACATATATCATACTCCTTCTCACATTTTCAATAGGTGCTGTTGTTGACAGATCTTCTGTTCTCACCAGATTGGGACCCTCCTGTTGAGAGTGGAGAACAGATCTTCTTTATCTTCATGTAAGCTCCAATGACTTTCGCAGAGCCTCCCACATTATAGATGAATGAATAATGAAAACTTGTAGCCAGAGGTTTGTAGTCTTCTCGCTTCTGCCTAATCCCCACAGCAGCACTGTGATGTGGGTGGCAACGCAGAGGGGGTGGAATGTTGAAGCACTTAATTTCCCCTGAGTGCCTCTCAATCTCACAGTCATAGTTCTCTTTTTCCTCTTAAGTTCTATTGCAATTGTAACTTCTAGATTCACAATATAACTCTCTTCTGAATGTGGCAGGTGCTGCAAAAGAATGGCAATTAAGATCCATTGCAGTTCAATGCAGAAACAGGCAGCCTGTGGCAATGAAATTACCAAGTGGCACATGAAGTCCCTAGTGGTGACACTCTCACACTACCTACTGCATAGCCCTCTTTTATTTGTGCCTCACACAGCCCCTCCTCTCTCCCTTCCTCTGGTTCTACTCCGATCCTCTTTTTTCTTCCCTCACTTAGCTATTTCAATTTCCCTGCTTGCACTCACAATGGCCCATGAGCTAAAAATATTGCTGGGCAGGGATAGAAAATACTCGGCGAAGGGCCACCATTCTTGTCTCACTTGCCTAGGACAAGTCATTAGCTGATTTTGAAGACTCTTACTTGCAATCTCAAAATCCTAAAACATGGCTAGAGACAGCCACCACCAATTAATAAGAGTGGACATGGAAGATGGCACCTATTGCAACCTCTAGGGAATTTTTATCCTCCTGGCAGTAGAAAGTATTAACTTAAGCCTCAGTATTGAACTGGAAAAAAAAGATTTCCTTTTTTTATTTCTTGCCCCTTCTGCCACTGTGATTGACTGGTAGTGGCTCTTCTGGAGCACTGTTTAAGGTGATCAAGAGATAGCATTCTGGCCCAACAAGAATTAGTGCTATTATGCATTAGTAATGTCTTACTAAGCAATCAGGAATACAGAGTGGCAATATACACGCTATATATTTGCCCTATCTGCCTTACTCTCTCATTTGATAAGTTACTATTCCAATATCCTCAATGCAACCAACAGGGCTTGCAAAGTTTATTTAGTTCATTCAACAATTAACTGAACTTGAATATGAGTTCATTAGATTTGAGTATAAGCCCAGCACAATGCTAGGCACTGGACACAGAAAGATAACTAAACACATCATTAATCTCAGGCAACAAATAAAGTCTAGTTTCTAACAAACACAATATGCCATTTGAACTTAAAAACAACCAATAGACAATATTGCCCATGTTCTTAAAGTTTAAGAAAAGGACTTGCATTCAAATAGAACCATTTTTTTATGACTAATCTTAACCTTGGCTTTGCAAAAGCCTAAGCAAGCCACAAATATTTGCAGGAAATTCCCTAAAGTTTCCTGTTATATTTAAAAGGAGGTGAGGGTCCCTGATGTAAGTTCAAATAATTAAATATTGAATGCTGCCACTCCAAAGTGTTTGAGAATTTCTGGATTGCATGTGTGTTGTATGTGATACCAGTAACAATAGTTGAAATTAGAACAAACATGGAGAAAATAATAGACTAAAGCAATATAATTCCCCACAGATATAAGAATACACCATACAAACACTAACTTTCCATAATGATCAATTCAGAAGAGTTGCGACAAACACAGAAACTGTGACACTGATGCATGATGGGAGTAACAACTTGTTGTCTGTGTTAAAGAAGAGCTGTTTCCCTGCTAAAGAATGCAACTTGAGAACAGAGGCAGCAGCAGGGCAAAGACAACAGATCAGAATAGAGTACATATAATTTAGCCTTCTGAGTTGAATCATCGTCTGCCATCAGTCTCCTCTCCTCTCTTATCAGTCATGGTGGTTTCAAGCCCACCACCCTCCAGAGCATTAGGCTGCTGCTGTTTTTTTAGATCTCAAAATTTTGTTTGCCTCTGACATCTATTATATCAATACACTTTTAGTTTTGTTTGTTTACTTGCTTGGGCTACATTTGTATATAGGTTTCAGAACAGTCTCCAAGCTTTTAAGTTTTGAACTAGATATATGCAATATATTAAATATATAATTTTTAACTAGATACATCCCAATATGAAATTGGAAGATAGTGTATTTTCCTCCAAACTAGCCAAAATAATCCAATAATTGGTCTATTTTTCAGCTGCTGTTTTCTACTCAAAGGTGAAGCAAGTACCCATCCACCCAATCATCCCCAATCATTGAAGTAAAACAGATCCACATGACAGATAAACATATTTACTGGAAATATATATATCAAGGTGTGATCTATAGACTGCCCACCTCAAAATCTACCTGAGAAACATTAAAATGAGGATTTCTAGAGCTATCAAGAGCCCCCAAATCTGTATTTTAGCAAACCCACTAGATGATTTCTAAAGGGACTGAAGTATGAGGAGCTCTACCATTCTAGGGTAACTGCCTCCATGGCAGAAGGCTTTTCCCATCTAATCCCTAAAATATATCAGTCAAACTAGTCACATCTGTGCAGAAGTATTAGGGTAATTCAAAGTCCAAACCACTGGAAATTTTCCTAAGGTTGGCATGAGGAGCCTGCCCTCAGTCTAATAGGCCTAGAATAGTCCTGTTCTCTGAGTGCACAAAGCATCTGGAAGCCATGTATGCCAGTGATGGAGTGAGTCTAGAACTGCTTACGCATTGGGTAAAAATCTCTGAACCTCATATAGGTCTCCTCCTAGCCAGGTGCCCACCTTCACTGAACAGGCAGTGCCTCTGGCCACCTGCCTTGCTATTATTTATTGACTGATACTACTGGCTCAGAAGGGCAGCTGCAAGTGAGTCACAGAGGGATTTTTGCAGCATCTCTGGCTGGTGCTGCTCAAAGACAAGCACCCATAAATCCTCTGGTTGCCATCGATCAACGGCAGACACAACAAAAAATACTACCCAGGCAAGTTTAAAGTTCAAACATGGCTACTGAGAGGGACAGCAAGGCCATATGCTGATTCCCCAGTTCCTTTTTAAGAAAGGAGAGCTCAGAGATAAATACAGAAAATCATTCTCTTACTATTTTCAAATATCTAACCTTTAACTTTGTTTAACTTCAATAATTGCCTGAGTTGAGACTGCTTCTAAAGACAAGTTCAAGTTGAATACTAAGTTCCCCACTTGATTTTATTCAGTATACATTTCCTTTTAGAGCAGTTATTTTGATTCAGACACACTTGATTCACATCATACATTATAACACAAAAAAAAGCCCCCATGCTAATGCTGGTATAGAATAAAAACACTTGAATTTGTGAATTCCGGAAGAATTTGTAAGCCTCCTGGTACTTGTATTATGCTTCCAGCAAATATACTTCTACCAAGGGCATGCAGAACATGACTTTGTACAGAGATATTACTTTGTACAGGACCACACATGCATGAAAGACCAGAACAGTGAAAGAACTGAAAACTCAGAGACAAAGATAACTGGAAATTATCTATTCTACAGTCCTCATTTTGCATTTAAAGAAGGCGGATTCTCTGGAGTGAACTCAAAGTTTCCTTCCAGCCCTGAAATCGGTTTTTGCTTCATACAGCAGAGGTTCCTGGTGCCCAGAATGATCACTTCACCAATCAGGGTTCCTATATCTGACCACGGCTTCCTATGGCAGCCCTTCCTAAGGGTTCCCGTATCTCCCTTTTCTGGCCACAGAACATACTGAGTTTATGCATAAGTAGAAAGAAGGCGCTGGAAAGTTAATTCTGCATACCAGCTCTCAGCTAATGACAGAAGAAGTTAGATTATTAACCAGCTTCTGACCCTCAGGTGGGACAACCCTGAAGTGTGCTTTACACCATCTCTCAGAGGTCGGGTACAGTGCCTGCTGACACACCCTGTGGGAGCTTCCCTGACCCACTTCACTTTCCCACCAGTGTCCACTGAATACTTACCCCTACTGGCACTCAAATCCTGGCCTTGGAGTGTTCTTCTGGGAGAGTCCACCCTAACACAAAAGGTCCCAAACCTATGGCAGAAAGGGAAGACCATACTGGTTTGGTTTTGCATATTTTAAGGATATTTAAAGAAAATAGTTGGGAGCAGTGGTTCAAGACTATAATCCTAGCACTTTGGGAGGCCACAGGAGGAGGATCACTTGAACCCAGGAGTTCAAGAACAATCTGGGCAGCAAAGCAAGATCCTGCCTCTACAAAAAAAATTAAAATTTTTAAACTTCTAAAATAAATAAATAAATAAAAATTAGCAGGCAATGTGGCCTTGCACCTGTTGTCCTAGCTACTCAGAAAACTGAAACAGGAGTATGGCTTAAGCCCAGGTGTTTAAGGCTGCAGTGAGCTATGATCATGCCACTGCACTCCAGCCTGGGCAACAGAACAAGACTTTGTCTCCAAAAAAAAAAAAAAAAAAAAAAAAGATAACTTTATTAGATCATGTCATGGGAACCTAGAAGAGTAAGTAAACAGTCTGTTTCAAACAGTTTAAGACATATTCATCCAATTCTTAACAAGAGCCAAGTTTTCAGAACCTTTGTTTCAATTCAATCAGACAGTTATTCAGAACTGAATATCAATCAGGCTCAAAACTGATTTAACAAGCAATTTTGAGGTAAAACTAAAAAAATCAACCATATTTGTTCAAAAGCCAAAAGTAGTATTTGGCATACTTGCCTTATGAAATGAGGACAAAACATAACAATTCTGTAAATATCTTCAGAATTAGGAGGACAGACAAGGAAAGATGACTGAAGAGAAGCCTCCAGTAATCATCCTCCCCTCAAAAACACCAAATTGAACAACTATTCACACAAAAATCACCTTAATAAGAACCAAAATCAGGTGAGTGATTACAGCACCGGGTTTGAACATCATATTAAGGAAAGAGGCACTGAAGAGGGTAGGAAAGTCTTGAATTGCCAATACCACCCCTCTCCTATTCCCTGGTAGTGGCCTCATGACACAGAGAGAGAATCTGTGCATTCAGAGGAGGGAGAGTGCAGAGCTTGTCGGAATTTGCACTGGAACTCAGTGCTGCCCTGTCATGGCAGAAAGCAATACTGAGCAGAATTCAGCCAGCTGAAAACAACATTTAGACCAGCCCTGGGCAGAGAGGAATCATCCATCCCAGTGGTTAGAACCTGAGTTCTGGCAAGCCCTGCCACCATGGGCTAAAGAGCTCTGAGGTGCTAAATGAACTTGAAAGGCAGTTTAAGCCATAAGGACTGCAATTCCTGAGCAAGTCCTGGTGCTATGCTTGGATCAGAGCCAGTGGACTTGGGGTGCATACAACCTAGTGAGACTCTAGCCAAGGCAGCCAAGGGAGTGTTTGTGTCACCCCTCCTCCAACCTCAGGCAGCACAGCTCACAGCTCCAGAACAGACTCTTTCTTTCTGCTTGAGGAGAGGAGAGGGGAGAGTAAAGAAGACTTTGTCTTACAATTTGGATACTGGCTCAGCCACAGTAGAATAGGGTGCCCATCAAAGTCCTAAGGCCCCATTCCAGCACCTAGCTGCCAGATAACATTTCTAGACACCCTGGGCCAGAAAGTAACCTGCTGCCTTGAAGGGAAGGATGCAGTTGTGGCAGGATTCATCACCCGCTGACTAAAGAGCACTTGGGCCCTGAATACTCAGCAGTGGTAGCCAGGTAATACTCACCACAGAACTTGCGTGAGACTCAGAGCTGTGTTGCCTTCAGTTATGACCCACCACATTCCTACTTGTAGTGGCTATGGGGAGATACCCTTTCTGCTTGAAGAAAGGAGAGGGAAGAGTAAAGGAAACTTCATCTTACAGTTTGGGTACCAACATGGCCACAGTGCAGTACAAAACCAAGTGGGTTTCTGGGGTCTCTTATTCCAGGCCTTAATTCCTGAAACTGCTGTGAGCCAGAGGGATGCCCACTGCCCTGAAAGGAAAAACCCAGACCCAGAAGCATTCACCACAAGCTGATGGAATAGCCCTTGGGCCTTAAGTGATCATCAACAACAGCCAGGCAGTACTCACTGCAGGCCTGGGGTAGTGGTGATCATGAGGAGAAACTCTTCTGTTTGTGGAAAGGAGATGGAAGAATGGGAAGGATTTTGTCTTCAGGGTTTGGGTATAAGCTCAGCCACAGTAGAATACAGCACTAGGTAGATGCAAAAGTTTTCCAAATCCAGGCCCTGGCTCCTGGATGGCAACTCTTAACCTGCCTGGAGCTGGGAGAACCTCGCCTCCATGAAGGGAAGAACACAAGCCTGACTGTATTCACCACCTGTTGTTTGTAGAGCCCTAGAGCCTTAAGAGAACATAGGTGGTAGCCAGTCAGTGGTCACTGTGGGGCCTTGGGAGAGACCCAGTGCTGTGCTGGCTTTGGGTCTGACCCAGCACAGTCCCACTGGTGGTAGCCACACCAGTGCTTGTGTCACTCCTCTCCCACCTCCAGACAGCTCAGCACAGAGAGAGAGACTCCATTTGTTTGGGTGAAAGGAAGGGAGGAGAATAAGAATCTCTGCATGGTAATCCAGGGAACTCTTCCAGATCTTACCCAAAACCACCAAGGTGATACCTCTTCAAGTCTGCAAGAAGCACAGCATTACTGGGCTTGGGATGCCCACTAATGAATATATGGCTCCATTGAGCAAACATGAAGATGATAACACTCAAGTCCCTTCAAATATCTGGAAAGCCTTCTCAAGAAGGATGGGTACAAACAAAGTTACATTGCAAAGACTACATACAATAAATACCTAACTCACCAATCCCCAGACACCAATAAACATCCACAAGCATTAAGACCATCCAGGAAAACTTGACCTCACCAAATGAACTAAATAAATAAGGCACTGGTGATCAATCCCAGAGACAGAGATATGTGACCTTTCAGAAAATTCTAAATAGCAGTTTGAGGAAATTCAGCAAAATGTAAGATAACACACAGAAGGAATTCAGAATCCTATCAGATAAATTTAACAAAAAGGTTGAAATAATTAAAAAGAATCAAACAGAAATTCTGGAGCTGAAAAATGCAACGACATATGGAAGAATGCATCAGAGTCTCTTAAGAGCAGAACTAATCAAGCACAAGAAAGAATTAGTGAGCTTAAAGATAGGCTATTTGAAAATGCACAGTCAGAGGAGACAAAAGAAAAGATAATAAAAGAGAATGAAACATGCCTACAAGATCTAGGAAATAGCTTCAAAGGGGCAAATCTAAGAGTTACTGGCCTTAACCCATTTCCCGTTTGCCCAAAAATACTCTTGTCTCTAATCCTAATGTAATATCATATACATTTCTGTTACATTAGGATTAGAGACAAGTTCTATTTAGAAATAACTCCAAGAACAGTTTTTATATTTTATTTTTACATTGTAAATCAGTCAGATTTGTTTCAGCCTCAAAGAGTATGTTGATATAAAATTAAATGAGCACTTGGCAGCAAGCTGCACTTTTTTTTCCTAAACAGGTAATAGGTTAAAGAGGAGATTGAGAAACAGATCAGGGGAGAAAGTTTATTCAAAAGGATAATAAGAGAGAACATCTCAAACCGAGAAACATATCAATATTCAAGTACAAGAAGGTCATAAAACACCAAGCAGATTTAACCCAAATAAGGCTACCTCAAGACACTTAATAATCAAATTCCCATAGGTCAAGGATAAAGAAAGTATCCTAAAATCAGCAAGAGAAAATAAATAAATAACATACAATGGAACTCCAATATGTCTGTCAGTAGACTTCTCAGTGGAAACCTTATAAGCCAGGAGACAGTGACATGACATATATAAAGTGCTGAAGGAAAAACTTCTATCCTGGAGTAGCATATCCAGCAAAAATATCCTCCAAACATGGAGAAATAAAGACTTTCCTAGACAAAAAAAGCTGAGGGATTTCATCAACACCAGGACTGTCCTACAAGAATTGCTAAAGGAATAGACAATATGTTAGGCCACAAAACAAGTATTAAAATTCTCAAAAAATATTGAAATTATATCAAGGATAATCTGTGACCACAATGGAATAAAACTAAAAATCAATAACAAGAGGAATTTGGGGAACTATACAAATACATGAAAATTAAATAATATGCTCCTAAATGACCAGTGATCAATAAAGAAATTAAGAAGAAAATTTAACAATTACTTGAAATAAATGCTAATGAAAACATAACATACAAAAAATTATGGGATGTAGCAAAAGCAGTACTAAGAGGAACACTTATAGCAATAAGCACCTACATCAAAATAGTAGAAAAACTTCAGATAAACAACCTTACAATGCATCCTAAAGAACCAGAAAAGCAGAAGCAAACCAAACCCAAAATTAGTAGAGGAAAAGAAATAATAATGATTGAAGCAGAAATAAACAAAATTGAACTAAAAGAATAATACAAAAGATCAACAAAATGAAAGAAAAAAAGAGAGAAAATTCAAATAAGTAAAATGAAAGATGAAAAAGGAAACTTTACAACCAATACCACAGAAATTCAAAGGATTATTAGAGGCTACTGTAAGTAACTATATGCCAGTAAATTGGAAAGCCTAGAAGAAACGGATAAATTTGTAGACACAAACAACCTACAAAGATGGAACCATGAATAAATCCAAAACCTGAATAGACTGAGAACAACTAATGAGATCAAAGCTGTAATTCAAAGTCTCCCATCAAAGAAAAGTCCAAGAACCAATGGCTTCACTGCTGAATTTTAGCAAACATTTAAAGATGAACTAACACCAATCCTACTCAAACTATTCTAAAACATAGAGGAAGAGTGAATACTTTCAAACTCATTCTACAAGTCCAGTATTACTTGATACCAAAACCATGCAAAGACATATCAAAAAAAGAAAACTATAAGCCAATATCCCTGATGAACACTGAAGCAAAAATCTTCAACAAAATATTAGTGAACTAAATCCAACAACACATCATAAAAATAATACACCATAATCAAGTGGGATTTCTCTCAGGGATGCAAGGGTGGTTGAACATATGCAAATCAATAGATGTGATACATCATATCACAGAACGAAGTAAAAAAAACACATAATCATTTTAATTGACTCTGAAAAAGCACTTGATAAAATTCAACATCCCTTTATGATTAAAAAAAAACATTAAAAAACCGGGTATAGAAGGAACACATCTCAACACAATAAAAGCCATATATAATAGACCCACAACTAATATCATACTGAATGGGGAAAAACTGAAAGCCTTTCCTCTAAGATCTGGAACATGACAAGGATGCCCACTTTCACCACTGTTACTCAACATAATACTGAAAGTCCTAGATAGAGCAATCGGACAAGAGAAAGAAATAAAGAGCATCCAAATTGTAAAGGAAGAAGTCAAATTATCCTTGTTGGCAGATGACATAATCTTATATTTAGAAAAACCTAAAGATTTCAATGAAAAACTATTAGAGCTGATAAACAAATTCAGTAGTTGCAGAATACAAAATCAACATACAAAAATCAGTAGCATTTCTATATGCCAACAGTGAACAACATGAAAAAGAAATCCCATTTACAACAGCTACAAATAAAACAAAATACGTAAAATTAATTTAACTGAAGAAATGAAAACTCCCTACAATGAAAACTATAAAACATTGTTGAAAGAAATTGAAGAGGACACAAAAAATGGAAAGATATTCCATGTTCATGAATTGGAAGAAACAATATTGTTAAAATGTCCTTACTACCCAAAGCAATCTACAGATTCAATGTAATTCCTATCAAAATACCAATGATATTCTTCACAGAAATAGAAAAAAATCCTAAAATTTATATGAAACCTCAAAAGACTCAGAATAGCCAAAGATATCCTGAGCAAAAAGAATAAAACTGGAGGAATTACATCACCTGACTTCAAATTATACTAAAAAGCTATAGTAGCCAAAACAGCATGGTACTCACATAAAAACAGACACATAGACCAATGGAATAGAATAGAGAACCCAGAAAGAAATACATTCATCTATAGTGAACTCATTTTTTACAAATGTGCCAGGAACATACATTAAGGGAAAAACAGTCTCTTCAATAAATAGTGCTGAAAAAACTGGATATCTATATGCAGAAGAATGAAACTAGATTCCCATCTCTCATCATAAACAAAAGGCAGATTAACTGGATCAAAGACTTAAATCTAAGACTCAAACTATGAAACTGCCACAAGAAAACCTTAGAGAGCTCTCCAGGACATTGGACTGGGCAAAAATTTGTTGAATAATACCCCACAGCATAGGCAACCAAAGCAAAGATGTACAAATGGAATCCCATCGATTTAAAAAGCTTCTGCATAGCAAAGGAAACAATCAACAAAATAAAGAGACAGTCCACTGAATGGGAGAAGATATTTGCAAACTACCCATCTGAGAAGAGATTAATAACCAGAATATACAAGAAACTCAAACAACCAGGAAAAAAAACTTAATGATCAGATTTTTTAATGGGCAAAAGATCTGAATAGACATTTCTCAAAGACATACAAATGGCAAATAGGTTTATGAAAAGGTGCTCAACTTCATTGATAATCAGAGAAATTCAAATCAAAACTACAATGAGATATCATCCCAACCCAGCTAAAATGGCTTTTATCCAAAAGACTGGCAACAACAAATGCTGGAAAGGATGTGGAGAAAAAGGAAATCTTTGTACACTGTTAGAGGGAATGTAAATTAGTACAATCACTATGGAGAACAGATAGGAGGTTCCTTAAAGAACTAAAGATAGAACCATCATATGATCCAGCAATCCCACTGCTAGGTATGTACCCAAAAGAAAGAAAATGAGTATATAGAAGAGATATCTGCATTCCCATGTTTATTGCAGCACTATTCATAATAGCCAAGATTTGGAAGCAACCTAAGTGTCCATCAACAGATGAATGGACAAAGAAAATGTGGTACATATACACAATGGAGTACCATTTAGCCACAAAAAAAATGAATGAGATCCTGTCATGTGCAACAACATGGATGGAAGTGGAGAACATAATGTTAAGTGAAAGCCAGGCACAGAAAGACAAACTTCACGTGTTCTCACTTATTTGTAGGAGCTACAGATAAAAACAGTTGAACTCATGGAGACAGAAAGTAGAATGATGGTTACCAGAGGCTGGGAAGAGTAGTTGGGCAAGTCGGGAGAAGGGAGCATGGTTAATCAGCACAAAAATACAGTTTGATAGAATGAATAAGAGCTATTATAGTATTTGATAGCACAACAAGGTGACTACAGTCAACAACAATTTATTGTATATTTAAAAACAACTAAAAGTATAATTAGATTGTCTGTAACACAAAGAAAGGATAAATACTTGAGATGATGGATACCCCATTTACCCTCATGTGAGTATTATGCACTATATGCCTGTATCAGAATATCTCATGCACTCCATAAGTATATACAACTACTATGTACTCACAGAAATTAAAAATTTTTTAAAAATTGAATTAATATTTGGTCTGAATAAGCTGGGTTTCTGTATTTGGTGCACCATATTTCTGTTTTGTTTTAACTAAGACAGTTTTTCACCTACATTTTATTAAATTTATATTGAGTTAACCCTAGAAATACTTTTTTTAAAAGGTCCACCTTTATCTTATCTTTTTACTTCACTGGTATTTGATAATGCTTTAGTCTCTGCAGCAATATACAATTTTTATTAAATAGGTCTTGTCTATAAGTTATAAGTTTTCAAGACACAGACTTGTCTCCCTTCCATTGTTGTTTTAGTGGATATATAAAGACATAAAATAAGACTTTAAATTAGAGCCTCTGCTTCACTGAGTCCAAGGTCACTCAAAAATTAATTTAGGATGAAAAATATAATATTATAGCATATTGGTACAACTTTTTCCAAAGAAAATATACTGTGTCTTATAAATAGTCATTGCTTGCTGCAGCAACACTGCTGGGGAAAAAAAATGTAAAAAGTATCTGTGTTTTCCAGAACAAGCTAAGATGCTAAGACTCCAAGTGAGCAAGTGATTTGAATGAAACCACTCAGTGAGCCAAAGGTAAGAATGAAAACAGGCTGCAGGACCCTAATTCCAAGTTATGTTGTGTTGATTAAAATTTGGTTATTTAATCTCACTTCTGGGCAGAAGTGGATTTATCCTGAATCCAATGAAGCTTAAACTCCAGAGCCCCACATACGCATACATCCCTTTCAGAGCCCTGGAAGCAGAGCCCATATAACCTCACTTAGTGTATGACTTTGTAAAAATTGCAAAGGTGCACATTGAAACCTAACTTCACTCTGACTTTAAAGAGGATTACTCAAATTTTATAAGCTTCAGATTCTGCAAAACAGGAATTCCTTCTTGTGCTAGATTTACATTAAAACATTACCTGTGTTTCTCAGCTGATTACTTACCCCTATGACTCACAAACCAACCAAAATATTTTGTCTTTCAGAAGAGACATGTTAGTCCAAAATTAACTCAGGCCTCACAGCATCTTCCCAACTAACAACTTCACTAATCCATGGTCTTCCAGAAGACATTTTACAATTACTCTGAACCTTTGTGAGAAACTTAGGAAGCTTTAGTGCATCAATGAGCAGTTAACATCTGTGGATCCCTACTGAGATCTGAGGTTTAAACCAATTAGTGGCAACCAGGAGCTTTGCAATGTGCTTTCATACAGAACAAGCATATGCTTATGTTTTAAATTTAAAAACATACTCTCCTGTAGAGAATGTCCACACGGCATTCTCCTTCTTTGGCTCATGTAATTATTATTACATTTTGTGCTCCAAGAGTGATTATGGGACTCACAGAAACCCTGAGTCCCAAAAGAAAAATATTTCTACATAAGAAACCATACTCTTTGAATCCCATTATTTTGTGGACTTCTATTCATGTAGTTCTTTGTATCTGTTTATTTGCAAGCCTCCAGAGTTTGTTCTTCATTCTCCACTCCCAGATCCCAGCCAAAATGCTAGATAAAAAGAAATGAGCCTTAAAATAATGGCCAGACACCCTAGTGGTACAATCCTTTTAGGCTGAAAGCTAGCCATGGAGAAGAGATGGTAACTCACCCTTATCTCCAACTTTTGAAATTTTAACTAATGTTGCACAGTTTGTCCTTACTAGTTTCATTAATAATAATAATATCTAACATTTATTGAGCTAGGACTATGTGCCAGGCACTATACTAAGTACTTGACTGGCATTCACTGTCTCATTTAACCAACCCAATAACAATAGAGGGTAGGTACTCTTTAATGTCTCTTTATAAATAAGGAAACTGAAGCACAACAAGGTTAAGCAATTTTCCCAGAGTTACTTTTGGTGACTCTGGGAAAGTCACAAAAATGAAAGATTGGTGACTACCATCTTTCATTCCTAGGAATGCTCAGTCCCAGCCTCTCTCAATATAGGTTTAGGGGTGTGACTTAGGCTGGCCAATTAAAGAATCCCATTCCTCTAGCCACAATGATTAATTCAGGGATGGGCATCGTATTAGTTTTCTACTGCTGCGTAACGAACAACTGCAAACACAGAAGGTTAAAAACAACACCACCAGTTTATCAGCTCATAGGTCTGAGGATCAAAAGTCCAGTCACAACATGGATGCCTTCTCTGCACAGAGCATCATAAGCCTAAAATCAATGTGTCAGCCAGGATGAGTTCTCATCTAGATGCTCCAGGGGTGAAATCTGCTTCCAAGTTCATTCTTGTTCAATTCCTTGCCATTGTTGGACTGAGGATCCATTTCCTTGCTGAGTCTCAGCCAGGGGCCACTCTCAGTTGCTAGTGGCTGCTCACATTCCCTGCCATAAGGCCCCCTTCATCTTCAAGCCAGCAAGTGTGTTGAATTCTTCTTATACTTTACATCTCTGATATCACCATCTCTGACCTCTAGATCCAGATTTAAAGGGCTCATGTAATGAGGTAAGGCCCACCCAGACAATCTCTCTAGCTTAATATCAACTGATTTGGGATCTTAGTTATATCTATAAACCCTTTTTCAGCAACATCTAGATTAGTGCCTGATGAAATAACTGGGAAAAGGTGTTATGGACACCAGGGGCTGGGAATTTTGAGCACTATCTTAGAATTCTGCCTCCCACAGGCACATAAATAAACCAAGCTAGTCTAGTCAGTATCCTCTACACAAAGAACCCTTCTTTCTTCTCTGAGCTCACTAACTGTATGCACAACATATGGTTGGAGCTTCGAGATGGAGAGAGCATGACTGCAAATGAAACTAAAATAGAAGGAAGAAAAGTTGAAAGAGATGATGCCGATAACATTATTAAAGTCTCTGGATGCAGCAGCTTGAGTTGGCCTTCCGTTATGTGCAACCAAAGAGTTCTGACCAATACAACTTTCTCACTCCAAAGTCCAAGTTCTTAACTACCAGGAAATTTTTCACTTTCTTTGACTAGGCTTTTGTATTCTAAGTCTGATTTGTATGAGTCTTTTGCACATTTTTTTAAAAAAACAAGCCAGCACTGTCAATCTTCATTTTTCCTTCCTATAATTATTTAAATGATATTAAAACATAAGAAAGCTATATCAATTAGTGACAAATATTTGTTAAATTGATAGGTAAACATCAGGGGAAGCTGAGTGAGGGCGCGCACAAACTCTCTGTACTATTTCTGCAACTTTAGTTAAGTCTTAAATGATTTTAAAATTAAAGGTTGTATTTTAAAAGTCCATTGATAATCGACTCAGACATCAAATTAAGTCAACCATACTGCTTTGCTATACGTTTATAAAATATTTTTTTCTGTTTTCAGGTAAAATATACAAGATGAAGAAGCAGGGACCAACTGTGCAAGAAACCTTGCATGTAGTCCTCTCTATTGAAAAGTTCTAAACCTAAAAATATTAAATATATTGTATTTAATATGTAATGTAAATATTTAGGTGTATTGACATCTAAAAAGTGTGCCACCATTCTTATTGATGTCATTTGTTACTACTGACAATGCTGAAAGCATCAATAGTTTTCTGTCTCCTGTAATCTTTTCTTCTTTAATTATTGTTGTCTTTTGGGTTTTTAGTTTTTTGTTTTTTTGTTTTTGACACAGAGTCTTGCTCTGTCGCCCAGGCTGGAGTGCAGTGGTGCAATCTCGGCTCACTGCAACCTCCACCTCCCAGGTTCAAGTGATTCTCCTGCCTCAGCCTCCCGAGTAGCTGGGATTACAGGCATGCACCATGACGCCTGGGTAATTGTTGTATTTTCAGTAGGGACAGGTTTTACCATGTTGGCCAGGCTGGTCTCAAACTCCTGACCTCAGGTAATCTTCCCACCTCGGCCTCGCAAAGTGCTGGGATTACAGGCGTAAGCCACCACACCAGGCCTTTAATTGTTATAGGCTGAATTGTGTCCCTACCCCAACTCCAAAATTTATATGCTGAATTTCCAACCCCCAGTACCTCAGAACTGACTGTATTTGAAGACTGGGTATTTAAAGAGGTAATGAAAGTTAAATAAAATCATTAGGATGGGTCCTAATCCATCTGGACTGGTATCATTATAAGAAAAGGAGATTAGAACATAGAATACATAGAAGGAAGATCAGGTGAAGATATGGGGGAAAACAGCCATCTACAAGCCAAGGAGAGAAGGCTTAGAAGAAACCAACCCTTCTGACACCTCAATCTTGGATTTCTAGCACCTAGAACTGTGAGAAAATAAATTTCTGTTGTTTAAGCCACCCAGTCTGTGGTACTTTGTTATGGCAGCCCTAGCAAATTTATACAGATTAGTATGATGTTAAATACGGTACAGGCATATCTCATTTGATTGTGCTTCACTTTACTGTTCTTTGCAGATATTGCATTTTTTACAAATTGAAGGTTTGTATCAACCATGCATCAAGCAAGTCTATCAGCACAATTTTTCTAACAACATGTGCTCACTTCATGTCTCTCGTGTCACACTTTGGTAATTCTTGCAATGTTTCAACCTTTTTCATTATTGTATCTCTTAGAGTGATCTGTGATTGGTGATCCTTGATACTACTATTGTAACTGTTTTGGGGTGCCATGAGCCACATCCATACAAGACAGTAAATTTGATCAAAAAGAGATTGCTCCCTTGCTCCCCTGTCTTTCTCCCTCTTTTCAGGCTTCCTTATTGCCTGAGACACAACAATATTGAAGTTAGGATAATTAATAACTCTGCGATGGCCTCTAAGTGTTTAGGTGAAAGGAGGAGTTGCACATCTCTCACTTTAAATCAAAAGCTAGAAATGATTAAGCTTAGTGAGGAAGGCATGTCAAAAGCCAAGATAGGCTGAAAGGTAGACCTCTTACACCAAACAGTTATCTAAGTTGTGAATGTAAGGAAAAAGTTTTTGAAGTAAATTATAAGTGCTATTTCTTTCTCCATATTAGCATTAAGGCTATTTTTCTTTCTTATCAAGTAATCTTTATTATCAAGTAATCTTTCTTATCAAGTAATCTTTATTATCAAGTAATAAGAAAGAGAAATGATAAGAAAGAGAAACAGACTTAATGCTAATATGGAGAATGTTTGAGTGGTCTGGATAGACATCAAACCAGCCACAACATTCCCTTAACCCAAAGCCTAACCCTGACTTGCTTCAATTTTATGAAGGCTAAGTGAGGTGAGGAAGCTGCAGAAGAAAAGTTGGAAGCAAGCAGCGATTGGTTCATGAGGTTGAAGGAAAGAAGCCATCTCCATAACATAAAAGTATAAGGTGAAGTAGCAAGTGCTAATACAGAAGCCATAACAGGTTATGCAGAAGATCTAGCTATGATCGTTGATGAAGGTGGTTACGTTAAACAACAGATTTTTAATGTGGACAAAATAGCCCTCTATTGGAAGAATAATTCAGCTAGGACTTTCATAGCCAGAGAGAATAAATGCCTGGCTTCAAAGTTTCAAAAAACAGGCTGACTCTCTTAATGAGACGAATGCAGCTGATGACTTGAAGGTGAAGCCAGTGCTCATTTAACATTCTGAAAATCCTAGGGTCCTTAAGAGTTGTATGAAATCAACCCTGCCTGTGCTGTATAAATAAAATAATCAAGCCTGAATGAGAGCACATCTGTTTACAGCATGGTTTACTGAATATTTGAAGTCCACTGTTGAGACCTACTGCTCAGAAACAAAAAGATTTATTTCAAAATATTACTGTTCATTAACAATGCACCTTGTCACCCAAGAGGTCTGATAGAGATGCATAAGGAAATTAATGTTGTTTTTATTCCTGCTAACAGAACATCCATTGTACAGCACATAGAGCAAGGAGTAATTTCAACCTTCTAGTCTTATTATTTAAGAAATACATTTTGTAAGGCTATAGCTGCCATACACAGTAATTCCTCTGACAAATCTGGCAAAGTAAATTGAAAATCCGCTGGAAAGGATTCACCATTCTAGATGCCATTAAGAACATCTGTGATTCTTAGGGAGTGGTCAAAATATCAGCATTAACAGGAGTTTGAAAGAAGCTGATTCCTACTTTCATGAATGACTTCGAGGGGTTCAGGACTTCAATGGAGGAATTTGCTGCAGCTGTGGTGGAAATACTGAGAACTAGAATTAGACATAGACCCTGAAGATGGGACTGAATTGCTGCAATCTCATGATAAAACTTGAATGGATGCGGAGTTTCTTCTTATGGATGAGAAAGAAAGTGGTTTCTTGAGATGGAATCTACTCATGGAGATGATGATGCTGTGAATATTGCTGAAATGACAATAAAGGATTTAGAATATTACATAAACATAGTTAATAAAGCAGCAGCAGCATTTGAGAGGACTGACTCCAATTTTGAAAGAAGTTCCACTGTGGGTAAAATGCTATCAAATGGTAGCACATGCTACAGAGAAATATTTTGTAAAAGGAAGTCAATCGGAGCTCCCAAGTACCTGGGACCACAGACAGGCACCACCATGCCCAGCTTTTTTTTTCTTTTTCTTTTTCGTTCTTTGTCTTTTTAGTAGATACATGGTCTGGTTATGTCATGTTGCCCAGGCTGGTCTCAAGCTCCTGAGCTCAAGCCATCCACCCGCCTCAGCCTCCCAAAGTGTTGGGATTACAGGCATGAGCCACCATGCCCAGACTTCATTGTTATTGCCACAGTCACCACGACTTTCAGCAACCACCACCCTAATAAGTCAGCAACTATCAACATTGAGGCAAGACCTTCCACCTGCAAAAAGATTAGGACTCACTGAAGGCTTAGACGATAGTTAGCATTTTTTGCAATAAAGTATTTTTTAATTAAGATGTGTATATCGTGTTTTTAGATATAATGCTATTGCACACTTAACAGATTGTAGTATAGGTAAACATGACTTCTATATGCACTGAGAAGCCAAAAAGATTATGTGACTCGCTTTATTGCAATACTTGCTTTATTATAGTGGTCTAAAATCAAATAGGCAATTTCTCTGAGGTACGCCTGTACTTAGTTCCAGTTCTAAGCAAAGGTCTTTGGCAAGGAGGAGATTAGGTCCAATTTTAGGTTGTGAACTCTGATCCGCTAAAAATTTAATGAACCTTCTTGTTCCAACCTAACACTGAATGGCAAGCCAGCTTTCCCAACAGGATGTCTTTCGGTGAGGTAAATGGAGAGGTTTAAGGCTGCAGGAAATCTGAGGACTGCACAGAGGACTGTCCAGGAGATGGTTAAAATGGTGCCCAAATGGGTACCATTACGCCACCTGCAACTCAGTGCCTTTGAAAAGCTATCTGTGAAGGGAAGTATGTTTTCCTATTAACTTCCATTAATAATTCCAAAGGTGCATTTATGAAAAATAGAGACAGTAGAAAAAGGTGACACTGTCAGAGCTTGGAGAATACTGTTCTTCAGGGAGTGTCTTACTGACAAAGATTCTAATGTTATTGCTAGGCAGTATAGCCCAAGTGTTAGGATTTTTTTTTAACTCCCTAGGAGATTTCAAATTTCAGTCATAATTGCAATCATCTGATATACAACAGCGCATCTCCAACATGAATAAATATACAGATAACCTGGGGATCTTATTAAAATGCAGATTCTGATTCAGGAGGTCTAAAGTGATGCCTAAGAATCTATGTTTCTAAAAAGTTCAGGGAATGCCAGGACTGCTGGTCTGTGAAACACACCTGGAGCAGAAAGGCTCCAGTAGACAGCAACATGCAAGGGTGGCATTAATTTAATCAGAAAAACCCAGAGGGCAATTTGGAGACACAAAAAGTGGAACCTGTAGGAAACAGAAACAATGTTCTTTAGCTTTGGCTACTGTGAGATCACCTTGCAGGGAAATCCATGAGTGGAACTACATCTTCCTTGCTCTGTTTCCATAAACTCATCAAGCAACTACATCATTAAGCTGCTGTGATCTAAGTCAAACATTGTAGGGATGGGGAGAGAGTAGCTTCCTTTTATGAGTAGAAACAATCTGGAGTGGGAAAGATGTATTCATCTTCTTTTCATGTGGCACCTGCCTGCTACAAGCTGTAAACAACAGGGGAACTCATTTGGCACACTTTCCCTGCAGCGATTTGTCAGATGTCATAATTCCATGAATAAAAAGCCATTGGGAAAGAATAATGAATGTATTCCTAAGTATTGAATTTCTGTTTATCCTGATATCTCTTGAGTCTCAGCTTTTACCTGGGTGCCAACATTCTTTTAATATTAATATTATTAAGCTTTCTGGAAAAAAATTTTTTATTATACTTTAAGTTCTGGGATATATCTGCAGAAAGTGCAGATTTGTTACATAGGTATACATGTACCATGGTGGTTTACTTCGCAACAAACCTGTCACCTACATTAGGTATTTCTCCTAATGCTATCCTTCTCCTTGCCCCCTACCCCACAACAGGCCCCAGTGTGTGATGTTTCCCTCCCTGTGCCCATATGTTCTCCTTGTTCAACTCCCACTTACGAGTGAGAACATGCAGTGTTTGGTTTTCTGTTCTTGGGTTAGTTTGCTGAGAATGATGGTTTCCAGCTTCATCCATGTCCCTGCAAAGGACATGAACTCATTCTTTTTTATGGCTGCAAAGTATTCCATGGTGTGTATGTGCCACATTTTCTTTATCCAGTCTATCATTGATGGGCATTTGGGTTGGTTCCAAGTCCTTGCTATTGTGAATATTGCTGCAATAAATATATGTGTGTATGTATCTTTACAGTAGAATGATTTACAATACTTTGACTATTTACCCATTAATGGAATTGCAGGGTCAAATGGTATTTCTGGTTCTAGATCCTTGAGGAATTGCCACACTGGCTTCCACAATGGTTGAACTAATTTACACTCCCATGAACAGTATAAAAGTATTCCTATTTCTCCGCATCCTCTCCAGCATCTGTTGTTTCCTGACTTTTTAATGATCACCACTCTAACTGGCATGAAATGGTATCTCATTGTGGTTTTGATTTGCATTTCCCCAATGACCAGTGATGATGAGCTTTTTTTCAAATGTTTGTTGGCTGCATAAATGTCTTCTTTTGAGAAGTGTCTGTTCATATCCTTCACCCGCTTTTTGATAGGGTTGGGTTTTTTTGTAAACTTGTTTAAGTTTCTTGTAGATTCTGGATATTAGCCCTTTGTCAGATGGATTACAAAAATTATTTCCCACTCTGTAGTTTGCCTGTTCACCCTGATGATAGTTTCTTTTTGCTGTGCAGAAGCTCTTTAGTTTAATTAGATCCCATTTGGTTTTGTTGCCATTGCTTTTGGTGTTTTAGTCATGAAGTCTTTGCCCATGCCTATGTCCTGAATGGTATTGCCTAGGCTTTCTTCTAGGGTTTTTATGGTTTTAGGTCTTACCTTTAAAACTTTAATCCATCTTGAGTTAATTTTTGTATAAGGTGTAAGGAAGGGGTCAAGTTTCAGTTTTCTGCATATGGCTTGCCAGTTTTCCCAACACCATTTATTAAATAGGAAATCCTTTCCCCACTGCTTGTTTTTGTCAAGTTTGTCAATGATCAGATGATTGTAGATGTGTGGTGTTATTTCTGAGGCCTCTGCTCTGTTCCATTAGTCTATATATCTGTTTTGGTACCAGTACCATGCTGTTTTATTTACTGTAACCTTGTAGTATAGTTTGAAGTCAGGTAATGTGATGCCTCCAGCTTTGTTCTTTCTGCTTAGGATTGCCTTGACTATATGGGCTCTTTTTTGGTTCCACAGGAAATGTAAAGTAATTTTTTCTAATTCTGTGAAGAAAGTCAGTGGTAGCATTGAATCTATAAATTACTTTGGGCAGTATGAACATTTTCATGATATTGATTCTTCCTATCCATGAGCATGGAATGTTTTTCCATTTATTTGTGTCCTCTTTTACTTCCTTGAGCAATGGTTTTTAGTTCTCCTTGAAAAGGTGCTTCACATCCCTTGTAAGTTGGATTCCTAAGTATTTTATTCTCTTTGCAGCAATTGTGAATGGGAGTTTGTTCATGATTTGGCTCTCTGTCTACTATTGGTGTATAGCAATGCTTGTGATTTTTGCCATTGATTTTGGATTCTGAGACTTTGCTGAAGTTGCTTACCAGCTTAAGGAGATTTTGGGCTGGGATGATGGGGTTTTCTAAATATACAATCATATCATCTGCAAACAGACAATTTGCCTTCCTCTCTTCCTATTTGAATACCCTTGATTTCTTTCTTTTGCCTGATTGCCCTGGCCAGAACTTCCACTACTATGTTGAATAGGAGTGGTGAGAGAGGGCATCCTTGTCTTATGCCGGTTTTCAAAGGGAATGCTTCCAGCTTTTGCCCATTCAGTATGATATTGACTGTGGGTTTGTCATAAATAGCTCTGATTATTTTGAGATATGTTCCATCAATACCTAGTTTATTGAGTGTTTTTAGCATGAAGGGGTATAGAATTTTATGGAAGGCCTTTTCTGCATCTATTGAGATAATCACGTGGTTTTTGTCATTGGTTCCATTTATGTGATGGATTACGTTTATTGATTTGCATATATTGAACCAGCCTTGCATCCCAAGGATGAAGCCGACTTGATCGTGGTGGATAAGCTTTTTAATGTGCTGCTAGATTTGGTTTGTCAGTATTTTATTGAAGATTTTTGCATCAATGTTCATCAGGGATATTGGCCTGAAATTTTCTTTTTTTGTTGTGTCTCTGCCTGGTTTTGGTATCTGGATGATGTTGGCCTCATAAAATGAGTTAGGGAGGAGTCCCTCTTTTTCTATTGTTTCAAATAGTTTCAGAAGGAATGGTACCAGCTCTTTTGTACTTCTGGTAAAATTCAGCTGTGAATCTGTCTGGTCCTGGGTTTTTTTTGGTTGGTAGGCTATTAATTACTGCCTCAATTACAGAACTTGTTATTGGTCTATTCAGGGATTCAATTTCTTCCTGGTTTAGTCTAGGGAAGATGTATGTGTCCAGGAATTTATCCATTTCTTCTACATTTTCTAGTTTATTTGCACAGAGGTGTTTATAGTATTCTCTGATGGTAGTTTGTATTCCTGTAGGATCAGTGGTGATCTCCCGTTTATCATTTTTTATCATGTCTCTTTGATTCTTCTCTCTTTTCTTCTTTGTTAGTCTGGCTAGCAGTATATTTTGTTGATCTTTTCAAAAAAGCAGCTCCTGGATTCATTGAACTTTTTTTTTTTTTTTTTTTTTTTTTTAAGACAGAGCCTTGCTCCACCTCCTGGGTTCAGGCCATTCTTCTGCCTCAGCCTCCTGAGCAGCTGGGACTACAGGCACCCACCACCATGCCCATCTAATTTTTTTTTTTTTTTTGTATTTTTAGTAGAGATGGGGTTTCACCATGTTAGCCTGGATGGTCTTGATCTCCTGACCTTGTGATCCACCTGCCTCAGCCTCCCAAAGTGCTGGGATTACAGGCATGAGCCACAGCACCCAGCCCATTCATTGACTTTTTGAAGGTTTTTTTGTGTCTCTATCTCCTTCAGTTCTGCTCTGATCTTAGTTATTTCTTGTCTTCTGCTAGCTTTTGAATTTGTTTGCTCTTGCTTCTCTAGTTCTTTTAATTGTGATGTTAGGGTGTTGACTTTAGATCTTTCTTGCTTTCTCCTGTGAGCGTTTAGTGCTATAAATTTCCCTCTAAACACTGCTTTAGCTGTGTCCCAGAGATTCTGGTACATTGTGTCTTTGTTCTCATTGGTTTCAAAGAACTTATTTATTTCTGCCTTAATTTCATTACTTACCCAGTAGTCATTCAGGAGCAGGTTGTTCAGTTTCCATGTAGTTGTGCAGTTTTGAGTGAGCTTCTTAATCCTGATTTCTAATTTGATTGCACTGTAGTCTGAGAGAGTGTTTGTTGTGATTTCCGTTCTTTTGCATTTGCTGAGGATTGTTTTACTTCCAATTATGTGATCTATTTTAGAATAAGTGCTATGTGGTGCTGAGAAGAATGTATATTCTGTTGATTTGGGGTGGAGAGTTCTGTAGCTGTCTATTAGGTCCTCTTGGTCCAGAGCTGAGTTCAAGTCCTGAAAATCCTGTTAATTTTCTGTCTCATTGATCTGTCTAATATTGACAGTGGGGTGTTAAATTCTCCCACTATTATTGTGTGGCAGTCTAAGTCTCTTTGTAGGTCTCGAAGAACTTGCTTTATGAATCTGGGTGCTCCTGTATTGGGTGCATATATATTTAGGATAGTTAGCTCTTCTTGTTGCATTGATCCCTTTACCATTATGTAATGCCCTTCTTTGTCTTTTTTGATCTTTGTTGGTTTAAAGTCTGTTTTATCAGAGACTAGGATTGCAACCCCTGCTTTTTTTTGCTTCCCATTTGCTTGGTAAATCTTCCTCCATCCCTTTATTTTGAGCCTATGAGTGTATTTGCTTGTGAGATGGGCCTCCTGAATAAAGCACACCAATGGGGCTTGACTCTTTATCCAATTTGCCAGTCTGTGCCTTTTAATTGGGTCATTTAGCCCATTGACATTTAAGGTTAACATTGTTATGTGTTAATTTCATCCTGTCATTATGAGGCTAGCTGGTTATTTTGCCGATTAGTTGATGCAGTTTTTTCATAGTGTCAATGGTCTTTACGTTTTGGTTTGTTTTTGCAGTGGCTGGTACCAGTTGTTCCTTTCCATATTTAGTGCTTCCTTCAGGAGCTCTTGTAATGCAGGGCTGGTGGTGACATAATCCCTCAGCATTTGCTTGTCTGTAAGAGTTTTTATTTCTCCTTTACTTACGAAGCTTAGTTTGGCTGCATATGAATTTCTGGGTTGAATATTCTTTTCTTTAAGAATATTGAATATTGGCCCCCACACTCTTCTGGCTTGTAGGGTTTCTGCAGAGAGATCCACTGTTAGTTTGATGGGTTTCCCTTTGTGGATAACCTGACCTTTCTCTCTTGCTGCCCTTAACATTTTTTCTTTCCTTCATTTCAACCTTGATGAATCTGATGATTATGTGTCTTGGGGTTGCTCTTCTCGAGGAGTATCTTTGTAGTGGTCTCTGTATTTCCCGAATTTGAATGTTGGCCTGTCTTGCTAGGTTGCGGGGGGTTCTCCTGGATAATATCCTGAAGTGTGATTTCCAACTTGGTTCCATTCTCCCTGTCACTTTCAGGTACACCAATCAAACATAGGTTTGGTCTTTCCACATAGTCCCATATTTCTTGGAGGCTTTTTTCATTCCTTTTCATTCTTTTTTCTCTAATCTTTTCTTCATGCTTTATTTCATTAAGTTGATCTTCAATCTCTGATATCCTTTCTTCTGCTTGATTGATTCGGCTATTGATGTATGTGTATGCTTCACGATGTTCTCGTGCTGTGTTTTTCAGTTCCATCAGGTCATTTATGTTCTTCTCTAAACTGGTTATTCTAGTTAGCAACTTCTCTAACCTTTTATCAAGTTTCTTATCTTCCTTGCATTGGTTTAGAACAGGCTCCTTTAGCTTGCAGGAGTTTGTTATTACCCACCTTCTGAAGCCTACTTCTGTCAATTTGTCAAACTCATTCTCCATCCAGTTTTGTTCCATTGCTGGCGAGGAGTTGTGATCCTTTGGAGGAGAAGAGGTGTTCTGGGTTTTAGAATTTTCAGCCTTGTTGTGCTGGTTTTTCCTCATCTTCGTGGATTTATCTACCTTTGGTCTTTGCTGTTGGTGACCTGTGGATGGAGTTTTTGCATGGTCGTCCTTTTTGTTGATGTTGATGCTATTGCTTTCTGTTTGTTAGTTTTCCTTCTAACAGGCCCCTCTTCTGCAGATCTGCTGGAATTTACTGGAGGTCAACTCCAGACCCTGTTTGCCTGGGTATCATGAGTGAAGGCTGCAGAACAGCAAAGATTGCTGCCTGCTCCTTCCTCTAGAAGCTTCATCCCAGAGAGGCACCTGCCAGATGCCAGCTAGAGCTCTCCTGTATGAGGTGTCTGTCGACCCCTCCTGGGAGGTGTCTCCCAGTTAGGAGCCACCAGTGTTAGGGACCCACCTGAGGAGGCAGTCTGTCCCTTAGCAGAATTCAAGCACTGTGCTGTGAGATCGGCTGCTCTCTTCAGAGCTGGCAGGCAGGAACGTTTAAGTCTGCTGAAGCTGTGCCCGTGGCCGCCCCTTCCCCCAGGTGCTCTGTCCCAGGGAGATGGAAGTTTTATCTATAAGCCCATGACTGGGGCTGCTGCCTTTCTTTCAGAAGTGCCCTGACCGGAGAGAAGGAATCTAGACAGGCAGTCTAGCTATAGTGGCTTTGTGGCGCAGTGGTGGGCTCTACCCAGCCCGAACTTCCAGGTACCTTTGTTAACACTGTGAGGGGAAAATCACTTACTCAAGCCTCAGTAATGGCAGACACCCCTCCCCCCACCAAGCTGGAGCATCCCAGGTTGACTTCAGACTGCTTTGCTGGCAGCAAGAATTTCAAGCCAGTGGATCTTAGCTTGCTGGGCTCCATGGGGGTGGGACCCACCAAGCCAGACCACTTGGCTCCCTGGCTTCAGTCCCCTTTCCAGGGGAGGGAAAGGTTCTGTATTGCTGGCATTCCAGGTGCCACTGGGGTATGAAAAAAACTCCTGCAGCTAGCTCAGTGTCTGCCCAAATCACCACCCAGTTTTGTATTTGAAATCCAGGGTTATTGTGGTATAGCCACCTGAGGGAATCTCCTGGTCTGTGGGTTGTGAAGACTGTGGGAAAAGCGTAGTATCTGGGCTGTAATGCACTGTCCCTCACGGCACAGTCCCTCATGGCTTCCTTTGGCTAGGGGAGGGAGTTCCCCGACCCCTTGTGCTTCCCAGGTGAGGCAACACCCCACCCTGCTTCTGTTTGCCCTCCATGGGCTGCATTCACTGTCTAACCAGTCCCATTGAGATGAACCAGGTACTTCATTTGGAAATGCAGAAATCACCTGCCTTCTGCGTTGATCTCACTGGGAGCTGCAGACTGGAGCTGTTCCTATTCGGCCATCTTGCCAGGTATCTCTTTTTTTTTTTTTTTTTTTTTTTTTTTTTGAGACGGAGTTTCACTCTTGTCACCCAGGCTGGAGTGCAATGTCATGATCTTGGCTCACTGCAACCTCTGCCTCCCGGGTTCAAGCAATTCTCCTTCCTCAGCCTCCTGAGTAGCTGGGATTACAGGTGCCCATCACCACGTCCAGTTAATTTTTTTGTATTTTTAGTAGAGACGGGGTTTCGCCATGTTGGCCAGGCTGGTCTCAAACTCCTGACCTCAGGTGATCCACCTGCCTTGGCCTTCCAAAATCCTGGGATTACAGGCGTGAGCCACCATGCCCAGCCAAGAATTTTTATTTGATACATAAACACATGGTATCTTTGGTAAAGTAATACAAGAATAATATTTCAGGATTTCCTTTCTCCATAAATGTTTGTACCTAGCTTTAGCAGTTGTAACACTACTGAGGTTTTTTATGGCTTTTTTAAAACATTGGTTGAGATGGAACTATGGGTGCTGATTTTAATTTTCATATGACCAAATAAAGATGCATGTGACCCCAGGAGGTTTCTTCTAGGACAGCAGTCCCCATATTTTTTTGTCCTATGGTTCCTTTTCATCCTTAAAATTTCTGAGAATCCAATTTGCTTTTGTTTATATGGGTTATTTCTATTGATACTCTTTTAAAAACTAAAACTGAGAGAACTTAAAAATATTAGTTCACTTTAAAATAACAAAGCTTTACATTTTATCATAAATACTTTAGAAAAATTAAGTTTGTTTTAAAAAATAAAATTAATAAAAAGAGTTGCATTTTAAAAATATTTTTGAAGATCTTTTTTGAGCCTGCCTTAATAGAAGACAGCTAGGATGTCATATCCGTTTCAGCATGTACATTGTTGTGATATGTGGTATTAGTTAAAGCATATAAAGAAAATCTGGCATCTCAATATCTATGATCTAGAAAAGGAAGAGTATTTTAATATTCTTCCAGATAATTGTGGCTATCCCTCTTTTACACTACAGCAAAACTCAACAAGTGGTCCTTTCTGAAAGGTTAACTGTAATACGGAATAAGAAACCATATCAATGAACTTTTATTTTCTGTTACATTAAAATCCACTGTTCTTTCTTACTCTTTGAATGGATCTTTTACCCAGGCATAATTTTGTAACATTTGGACTATCTTGATTCCCTGAGTTACGGAGATCTCCCAAATGTTGGTGCATTTCATTATGTAATATCAAAAACACATTCATTAATATCCCCACCATTCTCATCAGAAAAGTCTTTATGTATTGGAAAGTTATGAAGTTCATGGTGGCAAATACAAATTTTCCAAAACTCAAATTGTCACTTGCAAGCTCAAACTTTATCACTGGCAACAAATGCTATCAGTGTTCCTTAAAGTGACAGAAGCAATTTGTTCATTAAAAAAAAAAAAAATTAGCCAAGTAGTCATCTCTTAATACCAACAGTTTGTTCATTGGTCATTCTTTCAGCTGAAAATGGTGTTCCAAGAAAAACATGGTTAGTTCAACTCCACAAATCCTTTTCCTCAAGATAACCATCATAACTCACATGCAGTAGAAGTGTTTTCTATGCATACTTTCCACTTAGTCAAACAGGATTAAAAACATATATGCTCAATAGCCAAGATTTAGCAACAATAATTTATACTATTCTATTGAAGATCCTATCAAGTAAAGCTGGCCTTTTGTTTTTTAAACTGCAAGTGTGTGGCAATGACAATTAATGCAGTTTGAAACCACTTCCTTAATTTTTCCCAAGGCACCAGCTATGTTGCCTACCATTAATTTTGTACTACCATTATTATTATTATTATTATTTGAGATGGAGTCTCGCTCTGTCACCCAGACTGAAGTGCAGTGGTGCAATCTCTGCTCATTGCAACCTCCGCCTCCTGGGTTCAAGAGATTCTCCTGTCTCAGCTTCCTGAGTAGCTGGGACTACAGGCACGCACCACCACACCTGACTAATTTTTGTATTTTTAGTAGAGATGGGGTTGCACCATGTTGGCCAGGCTGGTCTCAAACTCCTGACCTCAAGTGATCTGCCCACCTCAGCCTCCCAGAGTGCTAGGATTACAGGCATGAGCCTTCGCCCTGCCTGCACTGCCATTATTTGACCACAGAAAGGGTTTATATTCATGTTTTTCTTTTTTCTTTTCTCTCTTTTTTTTTTTTTTTGAGACAGAGTCTTGCTCTGTCACCCAAAATGACTACTATCTTCTGCAATAGTGCCTTATGTAACATATCTGGGAAACACTGTATTAAATACCCTCTTTAGTCCTTTCTACTTCAACATCCAATGAAAATTTATGGTTGCATCTATCTGCCATATTATCTCTTTGAACTGACATAACTTTAGGGAATGGAGAAATTTTACCAATTTTTATTAAGCTTCAATATTCTTTTCTATGATTTGTTAATCAAGTTTTTATTTACATCTGCAGTGTCTAACACAGTGCCTGGAACAGGACATGTGTTTTGAAAATGTTTACTGCTTTATATCTTATCACTCTTAAAAGAGAATTGGAGGCACACTTTTGCAAAAACACACACAATATGACAAATGCATTCTAAAACTCCAATCAAACAAAAAGGTACAGCATGAACAATTATAACTGGGTTGTAAATTTGACCCCAAGCTTCCTGAAGTCCAAAGAAACATGAAATTTCAATCAGTCATTATAGAAAAGCCACATTATTGCCCGGGCGTGGTGGCTTATGCCTGTAATCCCAGCACTTTGGGAGGCCAAGGCAGGTGGATTACAAGGTCAGGAGTTTGAGACCAGCCCGGCCAGCATGGTGAAACCCCGTCTCTACTAAAAATACAATAAACTAGCTGGGCATGGTGGCACGTACCTGTAGTCCCAGCTACTCAGGAGGCTGAGGCAGGAGAATTGCTTAAACCTGGCAGGTAGAAGTTGCAGTGAGCTGAGATCGCACCATTGCACTCCAGCCTGGGTGACAGAGCAAGACTCCATCAAAAATAAAAATAAAAAGCCACATTATCAACTTAAATTTTAATAGGAATTGACCAGAAGATAATTGAGGGTCATGCGAAATGATTCCAAGCCACATCCAGAGGTGGACTGAGACAGTTTAATAAATATTAGATATAGACTTCTGTTCTAATTTATGACTAGTAAAATATAACTTTTCTATAATTTGACTACGTCATTGATAATTTTTATAAAAGTTACTTCTGATTATACTTGCAAGGAGCCAAGTTGTCTATGAAGTAATCTAGGGAGTTCTCTCTCTCATTTGTTGCATAAGTTAAAATCCTCTCATTATTCACTATGAAATCTCTAAACTCACAACAACACATGCCAATCATTCTAGGATTAAAGTTGGTAAGGAAGCCTACATGTATTTATTCATATATTTACGTATTCAGAAATTGAGCATCTTCTGTGTACAAAACCACAGCGTATGTGGTATAATCACCTGTGTAAGACCTTCATACTTGCTTCAAGTCAGGTATCCAGATAATATGTCATACAAATATTTTTTTTCCTAAAAAAAAAATACTTATAATACTTAAGAAGCAGCTAAAAGTAACCAACTTTTGCATTCAGTAGGGGCAAACTGTATTCAGTGCTTGGATAAGAATTCATATCAAGTATATGTGCTAATAAGCTTCGGTCTACACAATATAATATGAAGGTGTGTAGAAAATATAAATGGATTTGAAGTGATTTGGGGGACAGATGAATTAGGTGTGGAGAGAAAAAAGAGGAAGATTACATGTTAAAGCAAGAAAGTGTGAGTAACAAAACTGAGAACCAGGCTCTGTTTTCGTTTTGCAGTTACTAGTGAAGCAATCTTGAATAAACCTTTCAAAAACTTTTTCTCTCACTCTTCTAAACGTGAGTCCTTCACTACAACAAGGTGGTTATGCTCATGTCTTGGAAATTCAGGTTTAGTCTACCTAATCATTGTGGCTTTATTCAAGCTGGTCTCTATCAAAGAATAGTCTCTTCCATTCCTCTCCTCCCATTCAAAATTGTATCTGTTCTCCAAGACAGTCAAGACAGAGTTCAAACTTCATGTCATACATGAAACCATCCTCAATATTTTGCATCTCATGGCATTTTCATCCCCCTCTTAATTCTTAGAGCATGTAAAAAATGTATACCATTAATTTAGAAAATAATTCACAGCCTTTGACTCTTAACTATTTGGTCATCAGATGTTACATCTCCCTATTTAGCTGCTATTAGCCTTACAATACTAAATTCTAGCATTCTCAGTCGCTGACACAATACTAAATACATACGTGATAGTGGATCAATAAGTACTTGTAGAATTTAATGGAAATTCGCTGATCTATGAAAGATTACTTACTGCCTAACAATGATGAAGAGAGATTTCTATTAACAAGACAGTCACTAGTTATCAAAGTGATTCTTAGACCATCTGATCATTAAAAGCCTCCCAGCCGGCTGCATGAGTATCTTTAATAGGATGTTTCCCCCAAAATACTCTACCCGGACCTTCATCGTTTTCACTTTGTCTTTTTATTAAGCACACCCACTAGGCTTTCCCACCCTGTCAATTGTCTGTGGTTCATTTATTCATGTAATAGAGCTGGACAGATCATAGTGAGTAATAAAATAATGTTATTTCCCATTTCACTGTGTTGTGCCCATTTTGTTGTGTCAGGAACTCCTATATAGGGACATTATATTCATCCTTACTCATTAAGCTCTTTTCAGTTTATAGTTCCATTGGTGAATAAATGAAAGTGTTTCATTATTGTCACAGCTGTTTTGGCAAATTATAATGTTTTCATAGATTTTAACATGATTTTGACTTGCTTATTTCAGAATAAAAATAATAATAATTTATATAGTGCAAAAAGAGCAGTTATTATACTAAGTCAGTGAAGGAGCCAGCCCACGTCATGAAAATCCTCATGGCATCTTTGCTCACACATGGAAGTGCCCAGGTAGATTACATGTGACCCTGAAAAATCTGTTAGATGCGCATCACCAGGGTGACTAGAATCATCATGCTGGAATTGTGCAGCTTATTAATTCTCCTTAACTTTGCATGATGATACTTAATAGGTCTATTCTAATTCTTTCCTACATTTATATTGTTAGAGGATAAAAGGGAAGAAAAATCTTTTAAAGAACAAACACATAGGCTTGATTTGGCATCCCATATTCAATGGTCCTTTAAGACAATATACTTCAGTTAGCTTTTCCAAACAAGTATCATCCAAAAGGTTAACATAGGATAGATGTTAGATAAATAATGGACCTAAAGATCCAGGGATGACATTTTCTCAAGCTGGAAACAATCTGAGCAACATGAAATTAAAGAGCCCGCATAGCAAAGACAATCCTAAGCAAAAAGAACAAAGCTGGAGGCATCACACTACCTGACTTCAAACTATACTACAAGGCTACAGTAACCAAAACAGCATGATACTGGCACCAAAACAGATATACAGACCAATGAAACAGAACAGAGGCCTCAGAAATAACACCACACATCTACAACCATCTGATCTTTGACAAACCTGACAAAAACAAGAAATGGGGAAAGGATTCCCTATTTAATAAATGGTGTTGGGAAAACTGGTGAGCCATATGCAGAAAGCTGAAACTGGATCCCTTCCTTACACCTTATACAAAAATTAATGCAAGATGGATTAAAGATTTAAACATAAGACCTAAAACCATAAAAACCCTAGAAGAAAGCCTGGGCAATACCATTCAGGACATAGGCATGGGCAAAGACTTCATGACTATAATACCAAAAGCAATGGCAACGAAAGCCAATATTGACAAATAGGACCTAATTAAACTAAAGACCTTCTGCACAGCAAAAGAAACTATCATGAGAGTGAACAGGCAATCTACAGAATGGGAGAACATTTTTGCAATCTATCCATCTGACAAAAGGTTAATACCAAGAATCTGGAAAGAACTTAAACAAATTTACAAGAAAAAAACAACCCCATCGAAAGGTGGGTGAAGGATATGAATAGACACTTCTCAAAAGAAGACATTTATGCAGCCAACAAATATATGAAAAGAAAAGCTTATCATCACTGGTCATTAGAGAAATGCAAATCAAAATCACAACAAGATAACATCTCACGCCAGTTAGAATAGTGATCATTAAAAAGTCAGGAAACAACAGATGCTGGAGAGGATGTGGAGAAATAGGAACGCTTTTACACTGTTGGTGGGAGCATAAATTAGTTCAACCATTGTGGAAGACAATGTGGCGATTCCTCAAGGATCTAGAACTAGAAATACCATTTGACCCAGCAATCCCATTGCTAGGTATATACCCAAAGTATTATAAATCATTCTACTATAAAGACACATGGACACATATGTTTATTGTGGCATTGTTCACAATAGCAAAGACTTGGAACCAACCCAAATGCCCAACAATGATAGACTGGATAAAGAAAATGAGGCACACATACACCATGGAATACTATGCAGCCATGAAAAAGGATGAATTCATGTCCTTTGCAGGGACATGGATGAAGCTGGAAACCATCATTCTCAGCAAACTAACACAAGAACAGAAAACCAAATACCACATGTTCTCACTCATAAGTGGGAATTGAACAATGAGAACACATGGATATGGAGGCAGGGGCATCACACACTGGGGCCTGTCAGGGGTGGGGGGCTGGGAGAGGGATAGCTTTAGAAGAAATACCTAATGTAGATGACAGGTTGATGGGTGCAGCAAACCACCATGGCACTTGTATACCTATGTAACAAACCTGCACATTCTGCACATGTACCCCAGAATTTAAAGTAGAATATATATATTATATATATATATTCCCTTTATATATATATTATATATATATATTCCCTTTATATATATATATTATATATATTCCCTTTATATATATTATATATATATATTCCCTTTATATATATATTATATAGATATATATTCCCTTTATATATATATTATATATATATTCCCTTTATATATATATTATATATATTCCCTTTATATATATATTATATATATTCCCTTTATATATATTATATATATTCCCTTTATATATATAATATATATATATTCCCTTTACATATATATTATATATATATTCCCTTTATATATATATAATATATATATATATTCCCTTTATAATTACCTTGAGACTTCATGTAATTGATCTAATTACACCCCCTATGTGAAGCATTCACATTGCCTTTTTATGATCGAAACCTAAACTTTAATATGTTCTTCATGAATCATTGATGGCAGGCCCAAACTGAAACCCAGAAGAACTGCTGAGCTAAGAAATCTTCAACTCTGTCAGCTAATTCAGCAAAAAGAATTTACAACAAAGAATCCTTAAGGATGTGTGTGACTTGTCTGGTGCAGCATTTTCAGGACTAGGAGGAATCACACATCTCGAGGATCCACCCAGAATTCCTCAGGAGTTATATTTATCATCACAAATGGTCCTGCTAAAACACTGAAGACAGATGACTTGTAGCATAGTATTTTGTGATCTGTATTGAACAATCCATTTGATCAGAGATCTAAACTCAGAATTAGAATTGCTGTAAATCTTTAATAATCACTAGAACCCTTCCTACCATTTATGATATGCTCTGTTTCAGATACCGAGCCCAATTAAATTGACATTAATGTCACCATTTTACAGATATCTGAAAATCAATGAAGTTAAATAACTTGCAACAGGTCACGCAGCTAAAAATTAGAAAGAGACCAAATGGAAGAGTGTGAAGTGAGGTGTAAGTGGAAAGAAGGACTAATATATAAAAGGTGTCATATGGATAATAAACATTTTATTCTTTATTCTGAGAACAATGTGATGCTACTGGAAGATTTTTAGAAAAAAAGAATGAGATGACATAGAATAGATGTGGATACGTCACTTGAGGGGCAAATGTAGTGGTCCAGATAAAAGTAGATAGTAGCTTGGACAAGAATGATGCTGGTGGAAAGGTTAAAAACAGGAACATTTGAGAGATATTCAGTATGATCACATTGACAGGAGTTGGTGATATATTGGATATGAAGAGTAAGGGAGAAGTCAGCATCAAGAACAACTCATGGGTTTCTGGCTAATAGAAATAGACCGATGAGAATATCCTTTACTGAGATAAAGAGTACTGAGTGATGCACGGCAAAATTCTAAGTTCTGGGTGGGACATGTTGAGTTTAAGATATGCTTGAGATATCAAGAGAAGTCAGTGGACAGTTGGACATAGGGGATTGAATTTAGATGGGAGGTCTTAAATGAAAATATACCTTTGTCAGTCATCTGGGCATCCATGGTAATTGAAATATAGTTTGGGCTGAGATTTCTTAGGGGAGGAATATAGCATAAGGAAAAACGGGGGGTGGGGAGCAAGGACTATGCTTTGAGGAAGATGGGCACGCATGAAGGACGCAGAAGAACTGGTCAGAAAATTTAAAATAATAAAAAAGTGTACAAGAAAAGTTGAGAGAAGAAATTATCTCAAATAGAAGGGTGTGGTTATCAGAGTCAGATCAGGTAATTGAGCTCTGACATTATTCATTGAATTCAGCTACATTGAAGACATTGGTGATGTTCACAAACAGTATTTTGGTAGATTGTTGAGGGCATAAGTTAGATTGCAATGGATTTGAGAGGAGTAAAAAAAAATGGAGACAATGATTATAGACAACTCAAGAAATGTGGTTGTGAATAGGGAGAGGAGAAATAGGACAAAAACTTAGGAGGGTTATGTGAGGTTCAGGAATTTATTTTATCTAAGAGAGATTTAAACAAGTATAAGTGTGCATAGAAATGATCCATACTCATGGTGGAGGTGAAGACTGTGATCCACATGCCAAAGTCATTAATAAATGGACACCCAGAGGCTGCCAGATGACATAAACCAGGAAATAAAAAGAATGATAGAGCTGAATGGCATGAGTTTCAAAATATTTTTTTCTTATAGAAGAGTAAGAGAGTGCTAAGTTGGAAGAAGCAAAGATAACAACAGTTTGTTTCATCACCAACCGCAGGTTTGGCACGAGTAGTAAAAGAATAAATAGCACTGCTTTGAGAGAGCTATAAGAAACGTCCTGTCCTCAGAAGATGGGCTGGTTTCAGCAAAGGCAAGAAGGACTTGGGAAAATTGAGAAGAGGTTAGGATACAAGGGCCTCTGTCTATTAGACTGTGAGATCCTGGAGATCAAGGATTCTGCCATATTGATGAGGTAGTTTAGACCTATGGTTCTCAAAGCTTTAGAGTGTATCAGAATCACTTGCAGGGCCTGCTAAAACACAGATCACTGTGTCCCACCCTCAGTTTCTGATTTACTAGACTTCAGGTGAGCTCAAAAATATGCATATCTAACAAATTCCCAGGAGATGCTGATGCTGCTGTCTGGGAATCACATTTTGAGAACTCCTGGGATAATCTATGCTGTGTGATAACAAACCCTGAAATCCCATTGGCTTAATAAAATAAAAGTTTATTTTCGCTTATTTGAAGTGTAACTGAGTAGCTCTCCAGGGCAGTCCTCTTCTGAGCAGAAATCCAGGAATCCAGGTTGCTCCTCCCTTGTAGTAATGCCATCTGGAACTTGTGGCCTCTAAGGTCAAAAGGCAAGGGAAGAGAGACATGGAGAGTCACTTGAGATGTTTTCAGCAGTCAGTTCTGGAAATGGTTTATTATCTCTGCTCAGCTCCCATTGATGAGAACTTAGTCTCATGGTTCAAACATTCCTGCAAGGGAGACTGGGTGTAAATGTAAAGGAGAGAACATGAATGTTTTGTGAACATTAATCATCTCTGTCAGGGCATCTTCTGTCTCTAACTTCAGCAGAGGGAATGATACCAGTTAAGATCAAGAGGTCAATGTATATTGCCTGGTTCAATAAATGGAATAGAATTTAATAGTTATTTACTAAAACCTGGGTTTTAGCTTTCCTTCAGACAAAGCACCCCTTACAACTAACTGCTATTACCTATTCATATCCCCAACACACACACACACACACAAATCATGGCCTCCTCTGAGTTATCTTTTCTCACCTTGCCAGGCTCAACTTTTCATTGCTACATTTGGGACATTCATAGATTGAAGTGATATGCACATGCTGAAATG
The DNA here is from genome assembly GCF_000001405.40 of Homo sapiens. Classification (NCBI taxonomy): domain Eukaryota; kingdom Metazoa; phylum Chordata; class Mammalia; order Primates; family Hominidae; genus Homo; species Homo sapiens. The sequence continues at coordinate 82,820,066 of NC_000006.12, forward strand.
GAAAAGGAAATTATACTGATTAAAAAAGCAAGGCTATTTCAAGTTCACTCCCCTTTGCTATGAATTCAAACCTTTGAAGTAGAGTATTGGGTTCAACAAGCAGCCTTATTTTTGAGAAGGCTATACCCTTGGGATGCTCCACTTCCCGTATTACCTTCAAGGTCTTTATTATATTCTAGGGCTGGAGATGGCCGAGTGACAGGAGAGCTGACAGTTCTATTAGCCATAGAGGGAGGACAGGTCAATCAAGACTTCTCACATCTCTAGGTAATAAACTGGGTTTCCAAAAGTAACCCAGATTCCAGCAGGACGGGCCGCAAAGTCTCGTTACAAGATGAAGTGGGCTCTTCAAGGGCAGCTTTTACCTCTAATATCCTCCAGCACCCACTTGAAATAGAAAGCATTAGTCTCATTTCTAACATGCTTCCTGCCAACCTCTGGTAGTACCTAGTGCAGAGTACAGAAATACAAACAAGAGAAAGACAGCAATTTTCTGGGCTCCATGGTGCCAGGAGAGCAAGCTTTATCCTCTACCACTGTGGTCTTGCAGAAAGGAAAAGATGATATGATGGGTACTTGAGGTAAACAGACATTTTGATTCCAATCCATGGAGATGAAAGAGGTAACGTTTTAATCTTATTTTCATCTCATTTTCATATTATTTTTTATCTCCAATTGAAGCACAAATCTCACAATGCTTAATAATTACTTTGTGTGACAAGTACATCTCTTTTAGGAAAAATGAGAAAACTAAGGAAAAAAATGAAAGAAATTCCAATGAGGAGTAAAAATGTACTTATTATTCAGTGTCTCAATATAATTGATATAATGGAGAAGTTTCAGCAGTTAGATGTTTTCTTAGAAATATTTTCACAGCATATCATAGATAAAAATTACATTAAAACATGTAGTACCTAGCTGCTGCTTTGAATGTTTGCATAGTACAAATATGTTTAGCCTCAAGTTTTCATGACAGAGACCAAAGGAACAAAAAGTTAGTTTCTTAATTCTTGACCTTAGTGAGATGCCTTTCAAAAGGAGGCTGAGACATTTGTAATAACTGTCACTGAATTCACTTTTCAGACATAAAACTGTGCTGAGACTTACACAAATATGATCTGCATTCAGATTTCTACGCATCTTGGGAAATGATTGGCTGAATAATATTGTATTTGTAAAATGTTATTGTGGCTTAAGAGGCAGTCCACAGGGAGGAGAAGTTGTTTCAGCATCAGTAATGAATGCCTTATTTTTTTATATGCTGCTGTAGAGATCTGAGACCCAGAGCTGTCCAGTCTCTATCAACACGCAACGCTCCACAGATCAGTGTTTATTAGGGTGCTTTTAAAGAGACAAAAATGATATTGTTCTAGGATCAATTCTGCATTCAGTCTGTAAATGCAGTCGTCCCTTGGTATCCATGGGGAATTGGTTCCAGGACCCCCCTCAAATACCAAAATCCACGGATGCTCACATCCCTTAGATAAAGTGGGGTAGTATATGCATATACCCTATGTACATCCTCCCATATACTCTAAATCATCTCTAGATTACATTTAATACATAATACAATGCCTATATATCACTTCATTCACATAGAATCAACATAGTGCTTGGCATATGGCAAATTCAAATCTCGCTTTTTGGACCTTTGTGGATTTTTTTAATATTTCAAAAATATGTAAAAGATTTGTAAAATCTGCAGTTGGTTGCATCCATGCAGTTGGATAGGAACCTGTGGATCTGGAGGGCTGACTGTATTTATTGGAGGGCTATTATGTTCAATAGAAATACTTCTACATAATTTTCTACAATACTTAACTGAATATAGAGAAAAGCAAAAGCATGAGCCTAGGAACCATATTTCAGATTTCAGAACGTAAATAGTGAGAGCAAGTTTAAGGGATAAATATATGTGAAATTGCATTGTAACTTATTCAAAACCTATGTGGTATAATGGTAGGGTTTTTTGGATTTTTCAAATGTGAGACTTAAGTTTCTGTATCACTCTATCATTTTCTATCTGTGGATCACAGAAAAATTACTTAAGCTCACTGAGCCTCAGTTTCCTTATCCGTAAAAGAAACATAATATTATTTACCTGTAGAGCTGACATGAGAATTAAATGAGATATATGAAAGAGCCTAATGTGTCATAAATGTTCAATAAATGGTAGCCATAACTGAGCTATATTATCATTCAGCCTTCTGTGAACAGGTTATATTCTATTAATATATTAATTACATATATTATATTTATATATATTTATATATATTAAATGCTGCTTATCGGCCAGGCATGGTGGCTCACACCTGTAGCCCCAGCATATTGGGAGGCTGAGGCAGGAAGAGTGCTTGAGCCCAGAAGTTGGAGACCAGCCCAGGAAACACAGTGAGTAGAGACCTCATCTCTACAAAAAATAAACAAAATTAGCTGGGCATGGTGGGACATGCCTGCAGTCTCAACTGCTTGGGAGGCTGAGGTGGGAGGATGGCTTGAGCCTGGGAAGGCAAGGCTGCAGTGAGCCAAGATCATGTCTCAAGAAAAAAAAAAAAAAGAAAAGAAATAAAAATGATTTTTATTGAAAAGGATGTGATTTCTAAAAAGAAAGCTTTGTTTATAAAAAATTTTTAAAGGATTTTTAAAAAGTTTAAATGATCATACATTTAACAGTTAACATCAAACATATATTAGCTTGTAAGTATCTATTAACCTAGAAAGTAGGTTTATGTTCCAAAGTAAATGTGGATGAAAAATAAGAGAAAATTAATTCTGATTTGCTATTTCATTATACTTTCTATTGGATGTTTGGATTTTTAAATTTCCATTGACCTTTAAACTGTTTATGTATCACAAGGCACATTTTTAAATGTTCTTTTGGACACATCCCTAGACAATTTAAAAGAAACAAGCTAATCCTGGATATCAACTACAGCACACACATTGAAGTTTACCAAACACCATGTAAGGGAAATGTGATTCCTGAGTCATAGGGTCTAAAGAATTGTAGACATGAAAGTTATTTTAAAAGTTGGTCATTTTTAATTAGCTCCTGTAACATCATTTGTCATGGTAAAGTGTGAGAGACCTGTTCATAAATATTGGAATTTGAAGGTTGCATTTATAGATAACATAGCTTCTAGGCTTTTTCTAACTGGTCAATTGTCTACAAGTCGTCTGTCACAAGGACTAGACACACATTCTTATAGCTCTCAAAAATATTCATTTCTAGAAGATCATAGTCACAGTTCCTTAAAAGAAAAACATTAAAAGACATGTGTTATTAAAAAATTAATATGTCTTTTTACCAATATGAAGTTCCTGGATTTCATTTGCCACACTGTTCAATGAGTTAAATGTCAGAAATCAGTAACAAAGCCTATATGTTCCATGCCATCTCTGACAACAGTGTAAATTAAAAGGCTGTCAAGTTATTTAGTTTTAAAGATGAAGGTAGACTTTCTGGCAGTCACATTTTCCATCACTGATGACTCTGACCATATCCAAAGAGGATATGAACTAACAAAACCCAGACAGGGCAGGAAGGAGAAGGACAAAAGGAAGTAAAAAGCATAATGAAAAACAGAAAAAGAACAGTTTCCATAGCAGAAATAGAAGTAATGGAAGTAAATAGTTATTTTTCCAACTACCTTGAATATAAACAGAACTCAAGAAAATCAGAAATTTTTTTTTTCAGTAAGATACAGTAAATAAACAAAAAGACATCCCTTCAGAATCAGCTGTTTTTAACTTAAATGCAATTGTCCTTGTGGGGAAAAACACACTCTAAGCAAACGTTTTCAAACTGCATTATAAATACAGATTATATTTCATGTCTTAGTGTTAGGAATGGCTGAGTACGCCTGCTAGACATTTGGCTCTCCTACCCAATCCAAGCAGTGGTACCAAGGCAGCAGCTCTGATGAAATGATTTGAGAATGAAAGGAGGATTTGGGAAACTAATTGGATTTCTTATCTAACTTGTCCTTTTGGAAAGAAATGAGTCTCATTTCTTTCACGAAAGTGAATTCTAGAATTAGGATTCATTTATGCTAATTTCTGTATAGATATCTGGTTGTGCTATTTTTATATACAATATCATATCTGTATATTTTCCCACAAAAATACTAAAATGAACAATCACACAAGCAAAGATTAGTGTTAATCTGTTCAGATGTCAAATTCCTATAGAGGTTAAAGACTAATACTTGATGGTGTTTATACTGTTACAGTGAGATACCATTAAAATAGATGGATTTAGAATACTGCTGTCAAAATATGCTCCCTAAATTGTAATTCAATACAGTAAAATTTCTGATTCAATAAGGCCCAGTGTGACTGTCAGGTAACATTACCTTGTAATGGATTCCACTACATACACGTTTATCCACACAAGCACATTAATAAATGTATAGGCAAAATGCCATGTTTTGAAAAATTGTGAACAGTAAATAGCATTCGTTTCTGATCTTTCTATTATTAATTTTTGTTTCTTCTGTAGCTGTCATGTATAACTAGGCTGTTTGCATTATATGAGCATTCCCCAGAATACAATATTTAAGAAAGAATTCTACAAATCCAAGATAGCAGTGTCCACAGGTCCCAGACATATGGTATATACTTGTCCTTTGAGTTACTGCTTGCTTAAAAAAACCAGAGTGGTTTCCAGCACAGACACAAGATGGGACAACTCCTAATGCACTTCCCTTCTTGGGTACTTTCTAGGTAACTGACATTGTCCAGCAGGTGTATATTTCTTCTCATTTGAGAGTCAAACGCAGAAGCTAGCATTGATTATGAATATGTGACAGAAAGAACATAGTAACATGTACAATGAGTTCAACCAAAAAAAACCCTATATATTCTTTCTGGGTTATGTGGTACTTTCACATGCTTAACAATACTGTAGATACCATTCTATAGTTTGCATGGGTTTAAGGTGATTCCAGACCCATCATCTTCCACTTCCCCTTCCATTCCTTTCCCTTCCCTAGAAACTTAGTTCTAAAGCCATTAGGTAGGACAGAATAACATAGGTGTCCAGACCAGGACGGGGACAGGAGGCACAGTGGTCCACAGCAGGTATCAGAGCCCAAGGAGGGTGAGGAAGGTATACGTGTCAGAAAGGACCCTGTGTGGGGTGTCAGAGCCAGAGCTGGGTGATGAGGGAACATGCCCAATGAAGGGTGTGATAGCTGTGATAAGAAATTGGTGACTTTTGGGAGAACTGATCAAATAAAAAATACATTAAGCATACTGGGTACCAGGTGTCTCCCTGTCAGAAAAGGGAACTACCAATATGAAAAGAGAGGAAACTAGCATGAGGCCTGTGGTGTTGGATTGGAAGGTATCAGGGTGAACTCATAGTTTTGTGTGTGTGTGTGTGTGTGTGTGTGTGTGTGTGTGTGTTTTCATACAGAAATAGATATACATAAAAATGTGTGTATACATGTATGTATTCACACACACACACACGTATATTCTCTAGCTCTGTCTACTGATATTGTGATCCCAGTAGCAAGGACCATATGAGCACTCAGATCTGAATACCGTTCTTCACTGAAAGAAATGAGAGCTCCTTGGAAAAGTGGCTAATTCCAGGGCCAGAGCAGGGAAAACATGAAATGAGCTGGATGGCACATCTTGTTGTGCCAGAAAACAAGAAAATGCTCACAGAATGAATGAGATATTTCAAAAGAATACAGAAATCATCCTGAAGGGGTTCCCACTGGTCAAATCTAAGACAATTGGGTCATTAAAATACTTAATGGTAATAATGAATTAAAATGCATTGAATTTGGAAACCCTAAGAAAATCGAGTTAGAAATAAATATGCAAGCAAATTGAAAGTATAATATTTACATATTTTTACAGTTTCACAACAATGTCCTACAAAATATTTGCTAATTACAGAGGAAAAAAAGAATAAGATTGTGGGGAAACCTGGCAGAAACTACTTTAATCAAGTGATGAAAGTGAACATCATCAGTAATGGAACTGATCAGAATTGGTGCCATGTGCGAGGATGCAATGAGAAAAAGCCTGCATCACTTCTGTGATGTTCCTGCAAAAGATGTATAATCAGAATCTAATCATGAGAAAACATCAGACAAACCTAAATTCAGGAACATTCTCCAAAAACAATGACTTGTAACCAAAAATAGCGAAGCTGTGAAAGTTAAAACAACAACAACAACAACAACAACAACAACAACAAACAAGTAAGGAAGTGCTCCAGAGGGAATGAGCCTAAAGAGACATGATACTGAATGCAACCTGTGATTCCGAACTGGATTATTTTGCTATAAAGTACATTATTAGGACATTTGGTGAATGGAGTCTGAAGATAAGATGGTCATACTTCATTCATGTTAATTTCCTGACTTTGATGGTTGTTATGGCTGAATCGTATCCTTCTCCCCAAATTTACATGCTGAAGCCTAACACCCAGCACCTCAGAAGTGACTGTTTTTGGAGACAAGGTCTTTAAAGAGGTGACAGAGTAGGTGGTTGCAGTGGCTCATGCCTGTAAACCCAGCACTTTAGGAGGCCGAGGCGGTCAGATCATGAGGTCAGGGGTTCGAGACCAGCCTGGCCAACATGGTGAAACCCCGTTTCTACTAAAAATACAAAAATTAGCTGGGCATGGTGGCAGACACCTGTAATCGCAGCTACTCAGGAGGCTGAGGCAGGAGAATCATTTGAACCCGGAAGGCGGAGGCTGCAATGAGATGAGATTGTGCCATTGCACTCCAGCCTGGGCGATAGGGTGAGACTCTGTCTCAAAAAAAAAAAAAAAAAAAGAAGCGACTAAGTTAACATGAGGCCATTGGGTGGGCCCTAATCCAATCTGACTGGTTTCTTTATAAAAGTAGGAAATTTGGACACAGAGAGAGAGATATAAGGAGTGCCATGTGAGGACACAATGAGAAGGCAGCCATCTGCCAGTCAAAGAGAGAGACTTCAGGAGAAACCAAAGCTGCTGACCCATTGATCTTGGACTTCCAACCTCCAGAACTGTGAGCAAAATAAATCTCTGTTGTTTAAGCCACCCAGTCTGTGATAGTTTGTTATGACAGCACTTTCAATTTAATATAATGATTATATTGTGGTTATGTAAGAGACTTCTTGTTTGAAGGAAATTAAAGAAACAGGAGTGATGAGGTTTTAGGTTACTAGCTTATACTTAAGTGTTTCAGGAAAAAATATTCTTTGAAATGGACTTACAAATTTTCTGTAAGTTTTTTATTGTTTCAAAATAAAAATATATATTACAACTTAAAAGTCCCAAAAGGAGTGTTTGCAGAGTTAAGAGAAGAGCAGAAAGGATAAACTCCATACTGTTTTTGACACATTCACACAAATGCTTTTCCAGGTCACTGCCAATGACAGGTTGAGTGGAAATGGGTTTAAACTGAAAGATTAAATATATGAGTGAACAGCAAACTATTGCAAGGACAAAAAACCAAACACCACATGTTCTCACTCATAGGTGGGAATTGAACAATGAGAACACATAGACAGAGGAAGGGGAACATCACACACCGGGGACTGTTGTGTGGTGGGGGGAGGGGGGAGGGATAGCATTAGGAGATATACCTAATGCCAAATGACGAGTTAATGGGTGCAGCACACCAACATAGCACATGTATACATATGTAACAAACCTGCACATTGTGCACATGTACCCTAAAACTTAAAGTATAATAATAATAAAATAAATAAAAAATAAAAAAAATATATGAGTGAAAATATATATCATCTCCTTAAATAGAAATGCTTTTACACTGTTGATGGGAACGTAAATTAGTTCAACCATTGTGGAAGACAGTGTGGCAATTCCTCAAGGATCTAGAACCAGAAATACCATTTGACCCAGCAATCCCATTACTGGGTATATACCCAAAGGAATATAAATCATTCTACCATAAAGACACATGCACACGTATGTTAACTGCAGCACTATTTACAATAGCAAAGATATGGAACCAACCCAAATGCCCATCAATGATAGACTGGATAAAGAAAATGTAGTACATATACCCTATGGAATACAATGCAGTCATAAAAAAGAATGAGATCACGTCCTTTGCAGGGACATGGATGAAGCTGGAAGCCATCATCCTCAGCAAACTAACACAGGAATAGAAAACCAAACACCGTATGTTCTCACTCATAAGTGGGAGTTGAACAATGAGAACACATGGACACAGGGAGGGGAACATCACACACTGGGGCCTCACAGGGGGTGGGGGTCAAGGGGAGGGAGAGCATTAGGACAAATACCTAATGCATGCGGGGCTTAAAACCTAGATGACAGGTTGATAGGTGCAGCAAACCACCATGACACATGTATACCTATGTAACAAACCTGCACGTTCTGCACATGTATCCCAGAACTTAAAGTAAAATAAAATTTAAATTTAAAAAAAGAAAATACATACCATCTCCTTTTAATAAAAGAGGCCCTAAAAGCATTGATTGACTGATTGATTGACCTGGTCTCACTCTGTTGCCCAGGCTGGAATTCAGTGGAGCAATCACTGCAGCCTCAATCTCCTTGGATCAAGTAATCCTCCTGCCCAAGCCTCCCCAGTAGCTGAGACTACAGGCACCAGTCACCACATTTAGCTAATTTTTTAAAATTTTTAGTAGAGACAAGGTCTCACTATGTTGCCCAGACTGGTGTTCAAGCAATCCTCCCACCTCAGCCTCCCAAAATGCTGGGATCACAGGCATGAGCCACCATGCCCAGCTGCTCTAAACGCTTTTACAAGTAGAAATTTCCTTAAATTTTATTTCTATATTTAACCGATTTAAGCATCTGCCTTCATGCTCTGTAACACTGTGGTTTCAATAGATTTCTATTCACAAACTCAATCTTGTGAGGCTTCCCAATTATGTAAGCAGTAAAAATGGAGTTACTCTGGATAAAATAATGGTTCTGGATGAAAAAAATCCAAGTTTACTCACCCTCCCTTCTCCTTCTCTCATAAGCTCAGGAATTGTGGGGTGCCTACTAAGTTTGTATTTCAATGAGGGCTCCTCTGGCTCTTTAGAAAGAGTGGTGTAGGTTTTAGGTCTTTATCCCCCCATAGACACACACACACTCATACCCAGGATTTCCTTAGCATGCATATGGGTCAGAGGAGGAGCCATGGCAAAAGGTTCTTGCCATGCTGGCAAGAAGATGGCACTGACATCTGGATGCTCTGGCACTTCAAGGTTAGCTTTACAGCCATTTCAAGGCTGCACATTTTTTCTGGAGTCCAGATAACCTCCAAAGCAAAGATTATGCTGTAATATCTGTCTAGACTGAACCAGAATACTTCTAAACCTACCTTCAGGAGCTGGGACTCTCAAGCATTGAGGGGATTGGTGTGTGTTGAAAAAGTAAGATAAAACATTGAGCTGCTGGACCCAAGAGCATCTAGACTAGAGTTGGCACCCAGAAAGCTTCAAGCGTAGCAATGGGTTCCTTGAGACTACCCTCCCTTGTTGCCCATAGCCTGCACCCCTTTAACACAAAGTCAGGATCTCCACCGTAAACTGCATTCTTGTTCAAAAATATTCATTGCTCCTGTTTGGGTAAAGATTATACTTTCCCACCCCCACTGATGTCAGGTTTGGTCTTGTGATTTCTTTTCAGCCAATAAAAAGTGCCAAAGTGACTTGTGTTACTCCTGGACAGAAGCTATAGGAACCAGCACATGGCTTGCTGTCTTTTTCCCCCTCTGTCACAAAGCTAGCAATGATCCAGGTAAAGCCTACTGTACCTGCCTGACCCCAGAGTCAACATTATGGGGAGCAGATTTGTAGTTTACCCATTGATGAACCTGTTTATGCTATCAATGTAGTGTGGATGAAAAATAAACCTTTAGGCTATACCTTTGAGGTTTTGGAGAAGTTCGTTAACATAGAAAACCTGGACCATTTTGACTAATACAATACCGTATTACCCAGTGTCATTTCATAAAAGCAAACAATTGATTAAATACTTTTCAAATATTTAGATGGATTATCAAATATTTGGTTTTAAAGATACCTTGAAAAAAATTGTGTCATATTGCTTTGTGTCTATCAAATGACTACTTGCTAGATAGTAAAGGTAAAACAGTTTGTAGACCCACAATTAGAGGTCACGAACACCATTTTAAAAATATACATTCATGCAGGGCTTTTCTTTTAACCCATCAGAGAGTGCATGCTAATTTTTTGCCCTTCCTTTATATCACGTATTACATTATCCACAGACCTTAGAGACACCTGTCCCCAACCACAAGTACCTGGGGATTGTAAGATTCTGTGCCACCTAGAGACTCATGATTGGAGCTATTTCTCACTCCTAGAATTTAAAGAACCAGAAAGTTCAAGTTCTACTGCAAGCCTCCATCTGAGAACATCACATTCAAAGGCCCCTTGTTGATAAATTATGCCATCTCAAGCAGGAGAGAGAGTAGTCGGGGCTGCTCCTATTTTTGGCTAAGAAAGAGATCTGATTCTGACAATCATCCTTCTGGAAAATGACTTTTCTACTATACCAAATTATAATAAAACAAATTTCTAAAACTCAACAGTAAGACCTAGGCAGTGTCCTACTCTTGTTTTAGCAAATCTTTTAACAAAATTAATAAAAATAGGAAAACTGTGTAACCATGACTATAAACCAAGCAACTGGAGTTCTTCCACTGGGAAGAATTTGTTTTTCTTTTAGTGAATTAGATGTTAATTCCCAAGATAATAATTTGTAAGTTTAGGACAGGAGGTGACAGATTGTCCCTCAATGGCTCAGAGAGGTAATTTGGCTAATATAATCTTGTTAATGAAGCTGGAATTTCACCAAAAATAATAGCTCAGCTCTGCCAGGGGTTGATAGAAATTCAAAAGGCCAGGCTAATGTTTTTAATTTCTGTAAAACAATATTTCTCAAACTTTATTTCTTAGAACACTATTATCCTGAAAGTTATTAACTAGAATTATGTGAGAAAAAGATGTTAATAAGTATTCTGTGAAAAATATTCAAATAAATTAGTGAAATGCCTAATATTATATCATCTTCTCTTTTTTTCCGATGTATATTAGCATATTAAAGACCCTGAAAAATAGTGCAATAAAGAAACTTGTTTTACATCATTTAACCAAGTGATTCACAAACTTACGGGGAGCACCATATAATATCCTTTGGAACTAGTAATTTTCTATAATTTGATAGGCTCCCTTGGAACTAGTAGTTCTTTGTAACTTGATCTAAAATATCAAATCTGTATAAACACCACAAGATGGTCACCCGGTTAGAACTGAATTTTCAAAACTGTCTCAAAAGTCCTCAGGGGTGATCAGACTCTGTGTGACAAAGATATACCAGTCTGAAGAGACACAGTTTAGAGCAAATGTAACCCACAAGATATCAGGCATGAAATGGTTAAACAGAAATACTCCTAAACTATTCCTGAGGCACTGCAAGTAGGGAGTGTTTAGAGGGGTTACATAGGAAGTATCATCTGGTTAGTCAAATAGTAGATGCATTTTCAACTTCAACTCCAGTTTGCAAATGTTTCTTCCAACCAAGATTTATACCCTCTGCTACCACCTCTCAACCCCCAGCCATCACCACCATGGTATACAGAAGAATGCAGATCCTACAGAAAGAGCATAGATTTAGAGCGCTCAGATTAAAGATACAAACATCTACAGCCCCACAAAGCCATCCCTGGGGTTACTAGGCAAAGACTAATCATATGATCTGTGATTAGCAGGCAACCAGTGACCTCAGCTGATCAGAAGACCCCATCAGTCCTCACCTCTGCTGGCCTCTGGTTCTGAACTGTCACCTGTGCTGTCCTAACTTGTGCCACATTGGCTTCTGCTATGCTAAGTACAGATCCTTGTAGGTCTCCCATTTTCTAGTGTCTTGAGAGCTTGGTAGAATCTTTTGAAGTGAAAAGACAAGTGCTTCCTCCAAGTAACACTCCTCCTGGCTGGATAGGGTCAGTTTCAAGTGTATGTAACATTCTTTCTCTTATATCTGAAATCATAACTTCCTCAGACCCTCAGCATCTTCACAGTTCCTACATGAAACCTGAATTTCATTGTCCTCTACCCTCATTTTCATAACATGCCCACACACACCTGAACTTCCTTGGAAGTCACAGCAAAAGACAGGTTATTATTGTTGCTTCCAGAAGATTCTTTGACCCCTCTGTATATCAGTGGATATAAATAGTTTTTTGAGACAATTACACATTTCACACATTACACTCAATTAAGTCTCAGTTCTAGACCACTTATGGCCCTTTATATATATTGTCTTAGTCTGTTCAGGCTGCTGTAAAATATCAGAGACTGGGTGGTTTAAACAACAGACATTTATTTCTCACAGTTCTGCAGGCTGGGGAGTCCAAGATCAAGGCACTGGCAGATCTAGTATCTGTGAGGGCCCTCTCTCTGATTTGCAGATGGCCATCTTCTCATTGTAGCCTCACATGGCAGAGAGCAGAGAAAGAGGCAAAGCTCTTTCATATCATTTTTTGTAAGGGTACTAATTCCATCATGAAGGCTGCACCCCCATGACCTAATTACCTTCCATAGCCCTGTCCCCAAACACCATCACACTGGTGGATTCAACATATGAATTTGGCGGGGAGGGCATAAACATTTAGTCTATAACTTTCTGCCCCTAATTCCCCAAAATCCATGTCCTTCTCACATGAAAAATACATTTATTCCATCCCAACAGCCCCAAAAGTCTTTACTCATTCCAGAATCAACTCTAAAATCTAAAGTCCAGAGTTTCATCTCAATATCATCTAAATGTGATATGGGTGAGTCTCAAGGTACTATTCATCCTAAAGTAAAATTTCTCTCTAGCTGTGACCTGTGAAGCTAAACAAGTTATGTGCTTCCAAAATACAATGGTGATTCAGGCATAGAAGAGACATCCCATTCCTGTAATCGCCTAACCGGTTCTTCCTACCTGCTGCACAGGCAAAAATCAATTCAGTGAGACCGTGGCATTGCAATAAACAAATAGTTTAATTGATGCAAGTCTGGCCATGCAGAAATTGGAGTTATTACTCAAATCAGTCTCTCAAAAGGCTCTGAGTTTAGGGGTTTTCAAGGACAGTTTGGTGGGCAGGGGACTAGGGAATGGATGCTGCTGATGGGTTGGGGATGCAATCATAGCAGTGTGGAAAATCGTTCTTATGCCCTGAGTCTGCCTCTGGGTGGGGTCAGTCACCTGTGAGTGGGGTTAGTCATTTGCCAATATGCAAAAGTCTGAAAAACATCTCAAAAGACCAATCTTAAGTTCTACAGTAGTGACATTATCTACAGAAGTAATTGGGGAAGTCACAAATCTTGTGACCTCCAGAACAATAGTTGGTATCATTTAACTACATCTACATTTTAGCAAAATTCATGCCCCTCTCATAATCCAACCTCGTGGCCTTTCATTAGTTTTACAAAAGGCAGTTTAGTTTGGGGAGGTGCTATTATCATCCTTGCTTTAAGATTAAACTATAAACTAAATGTCTCCCAAAGTTAGCTTGGCCTACACCTAGGAATGAGCAAGGACAGCCAGCCTGTGAGACTAGCAGCAAGATGGAGTCAGTCATGTTAGATTTCTCTCACTGTCATTATCTTTGCAAAGGTAGTTTCATTCCAAAAGGGAGACAAAAGAGAAAAGGAAGAGTGACAGGCCTCAAGCAAGTTCAAAACCTAGCAAGGCCAACTCTATGAGATCTTAAACCTCAGGAATAATCTTCTTTGACGCAATGCTCTGCTTTCCAGATCTACTGAGATGACAGTCCAAAATATTATGCCCCTGATCCCCCAAAATTCATTTCAATGTATGAGTTCAGTTATAATTAACAAAACTGTCATATGGAGATCGGCTGCTAACCTGAACTAAGTGAAACAGTAGATTCAAGATTGGGTGAATTTTGGTTGACAATCTACTAAGCCAACAGAGTAGACTCAAGATTCTGAATCCCTCATAGAATATTCTCTGGGTATGTTGCATATCACACTGCACAACTGCAAGCTTACTTGTTACCTATCTGGGGGAAACGGAGATTCAACCTACACAGAAGTACTCTTAATTTTCAGGTTAAGAGACAACATCAATCCAGCAGAATGTCCTCCCATAAGCTTTGGTATATTCACATTTCAATTTTGCTACTCCCTTTCTGGTTTTAGTACAGGGAGTCCATTTTAACATATCACTTTTCTCCAGATAAGTATAATCTTTTTAACCTTCTTGCAACCTAAGGAAGATTGTCTCCCCTGACCTCTTGAGCCTGACTTTTTATTACCTGGCCCCATGTGTTTGTTTACTTGTATGTTATGTTGTTCTTGCACTGCTATAAAGAAATACCCAAGGCTGGGTAATTTATAAGAAAAGAAGTTCAATTGGCTCACCGTTCTGCAGGCTGTACAGGAAGCATAGCACCGGCATGCGCTTCTGGTAAGGCCTCAGGAAGGTTACAATCATGGCAGAAGGCAAAGGGAGAGCAAGGCATCTCACTAGGCAAGAACAAGAGAGTAGTGGGGGAATGTAATACACACTTTTAAACAACCAGATCTCTCAAGAAATCAGTCACTATTGCAAAGTCGGCCCCAAGCCATAAGGGACCCACTCCATAACCCAAACACCTCCAACCAGGCCCCACCTCCAAAATTGGGGATTACATTTCAATATGAGATTTGAGGGAACACATATCCAAACTATATCAAATTGGGAAGTTCCTGTTGTTGTTTAGAGGTTTTTTCCTCCTATCCTAAGTAATGTTCATCCCCTCCAAAAGTTTATGTACTGAAAAGGCTACCAGCCTTTCAGCTGAAAATTATGACAAAAGCAACAATATATTTACAGCATTTGGACCAAACTCTTGACAAATAATTTAAATATAATTGGTAGAGTTAGGAAAAAAAAAACCTTTCCAAAATTTTTTTCAAAATCTTATTGTGACTACATATAACAGAGATTCCTTAATGATTTTAACTATATTTTATTTATACATATTTTATTTGTACATTTTACATACCTCTATAATTAATGTCATTGTTTTAGACATTTAAATTTATAAATGTTTACCTATCTACAATTATTTTACCTATTTTTATTATTTTACCTATTTTTATTATTTTATACATATTTAACTATATTTTGTGTTATACTCTTTTTTAAGACAAATATGTTCAAATATAGTAACCTTAATAGCAACAACTACATATTTAGATTCAGGCTCTTTCAAATACGAAACTATTCCTGCATAATATGGCAAATGTATTGGAACCTATCACTTCCCTAATACTGGAGTAGCATTTCAAGAATCATGATCTAGGCATAAGAAATATAACTTCAAAACTGCCATTTTTATGTGATGAAAAGGTAGGTTACAAATTAAAAAAAATTTTGAAAACCTGCCATCTCCAGTTATGGGAAAATCATGACCTGTCGCCTAATTTGGGTAGTGATGCTTCCTAATACTGCCTCTCCCTGTGGAGGTGAGATTAGCCAGAATTCTCCTCCAACCTACACTGCTGAAGCCATTGGGAGAGGGGAGAGGAAGCACAAAGAAATATTGGAACTTGAGTGGAGAACTCAGGAGAATTTGTTCTGGCTGACAGCTGAGGAAAATAGCTATGGGGTGGGAGTGGCACAGGTACATGCTATTTCAGAACAAGTGGTCAGGTGGATTTTGTAATTATTAAACATATTTAAAGAAATATAGTTCCATTATTTTCAGGTACACACTACCAGCAGGTAAGGTGAGGAAGTATAATTTAGACAGTTTCTCAAGGGAATTGCCTTAAAGAAATTCTGAGTCACTTGTAATTAACAAATCAATTTGAGGATAAATGGGCATTTCTGAAGTGCTTGAAGGTATTTAAAAGATTTTGTTCTCCTCTGAATATAAGCAACTGCCTATAATTTGGTTTATAGCATGGCTTTCTTTATCGCTTTCCAGCAACGGCTTCAACTTGACCTAATGACCACAGCAGGACGCTAACCATGAGCTTCATTTCAGCCACAAATTGCGCTGACATCAAGGCACTTTCTCCCAGAGTTCCTTTAAAACCTTGAGGTCTACATTTTCCTTGGCTATGGCTCAAAACAGAAGCAACTCTTATCACCTGTGTCCTCCACCCACGTCCCGGTTTTGCTCTGTGCTTCCTCTCCCCACCCTCAGGTTTCACGCTTCCCTCCTTCCCAGAGATTTTCACTGAAACATGATAAACAAGCTCCCCCTGCACCCTTCAGCTCCTCACAGAAAGCTTCCCCTTCCCTGCCTCACTGCCCTGGTTAAAACCCGCCTCGCCTAAAATGGCTGCTCCTTACCATTGACAGGCTTCAGGAGACAGTTCCAGCTCATTTTCTTACTCTGCGCCTGGGGGTTGGGAATTGGAGTCGGCATTAAAAAAAAAAAAAAAATCATACATGCCACTTCCAGACCACTGGGTTTTGTTGTATTGTACAAAAATCCCCATTCCGTTTAGGACACTGTCATTTGGCTATATGACTTTTTTTTTTTTTTTTTTTTTTTTTTTTTTTTTGAGACGGAGTCTCCCTCTGTCACCCAGGCTGGACTGCAGTGGCGCGATCTCGGCTCACTGCAAGCTCCGCCTCCAGGGTTCAAGCAATTCTCCTGCCTCAGCCTCCCAAGTAGCTGGGATTACAGGCGCCTACCATCACGCCCGGCTAATATTTGGTTTTTTTTGTTTGTTTGTTTTTTGTTTTTTTTTTTTTTTTTTCAGTAGAGACCAGGTGATCCGCCCGCCTCGGCCTCCCGAAGTGCTGGGATTACAGGCATGAGCCACCGCGCCCGGCCATATGACTTCTTACTCCACTCATCTCCGTCAGCTCTGACCTCCAGTGACTCCACCTCATTCTGAACTGTTCATTGACCTACTCGAATTTTTCCTCAACTCTGAGTTCCGTTGCC
This sequence comes from Homo sapiens, assembly GCF_000001405.40. Taxonomy (NCBI): domain Eukaryota; kingdom Metazoa; phylum Chordata; class Mammalia; order Primates; family Hominidae; genus Homo; species Homo sapiens. The sequence continues at coordinate 82,837,012 of NC_000006.12, forward strand.
ATCCTGTGAGACTTCATGCAGATGACCATTCAGGGCCCTAACCTAATGGTTCTTCACAGTTCCACTGATTGTAGCTTTTTGTCATTCCATCTATCCCTTCCCCTAATCACACTGGGGCACTTGTCATTGCTCAGAATTGCTCCTATTTTGAAAATTCATTCTCTATATTCTCTAACCTTCTGGCTCTGCCTTTCTTTACTCCTGCTATAGCAGTTCAGAAATCTCAGCCCCTAACACTTTTCTCTTCCAATTTACCAGTCCTTAATGTGTTCATTGTCTTTCCTGCCTAAAGCCTCAAGACACATGTTCCATCACTACCCCCTTACCCTCCTTTGTATTCTTTATTACAATGATAACTATCAAAAGTCATACTGTTTTTTTTTTTTTTATGACTCTTCTACTAGAGCGTAACCTCCTTAAGGGCAGGAACTCCAATTCACTGCTGCAATCCCAGGGTTTAATAGAGTGAGCCTCTCATGAACCTCATATACTGCACAGATTCATTAAATATCTGTGAAAGGAAGAAAGAAAGGCTATAATTGTTTCTTCACGTCAGAGACTGAGAACCTTTATTTAGTCCAATAAGTTTTAATTTGAAACAACTTTTCAGAAATGTGTATAATGATTCAGTACACCTAAAAATATATTATTCAACATTAGAGGGGTTGACTTAATACTTACTGGTACATCTATGTAAGAAAATACCAAGCAGTTAATGAAAAGATGCTCTAGAAGAATATCTAACAGTGTGAGAAAAGTTTGCAATATATCATTAAGAATGAAAAGCAAGTTGCAGTGCAGTATATACATACAGTACAATCTCATGTTGATAAAATATATAGGCATAAAAAAGACTGGAAAGAAAATCTATGTGATTTTTGAGTTTGGTGATAAGTTTTTAGATATAATACCAAAATTACAATCTATAAAAGAAAAATAATTGTTGGACTGTATTAAAATTTAAAAATTCTGCTCTGTCAAAGACAGTTAGGAGAATCAAAACATAAGCCACAAACAGTAAGAAAATATTTTCAAAACATATCTGATAAAGGACTTGTATCTAAAATATGCAGATGTCTTAAAACTCAAGAAAACAACTCACCGAAACATGAGCAAAAGTTCTCAACAGATGCCTCACCAAACAAAATATACAAATGGCAAAAAAAAAAGCATATGTAAAGATGCTCAACATTAGCTGTCATGAACTGCAAATTAAAATAACAATGAATGGCCAGGTGTGGTGGCTCACACCTGTAATCCCAGCACTTTGGGAGGCCAAGGTGGGCAGATCACTTGAGGTCAGGAGTTCAAGACCAGCCTGACCAACATGGTGAAACCCTGTCTCTACCAAAAAATACAAAAATCAGCCGGGTGTGGTGGCACAAACCTGTAGTTCCTCTGGAGGCTGAGGCACGAGAATCACTTGAACCTGGGAGGTGGAGATTGCAGTAAGCTGAGATTGTGCCATTGCACTCCAACCTGGGCGACAGAGTGAGAACCTGCCTCAAAAAAAAAAAAATACAAATACAACTCTACAGTTGTTAGAATGGCTAAAATCCAAAAAGCTAATCACATTAATTGCTGCTGAGGATGTGGAGCAGCAAAAACTCTTTTATTGCTGGTGGGAATACAAAACGGGATGGTCATTTAGAAGCAGAAAGGAGAGGAAGCAAGAATGATAACTATGGTACTGAATCAGGGTTTGGCCGTTTCTAATTTTTTAAATTTTAATTATTTTTAAGAGACAGGCTGGAGTAGAGTGGCACGATCGATCATAGTTTACTGTAGCCTCAAGCTCCTGTGCTCAAGCCGTCCTCCCACCTCAGACTCTTGAGTAGCGGGGAATACAGGTGCGCGCATCACCATGCTTGGTTAATTTTTAAATTTTTTGTAGAGATGAAGTCTCTTTTTTGCCCAGGCTGGTCTGGAACTCCTGGCTTCAAGTGATCCTCCTACCTCAACCTTCCAAAGTGCTGGGATTACAGGCATGAGGCACCACATCTGGCCGAGTTTGGCAGTTTCTTACATAGTCATTCCATATAATCCAACAATTGCACTCCTAGGTACATATGCAAAAGATTTTAAAACTTATATTCACACAAAAACCTACATGTGAATGTTTCTAGCAAGTTTAAATTGAAAATTGAAAGCAACCAATTTGTCCTTCAACAGACGAATGAATAAACAGTGGTACAATTATTCAATGGTAAAAATGTAGAATATTATTCAGTGACAAAAAGAAGTGAGCTATCAAGCCATAGTAAGACATGGATAAATCTTAAACACATATTGCTAAGTGAAAAAAGTCAGTCTGAACAGACTACATACTGTATGATGCCAATTATATGACATTCTGAAAAAGGCAAAATAATTTTAGAATAGTTGTTAACAGGGTTTCAAGGAGAGGAGCGGGGGTTGAAAAGGTGCAGCACAGTATTTTTAAGGCAGTGAAACTATTCCGTATGATGCTGTAATGGTGGGTACATCTCTTTATATATTTGACAAAACCCATGGAACTTTACAACACAAAGAGTGAACCTCAATGGGTGAAAATTTTTAAAAAAGCATTTAGGAGTTCAGGGGATCTTAGCATGTGATCCTGGAATGCAGAATGTGACCAAAGAATTTAACTTATTACAAATGTATGAAATAATTTCAGTGAAATGGGTAGGGGAGAAAAGGTACTAATAAGTAAGTTCAGAAGTGAGTGAATACAGGAAGACTAAAGGCAAAATAAATTGCATATAACTACTGTACCCCAGCTAATAAAGTTGTTTCCATGGGAATACAGGTTAACAATTCTGATTCTGCTATACATGTATACTGGGATTAAAGCATATGTAAATGGATGGCAGATGGTAGGAGCCACGTTTTTCACTGTTGGAGTAGGAGGTTTTTGACAAGCAAAAAGAGGAAGCTAGAATGATCACTATGGTAATGAATTAGAGTTGGAGAAATCAGTATGAACTCATGTTTTAGCTTAAAATAAGTATAGATGGTTACATATAGAAATATTATATATATATATATATACACAAGTTGATATATACATATATATGTTTTCTTGCTCTCTTCTGCTTAAAGGACCTAGAAGAAATGGCACCCCCATATTAATAAACACCCCTAATGCCCAGATCTTGCTTTCTAATGCCATTATTTCATTAAAAGACAAAAGCTCAGTAAAGATATGGCCAATTCTAGGCCTGGGGTCATGAATATGACCCATTGAAGATGAGTAAGTGCAGTACCAGAAAGTAAAAAATTACTGCAAAAAAAAAAAAATCCCCCAAAACAAACCCACAGTTATAGTGGTATTTCAAAGGGCAAGCATACAGGAGCCAATTGAAAGAGCTCTCAATGGCAAAAGTTGGGACAATTTGAGCAAGAAAACAAGGAAAATAGTATTAGATTACAACCCAAGGTATAAAATCTATATCCATGAGTCCATACTGATATAAATAAATGTCTGAATAAATAAATAAATAAATAATAAATGGAGGAAGCAAATCTCCCATGCAAAAGAATCTCAAATAATGTATATAGATACTTCACCCTCAAGGTGGTAGAGCGTAACTCCCCATTCCATAAGTTTGGGCTGTACATAGTGACTTCCTTCCAAAGAGTACAGTATGGGGTGGGTTAGGAGTAACTTTACAATGAAGAAATCTGACAAACATTACCTCATCCTGGTGATCAAGGTTAACTTGAACAGTAATAAGTCATGTGTATAGTATGTTTCCCTGGATACAATGTGGTCAGCATGGCATTTTACCTTTGTGGCTTTGTGGTCTTCCTTCCAAAAACACATAACCTCAGTCTAATCATGACAAAAATGTCAGACAAATCCCAATTAAAATACATTCTACAAAATTCCTGACCAGTACTCCTCAGAACTATCAAGGTCATCAAAAACAAGCCAAGTATTAGAAACTGTCAAGCCAAGAATGGCCTTAGGAGGCATGACAGCTAAAGGTAATGTGGCATCCTGGATGGGATTGTGGAACACAGAAAGAACATCAGGTAAAAACTAAAGACATATGAACAAAATGTTATTTAGTTATTAATTATGTATTAATATCAATTCATTAACTGTAACATATATGCCGTGCTAACATAAGATGTTAAAATAGGAAAAACTGGGTATAAGGTATATGGAAATCTTTATACTATATTTGCAACTTTTTTGTAAATCTAGAACTATTCTTTTTTAAAAATGTATATATTTAAAAAGAAGAAAAAACTAGAAAGATATGCCTCAAAACCCTATTAGTAGTTGTGTTTTAGTGGCAGGATTACAAATAGTTTTTCCTTTTTGCTTATCTATATTTTTAAAATGATATCAGTGAATTTTGATTTTTAGCTCTTGAAGGTTTGATATTAACCTAACAGTCCCAGCATTTGGTCTCTGGCCTCTTCAGATAGGTAGCATTTTGGCCCTTGGCAAGCAAATGACACCTGTTACCACCTCTAGGGGAGGAGTCCACTGCAGGGAGGACAGCAAAGAGCATGACAATGCCTACCACCAGGAGCAGCAGTCCCAGGATGTCACCTCACTGCATCAAGTCACCAAGAAAGCATCACCAAGAAAGACATGATTCACACAGGCGCTGAATGGAAAAACACTTTCCTCTTATAGAGAAGAAGCAGAGCAAGATCGGCTTCAAACTGGTGCCATGAACAGCAGGTCTTGCCCCACAGCCAACACAGGGAGATGGTCTGCATGGGCCCCTCTTGTGCTATAGGCAAAGGACGCTATCTCTTCCTCTGCAAGGAACAGAAATAGCAGTGCCATTGACCAGGTGTCATAGGATGAGCACACTTTACACGGAAGAAAAAAGTATACATTGAACCTGGAGCAGAAAAAGATACTCCCAAACAAGATGATATGCCCAGCACAGGCTGTGAGGGCTCCTTACCTCCATGTAGGAAAATGTGTCAGGACTGAGGCACTCTTTTATGCAGCCATGCAAGGGTCAGTATCCTGTGCATGACTGCTTTTTCCAACAGCCTTCATTCATAGGAATATACACTAGACACTGTAATCTCCTTTTGAAAAAGGAAGTAAAGGAAATGTAATTATCTCATAGTCGGTGATAGAAGTAAGTCATTATAAATATTAGGGGAATACAGTTAACCACTAGTAGTAAAGGAATCATTACTTTTGCAAATTAAGCTTTAAAAATCATGCCAGAAAGGTAGCTACAAAACTCATAATGCTTAGTAGAAATAAAATCTCAAGCTCTCCAGAAAATCTCTGCATATGTTACAGAAGTCAGAGAGACCAACAGGGAAGAAATTCTTTCACAGAGAATGATATCTCTGAGGGCATATGAGAAGACATCAGCTCTACCCTTGGCTAATACATGAATCCTTCTGAAACTTGCCTTCCACATCTTCCTGAAGTGTCAAACTTCAGTGACGGCAAGTGTATGCCACTAAGTTGACTGGTTTCATTTTCAGGTAGATTCCAAAATCAAGTTATACAAATTAAGACTAAAATACTCCATGATAATTTGCATTTTTGTAAACAAATGGTTAATCAATAATAACTGTGAATTGAGGAGATGAATATTACCTATAAATGATGGGTGCCTTCTTGTTACTTAAAAGGGCGGTATAGAGTATAGAAGTTAGAGCATAAGTTCATGCTCAATGTTGGGCAATTATTTCACCTCTCAGAGCCTCATTTTCTGCTCTTATAAAATGGAGATATTTATAGTCTGTACCTCATAGAGTCATTGTAGGGGTTAAATGAATTAATACATGTCGAGTGCTTAGGATGCTATCTGACACACAGCAAGTTCTATATAAAAGTTAGCTGTTGGCTGGGTATAGTGGCTCGTGTCTGTAATCTCAGCACTTTGGGAGGACAAGGGGGGTGAGTCACTTGAGGCCAGGAGTTAGAGACCAGTCTGGCCAACATGGTGAAACCCCATCTCTACTAAAACCACAAAAATGAGCCGGACATAATTGGTGCGTGCCTGTAATTCCAGCTACTCTGGAAGCTGAGGCAGGAGAATTGCTTGAACTCTGGAGGCTGAGGCTGCAGTGAGCCGAGATGATGCCACTGCCCTCCAGCCTGGGTGACAGAGCGAGACTTTCTCTTGGAAAAAAGTTAGCTGTTACATTAAGTAAAGGCAGTTACTGGTTTTTAGCCATCTCTTTTTTACTCTCTGTCACATTCCACTCAGATCTAACAGTTTTGATTTGTATTTCCCTAATGAGTAATTCATTATGCTATATTGGACATCACATTCACCCCCTTCACCCCTGACAACCTCTCACTCCTTCATGGCACAGCCATTCTCTGAGTTACCCAGAAGCAAAGCCTATTGATTCTTCCCTTTCTCACTTCTCTTGCAATTGGAGTTTCTACATTCTGAAATCTAACTTTGGTTATGGTTCTTGCATTTTTCCCCATTGCCATCACTAACACTGAGCTTAAGCACTTGTCAATTAATAATCTATTAACTTGGCTATTCTGCTTTCTTCATCCACCCCCATTTGTTTATACCCTGATGCCAGGTTAAATTTTATTTTTATTTTAATCACAGCTTTGTTGAGATATTCACATTCCATAAGGCTAAAACTTTTGAAGCATATCATGCAATGGTTGTTAGTATTCACAGACTTGTGCAACCTTCACCATTATCTACTTACAGAATATTTTCATTACCCTAAAAAGAAAGCTCAGACACATAAGCAGTCACTCCTCATTTTCCCTTTCCCCCAGCCACACAATCCCTAATCTACTTTCTATTTCTATGAAGTTGCCTAATCTGGATATTTCATATAAATGAAATCATATAATATGTAACCTTTGTGTCTGTTTTTTTTCAGTTAGCATAAAGTTTTTAAGGTTCATCCATATCATGGCATATATCAATACTTCATTCCTTTTTGTCACCAAATGCTATTCCATGATATGAATATAATCACATAGCATTTATCCATTCATCAATTGATGGACATTTGGGTTGTTTCCATATTTTGCTATTGTCAATAATATTGCTACGAGCATTTGTGTACAAGCTTTTGGATGAACATCTGTTTTCAATTCTCATGGGTATATATCTAGGAGTAGAATTGCTGGATTATATGGTAACTCTTATGTCGACCTTTTTGAGGCACTTCCACTGTTTTTGAATGCAGCTGCATTATTTTACATTCCCACCAAAATATATGAGGGTTCTACCTTCTCTGTCCTCGTCAACACTTGCTATTATCCATCTTTTTATTATAGCCATCCTAGTGGATATGAAGTGTTATCTAACAGTTTTGATTTGTATTTCCCTAATGAGAAATTCATTGTGCTATATTGGACATTATTTTTTGTATATATTTTTGTAGAAATATCTATTCAAATCCTTTCCCATTTTTAAATGGAGGTATTTATCATTTTATTGTTGAATTGTGATAGTTCATTATATATTCTTGGTTCTAAAGAGTTTCTTATTGAATATATAATTTGCAAGACTATTCTCCCATTCTGTGGAGGCTGTCCTTTTGCTTTCTTCATATTGTCCTTTAAAGCACTAAAGTTTTAATTTTGATACATGGCCATTTATCTAAATTTTCTTTTGTTGCTTGTGCTTTTGCTGTTACAGCTGTGAAATTATTGCCTATGCAAGTTTAAGAGGACTTGCTCCTTTGTTTTATTCTGAGATTTTTTTTTTTAAAGCTTTAGCTCTTACATTTGGTCTGTGATCAATTTTGAGTTAATTTTTGTGTGTAGTGGGAGGTAAGGGTCTAGCTTCATTCTTTTGCATGTGAATATTCAGTTGTCCCAGTACTATTTGTTGAAAATACTATTCTTAAATGGATCAGTTCAGCAAAAGGATATAACAATTTAAAATTGCACCCCACAATGCACTCAACATCCGAGCACCCCAGAAATACAGCAAATATTATTAGATGTAAAGGGAGAAATAGACTCCAATACAATAATAGTTGGAGACCTCAACACCCCATTCTAAGTATTAGATCATCTAGACAGAAAATAACAGGAAATTAGGGATTTACACTACACTTTAGACCAAATGGACCTGATAGAAATGTACAGAACATTTAATCTGATAGCTTCAGAATATACATTCTTCTCCCCAGCACATGGAACATTCTCCAGGATATACCATATTTTAGGCCACAGAAAAGTTTCAAAAAGTTTTTTAAATTTGAAATCATATTATTTTCTCAGACCAAAATGGAATAAAACTAGAAATCAATAACAAGAGGAAAATGGGAAACTGTAAATACATAGAAATTAAATAACATGCTCCTGATTATTGGGTCAATGAAGAAATTAAGAAGAAAATAAAAAAATTTCTTGAAACAAATGAAAACGGAAACACAACATATTAAAACCTGTGGGATACATAAAAAGCTGTGTTGAGAGAAGTTTATAGCAATAAACACCTACATCAATAAAATTCAAGGACGAACATAATAAGACCCCATGTTTAAAAAAATATTTTTGTTTTAATTTTTTAAAAAATACTTTAGATCAAGATGGCTGAATAAAAGCCTTCACCAATTGTCCTCCTTCAGGAACACTAAATTGAACTATTCACATGAAAACACTTTCATAGGAATCGAAATTTACCTTGGTGTCAGCTCAGCCACGGTGGGGTAGAGTACCAACTGGGCTGTTGGGGTCCCCAATTCCAGGCCTTGGCTCTTACACAGCATTTCTGGACTTGCCCTGGGCCAGAGGGAAGCCCACCGCTCTGAAAGGAGAGACCCAGGCCTCGTAGCAATCACCACAAGCTGACCAAAAACCTCTTGAGCCTTGAATGAACATCAGTGGTAGCCAGACAGCTCTGGCCATGTGGCTGGGGTGGTGGGAGCCTTTGGGAGAGACTCCTCTACTTGTAAAATGGGGAGAAAAGAGGGAAAGGACTTTGTCTTGTGGCTTGGGTGCCAGCTCAGAAGCAGTAGAATGGAGCACCAGGTAGATTCCTAAGGTTTCCCACTCAAGGCCGTGGCCCCCAGATGGCATCTGTGAACCTACCTGGGAACTGTGGGAACTTGCCACCCTGAAAGCAAGGACATAAGCCTGGCTGGATTTACCACCTGCTGATTGTAGAGCCCTAGGGCCTTGAGCTATCATAGGAAGTAGCCAGGCACTGGTTACTGTGGGCCTTGGGGGAGACCCAGTGCTCTGCTGGCTTCAGTGCTTCTGTTCTGTGTAACCCCTCCCCTAGATCCAGACAGCTCAGAATAAACAGTGGGACTCTGTTTGGGAGAAATAAAGGGAAGAGAACAAGAGTCCCCACCTGGTAATCCAGGGAATTCTTCCAGCTCTTATCCAAGACCACCAAGGTAGTACCTTGGCACAAGTTTGCAAGAGCCACAATGTTACTGGGCTTGGAGTATCCTGTAATGCAGATATAGCTGCAGTGACCAAAAACTTACATAATAACACGCAAGTCCCTTCAGTGCCTGGAAAGCCTTCCCAAAAAGAATGGTACAAACAAGCTCAGACTGTGAAGACTACAATAAATACCTAACTCTTCAATGCCCAGACACCAACAAACATCCCCAAGCATCAAGACTAAGACCATGACCTCACCAAACAAATTAAAAAAGGCACCAGACACCAATACTGGAGAAACAAACATATGTGACCTTTCAGAGAATCCAGAACAGCCACATAGAGAAAATTCAATGAAATTCAATATAACACACAGAAGAAATTCAGAATCCTATCAGATAAATTTAACCAAGAGGTTGAAATAATTACAAAGAATCAAACAGAAATTCCAGAGCTGAAAAATGCAATTGACATAATGAAGAATGCATCAGAGTCTCTTAATAGCAGAATTGATCAAGCAGAAGAGAGAATTAGTGAGCTTGAAGACAGGCTGTTTGAAAATACACAGAGGAAACCAAAGAAAAAAGAATTATGAAAGAATGAAGCATGCATATGAGATCCTAGAAAATAGCCTCAAAAGGGCAAATCTAAGAGTTATTAGCCTTAAAGAGGAAAGGGTGGTAGGACATTTATTCACTGGGATAATAAGAGAGAACTTCATAAACCTAGAGAAAGATATCAATATCCTAGTACAAGAAGGTTATCAAACACCAAGCAGATTTAACCCAAATAAGACTACCTCAAGACATTTAATAATTATACTCCCAAAGGTCAAGGATAAAGAAAGGAGCCTAAAAGCACCAAGAGAAAAGTAACAAACAACATACAATGGATTTCTAACACATCTGGCAGCAGACTTCTCAGTAGAAACCTTACAATCCAGGAGAGAGTGGTATGACATTTTTAAAGTGCTGAAGAAAAACAACTTTTATCTTAGAATAGTACATCCAGCAAAAATATCCTTCAAACATAAAGCAGAAGCAAAGACTTTCCCAGACAAATAAAAGCTAAGGGATTTCATCAGCATCAGACCTGTCTGTCCTACAAGAAATGCTAAAGGGCATTTTTCAGTCTGAAAGAAAAGCCTGTTGGTGAGCAAAAAGAAATCATCTGAAGGTCTAATACTCACTGGTAATAGTAACTACACAGAAAACCACAGAATATTATAATGCCCTAATTGCGGTGTGTAAACCACTCATATTTTTACTAGAAACACTAACAGATAAATGGTCAAAAATAACTGCAACAAATTTTAAGATATATAAGTACAAATGAAATATAAATAGAAACAATAGAAAGTTAAAAACAGAATGATGAATTAAAATGTAGAATTTTTATTACTTTCCTATTTGCTTGTTTGTATATGCAATCAATGTTAAGTTGTCATCAGTTTATAATAATGGGTTATAAGATATTATTTGTAAGCCTCATGGTAACTTCAAATAAAAAAATATAAAAGATACACACACAAAAATAAAAAGCAAGAAATTAAATCATATCCAGAGAATATCATATTCACTAAAAAGAAGATAGGAAGGAAGAAAAGAAGGAAGAGAAGACCACAAAACAACCAAAAAACAAATTTTAAAATGGCAGGAGTAAGTCCTTATTTATCAATAATAACCTTGAATGTAAATGAACTAAACTCTGAAATCAGAAGACACAGAGTGGCTGAATGGATTAAAAAAGAAAAGCAAGACCCAGTGATCTACTGCCTACAAGAAACACACTTGACCTCTTAAGACACAAATAGACTGAAAATAAAGAGATGGAAAAAGATAACCAATGCAAATGGAAACCAAAACAAGAGCAGGAGTAGCTATACTTATATATGACAAAATAGATTTCAAGACAAAAACTATAGAAAGAGACATAAAAGATTATTATAATATACAATGATGAAGAGGTCAATTCAGAAAGGGGTTATAACAATTATAAATATAAACATACCCACAGTGGATTACCCAGATACATAAAGCAAATATTGTCAGAGTTAAAGAGAGAGATACACATCAATAAAATAATGGCTGGAGACTTCAACACCCCACTTTTAGCATTGGACAGATCATCCATACAGCAAATCAACTAAGAAACATCAGACTTAACCCACACTATAAACCAAATAGTTCTAATAGATATTTACAGAAAACTTTCTCCAACATCTGAAGAATACATTCTCCTCCTCAGCACATGGATCATTACTAAGGATAGACCACATGCTAGGTCACAGGAAAAAGTTTTTAAAAATTCAAAAAAATTGAAATGATATCAAGTATATTCTCTGACCACAATGGAATAAAGCTAGCAATCAATAACACAAGGAACATTGAAAACATGTGGAAATTAAATGGTATGCTCCTGATTGTGGGTCAATGAAGACCTTAAGAAGGAAATTGAAAATTTTCTTGAAACAAATGATAATGAAAACACAACATACCAAAACCTATGGGGTATAGCAAAAGCAGTACTAAGATAAAAGTTTATAGCTATAAGCACCCACATCCAAAAAGTAAAAAAACTTCAAATAAACAACCTAACAATGCATCTTAAAGAACCACAAAAGCAAGAGCAAACCAAACCCAAAGTTTGTAGAGGAAAAGACATAATAAAGATCAAAGCAGAAATAAATGAATTTGAAATAAAGAAAACAACACAAGGATCAAAAACTTAAAAGTTAGCCTTTATTTTAAAGATAAATAAAATCAGTCCTGGCATGGTGGCTCATGCATGTAATCACAGCACTTTGGGAGGCCAAGGTGGGAGGATCATTTGAGCCCAGGAGTTTGAGACACAGTGAGACCTCATCTCTACAAAAAGGCAAAGAATTAGCTGGGTGTGATCTCATGCACTTGTGGTTTTAGCTACTCAGCAGGTTGAGGTGGGAGGATCACTTGAGCCCAGGAGGTGGAGGCTGTAAGTGAGCCATGATCATGCCACTGCACTACAGCCTGGGCAACAGAGGGAGACCCTATCTCAAAAAAAAAAAAAAAAAAAAAAAAGAAGAAGAAGAAGAAGAAAAAAAATGAAATAAATGTGGAAAAAACTTTAGCCAGACCAACTAAAAAAAGAGAAACCCAAATAAATAAAATCAGAGATAAAAAGAAGACATTACAACCAATACCACAGAAATTCAAAGCATAATTAGAGACTATTACAAGCAATTATATGCCAGTAAATTGGAAAACCTAGAAGAAATGGATAAATTCCTAGATATATACAACCTATCAAGATTGAACCATAAAGAAATTCAAAACTTAAACAAACCAATAACAAGTAATAAGATCAAAGCTGCAATAAAAAAGACTTCCAGCAAAGGAAAGTCTGGGACCCAATGGCTTCACTGCTGAACTTTACCATACATTTAAGGAGAACTACTACAAATCATACTCAAACTCCTCTGAAAGCTAGAGGGAGAGAGAATACTTTCAAATGCATTACTCAAGGCCAGTATGACCCTCATACCAAAACCAGACAAGGATACATTCAAAAAACAAAAAAACATAGGCCAATATCACTGATGAACATTGATGCAAAAATCGTCAATGAAATACTACCAAACTGAATTCAACAACACATCAAAAAGATCATTCATCATAACCAAGCAGGACTTAATGCAGGGATGCAAGGATGGTTCCACACATGCAGATCAATCAATGTGATACATCATATCAACAGAATAAAGGGAAAAAACATACTCCTTTCAACTGATACTGAAATGCATTTGATAAAATTCAACATTCCTTCATGATAAGAACTATCAAATGCCTGGGTGTAGAAGGAACAAACCTCAGCACAATAAAAACCATATATGAGAGATCCACAGCTAGTATCACACTGAATGGGGAAAAACTGAGAGCCTTCCCTGTAGGATCTGAACCATGACAATGATGCCCACTTTCACCACTGTTATTGAATGTGGCAATGGATGTCCTACCTAGAGTACTCAGATAAGGGTAAGAGATAAAGGGCATCCAAATTAGAAAAGAGAAAGCCAAATTATCCTTCTTTGCAGATTACATAATCTTATATTTGGAAAAACCTAAAGAATGCACCAAAAACTATTAGAACTGACAAACAAATTCAGTAAAGTTGCAGGATACAAAATTAACATACAAAAATCAGTGGTATTTCTATATGCCAACAACAAACAATCTGAAAAGAAAATCAAGAGAGCAATCCTATATACAGTAGCTGCAGATAAAATAAAATACTTAGGAATTAAAAATGTGAAAGATCTCTATAATGAAAACTATAAAACATTGATGAAAGAAATTGAAGAGGACATCAAAAATGAAAAGATATTCCATGTTCATGGATTGGAAGAATCAATATTGTTAAAATATCCCTACTACCCAAAGCAATCTACAGATTCAGTACAATCCCTATCAAAATAACAATGACATTCTTCACAGAACTAGAAAAACAATCCTAAAATTTATATGGAACCAAAAAAAACTCACAATAGCCAAAGCCATCCAGAGCAAAAAGAACATAACTGGAGGAAACACTAATGTGTTTCTTGACTTCAAATTATACTACAAAGCTATAGTAACCAAGACAGCATGGTACTGGCATAAAAACAGACACATAGATCAGTGGAAAAAATAGAGAACCCAGAAAGAAATTCATACATCTACAGTAACTCATTTTTTACAAAGGTGCCAAGAACATACACTGGGGAAAAGACAGTCTCTTCAATAAATGGTTCTGAGAAAACTGGATATCCATATGCAGAAGAATGAAACTAAACCCCTATCTCTTGTCATATAAAAAAATGAAAATTAAAGCCTTAAATCTAAGATGTCCAACTACAAAACTACTGTAAGACAACATAGGGGAAACACTGCAGGATATGGACTGAGCATAGATTTCATGAGTAATACACACAATCATAGGCCACCAAAGCAAAAACGGACAAATGAAATCACATCAAGTGAAAAAGCTTCTGCATAGCGAAGGAAACAATCAACAAAGTGAAGAGAAAACCCACAGAATGGAATAAAATATTTGCAAAATAGCCATCTGACAAGGGATTAATAACTGGAATACATAAGGAGCTCCAACAACTCATTAGGAAAAAACTAATAATCTGATTTTAAAATGTGCAAAAACTCTGAATTGAAATTTCTCAAAAGAAGATATACAAATGGAAAAAGTTATATGAAAAGGTGCTCAACATTACTGATCATCAGAGAAATGCAAATCAAAACAACGAGATATCATCTCAACTGAGTTAAAATGGCTTTTATGCAAAAGACAGGCAACAATGAATACTGGCAAAGATGTGGAGAAAAGGGAAGCATTGTACGCTGTTGCTGGGAATGTAAATTAGCACAACCACTATACAGAACAGTTTGGAGGTTCCTCAAAAAACTAAAAATAGAACTACCACATGATCCAGTGATCTCACTTCTAGCTATCTACCCAAAAGAAAGGATATCAACATATAGAAGAGATATCTGCACTCCCATGTTTATTACATCACTATTCATAATAGCCAAGATTTGAAAGAAACCTGTTTCTATTAACAGATAAAGAATAAAGAGAATGTGGTGCTGGGGTGGAGCCAAGATGGCCGAATAGGAACAGCTCCAGTCTACAGCTCCCAGCGTGAGCGACGCAGAAGACGGGTGATTTCCGCATTTCCAACTGAGGAACGCAGCTCCTCACCAGCAACGGAACAAAGCTGGACGGAGAATGACTTTGACGAATTGAGAGAAGAAGGCTTCAGAAGATCAAACTACTCTGAACTAAAGGAGGAAGTTCGAACCAATGACAAAGAAGTTAAAAACTTTGAAAAAATATTAGATGAATGGATAACTAGAATAACCGATGCAGAGAAGTCCTTAAAGGACCTGATAGAGCTGAAAACCATGGCACGAGAACTACGTGATGAATGCACAAGCCTCAGTAACTGATGCAATCAACTGGAAGAAAGGGTATCAGTGATGGAAGACTAAAGGAATGAAATGAAGCGTGAAGAGAAGTTTAGAGAAAAAAGAATAAAAAGAAATGAACAAAGCCTCCAAGAAATATGGGACTATGTGAAAAGACCAAATCTACGTCTAATTGGTGTACCTGAAAGTGACGGGGAGAATGGAACCAAGTTGGAAAACACTCTGCAGGATATTATCCAGGAGAACTTCCCCAATCTAGCAACGCAGGCCAGCATTCAAATTCAGGAAATAAAGAGAATGCCACAAAGATACTCCTCAAGAAGAGCAACTCTAAGACACATAATTATCAGATTCACCAAAGATGAAATGAAGGAAAAAATGTTAAAGGCAGCCAGAGAGAAAGGTCGGGTTACCCCCAAAGGGAAGCCCATCAGACTAACAGCTGATCTCTTGGCAGAAAGTCTACAAGCCAGAAGAGAGTGGGGGCCAATATTCAACATTCTTCAAGAAAAGAATTTTCAACCCAGAATTTCATATACAGCCAAACTAAGCTTCATAAGTGAAGGAGAAATAACATACTTTACAGACAAACAAATGCTGAGAGATTTTGTCACCACCACGCCTGCCCTAAAAGAGCTCCTGAAGGAAGCACTAAACATGGAAAGGAATAACCGGTACCAGCCACTGCAAAAACATGACAAATTGTAAAGATCATCGAGGCTAGGAAGAAACTGCATCAACTAACAAGCAAAATAACTACCTAACATCATAATGACAGGATCAAATTCACACATAACAATACTAACCATAAATGTAAATGGGCTAAATGCTCCAATTAAAAGGCACAGACTGGTAAATTGGATAAAGAGTCAAGATCCATCAGTGTGCTGTATTCAAGAAACCCATCTCACGTGCAGAGACACACATAGGCTCAAAATAAAGGGATGGAGGAAGATCTACCAAACAAATGGAAAACAAAAAAAGGCAGGAGTTGCAATCCTACTCTCAGATAAAACAGACTTTAAACCAACAAAGATCAAAAGAGACAAAGAAGGCCATTACATAATGGTAAAGGGATCAATTCAACAAGAGGAACTAACTATCCTAAATATATATGCACCCAGATTCATAAAGCAAGTCCTTAGTGACCTACAAAGAGACATAGACTCCCACACAATAATAATGGGAGACTAACACCCCACTATCAACATTAGACAGAACAATGAGACAGAAAGTTAACAAGGATACCCAGGAGTTCAATTCCTTGGTGCAATTCCTGCACCAAGCAGACCTAATAGACATCTACAGAACTCTCCACCCCAAATCAACAGAATATACATTCTTCTCAGCACCACACCACACCTATTCCAAAATTCACCACATAGTTGGAAGTAAAGCACTCCTCAGCAAATGTAAAAGAACAGAAATTATAACAAACTGTCTGTCAGACCACAGTGCAATCAAACCAGAACACAGGATTAAGAAACTCACTCAAAACTGCTCAACTACATGGAAACTGAACAACCTGCTCCTGAATGACTACTGGGTACATAACAAAATGAAGGCAGAAATAAAGATATTCTTTGAAACCAACGAGAACAAAGACACAACATACCAGAATCTCTGGGACACATTCAAAGCAGTGTGTAGATGGAAATTTATAGCACTAAATGCCCACAAGAGAAAGCAGGAAAAATCTAAAATGGACAGCCTAACATCACAATTAAAAGAACTAGAGAAGCAAGAGCAAACACATTCCAAATCTAGCAGAAGGCAAGAAATAACTAAGATCAGAGCAGAACTGAAGGAAATAGAGACATGAAAAACCCTTCAAAAAATCAATGAATCCAGGAGCTGGTTTTTTGAAAAGATCTACAAAATTGAAAGACTGCTAGCAAGACTAATAAAGAAGAAAAGAGAGAAGAATCAAATAGACACAATCAAAAATGACAAAGGGGATATCACCACCAATCCCACAGAAAAACAAACTACCATCAGAGAATACTATAAACACCTCTATGCAAATAAACTAGAAAATCTAGAAGAAATGGATAAATTCCTCAACACATACACCCTTCCAAGACTAAACAAGGAAGAAGTTGAATCTCTGAATAGACCAATAACAGGCTGTGAAATTGAGGCAATAATTAATAGCTTACCAACCAAAAAACGTCCAGGACCAGATGGATTCACAGCTGAATTCTACCAGAGGTACAAGGAGGAGCTGGTTCAATTCCTTCTGAAACTATTCCAATCAATAGAAAAAGAGGGAATCCTCCCTAACTCATTTCATGAGGCCAGCATCATCCTGATACCAAAGCCTGGCAGAGACACAACAAAAAAAGAGAATTTTCGACCAATATCCTTGATGAACATTGATGCAAAAATCCTCAATAAAATACTGTGCAAACCGAATCCAGCAGCATATCAAAAAGCTTATCCACCATGATCAAGTGGGCTTCATCCCTGGGATGCAAGGCTGGTTCAACATACGAAAATCAAGAAACGTAATCCAGCATGTAAACAGAACCAAAGACAAAAACCACATGATTATCTCAATAGATGCAGAAAAGGCCTTTGACAAAATTCAACAATCCTTCATGCTAAAAACTCTCAATAAATTAGGTATTGATGGGACGTATCTCAAAATAATAAGAGCTATCTATGACAAACCCACAGCCAATATCATACTGAATGAACAAAAACTGGAAGCATTCCCTTTGAATACTGGCACAAGACAGGGATGCCCTCTCTCACCACTCCTATTCAACATAGTGTTGGAAGTTCTGGCCAGGGCAATCAGGCAGAAGAAGGAAATAAAGGGCATTCAATTAGGGAAAGAGGAAGTCAAATTGTCCCTGTTTGCAGATGACATGATTGTATATCTAGAAAACCCCATTCTCTCAGCCCAAAATCTCCTTAAGCTGATAAGCAACTTCTGCAGTCTCAGGATACAAAATCAATGTGCAAAAATCACAAGCATTCTTATACACCAATAACAGACAAACAGAGAGCCAAATCATGAGTGAACTCCCATTCGCAATTGCTTCAAAGAGAATAAAATACCTAGGAATCCAACTTACAAGGGATGTGAAGGACCTCTTCGAGGAGAACTACAAACCACTGCTCAATGAAATAAAAGAGGATACAAACAAATGGAAGAACATTCCATGCTCGTGGGTAGGAAGAATCAATATCGTGAAAATGGCCATACTGCCCAAGGTAATTTACAGATTCAATGCCATCCCCATCAAGCTACAAATGACTTTCTTCACATAATTGGAAAAAACTACTTTAAAGTTCATATGGAACCAAAAAAGAGCCTGCATTGTCAAGTCAATTCTAAGCCAAAAGAACAAAGCTGGAGGCATCATGCTACCTGACTTCAAACTATACTACAAGGCTACAGTAAACAAAACAGGATGGTACTGGTACCAAAACAGAAATATAGACCAATGGAACAGAACAGAGCCCTCAGAAATAATGCCGCATATCCACAACTATCTGATCTTTGACAAACCTGAGAAAAACAAGCAATGGGGAAAGGATTCCCTATTTAATAAATGGTGCTGGGGAAACTGGCTAGCCTTATGTAGAAAGCTGAAACTGGATCCCTCCTTACACCTTATACAAAAATTAATTCAAGATGGATTAAAGACTTACATGTTAGGCCTAAAACCATAAAAACCCTAGAAGAAAACCTAGGCAATACCATTCAGGACATACGCATGGGCAAGGACTTCATGTCTAAAACACCAAAAGCAATGGCAACAAAAGACAAAATTGACAAATCGGATCTAATTAAACTAAAGAGCTTCTGCACAGCGAAAGAAACTACCACCAGAGTGAACAGGCAACCTACAAAATGGGAGAAAATTTTCGCAACCTACTCGTCTGACAAAGGGCTAATATCCAGAATCTACAATGAACTCAAACAAATTTACAAGAAAAAAACAAACAACCCCATCAAAAATTGGGCGAAGGACATGAACAGACACTTCTCAAAAGAAGGCATCTATGCAGCCAACAGACACATGAAAAAATGCCCATCATCACTGGCCATCGGAGAAATGCAAATCAAAACCACAATGAGATACAATCTCACACCAGTTAGAATGGTGATCATTAAAAAGTCAGGCAACAACAGGTGCTGGAGAGGATGTGGAGAAATAGGAACAATTTTACACTGTTGGTGGGACTGTAAACCAGTTCAACCATTGTGGAAGTCAGTGTGGCGATTCCTCAGGGATCTAGAAACAGAAATACCATTTGACCCAGCCATCCCATTACTGGGTATATACCCAAAGGATTATAAATCATGCTGCTATAAAGACACATGCACACGTATGTTTATTGCGGCACTGTTCACAATAGCAAAGACTTGGAACCAACCCAAATGTCCAACAATGATAGACTGGATTAAGAAAATGTGGCACATATACACCATGGAATACTATGGAGCCATACAAAATGATGAGTTCATGACCTTTGTAGGGACATGGATGAAGCTGGAAACCATCATTCTCAGCAAACTATCGCAAGGACAAAAAACCAAACACTGCATGTCCTCACTCATAGGTGGGAATTGAGCAATGAGAACACATGGACACAGGAAGGGGAACATCACACACCAGGGACTGTTGTGGGGTGGGGGGAGGGGGGAGGGATAGCATTAGGAGATATACCTAATGCTAAATGCCGAGTTGATGGGTGCAGCACACCAACATGGCACATGTATACATGTGTAACAAAACTGCACATTGTGCACATGTACCCTAAAACTTAAAGTATAATAATAATAAAAAAAAGAAAATGTGGTGCCTATACACAATGAAGTACTATTCAGCCACAAAAAAACAAGATCCTGTTGTTTGCAACAACATGGATGGAAGTGGAGAACATTAAGTGAAATAAGTCAGGCACAGAAAGACAAACTTAGCGTGTTCTCACTTATTTATGGGAAAATTAAAATAATTGAACTAGTGGAGACAGAAAGTAGAATGATGGTTACCAGAGGCTGGGAAGGTAGTTGGGCAGGTTGGAGAAGGGAGCATGGTTAATGGGTACAAAAATATATTTACAGAAAATGATTAAGATCTAGTATTTGATAGCACAACTGGATGACTACAGTCAACAATAATTTATTGTACATTTTAAATAACTAAAAGAATATAATTGGATAGTTTGCAACACAAAGAAAACATAAATGCTTGAGGTGATAGATGTCCTATTTACTTTGATGTGATTATTATGCATTGTATGCCTGTATAAAAAATCTCATGTATCCTATAAATATGTATAGAAATGTATATTTTTTACATACAAAATTAAAAATAAGAAATTAAAATTTAAGAAAAAAATGTTAATTCTAACCACCCCTCCCAACTTACATATTAGTTGTCAAGTATTTTAATTCTTCCCTTTGTTTTAAGCCCTCACAAATTATATATCACTCTATAAAAATGATGTTTGTTTTGACTTGTTTTATGACTTTATTGATTTCTTTGTTCACCATTCTTTCTTTCATTTCAGCTCTTTCTTCTAGAATAATCTTTCTTTTTTCTTAAATATATGCTTTAGACATTCCTAAGTATGACACATGGACAGTTCTCTCAGTTTTTGATTCTCTGAAAATGACTTTATTTTGTTTCACGTTATTCTTAAAAGATAGTTTTGGTTGGTACAGAAGAGTTGTTTTTCAGATATTATTCCACTCTCTTCTGCTTCTGTTGTTGCTGTTGAAGTTACAGTTGTAGTGTTAATTGTCAGCAGTCCAAGTGTCTTTTCTCTCTAGGTCATTTTTGTGATTTCCTTTTGAATTTTGGTGTTCTACAGTTTCACTACAATCTAGATAGATAGATAGATAGATAGATAGATAGATAGATAGATAGATAGATAGATAGATATTCTGCTTGGTATAAATCGATTGATGTCTTCCCTCAATTCTGGAAAATGTGTAATTGTTATCTCTTGAAATACTGCTTCTTCTTCATTCTCTTTATTTTCAGTCTGGGATTCTAACTATACATTTATTCACCTACTTCTTCTCAAACCTTGGGTGTATATGGTCACCTGAGGGGCTTCCTAGTCAATAAAGATTCTGATTCAAGAGGTCAGCAGTAAGGCTGAATCTGAATTTCTAACAATCTCCCAGGTGGATCTCTTGCTATTGTTTCTTGCACATGTCACAAGGGACATAGTACTAGACCTTCTCTTTTTATCCTCCACATCTCTTAACGTTTCTTTCATTTTACACCTCCCATTTCTCTGTGTTGCATTCTAGTTAATTTCTTCAAGCCTGTCTGCCAATTAACTTATTTCTCTTCTTTCATATCTATAATGTTCTTTAACCTCTGTTTTTCAACAACTACATTTTTTATTTCTAAAATTTACATTTGATATTCTTGGAAAATTTTAAGTGCTTTATTGCATGTACATTTTTTGTTGTTCCATCTTCCATTCCTTTAAATAGTTCATAATATGTTGTTTTATATCCTACATCTTATGCAACTATATTTTATGATTATCATGTCTCAACTCTTTGAGGGTTCATATGTATTGTAGGTTACCTATGCTAACTATCATTGATATGGTTTAGTTTCTTTGCATGTTTGGTAATCTTTCTTTATGGGTTCATATTTGGCTGATCTTGATCAATGGAAAACATGAGAGCATAAAATAAAGATATTTTCACCAAAGTGGATTTGGTTTCCATCAAACACAAGCCAGGATAGGCTACCAACTTCTATCATGACTTAAATCACCTTGAAGTTTCTTACACTTAACCTGGGACATTCAAGTTTAGCAACTTCCCACATACGTCTTTTCACCAGACCAAAGTACAGTTTCTTAGTAGCAGTGACAATTTGGCTCCTACCTTTGTTGGAATCCCTCATTACTTTTGCTTTAATTGCTTTTTAAGTCCTCGCAGCTTTTCCTTTTTTTCCGGTCCTTTGGAAATTTCTCTTACTTTCTTCAAACCCCAAAACATAAGAACTATGTCTTATGAAGTATCTAACTTTAGTCCCCAATAAGAAGACCTGTGTGCACATGCACGCACACACACACACACTCAATCCATTATATTCCCAGAGCCACATGTCATGATAATAATTTTCACCTGAGTCTCCCTCACAATTGGCTGCGTGTGACTCTCATCCCATTACATGGTTATTTCCCCAGGTCCTGACCATAATGTTTGAATACATTTCAGCAGCTAGAAAAATACTCACATTAGATTCCCAACTCACAGAGTAAGAGCTATAGAAAAATATGGACATGCAGAGGCTATCTCTCTTTCCATACAGAATAGTAAGTCAAGAACAATACTACACCCCTAGGAGAAGTGCAGAGATTATTGCTACCATGGAAGGCTGGAAAATGCAGAGTGGTAATTATAAAATGCTCAGTGTAATTCTCTAGTTTAGTTAATGCAAAACATGATTGATTTTGAGAGAGCAATAGTGAATTTTCATAACCTGAGTTAGTTGGTGACTCCAATAAAAGCTACTGTTCCAGATGTAATATTTTTAATGGACTAAATTAATACAACCATGGATACCTAATAACCAGTTATAGATCCGGTGACTTTTTTTCAATCCCAACAAGCAAAAAATACCAGAAACCAATAGCTTCCCTGGAAAAAGAGATTAGTACAGTAAGTCATCCTTTAATGTTGTCAATAAGTTATTGGAAACTGTGACTTTATGCAAGACGACATGCTCTGAAACCAATTTTATCATAGGCTAATTGACATAAACAAGAGCTAAGTTCCTACAGCATATTTTTGGTCACAAAACCATCACTAAACTTCTAAAGGCTCAAAACAGTTATAGTATTAACATTTGAAATAAATGTGAGCTAAACATACATTTAAGAAAGATTAATAGAAGCAAGTAAGGTAATTATTTACCCAGATAATTGTTTACTGGTTTTGGTGAACTGGTGAGTAACAGCAGTCCTAGTGATGGGTTAAATCAAGGAATAAGTGTTTGCAAGTCAAAAATTGAAAAGAGCACCTCCTACCACCACACAGTTCAAAATCACACAATAACAACTATGACAGGCTCACTGAGCTCTTTCATCTGGCATCATTTATTGTCATGCATTTGGATGATTACTGTACACTTTATGAATTTTTATTGGACAATAACAGAATTCATTATTCATTCATTTCCCAACCCACTTACTCCAGTTCAGGGTTGCCAGTGGATGGAACCTGTCAGGGCACGAGATTGGCACCAACACTATTCCACTGCAGAGTGCACTCACACATACCCCCACACTTACTCAGACTGAGACCATTTAGAAGATATACCAATTAACATAATGTATACATCTTTGGGATATGGGAGGAAATTAGAGTACCTGGAGAAACTCCACACAGAATGGGGAGAACATGGAGACTTCATACAGACAGAGGCCCCAGCGAAGAATCAATTCTTCTTTTTCTCATCAGGTTTATTTATAATGAAACAACATTGAATAAAGAGATGTTATTCAAGGACCTGCTGTACATCTTTGTTATTCTGTGTTAGGACACGGCAACTCCTCAGTGCTATGCCACAATTTACTTCTCAGGGATCTGACTATTTCCCATTCCACAAGATATCTCCCTGGTCCATCACATTGTTGGTAATAATACAACCTGAAGAGCAAAAAGAAGCTGGTTGCCTAGAAGCCAGGCTCATCAGAAGATGGAAGGTGTCCTCCACAAAATTATAAAAATCTGAAAGCTCAGTAAAGTTTTTGGCAGACCAGTAGACTGGCTCAGCATATTCCTTCCAGAATAAAAAATAAGTTGCAATATTTTGTAATACAATTCTTGGTGGGATCTTTGCATTTTTGAAGTAACACAAGCTATATTTACAAGGTAACTTGTTTATTTGGTGACCTGAAACTTTGCCTAATTTGAGTAAGGCCCAGAGCAAGAGAAGAGTCTTCATCTTGTCCTAGCTACACTGCAAACAGCTCTCTGCACCTTGATCCCCATGACTCAGCCAATGCTATGGCAAATTAAATGCCTTGGGCATATTAAGATAATATATGAAGGCTGGAGAAATTCCCATTAGAAGAATCACAATGAAGTCTCCTAAGAATCTGACAGAAAACCGCATCCTCTTTGGTATGTAGCTGTCATTCTTTTGGAAAACAGTAGTTTGATTGCCACTGGGCCCTGCTAACCATGGTATACCTGATGATAAGGGACTCAGTTGACCATTATAAACTTGGTGTTACCAGATCTACCTAGCCCTAAACTGACTGCAAACAATACATTCCATAGTCAAGGAGAAGTTAGTGTATTAGAGACCAGCCTTAGACAGATCCTAAAAAAAAAAAATGTTGAATAAGAATGTTACCTACTCTTCTAGCAGGCCTGAATCTCCCATGCTGCCATCTTCCCCTCAGCTTACTTCATGGGCCCACATTGCTGTGTGGAAAGTTCCCTATGATGCAGTGATATAAAAGAGAAACCTGTGGCTGACAATAGGCAGAGACAGACCTCCATGATATTAGAGCGCACTCAGGAAGAGAAGTGGAAGAGAGAATTTTTTCCAGTAGGCAGAACTTCAAGTACATTTCTTTGTCCACATTGGCTAGGAGAAGGGCAGATTGATTAGATTTAAGAGATCATCAAGCTCTTAAAAGAAACAGGATCAGAGGATTGATGACAAGAAAAATATCTGTGTCTCATAGAGATGCTCATTATAATGTCTCCACTGCAGAGAAGGTTCTTAGTTGTCAGGTGAAGCTCAGCTAACCTGTGGTATTAGTTAGCCTCTTTCTCCAGCCAACCCATTTTTGTTCAGTGGGTTCTAAAATCATCCATATTGACAAGGACAGAGGTTATACACAAGGTCATCAACAAAGACCTACTCTTACTATGGTTGACTAAGTTTCTGTCAGAGTCAGGTGCCAAGTCTGCCAACAAGTTACTGACCCTGACTCCTCCAGTAAGGAAGAATACTCTAATTGAACCAGGAATTCACCTGTCACAGATTCATTACACTGAATCCTGCTACATCCTTGGAACAGACATTTATTCTGGATTTGGGTATGCCTTCCATGTCTCATAATCTCCTCAAGTAGCACCTACCATAGACTTACTAGATGGCTTTTTCATCCCATGGAGTATCACACAACATTACTTCTGGCCAAGAAAGTCCTTTTAACTATAAAAAGAAATAAAGAAATGTTATAAAAATTCATTGGTCACGTCTGCTTTCTCATTACCCATATGTAGCTGGAATTGCCTATTAAAGACTCAGTTACTATATCAGCCAGTATCTAACACTTTGCAAGCTTGAAATTCTCTCCTGTGGAATTTGGTAAATGCTCTGAAGAGCAATCAATTACTGGCTAGAAAACAAGAATTCCAACACTGAAGGGGTGAGTAGGGTTGGCCTTTTTTATAGCTACAACTCATGACTCATTTATAAAATATTTACTCCCAATCTCCATTACTTTTTACTCTACTGACTTGAGTTTTTCATATCCAAGGGAGAAACGCTGCCATCAAAGGGTTTAACAATAATACCACTAAACTGAAAGTGGCAACTGCCATCTGCTCAGTTAGTCTCTTGAGGACACCAGATAAAACAAAAAAGTGGTGTTTGATCCTGGTTGTCTAGGAGAAACAGAATAACTGCTGCACATTTGGGGCAGGAAGACTTTGGCTAAAATCCAGCTGATCTGGGGTGCCTCTATTAAGTCAAGAGGCAAAGATTAATGCAAGGGTCTTGCAATCCAAAACAAACTGGACATCAAGAGTTCATATTCCTCAGAAATGAAGGCTTCATTGAGAAAGTCAACAGTCTGAGGTGCTAACTGAAGGAAATGTCAACCATGGCTCATGCCATTGCAGAAGTAAGAATTATGGCATCTACCCATCATTTCTTCCTTGTTGTGTTATGTATATAGTCATATACCTAGATACAATGCCCATCTTTTCTCTTTCCTTTTTCTCAGGATTGTTAACTTTACTGTTTGGTACTTATATTGCAGAACTTGGAGTGAGAACTTGATTGATACACTAAATACATTTTAGTTGCCTCTCTTCAGGAGCTTCTGATCATTGAGAAGGTGGTTACACAACATTAGGCAATTTTTGGAAGTGTAAGTTTGGGACTAGATTTTAATCTCTGTACATGGCACATAACACAATGCAAAAGATAGAGTATGTCATTCGTAATGTTTATGTCATTCGTAATGTTATCTGCATCCCATTACAAACAGTTTTCTTCAGATCTATCTTCCAGTTTATGAATTTACTCTTCAGTTGTGTCCAATATCCTGTTTAAAATGCTCACTCAGTTCTTACTTTAGTGTTTACATTTTCAATTTCTGGAAGTCATATTTGGCCTCTTTGATAGTATATTTCTTTTCACCATTTTAATATACCTTTTTAAAGTCTAACAGATAAATGTAACATCTGAATTCTTAGGCTCATGAGCTTGATATTTATTATTGTCTTTACTGATTCTGGTTCAAGGTAAATTATTTCCTTGACTATTTTGTAATTTTAGATTGTGAACTCATCTTTAGAGGATCTTATTCTGTGGGAAACCACTTTGGCCTAGGCTGTGTGTTTGCTTTTCCCAGGTATCCATGGGTTTCACTGACCTGTGACAACTTCTCATCTTGTCTCTCAGCTTGTGGGTTCATGAAACATAAAGAATAGTATATATTTGAATCACAAACCATGAGATGACAAGCCTGTGATTATAAAGTTCTCCAGGGGAGACTTTGTTCCCAAGCAACCAGTCTTAGCTAGAAAAGCTGCCACATGGCTTCCTTGCATGGGTGAACATATTTATTTTCTAGTCACTCTTTTACAAAGTGTTGCCCTTCAAGAGTCCCAGCTTTATGCATATATCTCAGTTCCAATTCCTATCTCTTGCAGTCCCCACATCTCATCATCTGTTGCTCCATGGTGTTACAGTCTATAGCCCTATCTTCTCATGACTACTGGCACCCACCCCCACCTAACACACACATACACACACACACACACACTCACACACACACACATAGCAGTAACTGCTACGGTGTCAGATGTGACTTTCTATTCACTTTCTCCATGGAGATTATGTTTTATCGACTCATCTATGCATTTAAAGGAAAGGTTTAAAAATTTGTTCATATAGAATTTCTAGGCATTTTGTCATGAGAGGATTTGCAGTTTATTTCATATAAAATAATGTCTGGAAAGAAAGTCTCAGGTAGTAATAAATTAGAAATGGCTGTGAGATAATGAATCTTAAAGAAGGGGTTTAATTTGCTGAGAAAGAAAAAAGGAAATGGTAGCGGGAAAGAGGAAAAGGGCACCCCTGCAAGAGAGTGGTGGTTGTAAAGAAACACAACAGAAAAGGGTAAAGCAATTGGCTTTCACGACTGAAGACAAAAATCTTTGACCCTACCAGGGAGTACTATTAGATGAAGGGGCATAGAAGTTGGGGAAAGAGTGTGCTGGGTCACGTGTATTCTGGGAGGTGATGGGAATTTTCTATTAAAGATCTGTATCAGGTCATTGCTAAAAGAAAGAAACAGTATATATGGCTTTAAGATCCAGCCCATATTCCCAGTTCTATGGGGAAAGAGACGGATGAAAAAAGCCTGACAGTTTTAAAATGAAAGTTCATTTAACCAAAGGAGATGTAATAGAGCTGAGAGATGACTACTGAAGTCCAAAAGGAGACTGAACTCTCTGATACAATTTGACATTGAACAAGTGTTGACAGATTAGCATCCACAAGCACTTCTGACAAGACATAGTGCCCTCAGGCTGTGGACAAACCTGGAAGTGGGCAACTGACAGCGTGCAATACACACACCACTTTATTCTTCCTTGTCTGCATTTTGTGATTACGAATCAGTTTTCTTTGACGTGCCCCATTTTTCACTGCAGCATCTTTGTCTCAGTGCCTTTATCAGTTATAACTTCATCAGAGCACTTGAGTGCACCATTTACGAAGTTGCTTTTTGCTGAAAGTTAGAGAGTACAAACCAGTGCAATTCTATAGAACAAAAGAGAAGAAAGAAGCACTACCTGGAGACTCCAGCACTGATGGCCTTCATTTTTCTAACAGAACATCCTTGTGAGGTGTTTTGCCAATAAATTTCTTTATGTGTTACAGTAAGATGAAATAACCATTGAGTTGATAATGCATGTATGTTTTCTCTATAGGTGGATAAGATAAGAAAGTAAAGGCCTTTGATGTAATGTAAAGGATTCAATGTAATACTTAAATGCACGGTGAAGCATTTGAATATGAATATCCACATGCAAGCTTCTCTTGCAAATCCTCTAGCTCATAATACAGTCAGTTATTCCTGTTCCAAATGAGAACTCAGTTCTCTCTGTAGGCAGCTCTATTTTATGCCCCTCCCTGTCTGTGTTCTCAGGCTTCCCTAATATATTCGAAGGCCTATAGTAGAGGACTGGCAAATCCTCTAATTTTTAGAAGCTATCCGTATGATCAGTTCAGCTTTGGCATCCTCTTCTGTTGATAAAATTGCTTGCTTTTATTCCATCATCCCACATGTTAATGTAATCCTAATCACCATGGCATGATCAGCTCCAATGGCTGTATTCACAATTATGGTCTGTAAATAATCTATAACTCATGAATAAATAATCTGGTAAATATTATTCATGAAAGCAACATCATGTCCTTAAAGTCACAGATTTCTCCAGGAATCAATTACAGCAAACAGGAGTTGGAAATTGCAACATAGCTTCTGCTGTGCCGCAAATGTCAGATCCCTGCGATCAGATCAGTGTCTCTGTGTTCCTATCCTAATTGTGCCACTAAGCCACTAGTCCAGAGGAGGTAATTTACCCTCTTTCTGCCTCCCTTTTTCAATTAGCAAGGTGAGAGAAGGCTACTATTTGTAACTGGGCTAACAAAGTTCATTAAAAGTCAATGAATAAATTGACATTAATATAAGTTTAGATTCATAGAATATAAATTTTCTTGAAACATGCCTGCAAAAGTACCAGATGTCATTCTCCTAACTACTAGTTACTTCAAATTGCAAATGTTTGGCTTAAAAGTTAAATCAAGGCCATTTTTATTATAGTTTAATACCTCTTTGTATAACACATTATTCTAGTTTAACACAAAATAAATATATGTTGTGCTTGGGTATCCACCAAATCCCATCCCTCCTAGAAATATGGCCCACAAAATATATTTGGTGAAAAAGCAAATAAAACCAAATAAACTCCAGCTGCCCTCATGGAAAGTTACTGCCCAGATGAGCTGAGTGTTCGCCTCCAAGAGTCTTAGATTGGGTGGGCAGCTAACCCTTTCCTGAATCTGTCTTGTATCCAGTCCAGTGAACAGGAAACAGCTGATGACTGTTGAATTCCAACAGCCCTGCAGTGACCAGAAGCAGCAAGGTGCCCATCTCTGCCCAGGGCATCAAGTAATTCACAGACTCAGCGGTTCCTGTTGTGTTTTTTCTTCTTTTCAGTTCTTTCCATTTTTTTTTTTGTTTTTTTAGGCAGTTCTAGCAGACGGATCAATCAAAGCCCCAGAGCTCTTGTGCCCCTCAAAGAAGAACACAGAGAGATCCCATGTGTGAATAAATTTCCTCTCCTTCACTGATGCTCATTTTTCTTCTCATTAGCAGATAAAACTGAACTGGGCAGGATGGTTGTTAAGCCAACCCTTCTCTTGCTTTCACCACGAACATGTCTACATACGCTCTGGCTTATTCCATCTTCACGTTGCTCTCCCCTTTTCTTGTTCCTCTCTCTTCACCTTCAGATTTGATGTAAACATGTTTTTCAGAAGAATCCCCAGTAAACGTTCCATGAGTGGCCTTGCTTAATGGATTTCCCCCATCACTTACATTTTCCCCCAGCAATGTTCTCATCATGGCAATGCTGCTCTAGCGTGCAGGTGGAATGAGGTGGGATGGGGTTTGGATTCATGGTTCTCAAATACCCGTATGCTTAAGTGATGCCATGCCACATCTTTGCCTGGTTATAAAGAGACAAATACATTAATATGTCTTGCTTTAAATAGTCAATGCCTTTTCTTGATCTGCATGTTACAGATAAGCTGTATAACTCCCTCTTATCATGTACTCTGAAATTAACTCTTTTTTTTTTTTTGTGCTACACTGGCTGGATCTGACCTATCATGCACTCTGTATTTTCACATATTTATCACTGAAGCACAATTCCTGTATAATATGGTTTGGCTCAGTGTCCCCACCCAAATTTCATGTTCAATTGTGATCCCAGGTATTGGAGGTGGGGCCTGGTGGAAGGTGATTGGATCATTGGGGTGATTTCTAATGGTTTAGTGCCATCCCCCTAGTGCTGTCTTATGATAGAGTTCTCATAAGATCTGGTTGTTTGAACGTGTGTAACACTTCCCCCTTTGCTCACTCTTGCTCTCTCTCTCTTTCTCTCTTTCTCTCTCTCTCTCCTGTCACCGTATGAAGACGTGCTTGCTTCCCCTTCACCCTTCTTTCCATGATTGTAAGTTTCCTGAGGCCTCCCCAGCCATGTCTCCTGTAGAGTTTGTGGAACCGTGAGTCAATGAAACCTGTCTTCTTTATAAACTACCCAGTCTCAGGTAGTTCTTTATAGCAATGTGATAACGGACCGATACACCGTAAAAATCTGGAAAACTGATTTTGGTAAAACAAACACCTACCAGTTAATTTCACCTCTGGTCTTTACAAAACATATTATTACAAAGAATTTTGCTCTACTGCCTTGGCCATTCTTCTCAGCCACCATTCTTTTTCTCGTCACTCAGAAAGCAGCCTAAGGTTTGGGCAACCATCCTGACTTGTTTCGTGGCTGTGAAGGGGTCTGGTACACTTGCCAGCTGTTGTCTCTCATCTTGTCAGGCTAGGGCCCAGCTGCTGAGACAGGTCTGCCCTGGCTCCTGTCAATCCGCAGAACCTCAGAGGTCTGTTAATATTGGCCATTCAATTCCTGGTCCAGATTGTCCCCCTCTGTCTTTGGCCACAGGGTCAGTTCTGCCCACACCAGTGATACAACCTGACCATGCCCCTTGTATCCCTCCTTAGGAGCAGGTAGAAATTTCTCTGTCCCATTTGGTCACACATGACCCAGGATTTCTTATAGGAGCTCAACTCAAACCCTTCTTCCATTCTGGGACTTCAATCAAATGTATCTTGATGGTCAAGGTCCATTAGGCCTTAACACATGAGTGATAAATACAAGAATCAGAGAATTTCTTTGCCTTAAAAAAAAGTCTGGTTTTTAAGAGCTGTGTCTTCTTGCAAAATCTTATTTTGGATTTCAGGAGCTAATTTTAAGTCTGTTGCTTTTCTTTTTATCTTGTTCTCCCCAACCCTTGCCTCAACACACACCCCCTCCCACTTTGTATTTCTGCTATAACAATCTTCAGCATCCCCAAGGCAAAGAATGTTCTCCAGAACAGTGGGAGGAACTGCAAAAGAGAAAGTATATATGTAGTTTTTTAAAACTGTCCCCTCATAAGGACAAGGAGCCACATTCTGTCTGTACCTCAGTCAAAGGGCCTGACATCTACAGCTCATTCCTTTGTTTCCTTCAGACCCCCAAATCCTCTGTATTTCTTTCTTTTGAAACCATTCCTGACACCATCTTCATTTTTTCTTTTTCTCTCTTTAAATCACTGCCCACTTTTCTCTGTCCCTTGTGCACTCTGGGGATGAGGCCTTTATTGTTGCTTGAACTTCTCTGTCTTCTCTTCTTCTTGACATTATCTAAACTTTTCTTTTCCACTTCAATTTTTGTTGCTTTGACTTAAATTTCTTTGCCTCCATCCACCCCAAGCCTCATCTCCATTAAATACTTCTGCAACTAGGAATATATATTTTAGTTTTTAAAGCCTTTGGATCCATTTCTTTCCCCTAGTGCTTCTGGAATACAGAGAGGATATTTAATGTGGTTATTCAGGAAGTGTTAGAACCTATGTTCTGCAATGGGCATCTATTTTTTTATTTTTTTATTTTTTATTTGTTGTTGAGGAGAGGTCTTGCTATAGCCCAGGCTGGTCTCAAACTCCTGGGCTCAAGCAATCCTCCCTCCTCAGCCTCCCAAAGTGCTAGGATTACAGGCATGAGCCACCATGCCCAGAGGACGTCCATTATTATGTAAGGCCCAAAGGAAGAGAAATTTCTTAGCAAGAAAAAACTCCTACCATCTAAATGGAGAATCCAGGACAGGCCATAATACCCAGCCAGAGAATACTCAGATTAGACAGAAAGCTACAAAATAGAGTTTAACAACAGCAAGAGACAAATTTTCAAGTTATAGTTTTCTAGTAAGGCAGGCAGCCAGCATTTTGCAAAGCATAGTGAAGGAAGAACCTCTATAAACACTATGCTTACAATGAACAGTTTTCATTTGCATATTCATTGACTGAAAACAAGTTGTAACTAGTAGAAGAACCCTGAAAGGAAAGAGAAAACAAAACCCACCACTATTTAATGAGTGTTTACCATGTGTTGGGCAGAATGCAAAGTATTTTACATGTGTTGTCTTAATTTCCACAACCAACCCTATAAAATTGAACTATTATTTTAGCCATCACACAGAAGATGAAATTGAGGTTCAAACAAGTTGCCCAAAATCACATAGCATATATGTGACAAAATCTAGGTGGTTTTAACACAAGCCTACCCTCTTCTGCCAGAATCAAGTGAGACAAGAAGTGATCACAGGATGTAAATGGGAAAGAAAACAAGCTGAATTTGGACAACACGTGGAGAGGAGGAATCCAAAACAGAGACCCTTCCCTTGGATATCTGCATAAGAATGATTGTCCAATGTTTAATGAAAAAGAACATGATATTGACATCAGAACTCCATTCAATAGCATATGTAGGTATCATATATATTTACATTTTTAAAAAGGTATAGCAATATATATTACTCTCTATACAGGGAGTAAATTGATTCTGAATGAATTATTTTTATATCTTTATAAAAGTATAAGTTAAAAATCCTCCATTGTCAACTCTAGATACATAAAAATTTCAGTAAATGTTTTGGTAGGAATCATGAAAAACCAAATGAATAGTCCCCTTGTTATAGAATTATATTTCAAATAGTGCTTTAATTGTGTAAGCCAATTAATATTCTCCATTTCATATTGTATGTTGCACTATTCTATATTATACTGAAAAGTGACAAAACGTTCTTGCTTTTAATCATTTTAAATCATATGTTAACATTTTCTCTTGTTCAAATGAGATTTTTTAATCCTCTATGTATTCTTTGCAAAGTATCCTAGTGCCTGAGAAATTTTTTGTTATTGCCAAAGCATGATCAGAAAGAGCAATCGTTTCACATTATATTTCATAGCCTCTGTTCCTTTTAGTTTATAATCCTATTAATTCTTTTGGGTCTATTTCCTTTTCTGTCAATATTTATACTTCAAAGTTAGCATACACACCTAAACAAATACATTTCAGTTCTCTTTTATTGCAGGCTGATAGAAAATGTGATGGCATCATTACATTGTAAACTCCTGGACTGTAGTAACCACAACTTAGTAATGGTGTCTACAGAGTATTGGGTGCATAAAAGGTGCTGAGTAAATATTTGTTTACAGAATGTTGGCAACCTCTATACTTAATTTTTAAAAATAGTAATAATAATTAACATTGCCTGAATTAAGGTAACAAGTATGTTTGGCATCATGCCAGATTTAAAAATACTTGTCTTATGTAAGCCTCATAACAACACATTATTTCTATTTTACAAATGAGGAAATTAAAATCAGGAGAGGTCAGGCACCCTACTCAAGATCACATACAATAAGTGACAATAAGCGATGGAGTCAGACTCCATCCCAGGTGTATCTAACTCCAAAGCCCATCACTTAAAGAGTACACTTTTCTGGCCTCTCAACTTACCCTAAGCAATTGCTAAATACCTTTTTGACCTCATCATTCCTTTTCACATTTTTTTGGAAGACATATACATTTACAAATTTCATTTCCCAACCCTTGTCTAATTCACGTCTATACTACTGCAAGGAAATTTCAGATCTTACCCTGTATGCTCATTATTTATGGTTCTTCCCAGTAGTGTGCTGGTAAATGTTAAACAATCAGTTTGGGAGAGTGGGAGAGAAACCCTGATCTATAATGCTTGCCTGATTTCCATGATATAGATACTGCTGCCATGGATGATTTCAAGCTACAAACATGATGTCGCTGAACAGAATTGGAAAGAGATATCCAATCTCTCAGGTACAGCTTTCTGTACCTGGGGCCTGTGAATTGTAGCATACCATCAGCTCCTTACCATATTGGCTAATATGAAGTTGAAAAAAAAAGCATTAAAAAATTAAAATCCTCCCAGTTAGGATATGCTTTGGACAAGTACCCAGAGATATGATCTGGCTGTGTCCCCACCCAAATCTCATTTTGAACAATAGTTCTCATAATCCCTGTGACATGGGAGGGACCCAGTGGGAGGTAATTGAATCATGGGGGCAGTTACCACCATGCTGTTCTCATGATCCTGAGTGTGTTCCTATGAGATCTGACAGTTTTATAAGGGGCTTTCCCCACTCTTCGCTCAGCACTTCTCCTTGCTGCCACCATGTGAAGAAGGACAGAAGGACATGTTTGCTTCCCCTTCTGCCATGATTGTAGTTTCCCAAGTCCTCCCCAGCCAGGTGGAACTGTGAGTCAATTAAACCTCTTTACTTTATAAATTACCCAGTCTTCGGTATGGCCTTATTAGCAGCATGAGAACGGACTAACATACCTAGTAAACACACATTTGTTTTAAAAACTTTGAGTACTGTTTGGTGAATTAAATTAATTTTCACTCTTCCATAACAGTAGTTCTCAAACTGTGGTCCCCAGACCAGCAACATCAGCATCACCTGGGAATTTATGCAAATACAGATCCTTGAACCTACTCCAGACCTACTGAATCAAAAAACTTGGTGGTGATCAAGGGAGGTCAGCAATTGTTTTAACAGGCATCCAGTGATCCTGCATGCTCAAGTTAATGAATGACTACTCAGATGTAAAAATCTCTTTTCCATTTCAGCCCGCAAGGTAGAGCAAGTCTAACAAGGGAGAGTCCAAGGTCAATTTTAATGAAAAAAAAAGTGGGGAAAGTCAAAGTTCTGGCAAGTAAGTGTGTAATGTAGACTGCAGAGAAGAAAGGTCCTGGCCCAATTATTACTCACATCTGAGTCAGGAGAAGTGTGTGTAAAACCTACCTGAAGAAAAGCCCTCCAGACCAGAGAAGAAATTTGCTGACTTTTGGAGACTCATCCCAGAAACAATGCCTTAGTAGGTATCAGAAGAGAATGGACCCAGTTGGAAAGCTTCACTCCTTAGCATACGTAGCTAGGGGACCTCTGTGTTTTACATAAGTGAGTTAAAACACAGATTTTCTACCTAAACACCACCTGGAATAAATTTTTTCTGCCTACTTCAGTAGTTCACCTGTATTAGATTCTTCTGGTGGGCTTGTTACAACACAGATCGCTGACTTCCTTTCTCCTTGCCTCTCCAGCACCTGACAAAGATTCTCTGTTTCACCAAATTCCAGTCAGCCTCCTCTGAACTCTCTTCTCAATGAGACCCTGGCTTTTAAGCTTCTGTGTTTGTTTCTGCATTGTCCATGTTAGCAAGAATCCTACTAAATCAGTTTAACTAGAATTCTCCACCCTCCAGATACAATTACCCTGAATATCTGATCATCCACCATCGCCTAGGTGATGTCTGATCACCCTGGCCTGCCTTCTGCAAGAATCCTCTTAGGTCCCTTTAGCCAGAATTTCCCCTATTCGTGATGTTTCCTCAAGTAAGTTCCCATCCTCTGATCCCTTCCTGCTCCTTAGCTACTGTGATGGTTAATATTGAATGTCAACTTGATTGGATTGAAGGATACAAAGTATTGTTCCTGAGTGTATCTGTGAGGGTATTGCCAAAGGAGATAAACATTTGAGTCAATGAACTGAGAGATGCAGACCCACCCTTTATCTGGGTGAGCACCATCTAATCAGCTGCCAGCACCGCTAGAAGAAAAGCAGGCAGAGGAACGTGGAAGGACTAGACTGGCTGAGTCTTCTGGCCTCCATCTTTCTCCCATGCTAGATGCTTCCTGCCCTTGAACATTGGACTCCAAGTTCTTCAGCTTTTGGACTCTTGGACCTACATCAGTGGTTTTCCAGGGGCTCTCAGGCCTTCAGCCACAGACTGAAGGCTGCAGTGTCAGCTTCCCTACTTTTGAGGTTTTGGGACTTCCTTGCTCCTTTTTGCAGACGTCCCATTGTGGGACTTCACCTTGTGATTGTGTGAGTCAATACTCCTTAATAAACTCCTTTTCATATATACATCTATGCTATTAGTCCTGTCTCTCTAGAGAACCCTGACTAATACAGCTATAAATTCCCACTCATCCTTATTGTATTCGGAGTTGAGCCCAATCTCTCTCCTATTACAAAACCCTGTTGTAGTACCTTCCTTTGAATAATGTCTGTCTTACCATCTTTAACAAGGGTCATGGTACAGCTTTTCTCTAACACAGCCCACCAAGTTCCTAATTCAGTAGGGTGGGGTGGGGCCCAGGAATTAGCATTTATAACAAGTTCCCAGTGATGCTGCTACTGGTCTGGGAACCACACTCTGAGAATTACTGGCCCTAACTACGTTTTCTAAGTTCTGTATAGTGTTCTTGAGTTGTTAAGGAGCTGTTGGATTTTGCCTCGGGGGCTGTTCTGATGGGTGTTAGGTGAGGAGATGTGTACAGTGGAGCCAGCAACAGAAAAACTTTCATTTTGGCCGGACCATCACTGCAAAGCAGAGACGGAGTTTAATCAGAGCCATAATTGTTACACTGCTTAAGAATTCCAATTTTCTCTAGTGTATCTCATTTTACTGTGAAGAGATATTTACTGCAGAAAATTTTTGTAATTAAAGCATGTAAGTATAATCAATTTTGGCTTATGGGAATGCTTTTCTAGAAATCAAAATGTATACTGGCATCAATGTACAAATATTCCAGAAACCAACATTAAACAATTTATGAGGTATTCATTAATATTCTAATACATTATTTTCAGCATCTCATTCAGGAATGAGCTGAGGCTTTCTCTGTGAAGATTCAGTGTTCCTATTACTGAAATGTCCCAAATGTAACAGAGCAGTCAGTACAACCTGTCTTCCTCATTCTGCTCCTAACCACATAAATAACCAAATAGTATTCATTAAGTTTGCAAATGGCATCACACTGGGAGAAAAATTACCATGAAGGAGAGAAAAAAAAACCTTAAATACCACAGGACCTTGATAATTTGGAGCAAAGGAGAGAAAATATAACAAACATTATCAAAGTGGAGTACTTACATTTAAAGAGAAAATCCAAATTACAAAATAAAAGGAAGGTCATTATACGTGCAAATTTGCCTCTTATTTGTTCATCTATTCAGCAATTTATTATTGAGCACATATTATGTGCTCTGCTCTGGGGATAGAGTGGTGAACAAAACAGACATTGTTTCTCACTCGGGGAACTCACAGAACAAGGGGGGACAGGGGCCTTAAACAAGGAAATAAATAAAAAACTTCCAGTTGTGATAAGTGTTTTGAAGGGAAAAAGCAGAGTAATGTGGAAAAGAATAATTGATATGTGAGAGAAAGAACTATTCAGAGTAGAGTGGTTAGGGAAACCTCTCTGAGATATGAGCTGGAAAGCAATGAGAAGCAATCCGCTTTTGAAAGAAGACTGTTCCAGACAGAGAGGGCTGTCTAGACAGAGTGAATAGCCTGTGCTGAGTCCCTGGGCAAGAAAGGTCTTGGTGTTTTCCTGGAACTGAAAGGAGGCAGGTGTGGCTTCAGCGTAGTGGACAAGAGAGATTGAAGAAAGATATGAGGTGGTAGAGAGATGAGAGCAAGGAGAGAGAGACAGATGAGGCTGGAGAGAAGGTATTCAGGGTAAATATGGCTCACGAGCAGAGTAACATTTTCAAGCAGGAGTTGGCAAACATTTTCTGCAAAGGTCCTGTATTGGTCAGGGTTCTCTAGAGGGACAGAACCTAATAGTATAAATGTAATATATAAAGGGAAGTTTATTAAGTATTAATGTACGCAGTCACAAGATCCCACAATAGGTTGTCTGCAAGCTTGAGGAGCAAGGAGAGCCAGTCCAAGTCTCAAAACTGAAGAACTTGGAGTCCGATGTTCGAGGACAGGAAGCATCCAGCATGTGAGAAAGATGTAGGCTGGGAGACTAGGCCAGTCTCCCTCTTCATGTTTTTCTGCCTGCTTTATATTCGCTGGCAGCTGACTAGAGGGTGCCCACCAGATTAAGGGTGGGTCTGCCTTCCCCAGCCCACTGATTCAATTGTTAATCTCCTTTGGCAACACCCCCACAGACGCACACAGGATCAATACTTTGTATCCTTCAGTCCCATCAAGTTGACACTCAGTGATCACAGGGCCAGAGTTTAGGCTTTGCTGAGTCGTAAGGTCTCTGTCACAAGAGACCTTACTGAATTCTGCAGTTGCAGCACAAAAGTAGATACAGACAATACTTAAATGAATACAGGTAGCTGTGTTCTAATAACACTCAAATATTTACCAAAACAGGCAGTGGGTGGACTTGGCCTACAGGCCAAATTCTTTCAGTTGCCAACCCCTGAAAGAATAACATCGGGCACAATACTATCCTAGGAAACATAAGTAGGAGCAGGACACTCACCTTCCAGATGAGTCAGCATTAGTCAGACCATCACTGAATGAATGTCTTCCTTGGGCTCCACACTTAAATGGCATATGATAAAACTCTCGTAGGTTCTAAAATAGTGATGATTAAAGGTTTGGAAAACTGGCCAAGCAAAAAGTTTAAAGGAGCTGATGTATTCAACTTGATCAACAAAGAAGAGGTAATAAAATAGTTTTCACATGTTTTAAGTGTTATTTTGCTAAAGATTGTCCAACTGTTTATATGTTCACTGAGTGGAAAGACATGAGAATTGAAGGGAAGTGAAAAGCGAGACATGAGAAGGAAATGGAACTGGAAGAATATAATGACCTGACAAGGTAAACACCTGTAAACAATGGGCCCCACTGGCTCTCCTCTCTGCCTCCATGGCAGACTTTTCTGTCCAGGAGTAAAAGATTGTTTTAATCAATGTGGGTTAATATACCTCATTTTAAAGGAACACCATAGTGTATAATTTTATCAAGCAAATAGTTGCCCATAATTAGTCATCTTTAAAACATCACATTTTCCTTTTTTTTTCCAAAAAAAAAAAAAGCCATATTATATTGATCAATTACTATAAGCCAAGTGTGCTGGGCATTTGACATGCATCATCTTGTTTACTCTTCACAATACTCCTAGGAAGTCAATACTATCCCCATCCTCATTTTACTAAAAATGAAGTCAATGCTATTCTTATCTTCATTTCACAGAAAACTTAGACTAATGTTACTAAGTAATTTGTCCAATGGCAACTAGCTAATAAATGGTAGACCCAATTAATTTTATTTTTTAGTGAGGCATAGTAAATGAGGAACAGCTGTATTTACACTTCTTTTTAAAATAGCACTGAGTAATATTTATCATAAGATCTCTACTTTTTAAATCAAGAAGGACAAAAATTAGAATGCACTTTTGACTAAAGCCAACCTAGCTTATCCACAGCTCTATAAACAATAATTTCTACTTATTGTCTACCTGTGTTTTGTGAAGAGGCTCAAATCTTTGAAAACTCTATAG
Source organism: Homo sapiens (assembly GCF_000001405.40). NCBI lineage: Eukaryota > Metazoa > Chordata > Mammalia > Primates > Hominidae > Homo > Homo sapiens. The sequence goes on from NC_000006.12 coordinate 82,877,018, forward strand.
ATTCATTTTTCTAAGCTCTCTTAGTGTCTTTTGCAGTATTTAGAGTTTTACATGTCTTTAAAAAGAGGAAGCCTGGTTATTTTATCATTTCTTTGATAGTTCTGATATCCAAAGTATTTGCAGGTCTGTTTTTGCTGTCTTTTATTCTGTTGGTTCCTACTCTTGGGTTGTTATAAGCTGCTCATTTTTTTTCAGAAAATTTACTGTGAGACTTCTTCGAGGCCTAGGATAAAGGCATATTCCTCCAGAGAGGACTGGAATTTACTTCTGCCAAGTGCTAGAAGGCACTACCACTTCAAAGCCAATTTAAACAACATTTACAACCTGTGGTTTTATTGGACTGCAAATCTGGGAGGCTAGGTTGCAAATCTGTGTCAAGATTAGCTTGTGGTAATATCTCAGGGATAGCTTTCCCTCTTTCTGTCACTGCTTGGTGCCAAGGTAAACATCCTTGCACTCTCTTGGAGGAGGGTATGAGGTGAATTCTTTTCTGACTTACCCTTATAGTTTGAGGTAGTAGCATTATGAGCAGATGGGTCTTCTATTAACCAAGAGCCATCTGCCCTTTGCTCTTGGCTCCTGGGAGAGGATCTCTAAGCCCTTGGAATGTACTGCCCAATATGAATGCCATTGTGTACCTGAGAGCCTGGTCCACACCAATAGCCTAATGATGTGATTTTGAGTTGGGGCTGTGAGTCACATGGTATCAGCTCGAGCTCTAGAAGGGCTGGAAACTAAAGGTCAGTTTTAAGGCGGGCAGCCAGGTCTAAGCAACTGAGCCCCAGTAAAAACTGGAAGCCATGGCTCAGTTGAGCATCCCTGGTTGACAACACTCTGTGCACATTTTCTCACATCCTTGCTGGGAGAAGTTGGCACTGTCCATGACTTGGCTGGGAGGGGCCAATGGAAGCTCCATATGTGGATTCTGCCCCGTGTGTCTCTGGCCTTGGCAGATTTTAATCTGTATCCTTCTGCTATAATAAATCACAGCTGTGAGTATAAAAGCTTTCAGTGAGTTATGTGAATCCTTCTAGCAAGGTTTCAAGTTTGTGGCTATCTTGGGGACCCCAAACTTGTAATTGGTGTCAGAAGTGAGGGTGGTCTTGGGGACTCCCCTACCTCTGCAGTTGTTTTCAGTAGAAAGTGGTTGCTTCAGTGGAAAGGTGGTCTGATTACCCAGCCAGCCACATAGAAATGGAAGAGTCTGTAGTAATTAGGAGATGCAACATTTTCCTGCCTTTAGCCTGTGTTGCATATCTGTTTCACCTAAGTTGAGCAGTATGACTGAACTAATTTTAATTGAAATGTCAGAACAGGCTTTTATGAAATTCAGATGTAGTCAAATGTTGACTAGATAGTTTCTCAATAAAACAAATTTTATCATACGTGTATGCATCTATATATAAATGTAACATATACATTTATGGCTACATGTGTGTGAATATACCTAACAAAATAGCACTGGATTGAGAGTCAACAGATGTGAATTACACATATAGTTCTGATCCTGCCACTTCCTAGCAATGTCAACTTTGGTGATTCACTTAAATTTTTTGAGTCTACCTCCTCATAAACCCAGTCACCTAGGTCAGGGGTTCTCAGTGGGGATGATTTTGCCTACTAGGGGCCATGTTGGAAATTGATGGGACTACTTTTGGTTGTCGTAATATTTGAGAGTGCCATTGGCATTTGGGAGAAGCCAGGGATTCTAAATTTTCCACAATGCACAGCACAGCACTGCCCATCAAAGAATTGTTCCACATCCCTCACAAATATTGGATGTTTTGTCAGACATTCCTATAGGTGAGACAGGTTTTTATAATTATCTGAGCCCAGAATCTAATTTCGTTTTATGCAGAAAAACAAAGTATGTTTTTGCATGATTTTAATACACATGGAATTTTCCAGATTTACAGCTACCATGTATTGAGGGGAGATTTCACTTTGTTTGGATTGGCACTTTCCCTGGGATGCCGCCAGAGTGAGTCACTGAGACCACCCACTTGTGTGAGTCTGCACGTGCAGCTGCACATGTGTGGTGTAGGCATAGACTGCTCCCCAGGTCTTCCAGTGTGGTCCTAAACTGAGCATTTCCATATTAAAGTGGAGAGTATTTATTATAAATTACTTTCATTTCTCCTCTGTGTTGTAGCTAGTGCATTATGTGTGCCTGTAGGTTATAATATCTGTGGAATTAATTTCAAAAGAAATTAAACTTATTCCTCCCATCTAACTGAGGCTTTGTCCCCTTTGACTATCATCAGTTTGATTTTTTTTAGATCAATACTACAATATGGTGAATATGGCTAATAATTGAGTACTGTATAGTTCTTTTTTCTTTTTTTTTGAGATGGAGTTGCACTCTGATGCCTAGGCTAGAGTGCAGTGGTGTGATCTCGGCTCACTGCAACCTCTGCCTCCTAGGTTCAAGCGATTTTCCTGCCTCAGTCTCCCAAGTAGCTGGGATTACATGCATGTGCCACCATGCCTGGCTAATAAATTTCGTACTTTTAGTAGAGACAGGGTTTCATCATGTTGGCCAGCTGGCCTCAAATTCCTGAGCTCAATTGATCTGTCCATCTTGGCCTCCCAAAGTGCAGGGATTGCAAGCGTGAGCCACCATGCCTGGCTAATTTTTGTATTTTTAGTAGAGAGGAGGGTTCGCCATGTTGACCAGGCTGGTCTTGAACTCCTGACCTCATGTGATCTGCCCACCTCGGCCTCCCAAAGTCCTAGGATTACAGGCATGAGCCACCACACGTGGCCCAGTACTGTATATTTTAATATCACTAAAACAATAAATTTCAAATGTTCTTATCACAAAAAAAGTGAGCTGAGATGATGGATATATTATTTCACTTGATTTAATTATGGCACATTATATTAAAAAATGACATCACTTTGTACCCTATAAATATATACAATTTGTCAATATATAATTTAAAAAATAATATCTATGGATTTTATTCTGTGTGGCATCCTAGTATCCTGTCAGATTTGCCCCATGCCGATTGCACACACACAAAGAAAAGTAGAAAATGATTTAAGATCCCCTTTTTATGAAAAAATATCCACATAGTTAAGAATATGCCAAGGTACATAACTCTGTAAACTTTCTTCCTTCCTTCACTTCAGTTAATTAGCCTAGTTTGGGCTTTGTGCAGTAAAAAGCTCTGGATATGTTTCTAAGCCACCCTGTTCCATGTGGCTTCATAACTACCTACTCCTTCAAGATATGGTCTCTTATCAAGGATGATCTCCTGGTTCAGAGAAGAAAGGGGCCATTAAGTTCATTTTCAAAGGTAGCCTCTACTCAGGACCAAGTGATTGTGTCTTCATTTCAGCAAAATGCATTTCAGTAGACTTACTACTAAGTAGTGACATCACACTAATGAATAAGACCAGGTCATTCATCATAAAAGTCTTATAGTGTAACTGGGGAGAAAGTCTTCAACCCAAAAGGCTGTGACATAATGCAGGGAATGTGAGGTATAAGCAAATGCTATGGGGGACCTGGGGGAGTAACTCATTCGACCTGAAAAAATGAGGAAAGGTTTTAAGAAGTGGGATGGGTTTGGGCAGAGGTGTTTCAGGCAGGGGCACTTCATTAACAAGGTGTGAAGAGGAGAATAGAAAGCATGAGGGAGGCCTCAGGGGAGTCTGGCTAGCATGCTCCGAAAGTTAACATCAGTGAGGAATTGTGGGCAAAAAGGCCAGAAAGATAGGTTAGGACCTGTCTTAGTCAGCTCAGGCTGCTATAATAAAGCACCATGGACTCCATGGCTTACAAACAATAGAAATTTATTTCTCACAGTTCTGGAGCCTGGAAGTCCAAGAGCAGGGTGGCATCGTTGTTGGGCTCTGGTGCAGGCTCTTTCCTGGTTTGCAGATTGCTGACTTCTTGTTATGTCCTTATGTGAGGGAAAGAAGACAAGAGGGCTCACTGGAGTTTCTTTTATAAGGTCTCTTATCTCATTCATAAGGGCTCTTCTGTCATGACTTACTTGCCTTCCAAAAGGTCCCACCTCCTAATACCATCTCATTGAGGGTTCAGATTTCAATACATGAATTTTAAGGGGACAGAAACTTTCAGTCAGTTGCAGGATTCAGTTGTGGAGGACCTTGAAAGCCAGGCTGAGAGGTCTGGAGAGAATCCTGCATGTATGAGGGAGCTATGAAGTTTGGAGGAGAGTGACATGATCAGAGTCCTGGTTTTGGAAAATTTTCTAGCCAGCAACTGCAGGATGCATTGGGGCTAGGAGGATGTAGGGAGAAAGGGACTTTGGTAAGTTGGTAGTTGTGACAATGTTGCCAGGTAGGAATATGAGGGTGGGAAGCAGAGCAGAAGCAGTCAAACTAGAATAAGAGGACAGAGAGAGACTCACAGAGGAGGAGGATTATGAGGAGGGGCTGTACCTTGATTCCAAGGGTTCTAGCCTGGGTGCCTGAGCATCTGGTGATGACGCCATAACCTGGATACCACCTTCAAGGGGAGGAAGAGATAATGAGCTTGGTTTTTAGATCAGTTGGATTTGAACAGCAGATACTAAGTTCATATGGAGATGTCCAGCACACTATTAGAAAAAGAGGCTGAGTGCTCTACAGTTTCCAGAGTATCTATCACTTCTCTACTGCTTTTTCCTCCTCTGAAAAAAAGGCCCTCTTCTCTTTCTCTGTCCCAGCTGAAGGCTATAGATAGCACTGTGATTAACAGTTCATGCGGAACTCAGCCATTCTGGAATCACATAATATTTCTGCCTCTCTCTAGCTGTATGACCTTAGGTAAGTTATTGGATTTCTCTAAGCCTCATCAGTTTCCTCACATATAAACTGGTGATAACTAAAGTATCTTCTGTATAATGTTCCCACAAATAAATTAATTAATGCCAGCTAATACCTGGCATATTGGAAATGCCTAAAAATATCAGCTGTTAGTAAGCCAAATTATTTACCATTCCACGAACACACCCAGAACTTTCCTTCCTCCCGTCATTTGTCCCTGCTGCTGCTCTCCACTTACAATGCTCTCCAAAGGAACCGATTCCCTACTGTTCATCTTACTCTGTACACAAGATCCTGAAATCCTACTTACTCTTGACTCTAGGAGCCAGGGTTTGAATTTGGAATTATCCATGAGATTGGAAAATCTTGCACCCTCACTGTGATGATTAAAAAAGGCTTGACTGGCTTAGAAGGGGAAATCCAGAGTTTATCCTATTACAGCAAATACTCTCAAGCTGTAGGGCTTTCCTAAAACCTTTTAACAGAGGGATCATATAGCAAAGCACCTCACCAAAATAAAGGCTTTATCGGAATATAAAAAAGGAGAAAAGAAAAGTTTGGGAAACCCCAAACAAATGTGATAATGTCTAATGTTTGCTACTGTTTTTTTGTGGACAATTGAATACTTGGCACCTCTATTTTGGATTCCTCTTTGGCAGCACTTTCCCAAGCTAAAAAAGCTACCAGCCAGTTCTTCCCGGCTACCTTCCACCTATGCTTTGTTTTGGCAAGTGTAACTTGCCTGAGAGCTGCAGAAATGCTACTCTGCACAGAGCTGATGCCAGACTGGAAAAGACATTGTTCTCTGTAAAATTAAGATAAGAGATTTTGAAGCAGAAGGGCCCATCTGCTTCAAACTATAACTTTAACAATGTTTTTAAGTTATCTGAAACAGTAGCTCAATGTCATTCTTTGGGTTTCTACTTATTACAGTATCTTTCTTCTGTTTTAGAACAGTTCCTATAGCAATATAATGAAAATAACCTTTTTTTTTACAGCCACAAAGAGAGAACTATAAATTATTCCTCACCCTAGTTTCCTTTCAGCACATACAAAAGCCAGTGCTTGCTCCGCCCCAATAAATCAAAGCTTCAAAAAGGGCAAGGCAGCTAATCAGAGAATGCAGCTTCTACTAACTAGACAATAAATTTCTGTGTCTGTCATCTTTGGAATTAATAAGAGATAAATGGCCACTTTACACAAAGTTTCCAAACCAGGTCAAGAAACAGTCAGGACATAGAGTGGACTTGTAAACCTGGTCATTATATTCATCTAAGACCATATAATCTAACAAGAAGTGAAGGTTCATCTGCATTTTACACATGAGCAAATATCTTCAATACATTTCCTACAGGACAAAAGACTTCATCGTTTTATTTTTGAAAAGTATATTTTCAAAAAAGAAATAAATGTTTTTAGTCTGGGAGGAATAAGGAAAATGTCTCTTAGAGGAAGTGATATTGGAAATAAATCTTAAAGGATATAGAACCTTTTAACAGCCAGAGAGATTCATAAACATTTTGTAAGAATGGATTAACTCAAATCGATCATACCCTATTGACCCAACTTCTCTAGTTTTCCAATATGAATGTCCCCAGTAGAGTAATTAATGAAGCCAACATTTACTGAATTCCTTCTCTGCATTAGGCATCGTCCTAAGCACAGGATTAAGAAGATGAATAAAATACTGGACCTGACCTCAAAGAGCGCCCACGCTTCAAAAAGTTCAACTGTTCCTTAATTTTATTACATAAAATAAAACACAAGAATCATTATAAACTGATTCCCAAGTTTAGTTGGAAGCCCCACCTGAAAGTTTTGTTCCACAGCAATTTTCTCAGTAAAATAAAATCGAATGACCTAAGATAAAGAGAAGACAGCTTTCCCAGGATAGAAAGGAGTTTCAAAAATCACCTCAATCTAATATACTTTCACCAAAGCCATAGTCCCAAACTTAAAGTTGGTAATGCTACATAACTGCTTTAAAACTAAAAGAGAACAAGAATGGTCAAAGCTTGTGTTATAGCACTTCTATAAAGGTAGAATAGGCAAAAAAAAGTAATTAAATTTTAGTCCCAGGTTGAACCCAAACAGTGCTAACACCTGAGATTTCTGCCCTGAATCTATTTATGTGCAGGACCAAGAGAACTTCTGGGAGAACCTCATTTTGGAAGAAGAGATAATTCTGCACTTGGGTTTGGTTCAGAAATGGTGTTTTAGCATTTGAGTATATGGTACTCAAAATTTGTTTTCAAGTCTAGCCCCTGGGCTGGGATGATAATTTCAAATTTTAAAACATTAAAAAGAGCAGCTTTCAATTAGAAACTATAATTATAGGCACTGGGGTGCAGGGAAACACCCATTTTGGGATCTGTGTTACAAAGAGCAACACATGGTGGAGAGGATCAACCTTCTCCTTCCATCTATACCCTAGACAGTGAAACTTTGGCTTATTGAAGTTTCCAAGACTGTTTCACTCTTTTGCTCCATTGGAGGCTTCCAGGTAGTAGAGGCACCTACACCTCATATGGGGCAGCAGTGGAGATCATCAGCACCAAATGATGCTGGAGAAAAAAAGGAATAAAGTGACAGATGCCATGAGGTAAATGATGCATACGGGCACTCCAGAAGGCACCCTAGACATAATTAGAGAGTATTTTGCAGGGAGCGGCAGGACTTTCAATAGTAAGTGAGGATAAGAATCAGATAAATAGGGTTTATTCCTGCTCATTTCACCTCATTGTCTACTCCCCTATGTTTGGCTCCATACACACAGGTTACTCAAATATTAGATCCTAATTCATTTCAACAATGTGTTGAATTATTCTTTAAATAGAAATAAAAGTGCTCACTTATCTGAAATTTAGTAACATAGTCAACAACTTCTTTCCCATCATGGTATTTCAGGTGGAACACTGAGATTTTACACTGGGGTGATCCCACAGCATAATTCTGAGAAGGAAAATGCATGGGGAAATACGAATGGAAGGGAGGAGGACGGGTTCACCAGGGAAGATGATTTGCCTTGTTCTCCTGAGAACCAGTGACACTGAACAAAAAGATTCCCGGTACTTTTGGAAATTACATAAAAAGTAAATTGAACTTTAGTCCAGAGGGCATCCCTGTCAGATGCGTGGTCAGAAACTTCTGTGCTGGATTCCTTTCCTCACTTAAAGATTTTTGCAAAAGCTTTTCTGCTTGCAAGAGAAGATTCTGAAAAAGATCTCATTTAAAAATATCTGTATGAAAATGCTTAGAATGGGTTGTCACGTCCCTTGTTAGAGCAAAGCTGACTGGAGATGGAAAACTATGTATTCCGTTGTATCTTTAATGGCCTTCACAAATAATTAAAAGTAGAATAGAAAAAAAAAAAGCACTGACAAAGCTATTTGGTCAAGACAGTTTTTGACAGTTTTTTGGAATTGGGAAACCTCTCCTTGTTTTGCAACAAAAGGTCTTTTCTTCTTCTCCTCAACCTACCTTGTGCTCTGCAACCAGATTGGTTTTTCTAGTGCATCACTTTTATGTTATTCTCCTGCTTAAAACTTCAGAAAATCAATTCCATAGGGGATGACAAGGAGGGGTGGCAGACCAGCAAATTCATAGAATAATCACTGTATCTAAAATGTATTGCACACTGTGTGCCAGGTGCTGTTCTAGACATTATGCATGCATTAACCCATTTAATGCTGAAATAACCCCTATGAGACAAATGCTATTTTTTTACCCCATTTTAAAGATGAGCTTAAATAACTTGCTCAAGACTGCACAGGCGGCATTTCAACCCAGGCAGGCAGATTCTAGAACCCTCTCACTTTTAACTACCGCATCTACATTTTAGAGCTCAAAAAGCCCTCAAGGGTACAAAAAATATATATTTTCTGTTCTTGTTGTGCCTGAGCACTGAGAAGTCAGGAGGAAGGGGATTGTTCTGCAGGTTCATGATGGCATTCAAAGCTTTCCACAATCTGACAAGAACTCTTTCCTATCTTATTCACAGTCCAATCTCAATTCCTCCAATCCAGCCAAATGTTCTTACTATTTCAAAGTTTCATTCTTCCAGAGTGTCTTATTCTTCCCATCTTTCCAAATCTTAATAATCACTTAAGGCCCACATAAAATCTTGCCTCATCCAGACAAGGATGCCTTCTCTGTCCATTGGGAGGGCCCTCTTTGTACTCCACAACTGCTGGGGTCCACACCAGCAGTTTGATATCATCACTCACTGCTTTGCCAGTTTCTCTTGTGTGTTTTTTCTCACCTCCATTCTTAATTTTACTTTCATACAAAGCAATCTCTAATGACAGTACTCATTTCCGGAACACTTTATGTCTGTGTAAGGAATACAACCACTGTGGCAAAACCACAGGTGGTAGCCTTTGCTTACGTAAGGCAGCGGTCCTCAACCTTTTTGGCACCAGGGACTGGTTTTGTGGAAGACAATTTTTCCATGGACCTGTGGTGGAAGGGGGATGAAACTGTTCCACTTCAGATCACCAGCCATTGGTTAGGTTCTTATAAGGAGCACGCAACCTAGATCCCTCTCATATGCAATTCAGAACAAGGTTCACCTCCTATGGGAATCTAATGCCACCTGATCTGACAGGAGGCAAAGCTCAGGCAGTAATGCTTCCTCACCCTCCACTCACCTCCTGCTGTGTAGCCCAGTTCCTAATAGGACACAGGCTGGTACTGGTCCATAGCCCGGGGGTTGGAGACCCCTGATGTAGAGAACATCCTTGGCTTGATGGAATAAAGGGAAAAAAGTAAACACAAGCATTGAAACTTGCTCTTCTAAAATTGCCAGGAGCAATTGTCACGGGATTGGAAAGATACGTAGGAAATGTGTTTTCTTTATCAAGTTCTCTTTGTTTCCTCTAGTGATTTTTAACACACACATTTCTAACTTACTGGTGATTTCATTAGAAATTAAAAAAAGTTTCAACTTAATTTTCTCATGATATCAACAATAAATGTCTCTTGCCTGTGCTAGACAAAGTGTCTATGCTTGGCCACTATTTCGTTTCTTCTTGACATCATCACTTTTCAGATGGTATTGAATTGAAATGTGGAATTTTATTTCAATTCTTTTGTTACATTATGAACCTTATTTCAAGAATTTTTTTAACATTGGCACTAAACAGAGTATGTATAATCAAATGAACAATTCAGAGAATTTATAGTGCCCTATATTGAGTTTATTATTCAAAATACTGGTATTTGGGCCTAGTGCAGTGGCTCATGCCTGTATCTCAGCACTTTGGGAGGCTAAGGCGGGTGGACCACTTGAGGCCAGAAGTTCAAGACCAGCCTGGCCAACATGGTGAAACCCTGTCTCTACTAAAAATACCAAAAAAAATAAAAAATAAAAAATAAAAGCTGGGTGTGGTGGCAGGTGCCTGTAGTCTACTTGGGAGGCTGAGGCAGGAGAATCACTTAAACCCAGGAGGCAGAGACTACAGTGAGCTGAGATTGTGCTACTGCTACTGCACTCCAGACGGCCACAGAGCAAGACTGTCTCAAAAAAAAAAAAAAAAAGGGAGAGAGAGAAAAAACAAACAAACCCTGTATTTGGAGGAGACAGTAACAGTTTTTTTTTTTTTTTTTTTTTTTCAGAAAGAATAGTGGGCTGGGCGCGGTGGCTCACACCTATAATCCCAGCACTTTGGGAGGCCGAGGCAGGCAGATCACTTGAGGTCAGGCGCTCGAGACCAGTCTGGCCAACATGGTGAAATCCCATTGCTACTAAAAATACAAAAATTAGCCGGGCGTGGTGGTGCACGCCTACAATCCCAGCTACTCGGGAGGCTGAGGCAAGAGAATCACTTGAACCCAGGAGATGGAGGTTGCGGTGAGCGAAGATGGCGCCACTGCACTCCATCCTGGGCAACAGAGAGATACTCCATCCCCCCAAAAAAAAAGAAAGAAAAGAAAAGAATATTGGATGGTATACTTTCTGAGTCCAATATGTACTACTATGGAACTTAAAACTAATGATGACTAATTTTGTTACTTATATCACCATCCTATGAAGAGAAAGTTTCAAGTGAAGGGGTCACACAGTGATCAACCCCAGAGTGTGGGCTCAGGAAAGGGAGCACAGGAGTGATCAAAGCTGGCATTTCTGGCTCTTCTTCCTAGAAATGCTATTACCTAGGAAGAGGGGAAGAGGGTGTGGGAAATGTAAGGGGAGGTACAGGTCTGAGAGATCCTTTTCACCAAAGACTGGTTCCTTTCTCTGGTTTCCAGTGAAAAAAGAGAGAAGATTCCACCTTTTTTTTTGTGGGCACTTATAAGGCGCTTTCTATTTACAATTTCTTTCCCAGTTTCAATCTGCAGAAAGCCTGCCATGTCCTTTTTAGGCTGGGAAGGGTACTGGGCAGAGGGTGACAAGCCCTGTTTTCCTTGAGTTTAGGAAGAGTTCAGCCAGAACCTCCATATAGGCAATCTACTGCTGCTACTGCTTGAAATTAAGTTAACCACTTGTGGTGTTCATGATTTAGGTTTTTTTTTTTTAAGCAGATTTATTGAAATTTGCAACCAAAACACAAATAGAGTGCATACAAATTATGACAATAAAAATCATTTTCACCTTTTTTCTAAAATAAGTAATAAAATAGAAAATAGTTTTAATCTATGAAATGTTAAAAAGGGATCAAATAAAAATATTGAAATATTTATAGAAAGAAAGTAATCAGGCTTTGTATAATAGGGGAGAAAGGTGAATAAAGAAAATGTAGTCATCTGGCCAGCAGTTGTCATTCTGACCAGAAAGGCTGCCAAAGGTCCCAGGAAGGCTACTAAAAGACACGACTAGGACACAAATCCTGCCCTCTGCTTATTGTACCTTGTAACCAAAGGATCCTAGAATAAGGGTGGCCTTGAAAATGGGTTTCATAATTTATATGTAATGGTATTGAGAACAAATTGATTTAGTTTATTCCAGAATGGAAATAGGGACATATTTTTAAAAGAATGGTAGTACAGTTTAGATGTTTTTAAAAATGTTGTTTTGAACAATTATGTTTGTCATTCTTCTTAAAACTGGAGGATTTACCTCTTATGACTGATTTCCATTAACTCCCTCTTACTTTTTCTCCCAGATTAAGTTTTGATGATGAGCTCTGATTCAGTAGATGAAATCTCAAATATATCTTACAATGTACAATGTATCATAAAAGGTAAAACCTATCTTAAAATGTAAAAGCATCTTAAAATGTAAACCAAGAGAAATGGTTACATTAAATCATATTGAGTGGTCTTGTGTATTTAAGATTTAAGAATGTGTAGAACTCTTAAATAAGCATCTAGTGGGACACACTCCTCTGATGGGTAACACTAATGGTGATTCTTCTCTAACTATAGACTAAGATGTACCAATCATTCCTACATTCCTGAATAACAACGAAATGTGGATCTCAATTAATATTTGTTATACATTAGGCGCAAAAACAAATGTACAGGAACAGCAACTAGGCTGGCTTTATCATGCAAAAGGAAAACTATTTAACACTGTCAGCACTTTTTACAACAGTGGCTACTGAGCAGACTTAATTACCAAAAGGCCTGCACAAGGCCAGTTACATCAGCATGTCTGGGTCTAATCGGATTCTTTTTTCTGGTATCTATGGAATCAAACACGCTTTGCTAATATCGGTGGATCCTTGTTTAGTCAAGCTACTTTTGGCAAAATGATGCAAGGCTGCAGTTTGCATGTGATCTGTTGGCCTTTAACAATGCAGCTCTTGATGGAATTGAATTATTTTAACCATATATGGTACTATACAGTATACATACACTTTAAGCTCATTTCAGCCATCCCTGTCTGAAATAGCACCTAATCTTTCTTAACCCATCTTTGTCTTATTGTGCTTTGCAGAAATTATATATAGTAATTTTATGATAAAACATAGTACTTCTATTTTTGTCTGCTGCCTCCATGAGAATGTAAGCTCGATGCGGGCAAGGACTTTGTCTTATTATCTCTATCTGCAGTACCTGTAACTATGCTTGAAATGTAGTAGATGTTCTAAAAGTCCTCACTGAATGAACAAACCTATATAGGTTTGCCAAAATGAGTGGCCGACAGAAGTTTTCAACAGGTAATTTTACTGTAACTTTATACTAGATAAAAACAAGTTCACAGAACCACTTGTTTACAGCAGATTTTAGAGACATAAAAAAGGGACTAGAAATTTGGTGCTTTACTAAGAGGTCCTTGGTAACCAATGCATGTCTGCATTCTGTGGTATCCTTATCTAAGAATACTACTGAATAGATTGTGGAATTATACTCACCAGACAGAGGAGGCTAATGTGGAACAACTTCCAAGGGTCAACATTAATATTGTACAGCCTGCTTCAATTCTGTGTAGCCCTCCCAGCATGGTTTAAAATGAAATTTAAATGTCTTTAATGCTATCCCTGTGTCTCTTTGTTTCTGTGCATGTGTCTCATACACACCAATTCACTCACCCACAGCAACAAAAAGATAGAAAGAGCCATTTCCCTTTTCCCTTCATGCCCTATAGCCCCAAAGTAGACTCTCACAGGTACAGACATGTTACCCCTCAGACCTACCCAGTGACTAGATGTAAATAACTCACTTTGAGCACGGGCATAGCTGTGCTGGCCCTCCCTTCCCAACTGTGGAAGATCCAATGGAGACCTGTTGAGCTTGGGAACTTCACCATGACAAGATTTATGTGATTCATGACAGATGCAATTTAAAGCAAAGTAACTATAGTGTTGCCAGAAACCTGCCCTTTGTGTGCATGTGTGTGTTGCATGACCTCCTCTTACATCTGTCCCTCAGAGCTTCTCATGGTCATGGTCATTCCACCTCCACTCCCCACACTATGCCATCAGAAAGAAGGCTGGCTTGGTTCCTCCTAAGGCCCAAGGAAGAGGTGAAATGAGGGTGTCTCACTACATTTGACTCAACTCGATTTTATTAGGGAGGCAAGGTTAGAAAATTAGAATATTCTTCTAGTTGGGTTTTTTTGAGCAGTACAGAGTTATCTGTGCAATCACAAGCACCTTTAGGATCTAAATCATAAACATACATTAGTATGGTAGTATGGCCATTGCTTTTTTCCAGAGGGAGAAAAACTATCTCAGAAGAAAATTCTTTTTTATGCACAGGCTGAACTCTGCTTCATCTAATTTATTCCAATTTCCAACATTAGACCGATACAAACTGAACTCTAAGAAACAGTCACACATAAAGGCATTCACCACTAATGTATTCATTTGTGAAAAAAAAATAGCATACTAAGCTTAGGCTACATGCCAGAAAAAGATTCAGATTTTGTAATAATCTGTCATGGGCAATACACAACTCCATAGACAGTCACCAAATCTTGTTTCTCAGGCCATATCTTCCATAGCAGTGGTTCTCAGCTGGAATTAATTTTGTCAATCACAACAATATCTACAGATATTTTTGGTCAACACAACTGGAGTGGAGGAGGGGGCTGTGCTAATGGAATCTAGTGGGTAGAGGTCAGGGATGTTGCTAAACATCCTTCAATGCAGAGAGCAGTCTCCCACAAAAAGAATTATCCAGACCAAGATATAAACAGTATTGAAGCTGAGGAACCCTGCTGTATACTGACAGATAGGAATCTAAAGCATGGAAAGTCAGCATGATGTTTGGGAGTCTAGTAGCTTAAGTGAAGCCAAACTAATTCTCTTCTGTGGCTGTGAGTCTTGGATGTATCACTAAGAACTTCAACGTTTCAAACTGTGCTTCATAAAATGACTCTGCAGGATCAACAGTTGGGTATTATTCCTATGTCAGTCTACAAGTTACAGAATTAGGAGTGCCATACCACTGCTTTGCTAGTAAGACAAATGTTTTGGTTGCACTACCAGGAAGAAGAAATCATGAAAAGTACACCCAATCATAAAATGCCAAGTGACACCTGTGTTAAGAATGTTAGAGGCCAGGCGTGGTGACTCACACCTGTAATCCCAGCACTTTAGAAGGCTGAGGTGGGTGGATCACCTGAGATCAGGAGTTCGAGACCAGCCTGGCCAATATGGCAAAACCCTGTCTCTACTAAAAATACAAAAAATTAGCCAGGTGTGATGGTGGGTGCCTGTAATCCCAACTACTTGGGAGCCTGCGGCAGGCAAATCGCTTGAACCCCAGAGGCGGAGCCTGCAGTGAGCCGAGATCTCCAGCTGGGCAACGAGAGCTAAATTCCATCTCAAAAAAAAAAAAGTGTTAGAAAATTTGCGGATAGAAAACTCAGGGTTTTTGAGGCAAGATATATCAGGTGGTCTGTGGAGATTAATGCCAATTGAGCAGCAAGGATATTTGCAAATCCACAGACTGTCCTCCTGATCCTGGAGTAGGAAAGGAGGATGTCAGAGAGAGATGGATCAGATCTTGGGCAGAGGAGATGGACATGCCTGGCTCCAGTCCCAGCTTTGATCCTAGCTGTGTGATTCTAGGCAAGTCTCAAACGTTCCTTGTGAAATTAGGAGCTAGCGTGTACTCTGTGGGATTCCCTGTAGCTCTATCCTTCTCACTGAAAGGTTTCCTCACCGCTTGTGCTGGTACACAAAGAATAGAACAACTCTGTAACGGGATGCTAGTGAGGTATATTTATTAATTTGCAATAATGTATGGTAAAGGAAATAACAAAAGAAACATGCAGATTTGCATAAATAGGAAATCCTTTAATTTGATAATCATTCATTCAACAAACATCTATTGAGCATCTCCTCTGAATAAAGTATAAAATGTTTTCTACTTTTCTTTTTTAAAATTTGTTTTAAATCATCCTGAGAAACTCTTTAAAAGTTTATTTCCTAGGATTTACAGCAGTTAACATTCAGTTCCACCAATAAAATTCCTCACTGGATTCCACACAGGACAGATGGATCTCCATTAGGTAATAACCTTCCAGGTGGTGCTGACACTGCACATATGTGAATATTCCTCTCTGTGGGAAATAGAGATGTAACTTCTACACTTGCCTCAACCTGCTACTATGACTTTCTTCACAGTCCTGGGTTTTCAAAGATCTAAAGTTAACTCTTCTCTTAGAGAATACATGCAAACAAGTAAACTTAAAACTTCAATGCAATGCTCTTATCCCATAGCTCTGGTTCTTGTCTTTGTAATTGATGCCTCCTGAGCTGACTGCTGGCCTCGGTGTGCTCCTGCTTGAGAGCTGTCTGCCGGGGGAGGAGAATGCCCAGCTCTAATAGTTACATCTTCAAAAAGGCCACCTGGAGAAGGAAGAAAAACCCACAATGCTTTACTTCTATAATATGACAAAATGGCTGCATGTACATCAAATCAGAATCAGGTTAAGTCTGGTCAATAAGATCATATGCTTGTTTAAACAGAAAAATGACTCTTAGTGGATCTAGACATTTTATTTTACAGCAGGAGCCAATTAGTCTTTTTTTAATGAACCATATAGTAATTAAGATGATTCACACGCATTTTAAAGGAGAAAAATAGAGTTTTAATTGAAACTAAAGTTATATTGCTACGAAGTAATCCAGTCCTCATTTCCATCGATTCACAACTATTGTTTTGGACCTTCCATATTTAGAATTCTGAGTCTCATTCCTAGGCGATTCTGGGTCCTCATCCCTATAGGTAATTATACCAGTCTCTCCTAGGTCATTGTGATACTTTCACTTATATTGGTTGGTCAGCAGCAATTCATCTTAAAACCTAGAGTTAAAAAAAATTAATTCACACAGTCTTACGAACAAACTATTTTCAGACTATGTAATGAGGCCTAGATCAAATGCATCTAATTTCCCAATAGTTTTGAAAACAGAAACAAACTTAACAAAGTCAATCATAAATGTTTAGAAAGGTTTAGTTCAGGGGTGACAATAAATTGGGAACTGTGCCAATATGAGGAAGAGAGTCAAGTATAGAGCAGAGATAGATCGTGAAGTATGGGAGGCTTGGGAAGCTCGTATTAGGCGTGAGCAACAGAAGTAAAAACATTCTACTCTTGGGGAAGTATGGGACATCTGTCAATTGCATCAGGAAATTTTGTCCTTAAGTCCCCGAATGCAGTAAAAAGAGGTGTGTATTTAACTATTCTGTTAAAAGAAAAGGTAAAGGGAGGGTCACACAGGGCAGAAAGCATCTGCTTTATGCTGAGTAATTCAGAAGGATGTTACCCTTCATACGGTGCTGGTGAGAAAGGCACCTGCTGAGTTTCCATATCAACTTCCTGCTGAGTTTCTCTATCAAGAGAACACCAAATTGGAAGGAGCAGCAAAGAGGAAAGGTTGATTCCTAAACAAAATGTAAACATGGACAATTGATGCAAACCTCAAGAGCTTACTGTGAAGCTCAAATGAGATCATTGTTAGTTCAAGCTGCACCATTTTGTAAGCCTCGCCCCCACCCCCCCAACCATTTCATAGTCCCAGGTCAAAGTGAAACGTTCCATGGGGGTTCGGACCATGAGAAACATCCTGCCCAACCACCTGACTTTCTTATCATACCCTGCCAGGCAAAGGCCCAACTGAAGGAACATTGCTATCATATCTTGCTGGACAAAGGCCCAAGGAACATCCTATGACATCCCACTGGAAAAAGGGCCAAACCGCCTGATCATAGGAACATCTTATCAATATCCTGCCGGGCGGTAAGCCATACTGCCCAGACCCCTCCCACCCATACCTATAAGTACCCCAGCCTGTAAGCAGCGGTGGGCTCTGGCTGGCATTAACTGGTCCCCCACCTCTGCAGGTCTTGTGCTGCACATAAAACCTGCATTTCTGTAGAGCCGCCAACTCCCTCTGTCTTTAACCCTCACCTTCCCTTCAAAACTTAATAATAATGATTAGGAAAATCCATGTGTTTCCCCTGTCTCTCAGCTGACAAGAGATATTAGAAGCCTGTGAATATACCAGATGAGAAGAGAGGCCAGTAGAGCCTGTTATAATAGACAGAGGAAGGAAGACCAGAAGTCATTGAGTCTGACTTAGGGCTCACTGTGGGCAGCATCCCTGGCAGGCGACATTCTGCTTCTACATAGACAGTTTACAGGGACAGGAAGCTCACAACTGTACAAAGAAGACAATGACGCTGCTTATATTCAAACATGAAGACGATGGAAGAAAACCATTTATCTCTTTTGTAATTCTGAAAATTGCTATGTCATGGCATATTCCAACCAGGAAATACTTAGCATAAGGATAACATTGATAAATGACATTACGAAAATGGTTAAGAGGCCGGCACAGTGGCTCACAGTGGCCTGTAATCCCAGCACTTTGCGAGGCCAAGGCAGGCAGATGGCTTGAGGTTAGGAGTTTGAGAACAGCCTGCCAATATGGTAAAACCCTGTCTCTACTAAGAATACAAAAATTAGCCAGGCATGGTGGCAGGTACCTGTAATCCCTGCTACTTGGGAGGCTGAGGCATGAGAATCACTTGAACCCATATGGTAGAGGTTGCAGTGAGCCGAGATCACGCTACTGCACTCCAGTCTGGCTGACAGACGGAGAGTCTGTCTCAAAAAGAAGAAAAAAAGAAAATGGTTAAGAATTTTAGCTATACAGAATAGTGATTTTCAACTTGAGGTGATTTTGTGTACTGACGGGCGTTTGGCAGTATCTGGAGACATTTTCGGTTGTCAACGTAACTGGGAGGGGGTGCTACTGGCATCCAGTGGACAGAGGCCAGGGACGTTCTCCTACAATGTAGAGAGCCCCTAAAACAAAGAATTATCAGCTAGCCCCATTCAGCCTTTCCTCACCCACAAAATGGGAATTCTAACAGGATGTACATGAAATTTGTAAAACACTTTATTAAGCCTACTTTGATTTTTTTCATCCACAGCACAGTCCTATGGTTTAGTAAAGCAGGCATTTGAATCTTTGTTTTACATATGAAGAAACAGAAGCTCAGAAAACTTATGAAACTTGCTCAGATAGCAAAGCTCTTAGGTGACAATGGTGGGCTTAGAAAGAAATTGATTTCTAATCCATGCTTTTCCCACTATAACTTTACAGATGAATGACAGAAAACTACAGAGGCTTAGAGACTTCCAATCTTTGGTATTGCCTCAACTATCAAAAGATTTCTTTTGCATGCCTGCGAATATGAACTCAAGATGAGGAACAACTACAAAAGAGGCTAAGCTGATTAAATTAAATAATGCAAAATGGACCTTCCCAATGAAAAAGAAAAAGTTTAAAATTTGGCTTAATGTCTTCTTTTCATCTGGTTTTTATAGTTTCATTTGCCGAGCACATTATGTATTTTTAAAGACAACATGAAACTGCAATCATCCTTGGGAACAGGTACTGTACAATGCATTTTATTCCTTATATTTAAAAGACTGTGAGTTAACATATTTCAAACGCTGATTTTGTGTTCCCTACCATTTATCCATGACAAGAAAAATTACTTCCCCTAACTGCCATTTATTTTAAGAGAGGATAATTTTATTTTGTTCCACTACACTGAGAAAGATCTCTGTATTTCATGTTTTTCATTTTATTCCCCAAAGTAAAAGTTTTAAAGCTTCTCAGAGCATATGACTATAGCTGCAGCTTAAGGTTTTGCTGGTTGTTATATTTCTGGAATATAGTTACAACGTATAAATAATTATTTTAAAAAACAAAAGACAACCTTTCCTCTCGGTTATAAGATCTGATTTAGTTCTGTACACCTGAATAGTGACACTTGGAAATGGAGAGAGGGAGAGGATGTTAAGATGTCTAAAAATGATGTCTCTGCTTTGAGTAATCTCTAAAAACAATCTTCTTAAACCACAATAAACATGGCCAGGTTGATGTATCATTGACCAAATGTAAGTTTGGGATGCATTAATACATTTGTGTGACACGTTAAACATTTTTTAATGTTATTTTACCCTAGATAACAAATTTATAATAACTGATTTCTCAACATTGATTTAGAACTTTTTATCCTCTGTTTTGTCTTTTCTTTTTTTTTTTGAGAGAGAGTCTTGCTCTGTTGCCCAGGCTGGAGTAGAGTGGCCTGATCTTGGCTCACGGCAACCTCTGCCTCCCGGGTTCAAGCAATTCTCCTGCCTCAGCCTACTGAGTAGCTGGGATTACAGGCGCATGCCACCATGCCGGCTAATTTTTGTATTTTTAGTAGAGATGGGGTTTCACCATGTTGGTCAGGCTGGTCTCGAACTCCTGACCTTGTGATCCACCCGCCCCGGCCTCCCAAAGTGCTGGGATTACAGGCATCAGCCACTCTGCCTGGCCTTAGAATTTCAATCACTAAAAAGACATATCATCATCACTGGCTACATAGAAAGGCTTTAGAAAGGACTCTTTACACTAAGTAGACAGACACAAATGTTCCTTTTAAAAAGGACATTGTTGACTTAAAAAAAAAACACAAAACTTTCCTTTAGATATGTATTTTTGTCCAGTGCATGTTCAAAGTTATGATCTGAAACAGGCTGTTTTTATGGTGGAAAAGGAAAAGGACAAGGAAAGTTTATGCCCTTATATTATAAAATCCAGTTTCTTGGCCAGGCGCGGTGGCTCACACCTGTAATCCCAGCACTTTGGGAGGCTGAGGTGGGTGGATCACCTGAGGTCAGGAGTTCGAGACCAGCCTGGCCAACATGGTAAAATCCCCTCTCTACTAAAAACACAAAAATTAGCTGGGTACAGTGGTGGGTGCCTGTAATCCCAGCTACTTGGGAGGCTGAGGCAGGAGAATCACTTGAACCCAGGAGGCAGAGGTTGCAGTGAGCTGAGATCCCACCAGTGAACTCCACAGCCTGGGTGACAGAGTGAGACTCCATCTCAAAAATAAATAAACTAATTAATTAATTAAAACAAAATCTAGTTTCCAAGATCCAAATTTCCTTTACAAACATACAATATAAATGTAAAAACAAAAATAAAATTAAAAACTACAACTTTTTCTAGCAGCTAGCAAATATACTTGATGTCTTAAAATAATACTGGGATTAGGTAGTTTTTTCTAACTTACTAATTTGGCGTTAATTGCGACCATGTTGAGGATACCCTAGACTCAACTTTTTGTGTTGGATAAATACTAAAAGATATTCCTCTCAAAAGAAACTATCATCAGAGTGAACAGGCATCCTATAGAATGGGAGAAAATTTTTGCAATCTATCCATCTGACAAAGGACTAATATCCAGAATCTACAAAGAACTTAAACAAATTCACAAGAAAACAAACAACCCCATCAAAAAGTGGGCGAAGGATATGAACAGACACTTCTCAAAAGAAGACACTGATGTAGCCAACAAACATATGAGAAAAAGCTCATCATCACTGGTCATTAGAGAAATGCAAATCAAAACCACAATGAGATACCATCAAATGCCAGTTAGAATGGCGATCATTAAAAAGTCAGGAAACAACAGATGCTGGAGAGGATGTGGAGAAATAGGAAAGCTTTTACACTGTTGGTGGGAGTGTAAATTAGTTCAACATTGTGGAAGACAGTATGGCGATTCCTCAAGGATCTAGAACTAGAAATATCATTTGACCCAGCAATCCCATTACTGGGTATATACCCAAAGGACTATAAATCATTCTACTATAAAGATACATGCACACGTATGTTTATTGTAGCACTGTTCACAATAGCAAAGACTTGGAACCAACACAAATGCCCATTGATGATAGACTGAATAAAGAAAATGTGGCACATATACACCACGGAATACTATGCAGCCATAAAAAGGGTGAGTTCATGTCCTTTGCAGGGACATGGATGAAGCTGGAAATCATTATTCTCAGCAAACTAACACAAGAACAGAAAACCAAACACCACATATTCTCACTCATAAGTGGGAGCTGAACAATGAGAACACATGGACACAGGGAGAGGAAGACCACACACTGGGGTCTGTTGGGGGGTAGGGGGCTAGGGGAGGGATAGCATTAGGAGAAATACCTAATGTAGGTGAAGGGTTGATGGGTGCAGCAAACCACCATGGCACATGTATGCCTATGTAACAAAACTGCACATTCTGCACATGTACCCCAGAACTTAAAGTATAATAAAAAAAATTTTTTTTAAAGATATTTCTCTCTCTGGGCTGGGAGGCTAGCTTCATTCATTCAATCGTTAATTATCTCCTATGTGACACTGATTGTTCCAGCCACAGCGCACACTGAGAAGGAATTTCCGCCTCCTGCTAAAATGAGAGTAGGAGAGGAAGTCAAGGAATTAGGTGATTCCAATCCTAAGGTGGAGTAAATTTAAGATGGACCTTAACACCTGCTTGGAGAAACAAGACTATTTTTGCATTATGAAAGCAAGAGAGCCTCCTGAGACACTACCCAGGAGGAAGCAAAGAGAGCCATAAACCCCGGCATGCCACGGAGTTTGGCACACACTTGATCCCCCTAGGATGCTGGCCTGCTAAATGAATGACTGGCAAAAAGGAAGGACCAAACAAAACACCAAAAATGTGAGAAGCAGTCCAATGAGGAAGAAGATCCTGTCCCTCCAAATTGGCAACAATTATGTGTGTAAGGGACAGAAACAATAGACTAAGGGAACATCAGTGTAGCCTTCCAACCCTGAACTTTCTGCACACATTCCATAAGAACTTTTAAAAGGTAGAAAGAAAAAAAGGTGGGTGTCCGTAAATTAAACTTTCACCCTGTATTTGCTTTAAGCCATGAGGCACTATGAAAATTTACATATAACTAAAAAGCTTGTTGATTTAAAAAGTTAGGCTGAGCCTTGCTATGTCTTCTAGCAGACATCTAGGTAAAAGGCCAGCAGTCCACTTACAGGATGAGAAGTACTTTAAGAGATGTGTATGTGGCAGAGGGAAGAGGACTACTGGTGCCTTTTCATCTCTAGATGGGGCTGAAATCAAGGACCACTATAGCAGTTACTGGATCTTGATCCTATTCTTCAACAAAGCAAGTAGGTCCTACATGTGAACTTCTCCTCACTTCTTTTAGAATAACTGGACTACGGACAGCATTGTTGGCATTGGATGGTGCTATTGTAACACTGTAGTGAACAAGCAGTTCTGATGCTCCCAGTCATATAAAGCAAATCTAGTAACTTTACTAATGAGAGCAAACCGATGGGGCCAACATTGATATAGCAGTCTTCTGATATTACATAAAAATATATTGCCTCTGAAGCACAAAACATTTGTAAGGAAATAATTCTAGGATACCAGTATGGGTGGGTGTTAAAGCACAAGATATAAAATGGTGCTACCTCAATACATGCACACACACTCACAAATCAAAAAGTCCCTTTAATTTCTCCTTCCTATGGAATATCTGCAGGAAGGAACCTGCAGAAGGGAACAGTGGCACTGCTGCAGCTTTGGCCTAGAGTGGTGTTTTGAAAATCACCACTGTGCTGCCCTATTGGCGACATGCCTCTGACCAAACAAGTTTATTCAGAAACAGAGTTTCTAGAGCTCAGAAATAAAGTGCTTTTCTATAGTATCAATTGAAATATTTTCAATTGTTTAAGGAGAGGTGCCTTTAGCAGCAAAACCATTTTAATATATCATATTTAAAGGAAACTATGCCCAGTCTTACATTAAGGTTAAGAAGCATGGCTGGTGAAGAAATGGTATGCTTACAATATCAGTACAACTGGAAATCCTAGGAGGGGCCATGAACCCCTATATTGTGGAACAAAATAGATTTCCACAGATGAATGGGTTCTGTCATTTAAACAGATTTATTTCAGTGGCAATTTTTAAATTCCTATTTTAGCTATAAATATTAATTCTTTTAACAGACATGCAACCAAGAAGAAAACTTGCTTCATGCAGACAAAACGCTTTCTGACCCACTGTGAAGGAAAGAGGAGGAAATAGCTTGTAAGGTTGCGACTGTGGATCCCACTAGTTATCAGTGGAAAAGTGTCATGGAAACACTATGCAGGCAGTATTGAGATACTTAACGAGTGGCCCTGAGGCCAGGGCTGCTTGTGCATGAGGGAATAATTCTGTCCAGCAGGAAGAATGGCAAAAGGTGACCTAACACATTTTTTAAGAGAAAGGGATAAAGAGGGTCATACCTGCCTTTGAAAACCATCCTGGACAATTTTATTTCACACCAGAAATAAAAAAGCCTTACTTCTATTGGTTGATATTCAACAAGTTCTTTATTGCAATTATTGAAACTTAGAGAAGTCAAGACTTATATTGCCTACTATAATTCCTGTTTAAATACGTGATTTATGATTATATGAATTATAGACAAACTTACAAAACACAGAAAGGTACACACAAAAAGAAAAATTTTGTGGCTACATCACTTAGGGATAACTACTATTAACATTTTGGATATATATTTCTAGATTTCTACTTTTCTGGACAATTCCGTATAGCTGTTTTGTGAAATAGCGCTTCTGAAACTAAATGTAATATGTATTGTGGTAATTTTCAAATAATATTATTCTAGGATATCTTTAATTGCTGCATTATATTTTACTACACATCTGCATCACTTAAAAAAAAAAAAGAGTAAGTGCATAACTTATTTCACCAGAGAGGAGCAGGGCTTGGGAGAGGGTGGTATTGACTGACAGTCCCAGGAAACACTTTCAAATAGTCCAGCCCAGTGCTTCTCAGGTGCTGTCTCTGGATCAGCATTGCTGGCCTCATTTGAGAACGTGTTAAAAAGGCAAATTACTGTGCCCACTCCAGACTTACTGAATCTAGGGGTGGGGCCTAGCAAGGGGTGTTTTAATAGGTTGTCCAGGTGATTCTGATGCCTGCTAGGTTTGAGAGCTGTTGATCTAGTCCAACCATTTTATATAGCTGAGCAAACCATCCTCGAGAAGGGAATTGGATTAAAGTGACATAGCTAATTAGGCGAGGACTCAAACACAGGTCTTCTAACTCCTACTCCAGTGTCTTCATTTCTAGACCAGTGCAAACTCAAAGGTGCTGATTTGGGTGCCCAAAAATCTTTTCAAAAAACATCTGTTTCCTCTAGAAGACAATAAAATTGTCAAGGGAGAAAGAAACAAATTATATCCAGTCCTATTTCCCAATATTAATAAAGGAGCCTGGGCCCACTGTTGACAAAAGGAAAGCCAAGCCCTTTTTGTTCACGATGTAGAGACTGAAGGGGCTAATATCTCAAATTCAAATTGACGTATCATAGAAAGCTAGTCTGTTAAAAGTTAAGTGAATGAATTTTCTGGGGGGTGGGAGTTAGCAGGGACAGCTTCTGATATGCCCTGATGTGGCATATGACTAGACTGTGGCATATCACATATGACTACATTCTTTTCTAAATCTAGTCACTCCACATGGGTCTCCAGCAAATTTACTTGCTTAGCTCAGGTAAAGAAAATGGTCACAAATTTGGCTTCAAAAGTTGGCACCAAAAGTTGGCAAAGAAACTGAGTCTTCCACACATTGCTGAGGAGGGGACTATGAGAGTAGAGCCATTCGAGAAAACAGTTTGGCAGTTTATTTTTAAAACTAAACATGTAATTACTACATGACCTAACAACTGCAAATTAGGAATTTGTCCCAGAGAAATAGAAACTTATGTTCACATAATAATCTGTACACGAATGTTTAAGGCAGCATTATTTTAATAGCCAAAACCTGGAGTCAGCCCAGGTGACTGGCTAAATTGTTGTACAGCCACACCATGGAACACTGCTCAGCAATAAAAAGCAGCCCACTATCAATACACATGACTCGGAAGAATCTCTAGGGAATTATGCTGAGTCAAAAAAATCTCAAAAGGTTACATACTGTATCATTCCATTTACATAACATTTTTGAATTGACAAAATTTTACAAGTCAAGGACAGAGCAGTGATTGCAGGGGTTAAGGATGTTGGAGAGGGGAGAGAGGGTGTGATTATTAAAGTGCAACAGGAGGGATTCCTGTGTTGATAGAACTGTTCAGTGTCTTGACTATGGTGGTAGATACACAAACATACACAGGTGATAAAATTGTATAGAACTCAGTACACCTATCAACAGACTGTTTAAATTTTTCAGTAGTTTGTATAAGCTCTTTAGTAAATGTTAATATGTTTTTGTGCAGTGAAGAAATTAAGTGCCAAGCATGGTACCATCTCACTAAATCCTTAAAAAATCCACTTGAATTAAATATCTAATTTAATTCTACCCAAATTATAAGTGAAGACTCAAAGGTCAGAGAAGCTAGGTAACTTTTGATCATGGCTGTAAGCTAGTAACAAGACTAGGGGTGTGAGTAGATCTCTGTCTCTGAGCTTCACATTCATTCCATCATAAAAGCTCCCTTCCATTTAATTATGGTGAGAGATAATTGCTATTGTAACTTTAATTGACGAAGGAATCCATAATCCAATTTTAAGTCAGATTTAGTGCAGTTGAAATGATGCACGCATTCTTTTTTTTTTGTAGAGATGCGGTCTTACTTTGTAGCCCAGGCTGGTCTCAAACTGCTGGCTTCAAGTGATCCTCCCACCTCGGCCTCCCAAAGTGCTGGAATTAAGGGTGAGTCACCATGCCCAGCTAGCACCCCATTTTTTTGAGAAGAAAGTAGATTACTTCTTTTGGATTAGTGGTAAGGAGGAGAAAGAAGAGATAGAATGGCAAAGTAAATCCTACTCTTAAGAGAAAATAATTATTTGATTAGAGGAGAAAACTTTGGCAGAGGAGGAGAGCCAACAGGATAGATGACATATTGGCCTGAAATCTTGGGAAGGAATTTTTAAGTTTAGAAAGCTGGATACGTCACAGTAGCATAGTTGAATCAGTTCAGTAAAAACGATTATGACTTGGAATAATTAAATAACAGGTAAGTTCTGGCAAGAAAGGAATCAAAATGTAACCAGGTGCTCATTTTCTTTAGCTATTTACTACTCAGACATTCCTTTGAAAATATACTTAAGACATGCAAATTTTAAAAAGAAAAACATGCTAATATAGCCATTTAAGAATAAATACCATTTATTTCTTAAGTCTATCGTTTGGACTTGCTGGAAATAAAGAGGGGATCGCAAAACAGTAATTAGCCTGTTTGTTTTAAAGGAGGGGTAAATAATGGCTTATGAGGAGTTTATAAACGGTCATACCACAGAGGGGAACAAGCTGAAAAGCTGAAGAGGATGCTATGTGATGTTTCACCAGAAGCCTTGGGTTTTTTACTTTTAGCCACATGGAAGGCAAAGGGCGTTCTTTTATACAGAACTGTTCACTGAACTTTTCCAGGTCAAGGACAGTGTAGGGTATGGGACCAGAAAAAGACTCTCAGCATTCAAAGCGGTAGATTCTCCATGAGAAGCTGGAAGTCTCAGGTGGCTACCAGGAAGGTGCAGAAAGGTGAATTCTAATTGATATGAAAAGACTGGAGAATTGGAGATAAAGTACAGTAAGTCCCCAGTTAATGTTGTTGATAGGTTTTTGGAAACTGTGACTTTAAGTGAAATGAAGCATAATGAACCAATTTTTTATCATCAAAGTTATAATGAAATGACATTGAAGGAAACAATATTATTCAAGGACCTGCCAAACGTCATTTTACTTAAAGTCACAGTTTCCAAGAACCTATCAACCACGTTAAACGAGGACTACTGTACATTACACAGAGAGAAGTAAAAACAGATTAGTGTAAGAAGTCAGCAGTTTGTACACTGCTAGAGGTGGTGGGAGAGCAGAAAAATATAGGCTCTTGGGAGAGCTGAGATTGAATGCCTCCCCGACATTTACTAGCTGAATGACCTCTTGGAGCCTTAGCTCCCTCCAGTTCTGCCCACCAGTGGTTGTGGGGATTAGTAATAAAGGACATAAATGGCCTGGCAGGCCATGGCACAGATGAGGCCTTTGATAAATGGAAGAGCTTAATATTATTATACTAAACCTAAGTGTTTCTTTTAAATATTGCTGCAGATGCATCTCTTTTGCTGTCTGCTGCTAATGAACAAATTCATGTTTAATTGTTTATTTTTAAAGGAGAAGCATAAATGACTAATTGTGTATATAAATATCCAAGGCTTAAATAAGGCTTTTTTTCCTATGTTACCCTAAGTAACAAAACATCTACCAGTGACAGTCACTGAAATTGCAGATATTGCATCTGAAGAAGAAACTATAAACCTATAGCATTTTCAAATATAAGAATGTAGGTTGCTTAGTGTAAAATATCACCTGGTCCTTGAAAAATAACTTGAAGCCCAGAGGCCACTGGCTGGATTGTGTAGGGGGCGTCTAAAGGTTTGTAATGGGCAACACTCCTAGGGATTCAAACCAGCACATCCTGGATTGCTGACATAATCCACTCCTGAGAAATTCAACTCTGAATCCAGGATTAATGATTAAGCCATGGACCTTTAATATATGAAACTATTTGGCTGAATAGTCCTTTACTAATACAGGCACATCTCACTTATTCTGCTTTACTTTATTGTACTTTGCAGATACAGCATTTTTTACAAATTGAAGGTTTGCAGTAACCCTGCATTAAGCAAGTCTACTGGCCCCCATTTTTCCAACAACATGTGCTCACTTCATTTTTCTGCATCACATTTTGGTAATTCTCTCAATATTTTGAACTTTTCCTTTAATATTATACCTGTTACGGTGATCTATGATCAGTGATCACTGATGTTACTATTGTAATTATTTTGGGGCACCACAAATCATGCCCATATATAGCCACAAACTTAATCGATAAATGTTGTCTGTTCTGTCTGTACCAATGACCAGCCGTTACCCTGTCTTTCTCCCTCTCCTAGGGCCTCCCTAACATCTCACACAAAACAATACTGAAATTAGGCCAATTAATACCCTACAGTGGCCTCTAAATGTTCAAGTGGAAGGAAGAGCCACACATTTTTCACTTAAATCAAAAGCTAGAGAGAAAAATGTTTGGGGCAGGTTAGATCAGTGGATACTAATTTTTTCACTGCAACATACCAACAAACAAGGCCCGCAAGACACAGCTCCTTACTCAAGTCTAGTCATCCCAGCAGTCCTCCCTCCCTGTTCAAACATCTGCTTTTGTTCTCCAATAAACCCTTAACAGTAACAATCTGTAGTGTACTTAACTGGTTTTTTTTAGCTTATAAAAAATTTCAAATGTTAATATATTCTCTAGTAAAGATACAACAAATCTACATACATTTATTACCCAGAAACAATGATTATGAGCTCACGGCCATTGGTTTCATCCAAATCCCTGCCACAGACCTCTTCTGAAGCAAATCCCAGTCCTATTACTTCACATATAATTCAGTATATATCTTTAAAAGAGAAAGACTACTATAAAAATAAAACCACAATGCCATGATCACATTTAAAATATCAATAATTCCTTAATATAACCAAATATCCTATCAGTGACCAAATTTCTCCAACTAGCTCATACATTTTTTTTTTAACAGTTGGCGTTTGTTCAAATCAGAATCCAAATGTGGTCCACATATTACAATTAATAAGTCTTTTACACTGCTTTTAATTAATAGGTCCCTCTTCCTTCCCTTTTTCTCCATTTGCAATTTGTGTTTCAAAGAAATCAGGCTTTTTGTTCTGCAGAGTTTTCCAAAGACTGAAATGTGACCACTTTTATGCTTTTAGTGTCCTTATGAATTCATGGATTTGAAATATATTTGATATGCTTTAATCCACTGCAGTCATTCTCACTGATACTCAAACCTGCCCATCTTTGTCAGTAAAAACCTCTTCAACTTAGAGCCTAAGTCCTTTTGACGTGATCCTAGTAGTTTATAATAATTTGATTACTTTTTCCCTCACTTATGGTAAGACAGAACTCAGTCTTGTCTTGTACATTTCTTATCTCAGACATAGAATCAGCCATTTTCCCAAGAAACATGGTTCCTTTTAGTGGGGAATGGTACTTAGCCACCACATCTGGAGATTGCCTTACTGCTTACAAAGCACTTTGAACACTTAACCTCATGTATACACATAAGACAAGCCACTCCCCTTCTGCAGGCCACTGCCTTCCCTTTTCAAAGTGCAGCAAGAAAACACCCTGCTTCAAGTGTCTTTGTATCCTATTTAGAAACAAGGTTCTAAACTACTCAGAGATGAATCTTTCTATCTGGTTAGCTAAGTAGGACAGGCTAGAAAATACTGTCTTAAAACCATCTTAACAATCGAGTCATTTTATCGGACAAACTAAAACAAAAGAAAGTTCATGAGTCCCTCCCTTTTCCACTGTAATTAAAAGGAAATAGCTAAGCTTTATTATCAGAAAATAGGAATGGAAAAAAGGATCTTTCTAGATAGAGAACTTAATTCTTTTTAAACTAGGTAAAGACATTCCTGTATGGGTAAAAGAAAAATGGAGGGAGGAGTGAGAAATAACTGCTTCCAGAAAAAGGCTCACCACAAAACTCCCTTGGGCATGGAATTATAAAAGTGACTCACTGCCTTATGTGGGGACAGGTTCCTGCTGTTAATTTGCTTGTCAAAACTGTGGAAGGATGAGGTCGGGCTGTTGCTGTGTAGGGGCTGTAAGCACTGGAAGGCTATGCCATAGAAAATTAAAGTAGTTCTGCATACCTGTCTGGCTAATTAGGAGGAGTATTTCTAACCTCTAAGGAAAATACTCTCTAAACTCACAGGATGTTTGGAAATGGAAACAAACAAACAAAATCCAGAAGGCATGTTTCACAGTGGTTTTTATAATTTAGATCAAATTTATTCAGATGGCCAAAGGTTTCTCAGTCCCTGAGTTTCCTGTAAAACTCAAACCAATTACGGGTAGTGGTGGGGGATGTAGGAGGGGAACAGGACTCCTACAATCAATGATAAAAAGCCTTAAAACAGATCCTTCACAAGAGAAGATAAAGCACATGAAAAGGTGCTCATATCATTGGTTGTTAGGGAAATGCAAATGAAAATCATAATGAGATACCCAGAATAGTTAAATAAAAGATTGGCATCACCAAATGATGTCACTGATGAAGACACGGAACAGCCGGAGCTCTCAGACATGGTTGCTGGGAGTGTAAAATGGCACATGCACTTTGCAAAAGTGTTTAGCAGTTTATTAGAAGTTAAATATACATCTATCCTACAACCCAGCAATTCCATTCCTAGATATGTACCTGAGAGAGATGAAAACAGGTCCACAAAAAGATTTTACCAGAATATTTACAGCAGCCTTATTCAAAACAGCCCCCAATAGGAAACAACCTAAGTGCCCATTAACAGGAGAACTGATGAACAAATTGTGGCATATTTATTCAGTGAAATACTTCTCTGCAACAAAAAAGAATGAACTACTGATAAATGCAATAATAGGGATAAATTGCAAAAACATTATGTTAAAGTGGGAGGTCGAGACAAAAAAGAGTACATACAGTATGATTCAATTTATACAAAGTGCAAATATAGACAAAATGAATCTAAGATGATAGAAAATAGAGACAATGGTTTTCAAAGAGGAACGATTAACTGCAAGACACCTGAAGGGAACTTTATGGGAAATGGATATGATCTAAATCTTCTTTTAGGATAATGGTTACATGGGTGTGTATTAGTGGTTCTCAACCAGGGGACATTTGGCAATGCGTGGAGACATTTTTGGTTGTCATAACTAGGGGAATGCTACTGGCATCTGGTAGGCAGAGGCCCGGGATGAACAGGACAGCTCTCTACAATAAAAAAAAATCCATCTTAAAATGTCAATAGTTGGGTACAATGTACACTATTTGGGTGACACTAATGGCTGGACTTCACCACTATACAATTCATCCTTGTAACCAAAAACCACTTGTACCTCTAGAGCTACTGAAATACGAAAATAAGAAATAAAACAAAAAGAAACTCAGCAACACCTTTCCTAACTCCAAAATGTGGTTGAAGATTGGGGGAAAAAATTTCATATTTCAATCCTATGAGTTCCACTGTTCAATAAATGCATTACATATACAAACTGTGCTTAATACATGTTTATTAAAAATATTAGGAGAAAGATGGATGGGGTATAGGACTTCTTGTCAACAGCTCTCCTTTCAAATACACTCTTCCTTTCTTCCCTTCCTCCACTGCATAACTTACTCACGTACTATGCTACTCGAAACTTCCTGAAGGCCTCAGGGAGATATTTATACAGCCAGGGCACAGAGACAGTCCTGGGGTCATAAAGCAGTGTGGGACTGGAGCAGGGCCTGGCTCAGGCTGCAGGTGAGTCAGTCCAGGTTTCCCAGGAAGCCTCAGCATTTCACTTGCCCCTCTCTGTAGTGCCACACTTTTCCTGGCCCCATGGCTCTGTGCTCAATTAATGCAGTCTGAAGTAGTCACAGGGAGTGTGGCAAGTGTGCAGGTGGGTGAGGACTTCTGAAGGGGTTACCCCTGTCCCACAGGTCACAGTAACAAACTGGCAACGGACTTCTGTGGTTCTCTCTGAATCTAAGAGAACATTCCTGATAACAAGTTAAAAGTTGTTCTTCAGTGGAAAGAAAAATGGATCCAAAAATATGCTGTGAACTAGTAGTTTAGGGTACCGGTACTATTAACTCTGATGTTTGCAGAAAACAAGTAGCTTACAACTCAGGTTACCAAAGTTGAATTGCATAAACATTTTCTTCCTTGGGGGAATCTGAACTGTATAACATTAGCCTTTCTGCCAGTGATTTTCAGGCCTTCCCTAACACTTACAATGGTACCCAGAATATATTCTCTGCTAAGCCTGGAGGCAGCCCTGTACAGCTAAGCCATTCAAGAGATATTATTCAGAAATGCCTCCAGAGGAGATGCTGCAGAGCTCCTTCAATATTCTGGCCCTCTCCACAGCTAAGAATTTTTTTCCTTAGGTTTAAATTAGCTGACTTTTAACATAAGCATTCACATCTGCTTTCTTTCCCTTTGTGCAAGGGTAGCTGCTTCAAATTTTGGGTGGGGCAAATTAGAACTCTTAGGTTGGAAAAGCTGCTCACAAAAACTTCATCACTTACTCACTCTTAGAAGCTTCAAGTTTTGTACTTGTCTGTCACCTTCATGTTGATTCTCTGGGATTCGAGGTCTATGAGCAATGAAGCCCATTAGCTAAATTCTTTTGGAAACCTGACAACATCGCACTGTGCAGTTGTTCCTGTGGGCACATCTGCTGCACAGTAGGGGAATGAAATTGGATGCGATCCTTCCCCTTCCTCCCAACTTCACTGTTTAAAATGGCACTGAGTTTTAGAAGTGATCTTGGGGGACTAGAAAGGCACCCTTGCACTTTGGTCACTACCCTCAACGTGTTCAAATGCTCCAGCTTTATGTTCATCATCGATTAAACACTTGAATTTGTGATTCCCGAAAGCTACTTCTTAGACTGGGATTCAAGAAAAGAGGAAAAGCACTGGTGATTTTAAATTCCCACACTTTGCCTGTGACACAGTCCACACACACAGACACTGAGTAGGGAACCAAATGCCTCTTCCTGACGACACTTTGTGCTTTAGATTTCCCAATAAAACCCTTGCGTATCCACTCCTGCCTGCAAAGGGACCATTCATGTGGAAGCACAACATCTTATCTAAATCTCTGTATATCTCTCTATGAGGTCTTGTACACAGAAGGTTTTCAGTAAATATTTGTTGCCTGGAATGAATGATTGGACAAATTAATTATATAACTAGAATCTAGGTTTATTACTTTTCTGCATCAACATCAGAGAAAATAACCTTTTATAGGATGGAGCTGAAAAGAGACTGGGAGATTTGTTATTTTCAACCCCAGTACTCTATTACTTCCACATTACTTGGCAAAACATCCTGCCCAGAAAATGATCTGCTCTTTAAAACTTTGCTCAGAGCTCTGCTCTGTACTGCCTCACAAGCCTCAAAGTTGAGACCAAGGTGCCACAGCCCTCACTGCTCTCCTGGTTCTGCAGAGACGGCTGTCACAGAGCAGCATTCCAGAGGTTCCATGGTGATTTCCTATTTTTTTTTCTTTCTTTCACAAAAGCTGTTGGGGTAACATTGCAAGAGTCCAAGAATTAGAATTAGGTGATACATTTTCAAGTTGAAAACATAAAAATAAACTCAATTGGCAACTGATTTAAAATGTAGGAATTAGGCAGGTGGTGACACTGACAATGTGAAGATTGTTCTGAGTGTTATTCTGAACACTGCAGTATAGTTGGGATCTTAACAATCACTGTGGCTCACCAATTTTTCAAATGTTTACTTTCCATGCATATTTTGTGTCATCCTAGTCTGTTTAACTCAAAAGATCTAATCCCACCAGATCACCTATAATTAGAGAGTGATGATGCATTCTTAGAAGACAAATATAGACACCACAGAGGTGATGCATCAGCAGTCTAAAAATAATTAATTCTTATCCTCACAAGGCCACCTACACCAAGACACTTGGGAACAGTTCACTATAGCCATAATGTCATAGAAGGATGGAAAAATCATTTTTCTTATCTGTAGAAGTAGGTCACAGCAAGAACATTTTGGCAAAAAAAAAAAAAAAAAAAAAAAAAAACTCAGGGGGGACATGAATAGATTTTGTGACAGTCTTTTCATTTATTACCTTAATGCAAGACTTGATCATCAGTTCATTGTGTACTCTCCAATCATCTTCCTACATGGTAAAGGACCAGAATTGAAGTTTTGAAATGCAGTATTTGGGGACACAGCAAAAAGCTTCATTACCAATATACTGCTTCTAAATGGAATAACAAGGGCCCAAACATTTGAGACAATAACTGGTTTTTGTTGTTTTTCTAATTACATGAAAATAAAACTTATAAATTAGAATACTTCTCACAAGTCTGAGCTAGGCAATATATAGTCACAGAGGCTAAAGGTTAGCTGAAAGTTTCCCATAGCAACCTTTTAAACTCAGCACATGGGCCACATGTGAGACAGATTTTATTTCTTTTGAGACTTTCATTTAAACACATTGATCAGCTCTTTCAACAATGATCTGAGTTTTGTGCATTTCACTAGTGCTGCTGCCTTCTAAATAATGAATAGTTTTCCCCAATGAAGGTGAGGGGGTAGAAAAAGGGGATGTACAGGATTAGGACGGGGGATCACAACATTTACACTGATAATTTTATAATCTCAGGAGAAGTCATGGGAGGAGCTGATTATCTACCCTGCTTAAAGCTTTCTCCTGTCATCGGTCAGAAAGGCTGGACACTCTTCCTGTGCTAGCAGCTGCTCCAATTAATGCTGTACCTCCTTAGAATCACACATTTGGATTCACAGGCTGACTGACACTGGACTTTCTTCCTGGGGAACAGAAAACATGTCTGCAGGAAACCAGGCTTCTCTCCTAACTATAAGCTCTTATTGACCTACATTTTTAAGAAATTTGTTCTGAAGTTCTGATAAGGATTAGAACCCATTCTTTGGCTCCAACAGAGCTACTCATTTGGGCACACAGTCCTTCCTCCCTTCCCTCAAATGTACTAAAAAGATTTCTTCCATGCTTTTTTTTTTCTTGCTAAGAGCAATTCTATTTCATTTTTCACAGAATATGATTTTCTATGTTCACTTTATCATTTTTACTCCTCTTAGTGTCATTAATGACCTTCGAGCTTAGTCAGTTATTCTATGCTTTTTTTCTTCTGCATTCATCCTTTTTTCCATTTTAGCACACTGAAGGCCAATTTTACAATGAGTAAACTGTAAAACTGTGTCCTAGTTCTCCTAGAGACAATCTTCTTTCTTTGAGCTATTAAACTGGAATTTTTGGATTTTTTTTTTTAATCAAGGCTTTGTCACAGAACAGGTACAATCATTACAATGTAAAATTAGTCTTTTTTCCAATGAAAGTGGTGTAATACTCTACTTTCGACTTATAACTACACAGAAGGATTTGGGAAGCGGAATATAAAAGACCTATCAAGAGCTTCAAAGAGTTATGTGGAAAGTTATATGATGTTTTGTTCCTGAAATATAGAAATAAAGTCATACCAGGGTATAATGCTAAAATTTTGCTTTCTGTATTTGCTATTGCAAAATTAGTTCATTTAAACCTTGTAGAATAAACTGCCTTTCACTCACTCATACATCCACGTAGTCATCCTCTGGATGTATTCATTGGGTTCCTCCAATGTGTCAGGCAATAAAAAGCAAATCAAAATAAAACAACAAACAACCTTTTTTTTAAATCCTGAGAATCTTGTCAGTGGTTATTCTCTACTCTAGGCATGCCACTCTCCTCCAAAATGATCTCATACATGGTATTCACCTGCAAAAGATGAGGAGCCACAGTAACAATAAACCTACCTGCAGGCAGATTCACTAAGGTGGACAGTTTTACAGGACTGTTTCACTAGTTATTAACTGAAAGCCCAGTGGCTATGCAATCCAGTGGGGAAAAAGAGGCTTTAGAATCAAATAACCTGTGCTTAGATTCTCGCTCTGTGGTTTGAGGCCAATATGGCTCTGACTTAGCTTCTCTAAGCCTCAGTTTCCTCATGTGAAAAACAGAAATAGCTGCACAAGTACCAAAGGGTGGTTATAATCACTAAGTGAATTAAAATCCACAAAGTTTCTATCACTGTACTGTTGCAAGGTTGACGTCCAATAAATTATAATTTTAGCAGCATCATTATTATGGCTGGGTTTTAGAGCCTGGGAGAAATGACTGCTCCAGGCAAAGAATTCTTTTTTCTCAGAAAAGGAATGACAGGGTTAATTTCAAGTAGGCTGAGGATAACTAGGTTGTAAAAGAAGTGTAGCACATGTCCTAACCCAACCCCTCTTCTCTCTTGAGTTGTGCTCCTACTTCATTTACCCATGACCCACTTATTCATTATCTCCATAGATGCCCCTTTACATTAGCATCCCATTCACTGGGCCTTACCTGTCACCATTATCTTTTCCTCTATCATCCAAACTTATTTAGATACAGTTTAACTCAGGGCATTAGTGTATTACTTTAAATGAGTCAAGGGAAGGGAAGGTGATAAATCAGTTTACTTTTTGCTTGGGGATGGAGGTGATGGAAATGTGAGGAAGAGGACTGGATAGCTGGATCAAAACAAAATAAAACAAAACAAAACAAACCCAGAACTTAATGATTCAAACTTAACAGCAGAAAGTGTCTTTTTACATATAAGTATGTCAATATTGACCTGCTTATCAACTACAACATTCACATCTAGCCTGAGTGAAAGGAAAGGCCATTCCCTCATAAGCTAAAAATGAATAAATGGATGCAAACAGCATATGGTTGGTCATAGAGAGGACTACTGACTTCTCACTTTGGCTCACAGAATTACAGAAGACTACAGCTGAACACAGAACACTAGAGTTTAAGAGACAGAGACACTGAGGCCCAAAAATGTCTTACATGACTTGCTGAAGGCAATCCAGCTACTAGCTGCAGAGCTAAAACCAGAACCTAGATTTCTTTCAGTTTCCTCCAAAACTAATTTAAAATGATGAAGGTATAGTGTGTTTAGGTGGTTAGACTTATATTTTGTTTTTGTTTATTTTTATTTTGTTTAGTGTGAAAAAGATGCAGTCTGACTTTTAGAAAGGGCTTAGGTCTGAGGAATTTATGTGCCTTGGTGATGGTGGAGCAGTCCATGAATGCTTTGAAACAGCACAGAAAATTTCAAGCAGATGCACTCTTTTAAAGGAATAGGACCCAAAGCTTTTATCAGATTCTTAAAGGTGTCAGTGAGCAAAACCAAGTGAAATGCAGTGGATTGGGTAGAGACCAGAGCAATTAGACCAGTGGTTTCCAAGGTGCCACAAGTGGAAATGTGTCCAGTGCAGACACAGACGACATGGGGTAGGGAGAAGTTGGCTGGAAAAGTGGACTCTACTGTGGCACCTCGGCGTCAAGCAGGGCAGCTTTACTTTCTCTCTGCTTTCCAAATTAGTGTTCTGCTCCATTAGCTGAAGGAAAGGCTTCTGCTGCCAGGAGTAGGAGAACTGATATCCTTGTTAGACTGTATCCTATACAATATTAACAAAGCTGTGACTTCCACACTCATTTTTGAAAAAATAATTTATAGCATTCTGCAAAGAGCCCCTTATCTACTGCTGTTCTATTACTTCCCCATTTAGCAATCAAGACGATACCTTTTGCTTCCCAACATCTTTGTGAATGCCTGCTGGTGGTAAGAAAATATGAGCGATGAACTGAAGCTGCTTATGAAAAAGAACCTATGTCCATCCTCTCTCATCCTGAGAGGATAATGGAAATTACTTTTTCCATTTCCCTGGCTTCTCACAGGATGATCTTCATCCCAAAGGTCTGGGTGTTGCTATAGTTGTACCTGAAACCCTGAGTGGATTGCCCACCTTTTTCTCTTTTATAACCTGTGGAATGCTCTCCCTTCCATTTTTTCTTCAGACAATAAAGAGTTGAGGGCATATTTTTAGAAGCAAAAAGTTTTAAGTTTTATAGAATGTTCTATAACTTGGGATAGGGAAAAATGAGATCTAGCAAAAAGTAATAAAGCTTAGGAAGCAGTATATTTGGTCATTTTCAGCCAAAATTAGAGCTCCATGCCTCTAAGACACAGCCTAAATAATGTTGTGTTGCATTAACCTTGAGCTATAATATGGCAAAAGTAGATTACAGGAGATCACAGAAAAAATAGTTATAACAGCAGCAGCTAGCAGGAATATTTTGGCAAGCAATCGCTCTTACAGATTCCATTATAAACATCAGGATCACAGACGGGGCCTGTATGAGTCTGTACAAAATTCGAGTATAAATATTAAATATGTGACTTCACAAATAAGTACCATACTGGGAAATGACCACCCCGCCAACAAGTTTTGTATGTTTGTCTTATTTAGCTTCACCTGCCTCACTGAACGTGTTTCTGAAGGATGGCAGAACCCTGGGGTGGGAGGGGTAGTGAGAGATCAGCTGGTCCAACTCTACCTCTCCCGCCCACCACAGGTGCAACCATTTCTTCTTGTCAACATGCTCTCTTTGAATTATAATTTTTAAAGATATTCTATCATTGAACAGCTGGGCTTACAAACAGTAATGTTCCAGGTGTTGCAAGTTACCTTATAAAAGTGTAAGATGATAATCCTCTTTAAAAGGAACTTATGATCTCACTGGAAACTGAGACAGACACTTGAGCAGCTGTTAGTCATGCTATGTGACAACAGGTAGAGCAGGAAGTGATGCAAATATCAGTGTTGATCTTATTGTCTTCTTTGATATCCTTTACAATACCTAATATTAGGTATATGACAAGCTTGTTGAACAAGAGTTCAACAGAGCACTGGGCTGGGAGATAAGAGCCTGGTCTCTAATAGTCATTGAAGTAGATGTTTACAATTAGAAATGGCATAGTCATAGGGACAAAAGTCATAATCATTTATTTAGTATTTATTATATTCCAAGGACTTGTCATATATTCATTGACTTTATCATTACAATATCCATAAGGTAAGTAATATTCTTATTACACAGATAAGACATCTTCCCTGAGGTCCTGTGGCCAGTGTGTACAAGGGTTGCAATTTCACACCACACCTGTCCAATTTCTAGGCCCATACCCCAGTCCTGCCCAAGTCTAGCCTTTTCTGAGATTCTGTACATCTGTGTCAAAATATCCACTATGGCATTTTCAATTATTAAATATAGCAAGACTCATGAAGTATTTAGACATTACTGACATCTAAGTATGTAATAATATTCTACTTCTTACATTAATACATCTTAACTACTATTACTACAGCAGCTGTAAGACAACATAGAAGAACATAGGTCACACATCTTATTTAGTTTCCAGAGGTTCACACTGAAGGCTGGCACAATCAGAATACATTAATAACTGGTAAATTATGTAGCCATTTTATTTAGCTTCAATAAATGAAATATTGAGTTGAACTTGAGATATGTGAGTACTGAAATGAATAAATATTGTGTTGCTGACTGAAAGCAGAAAATACAAATCTGACAAAGATTTAACGATATGGTTACAAGAAAATTACTGTAGACAAATAACATCTACGTACATTTCAAGTGTAACTTTCAAACAGGAAAAACAAATACAAATGGGATCTATCTCTAGTTCTAAGGACAATCTCATGCTTTCAGCTGAAGGTACAATCACTTTCTGATACGGCAACAAACTAGGGGGTCTTGCATGTAACACCTGTGTGTGCTCAGCTGGACCCCCGATACCAACTTTATTTAGTTTTAGAATGTTTCAATTAATCTACCCAGCTTCCTGCCCTAAGAAGTCAGACACTGGTTATTAAAAGCCACTTTCTCCTATTGTGTCTAAAAACGGACACTGATAATTTTAGAGAGGGAGAATACCTGGGAGCACTTAAAAAAACCAAAGGAAAAGCTAAGGTTCTGCCTCCAAATCCTGCTTTATCCTCCTTTTCTAAAGAATGTGAAACAAAATGAAAGTTCAAAATGAGAGCTTTTTCCCAATTCATATTCCCAGCATTGAAATAAAGATGTAAATTCTCATAATGAAATTAATTTGCACTCTCCTGAGAGATTACAGGAGCTCAACTGGGAAGAAAGAAGGAAGGGAAGAAAGGAGAAAGGAAGGAAGGCAAGACTAGCGCAAATGTTAGGACAGGCAGATAGCTAGACATGAACAGGAGGGGGAAGCCCCTGAGAAAAGAAGGTCTGGAAAATCTCACACCCCAGAGACCACCCAAAACATGCATGCTAGATATGAGCAGAGAGGAGGCAAAATACGTATGCAGGAAGGAACACTCTCGGACATCCCTTAAGATGCCCAGTAATTGCTCACTGTGCAGTTAAGCTGTCAGAAGGTAGCTAGCTACATGCCGATAGGGAAGGAAAGAGGGCAAAGGTGAAATTCCTAAGAGGCATGCAGGTGCAGTAAGTACATATTTAACCACTATGAGACCTCCCTGGGGTGATTGTAATGAGCACGATTAGGAAGGATTCATATCCAACACTGAGCCTGTACCTCTGTAACAAATGACAGTAAGGGAGAATCCCACAAACCTGGAATGGGAACTAGGTGGGGGAAAGGCAGAGACTTAAGGCAGAAGTGGGAAACCAGACAAAGACAAAGGCAGAGACTTAAGACAGAAGCACAAACTTAAAGAGTCTGATGTAAGAAAAACCTCAACACAGAACTCTCAGGGCTGCTGGCTCATTCTTTTTCTAGCGGCTCACTCTGCCTTGTCTTTTGGAGTGTGCTGTCTCTCTAAACTCTGCCACTGCTTAACCCTTGCTGCTATTGTAGCTGTTTTCCAGCCGGACCAGCCTGCTCCTTTCTTAAACTCTACTTCCTTTGACAAACTCTCTGCTCTTATTTTCCTTCAATAAACTCCTTGCTCTTTATTTTCCTTCAATAAATTCTCTGCTTTCTTTGCTAAATTTGTCTCTTGGCCAAATTCTTTCTCCCAAGTAAGACAAGAACCAAGGACTCATGTACTTTCTGGTAAAACAAACAGAATTGAAATGGATGCAGGGAGAAAATGGAATTATCTTTTCAGTTTTTGGGAATAGTTGTATATTTCTCTTCAAGTTGTCTTTTAATTTCTAAAAGAAAAATTCTCATTTACCCTTCTACCAGGGAAATAAGATAATGGGTAAAAAACAACAACAACAACAACAAAAAAAAAACAAAAAAATAAACCCTTTCATTTCCTGAATCTCATTGTCATATGAACCCTTCACCAGTCTGAGCTTTTCATGCTCTTCATATGTATGACTTATTATAAAGGTACAAGGTTTCTAAAGTCATTTTACAAATGAGAAAATGATGGTATCAGGTATTAAGGAACACATCTGAGTTTACTCAGTGAAAAAGTTGAAAACTAAACAAAGCATTTCCCAGACAGGTTCCTAGTAGCTTAAATAATCAAAATACCATGGAAAATAGAATTTGTTGTAATAGGATGAATCATTGAGATAAATACTAGTGTACTGTCTCCTTTGTTGCTATGGATTTGAAACCGGCCCAAATGTCCCATAGAACTGATATTTACAGTCTTTTTAAATAAACATAGAAATTGACCCTTCTGGTCTTAAAACTTACATTGGTCTTATCTGAGTTCCTTCCTCAGGCCTCCTAGATAGTATCAAGGAACTGAAACTCACCAGATCCAGACAATGAGAAGCCAGACCCCCTCATCTCTCATTATTTCTTCACTTCTCCCTAATTCCTCTTTACCTGCACGTAGTTACATTTCTTCCCTGCTGTATATATAAGCCCCCGATTTTAATTGGTCAGGGAGATGGATTTGAGACTGATCTCCCATCAGCTGCAGCACCCAAATAAAGCCTCTTCCCTGGTAATGCTCATCTCCATGATTGGCCTCCTGTGCAGAGAGTAGCAGGACTTAGATCCATCTCCTGGTGTTTTGGTAACAGATTCATTCACAAAAGCATTATATGAGAGTGTCCACTTTCTTCCTCTTCACCCATGTTTAGAAAGGGCAAAAAGACCTGGTGTTTTGAATCCTGGCCTCCTTTGCCCATCCTTAAGACCACAGCTTCCAGAGGCAAGGGAAGTGGCCACCCCAAGAGGAGAAAGTAGACTTCTTGGGATGTAAGTATTAATAAGAAGAGGGGTGGGTTAAGTTCCCAAGTGGTGGTGACCCATGCTCTTCTTCAGTGGCTGGCCTTAGAAGTATCAGGACCTGGCCAGGCACGGTGGCTCATGCCTGTAATCTCAGCACTTTGGGAGGCTGAGGCAAGCAGATCACGAGGTCAGGAGATCGAGACCATCCTGGCTAACACGGTGAAACCCTGTCTGCACTAAAAATACAAAAAAATTAGCTGGGCGTGGTGGCAGGCGCCTGTAGTCCCAGGTACTTGGGAGGCTGAGGTGGTGTGAACCCAGGAGGTGGAGCTTGCAGTGAGCCAAGATCACACCACTGCACTCCAGCCTGGGCGACACAGCAAGACTCAGTCTCAAAAAATAAAATAAAATAAAATAAAATAATAATAATAAAAAAAGAAGTATCAGGACATGCAAGGACAGATGATAATAAGAATGCCAGTGGAGACCCTGGAGGTAACAGCACAAGGTTCAATTACTAGCATGGCATAGAGGAAGTAAAATCACCACGGAGACTGCCTATTTTTGAATTTGGGCAAGGAGTGTCTTCCCAGCAATCTTTTTTCTTATTTTCCTGGACTGATGGACCTGGTTACTTTAGGAGAATGAGAACTTGCTTGAGAAAAACACACAGACATTGTGGTTTCGACATCTATCCCAATACTGGCAATTGGGAAACAATGTCACACAAGAAAAAGAAGGTTCATTGAAAACACTACTTGAGAAAACTGTACATCAAGTATCACCGAATGAAATTTCTGTACTATGAAAGTTACATTTTCCAAGTCTGATTTATAACATTATGCTTCAAATG
This sequence comes from Homo sapiens, assembly GCF_000001405.40. Classification (NCBI taxonomy): domain Eukaryota; kingdom Metazoa; phylum Chordata; class Mammalia; order Primates; family Hominidae; genus Homo; species Homo sapiens. The sequence continues at coordinate 82,920,055 of NC_000006.12, forward strand.
GAAAAAATATATATAAATCATATTAAGAAACCACTTTCATAGGAAGAAGTATCTATTAACACTATAACCAAATACCACACAGTTGACTGAAGCTGTGGGAGAGAAGTAGTTTGAGATGAATTATGAAACAAAGGGGATCCATGTTTAGTAATGAATCTTTAAAGTCCTTGGCCAAAGTTTCTCTTCTTATCCAGGCTAACAAATGTGTTTTTGGATATGACATCCAGAAAAATCCTTGGGAAGTATTTTAAGAGTAATTTTTCTTAGAGGACAAAAAGTAGTAAGAGACAAGGTAAATTGGCTTCTGCATTCCTTTGATACATATATCTTTTTAATATGATAAGACCACATTGATCTATAATAGCACCATTTAAATAAAAATGTAAGATATATTACACATTTTGCTGCCTTTTAAAATAACAATGCACCAAATATAAACAGATTCCTTTCCTTGATGACCCAAGGTCAACATTATGAATTACCTGTTCATTGTGTGACCTTGGGCAAGTGATATGAACCTCTCCAAAGTTTCGGTGTCCTCCTCTTTACTATGGGAATGGTAGAATTGTGATGGTGGATTAAATGAGATCTTCCTAATAAAGCACTTGGTATAGAGCCCCATACATTATTAAGAATCAACCCAAAATGTTAGCCACTGCTACTTTTTCACTTATTTCCTTTCTCTTGACTGTGGTCTCAAAAATTGAGGTTGACCTATATATGTAATGTTTAAAGAAGTTACCACGTAAGATTTACAACTCCGACTTCTCTTCTAGGAAAACAAACAAACAAACAAAAAAGGAAGAAAAGATTTAACGCCCATTTTTTCCAGTATGGTAGCCTGATGTCAGAGGAAGCCCTCTCAGTATAGAAAACTAAAAATGCTGATTTTTTTTTTTTTTTTTTGAGACAGCGTCTTGCTGTGTTGCCCAGGCTGGATACCCAGGCTGGAGTGTAGTGGCACAATCTTAGGTCACTGCAACCTTAACTGCCAGGGTGCAAGTGATCCTCCCATCTCAGCCTCCCAAGTAGCTGGGGCTACAGGTGCCCACCACCATGCCCAACTAATTTTTATATTTTTAGTAGACTGGGTTTTGGCATGTTGCCCAGGCTGGTCTTGAAATCCTGAGCTCAAGGGATCTGCCCATCTTGGCCTCCCAAAGCGCTGGGATTACAGGCATTAGCACCTGGCCCTGAATATTTTTAAAAAATCTTTTAAACACATAGCTGAGCTATCAGGAGAATAACCAAATCCTCTGAGGTAGGAAAAATTCCTGAAGCCTCTTGGTAAGCCAGGGCTGAAAACAGAATTTTCCCTAAGGCTTCTGCCCATCCTGGAAGGTCTAGACTTGTGCTTGTGCTTTAAACCTATGAAAGGCTGAGGGTCAGCAGACAAGCCTGGAGCCATGCAAAATAGCACACTGGATCACACACCCCTGAGATCCTTCCTTCTTCCTCCATACCACTCGCCCATAGTAAATGAACTGGAGAAAAAAAAATCTACCTTTTAGAGGCAGATGGTGAATGAAGCAACTTGCCTGTCTCAGCCTCAGCTCAGAATGTGGCATGGAGGGTGAGGAGAAAGGCACTTGTGAGAATTCCTGATCACAGGTCCACTCATGGGCATGTTTGGGGTTGGAATTTTCACACTATTTATGGGGCCTCACTAACAGTCCTCTATGCAGGAACATATTTTCATCCAGGCCTTGAAGAACCCTCCCAAAGTCCCAAGGAGAACATGAGCTTGCCATCATAAAATCACTAAATATGTGAGCAAGTCAACAGAAACAACTTACACAACCAGACCGGCAAAACTGTAGACATTTTCACTAGGAAGAATATATAATATGTATAAACAAATAAAAGAAATAGCAAAAGTATTCCTAGGCTACAAGAGACTTTCAGAACTTATGGGAAGATTTGAAAAACAACCAAACAGTACATCCAGAAAGGAAAAAATATAAGACTTGCTACCAGAAATTTAATGTTAGACAAATAAGAGATTGGACATAGTAGAAGAAAGATGAATAAGACCAGATAATAGTTGTAGCAGACATAAAAGGCATATTCTGAACAATTTTTTTGGAAATTCTGAAAATGCAGATGAAATGGACAAATCCCTAGGAAAACAGAAATTATTGAAACTTATTCCAGAATAAATAGAAAGCCTGAATCATCTTAAACATTTAAAGACATCGAATCAGCAGCTAAAAATTCTTCCAACTTAGAAAACACCATGCCCAGATAGTTTTACAAATGAATTTTATGAAACCGGTAATTTCAATCTTATATAAAGTCTGCCAAGAACAGAAAAAGGAGAAACTCTCTCCAAGTCATTTTATGGGGCTATTGAAACCTTGATATTAAAAACCCACAGACAGTGTAAAAGAGGAAACTCAGAAACCTGACACATACAAGCAATGGGGAAAAGTTTCCCTATTTAATAAATGGTCTTGGGAAAACTAGCTTGCCATATGCAGAAAACTGAAACTGGACCCCTTCCTTACACCTTATATAAAAATCAACTCAAGATGGATCAAAGACTTAAACATAAGACCTAGGACCATAAAAATCCTAGAAGAAACCTGGGCAATACCATTCAGGACATAGGCATGTCTAAAACACCAAAAGCAATGGCAACAAAAGCCAAGATTGACAAATGGGATCTAATTAAACTAAAGAGCTTCTGCACAGTAAAAGAAACAATCATCAGAGTGAAGAGACAACCTACAGAATGGGAGAAAATTTTTGCAGTCTATCCATCTGACAAAGGGCTAATATCCAGAATCTACAAAGAAGGTAAACAAATTTACAAGAAACAACCCCATCAAAAAATGGGCAAAGGATATGAACAGACACTTCTCAAAAGAAGACATTTATGCAGCCAACAGACATATGAAAAAATGCTCATCATCACTGGTCATCAGAGAAATGCAAATCAAAACCACAATGAGATACCATCTCAAGCTAGTTAGAATGGCAATCATTAAAAAGTCAGGAAATAACAAATGCTGGAGAGGTTGTGGAGAAATAGGAATGCTTTTACACTGTTGGTGGGAGTGTAAATTAGTTCAACCATTGTGGAAGACAGTGTGGCAATTCCTCAAGGATCTAGAACTAGAAATACTATTTGACCCAGCAATCCCATTACTGGGTATATACCCAAAGGATTATAAATCATGTTACTATAAAGACACACGTACACGTATGTTTATTGCAGCACTATTCACAATAGCAAAGACTTGGAACCAACCCAACTGTCCATCAATGATAGACTGGATTAAGAAAATGTGGCACATATAAACCATAGAATACTACGCAGCCATAAAAAAGGATGAGTTCATGTCCTTTGCAGGCACACAGATGAAGCTAGAAACCATCATTCTCAGCAAACGATCACAAGATCAGAAAACCAAACACTGCATGTTCTCACTCATAAGTGGGAGTTGAACAATGAGAACACATGGACACAGAGAGGGGAACATCACACACCAGAGCCTGGGGCCCTGTGGGGGTGGGGGGCTAGGGGAGGGATAACATTAGGAGAAATACCTAATGTAGGTGACGGGTTGATTGGTGTAGCAAACCACCATGGCACGTGTATACCTATGTAACAAAATGCACGTTCTGCACATGTAACCCAGAACTAAAAGTATAATAAAAATAAATAACTAAATAAAAGAGGAACATCTGTTACTTATCTAGACTCTGAACACAAACACAGATAAAAAACAAAATATGAATTTATATCATGACCTTCATATCATGACCAAGTTAAGTTTAACTCAAGAATGTTAATTTAACATTTGAAAATTATTACAGGTAATTCACCATATAAACAGATTAAATGCAGCAAAAAAACTGTGTGTTGGAAAAGCCTAGAGTCAAAAGTAAAAAAACAAATTTCAGCTTGTAATATTCTTAGTAGAAAAATCATACCCTCACTGTGTACCTGGTCCTTCAAAATGGTGAAGCAGTGAAAAGAGGCTTTTTTTTTTCTTAAGCAGAAGCATGCATATGCACAAGCAGCGTATAAATAAAAAAAGGTAGGAGAAAAAAGAAAAGTACTTGGAAGTCCACAAATGGCAGCCATTAAACACATTTTTCTAACTTATTAAAAAATATTTACTTGAAAAGGTACATAATAATAAAAAGAAAAAGAAAACAAAACCCAGATATAGCCATTTTCTTGCAGAGCTTACAATTACTAACTGATAAGAAAAGTTACTTGGATGAAATATAGGTTGATATGAACGTTTTAGAGAATAATTAGGTAAAATGTCAAAAACCTCAAAAATATTCAGAGTTTTGATTTAGGAAATGATCAGATATTTAGCCAAAGCTTAAGGACAAGAATCTTTACTACAGAACAATTTATTTTTTGTATAAAAACTAGAATTTATTATGACAACTGCATAGTAACTTTGTTTAGTTTCTAGTATCACAAATTCAAAACACTATTTTACCTCTCAATTCAATTACACACACTGGAAAGTGATTAGGTAATTTGTAAATTAATTACCATTTATAGAATATCATTTAAAAATATTTGCCAAGCAGGGTATTAGCTCTATCTTTAAAATCACTGAATCTTTGCACAAATTGAAAAATAAAGGCATACATCTCATTTTGTTCTGCATTTTTAAATAACATCATTTGTTTCCTTTAAAATTTTTTCATCCATTTATTCAAAAATATTTTGAAGTTCAACTGTCCAATTTAAGGCAGAATATGGAAAATGCATAGTATTTATAGTAAACATTATCCTTCCTTTGACTGAACCTAACTAAAAACTCTATTAGAATCTTTGTTGGCTTTCTGGTCATGCTTTTCCTAAGATATGGAACCTCATCTTTATTGTTCATCATATCTGCTGGGCCTAAATGAGCTCACTTCTGAGTCACAAATTCATTCAGCTATGTTGCAGTTGCATATGCCCCTACAGATTGATATTTCCCAATAGTATTAACATAGCAAGCTGACAATCTGCAACCTGTCTTGCATAATGTTCAAAGAGAGACAGTCTCCAGCCATGGTCCCCCATTGCAATGCTAGCCTCAAATAGTTTTGTCCCTGTATATAGGTACAAAAAAGTGAATGATAAAGGCCAGTGATACAGATATATCTGTAAGCAAAGTCTACCTTAACAATAAAATAATGATTCAAAGAAGGAATATAAACCAAAGTCACCTTCCTTTTAATTTGAACATATTTCTATCTTTATGAAGCCATCTACTGAAACAAAAATGTCCTTGGAGTACTGTCATATTTTCTGCCTACACAGCACTTTTTCAAAATGTCTGAGGAATTTCCTTCCTTACTGACCCGACTTCTTTAAGTCAAAAGCCAGAAAACCTGTTTCTTCAACCTTCCTGTGAAGCCAGGACAGCAGCACGTGATGAGACTCTATGATTAGACACTCGGCTCAGGATTACCTTCAGATGTAAGTAACCTGAGGAGGAAACATGGGGAATCCATCCTATCCTGTGGTGATCATGGAAGGGAAGTATCTGTCTTTCTGAGGACATCTGGGTAGAGTCACCTGTGTAAATAATGTAGTGATATTTTCCTAAAAGCAATCTGGATGGCATGTTGGGCTCTGTTCTTGGCTGCATGCTTAACTGCCCAATATCCTTCACTAAAATCCTGCTTCTGCTCAAACTAGCCAGAGAGGATTTTGTTGCTTTTAAGAACCCCTGACCAATAGGGGGAATGATGACAGAGTCAGCCTCTAAAATATGAGGATTAACAATAAATACCCCACAAAATTACCAAAATATTAAATAAATAATATTCCATTCCTTGGTTCTATACTTTGTTCCTACTAAGTAAAGACTAAATGCTCATTTAGGTAGAAAAAAACCTTCCCAAGGTCACACAGGTGGTTAAGTACATGATAGAACCAGTATTCAAATCCCCACATTTCTAGCTCTATAGTCTAAAATCTTATTAAAAAATATCCCCACCTCCCTTACTCAAGAGGATATAAAAACAATGATCTAATGATCATCTTTCAAAAATATTTCCTAAAGAAGGAAACCCCAGCTTGCTTTACTCAAGCCCCTTTCAATTCACCTGACTGTGACTTCTAAACTTGAAGGTAAAATGGAGTGGAATCCAGATAAAAAGTGAAAAAGAATGTCATATAGTTGGTACCATATAGTATGTAGCCTCTTTAGACTGGCTTTTTTCACCTAGTAATATGCATTTAAGTTTCCTCTGTGTCTTTTCCTAGTTTGACAGCTATTTCTTTTTAGTACTGAGTAATATTCCATTGTCTGTATGTATCATAGTTTATCCATTCACCTATAGAAGAGACTGTTACTTGCTTGCAAGTTTTGGCAATTATGAATAAAGCTGCTATAAACATCCCTGTGCAGGTTTCTGTGTGGAAATAAGTTTGAGCACCTTTGGTATTGATGATATGGTAAGAGTATGTTAAGTTTTCTAAGAAATTGCCAACGTGTTTTCTAAAGTGGCTGTATCATTTTGCATTCTTCCCAGCAATCAATGAGCATTTCTATTGCTCCATCAGCATTTGGTGTTGTCAGTGTTCTGGATTATGGCCATTCTAATAGGTGTGTGGTAGTTTCTCACTGTTGTTTTAATTTGCATTTTCCTGATGACATGTGATGTGTAGTATCTTTTCATATGTTTATTTGCTCCCTGTATATCTTCTTTAGTGACATGCTTCTTAAGGTCTTTGTCCATTTTAAAATCAGGTTGTTTTCTTTTCTCCCAGTCTGTGGCTTTTCTTTTTATTCTCTATAGTGTCTTTTGCAAAGCAGAAATTTTTATTTTAATGAAGTCCAGCTTATCAATTCTTTCTTTCATGGGGTATGCCTTTGCACTGTATCTAAAAAGTCATCATCAGATGCTAGGCCATCTAGAATTTCTTCTACATTATCTTCGAAGGGTTTGTTTGGTATTTTACATTGAGGTCTGTGATCCATTCTGAACTGACTTTTGTAAAGGGTGTAAAGTCTGTATCTAGATTCATTGTTTTTGTACGTGGATGTCCAGTTGTTCCAACATCATTCATTAAAAAGACTAACTTTTCTCTGTTGAAATGCTTTTGCTTCTCTGTCAAAGATCAGTTGACCATATTTTTGCGGGTCCATTTCTGGGCTTTCTATTCTGTTCCATTGATCTATTTGTCTTTTTTTTTTTTTCCCCCACCAATACCACACTGGTGGTGATTACTGTAGCTTTATAGTAAGTCTTAAAGTAGGGTAGTGTCAGTCCTCTAACTTTGTTCCTCCTTCAATATTGTGTTGGCTAGTTGGGGTATTTTGCCTCTCCATATAAACTTTAGAATCAGTTTGCCAATGTACACAAAATTACTTGCTCAGATTTTCAATGGGATTGCATGGAATCTATGGGTTGGGAATCTAGAGTTAGAAAGAAGTGACATCCTGACCACATGTAGTCTTCCTTTCCATGAACACGGAATATCTCTCCATTTATTTAGTTCTTTGATTTCTTTCATCAGAGTTTTACAATTTTCTTCAAAGAGATCTTATACATATTTTGCTAGATTTATATCTACATATTTCACATTTGGGGGGCTAATGTAAAAGGTACTGTTTTTAATTCCAAATTTCACTTATCCATTGCTGGTATGTAGGAAGGCAATTGGCTTTTGTATATTAACTTTGTATCCTACAATCTTGTTATAATCACTTATTAGTTTGGGAGGGTTTTTTTTTTTTTAATTCTTCAGGATTTTCTAAATAAGACAATCATGGCATCTCTGAACAAAGACAAATGCCATTCTGGAAAAAAGCAAAACTATACGGACAGTATTAAGATCAGTCGGTGCCAGTAGTTGTGGGGGGAGGAAGGCATGAACAGGTAGAGCACAGAGTATTCTTAGGGAGATGGAAACTACTCTGTATGATACTATGTTGGTACATACATCATTATATATTTTTTCAAAGTCATAAAATATACAATGCCAACAGTGAACCCTAATGTAAACTATGGACTTTAGGTGGTAAGAATGTGTCAATGTAGGTTCATCAACTGTAACAAATGTACCAATCTGGTGAGGGATGTTGTAATGAGGGAAGTTATCCCCAAGTAGAGGTAAGGGGTATATGAGAATCTCTGAATCTTCCTCCTAATTTTTCTGTGAACCTAAAACTGCTACAAAAATATGCAAAATTTGGTCAGATGCTAAAATGGATCCCGGGAACCGCATATGAATGGCTTTCATTTTAAAGTCAATTCCTGTCAACCACTAAAAATAAAACAAGCCAACAAGTCTCTCAGGGACTTCTGAGAACATTATTAATGTTGTTGTATGTATTATAAAAAAGCACAGGAATAGGCAATAATATGATTAATTTTAAAAAATACATTTCAACTATTTCCTGATTTCTGTAATGAGCTCTACACTGCAAATTGCCACTTCATCATGGTAAATTTGCAAATGTATTGAGAAGCTTAAAAAGATCTTTTAACATCTGTTTCAGGGACACCAACCACCTTATATTAGCCCCTCTGCACATTTAGAAAACAAGATTCATTTACCAAGTCTGCTTAAATTTTAAAACATGAATGCATTCAGTGATCATTTTATTTGCAGAGTAGAAAGAAGCACAAGGGAGCTTCTAAATGTTGGCTCTCATTATACTTCCAATTATTTCAATTATTTCAGATTATGTATAAGGCAATTTCCATTCTGACAAAATGCTGGATAAAGATATCCATGGGAATCCAAACAGCAGCAGTCTCTGTCCATATGGTAAGTTATGTTCTTCTAGGGAAAACAGCTGTAGTTAGGTGAAGTAATATAAATTTGACTGTCTTATGGAAATACTATTCTAACAAAGATATGCATAACAAAACCTAGTCCCAACATTATACAGAAGTGACAACAAACACCTTAATCAATTATTCTGCATTATAATTTCAAACATAATTATTTCAAACATAATTCCAAAAGAACCACATAGCGACCAAAATAAAACTATGGCTACTATGATTCTTGCTTGATTGTATGATCTAAATCCAAGGATGTAGAAACAACATCATCAAAATCATAAAAATAATAAATCTTTCTTCGGGTAAACATAAGATATCCATCCAGTCCACATCCAGTCCAATAAGAAAGAATAAGGACTTTCTTATTCATAGGAGTGGCTCTTCAACAGCCATGTTTGTCTTACATAACTGTGGGCCCTAATCACATCTGATGGAGATCAACACTGACCTATAATAAAATTCTCGGTTTTACCATGGAACTAAGACTTTTGTGGGGAAAGGGTCACTTAATTGTGTTTTGAAAAACTGTAATTTTTGCTAAGCTTTTTTGACAATTAAGGGACAAATTAAGGGCTTTCTCTTACTGAAGATTTCCTATTTTTTGCAAAATTTCTTTACTGATTTTAATTTCATTTTGTTCATTTTTATGAGATTAAAGTGTTTTTGAAAATTCCTCTTTCTAAAGATGCCCTTTTCTGTCAGTCTAGCAAAGTCTAAGTACTTTAGTGGGTTTTTTTGTTGGTGTGTTTGTTCTGGTTGGGGGGGTGGGGAGTGAGTCCTCTGATTTTGTGATTCTCTTACATAATTCTAAGCTTTCCCCCTTTCTTCTTTTCTCCTTCTTCATCCAATTGCTAAAAAGCCCTTCTCTTCTTTTTGCTTTTTTTCTTCTCCAGAAATTATGCTATTTTTAAGAAATAGACTGTTTTTTTAAAGTACACAGCAAAATTGAAAGGAAGGTGCATAGAATTCCCATATTCCCTCTGTATCCACACATGTATAGCCTCCCACATCATCAATATCCACCACAGAACAGTACATTTATTACAACTGATGAGCATACACTGACACATCCTTATCACCCAAAGTCCACAGTTTACATTACTGTTCACTCTTAGTGGTGTACATTCTATGGGTTTGGACAAATGCATGATGATATGGTTTGGCTGCATCCCCCCCAAAATCTCATCTTTAGTTCCCATAATCCCCATGTATCATAGGAGGCACCCAGTGGGAAGTAACTGTATAATGGGGGTGGTGACCCTCATGCTGTTCTTGTGATAGTGAGTTTTCATGAAATCTGATGGTTTTATAAGCGGCTTCTCCCACCCTTTACTCTAATTCTTCTCCTTGCTGCCACCATGTGAAGAAGCACATGTTCCATTTCCCCTTTTGCCACTACTGTGCATTTCCTGAGGCCTCCCCAGTCATGCTGAACTGTGAGTCCACTAAACCTCTTTCTTTTATAAATATCCAGTCTCAGATATGTCTTTATTAGCAGCGTGAGAATGAATTAATACAGTAGATTGTACTGGGTAGTGAGGCGCTGCTGTAAAGATACCCAAAAACGTGGAAGTGACTTTGGAACTGGGTAACAGGCAGAGGTTGGAATAGTTTGGCAGGCTCAGAAGAAGATAGGAAAATGTGGGAAGTTTGGAACTTCCTAGAGACTTGGAGGGCTCAGAAGACAGAAAGATATGGGAAACTAGAGACTTGTTGAATGGCTTTGACCAAAATGCTGATAGTGATATGGACAATGAAGTCCAGGCTGAGGTGGTCTCAGATGAAGATGAGGAACTTCTTGGTAACTGGAGTAGAAAGGTCACTCTTGCTATGCAAAGAGACTGGCAGCATTTTGCCCCTGACTTAGAGATCTGTGGAACTTTGAAGTTGAGAGATATGATTAGGGTATCTAGCGGAAGAAATTTCTAAGTGGCAAAGTGTTTAACAGGAAGCAGAGCATAAAAGTTTAAAAAATTTGCAGCCTGACAGTGCAGTATAAAAGAAAAACTCATTTTCTGGGAAGAAATTCGAGCCCACTGCAGAAATTTGCGTGAGAAACAAGGAGATGAATATTAATCACCAAGACAATGGGGAAAATTTCTCTAGGGCATGTCAGAGACTTTCATGGCAGCCCCTCCCATAACAGGCCTGGAGGCCTAGGAGGAAAAAATGGTTTCGTGGGCCAGGCCCAGGGCTGCCCTGCTATGTGCAGCCTAGGGATTTGGTGCCCCGCATCCTAGCTGCTCCAGTCATGGCTAAAATGGGCCAAGGTACAGCTCAGGTTGTGGCTTCAGAGGGTGCAAGCCCCAAGCCTTGGTGGCTTACACATGGTGTTAGGCCTGTGGGTACACAGAAGTCAAGAACTGAACTTTGCGAACCTCTGCCTTGATTCAGAGGATATATGGAAGTGCCTGGAAATCCAGGCAGAAGTTTGCTGCAGGGGTGGAGCCCTCATGGAGAACTTCTGCTAGGGCAGTGTGGGAGGGAAATGTGGGGTCGGAGCCCCGACCCAGAGTCCCCACTGGTGCACCACCTGGTGGAGCTGTGAGAAAAGGGCCACTGTCAACCAGACCCAGAATGGTAGATCCACTGACAGCTTGCACTGTGCACCTGGAAAAGCCACAGACACTCAACACCAGCCCAGGAAAGCAGCCAGGAGGGGGGCTGTACCCTGCAAAGCCACAGGGACAGAGCTGCCCAAAGCCATGGGAGCCCACCTCTTGCATCAGCATGACCTGGATGTGAGACATGGAGTCAAAGGAGATCATTTTGGAACTTTAAGGTTTAATAAATGCCCTATTGGATTTCAGACTTGCATGGAGCCTGCAGCCCCTTTGTTTTGGTCAACTTCTCTCATTTGGAATGGGTGTATTTACCCAAAGCCTGTATACTCATTGTATCTAGGAAGTAACTAACTTGCTTTTAATTTTACAGGCTCATAGGCAGAGAAGACTTGCCTTATCTCAGATGAGACTTTGGACTCGGATTGGGTTTTGAAATGTGAGTACATGAGATCTGGGAGGGGCCGGGGTGAAAAGATATAGTCTGGCTGTGTCCTCACTGAAATCTCATCTTGAATTGTAGTTACCATAATCTCCACATGTCGTGGGAGGGACCCGGTGTGAGGTAATTGAATCATGGGGGTGATTACCCTCATGCTGTCTCCTGATAGTGAGTGAGTTCTCATGAGATAAAATGGTTTTATAAGGGGCTTCTCCTACCTTCACTCTCATTCTTCTCCTTGCTGTCACCATGTGACATGTGTTCACTTCCCCTTCCACGATGATTGTAAGTTTCCTGAGGCCTCCTAAGTCATGCTGAACTGTGAGTCAATTAAACCTCTTTTCTTTATAAATTACCTACTCTCAGGTATGTCTTTATTAGCAGCATGAGAACAGACTAATACATATGATGACACATATCCACCACTACAGTATCATATAGAGTAGTTTCACTGGAAACAATGCTTGGGAAGACTGACCCATTAAATGATACCTATCCTTTTTAATGATGATTGTCCATTTAAATAGTATCTGGTCCTATAAAATGGTGTATCTTTAAATGGTGTATCTGGTCCTATATGGCCTTTGGCTTTTTAAATCATGTGACCTTAAAATCCCTTCCTTATACTCCATGCTGTGATCTGCTTGGTCATTTTCCCAGCATTTTAAACTTTAGGTTAAATTTAATCTTTCTGGTGGCGATTCCAAATCACCCTTAGGCACTGTCACTAGGCTATCTTTTCTGTTTTCACAGTTTTTCTTGGTCTGTTTTGCCCTCCATGAAGCCTGGCATGAATGGAAGTGTGGAAGAAGTGTGAGGAACTGAACACTGGAACTTACTTATGTTTTTTCCCTATTTATCCACAGCTATTTGTATTTTTGTATTCTCTGCCTATAAGTAATGCTAAGGGTGTGGCTTTGTGCAGTGTTTTCCTAATTGGAAAGTTGTTTTTTGTTTTTAGTTTGGGAGACTGATTACTACCCAATTGCCATTGTTTTCTGCTACCAGGAAATGTGTATGGAGCATTTTTAGACACCAGGGGACATGCTAGAGCATGGAGAGAGAGAGGAACACAACTTTTCAATTAATAAAACATAGCTAAAAGAGAAAAGCAGGGCTCTAGTTGTCTGTTATAAAGAATGTGACAGTATGAGAGGGGAAAACCTTTAATTTTGTGTATCCAGGGTCAAATTCAGGCAGTGGCTTCTCTTGTTGATTCCTGCCACCTGACCAAGCAGATTTGGGTTTTTTTGGGGGGTGGGGGAAGATACTAACAAAATGGTTTATAACACTGATAAAAGGCATCACCTTCACAGTATGACTCTCTAGGCCTTCAACATTATGCAATGATGGTGATAAGCACCTGAAAGACAAAGTTTAATAAACTCTTTTATATCCAGAGCAAATGCATCTTTAGTTTAGACAGATTTTATAAAGCTCCTAAGCAGCAAATGGCAAGATAGGTTCTGGATACCAACACAACAGAGTTAAGAAAAACGGAATAATCCAGTGAATAGTGAGCCAGCTTTACTGTCATGAAAAACAATTTCATTTTCATTGCATGCAACTCTAAAAGTAAATACACAGTCACAATCCATTTACCTGTAGAAAGCACTCTGCAATTTGTGGACTAAACCACTGACAACATTTAGCAGACAACTTTAGGGATGTTGAAGTCTATTATGATATAAGGTATTTCATTCCCCTAGCATGCCACCCACCCATCCTGAACATCCTTGACTCCATAGGTAGAGTGTAGTGGTAAAATGTGATACCAATTACATTAACTATACAAATGGCCACAACTTGCCTTTTTTACTCACAAAGTGCTTTCACAGATGGGAAGGGCAGTTGTTATTTTCCTTCTACAGATACGAAATGAAAACAAAGGTTAAATCATAGAGAGCCAAAGATTACACTAAAAGTCTTTGCCTTCTTCAAATATCAGGCAATGACAGATAAAATATAAAATGAGAGAATTCCAACTAATAGCTATACTCAGAAAACAAGCTAAGCACTTCCATGGACCAGAAGCACACAGTGTGGAGGCAGAGCTAAAGCCACGTGAGTGCCTAGTGGGGCTAAAGTTAAGGTCTTTTCATTTCCAAGGTATCAAATTAAAAAAAATCATTATGAGTGATATGGTCTGGCTCTGTGTCTTCACCCAAATCTCAGCTCAAATTGTAATCCCCATAATCCCCAAGTGTTGAGGGAGTGTCCTGGTAGGAGGTGATTGAATCCTGGGTGCTGTTTCCCCCATGCTGTTCTCTTGACAGTGGGTGAGTTCTCACAAGATCTGATGGTTTTATAAGTGTTTCACAGCTTCTCCTTCACACACTCTCTCTCACCCACCGCCATGTAAGACATGCCTTGCTTCCCCTTCCACCATGATTATAAATTTCCTGAGACCTCCCCAGCCACGTGGAACTGTAAGTCAATTAAACCTCTTTTCTTTATAAATTATCCAGCCTAAGGCGGTTCTTTATAGCAGTGTGAGAATGGACTAATACAATGAGGACATTAAACACAGCTTGTAAATCTTTTTACTTTGTTCTGTTATTTTAATTTTTTAACAGAGGGGCTGGACTTAGACTGCATGATGTTTATGAAAGGAAACCAAAGAAAATTGTTGCTGACAAATGCTGCAAGTTACGACTTACATGGGGTTTCTCATCTAGAGAAATAGAAAAACACAGATATAGATGCAGAAGCAGCTGCAAAACTACCATGGGGGTGGGGCAAGTTGTGGGAAGGAGTAAGGAGGAGAAAACAGTTGTTAAACAAGGTGAGCTTGCAAATCAAAATTCCAAAACACATGAAGACATCTAATTTAGCCACAAAATTAACAAGTAGAAGAATAAGCACTTTCAGAAAAAAATAAAATAACAGAACCAACTAAGAATATTTATAGGCTATGTTAATATCTTCATAGAGATTTTTAAAATGTGATACCTTGGAAATGAAAATATATAGCCACTGAAATAGAACTCAATAGTGGAGATAAACAACAGAATGAGTGAACTGGAAGATCTAGTACTGAGGAATTTATTCTGATACAGCTCTGAGATAAAAGTAAGTATGAGTGTGTATTTACAAATCACATATATATATATGTATATATGTATATATATGAAAAAACAGTTAAGAGACAAGGAGAATAGGCAAGGAGAATGCAAGAATGACTCTAATAGTATTAGACCATTCTTGCATTGCTATAGAGAAATATCTAAGACTGGGTAATTTATAAATAAGAGAGGTTTAACTGGCTCATGGTTCTGCAGGCTTTATAGGAAGCATGGTGCTGGCATCTGCTTGGCTTCTAGGGAGTCTTCAGGAAGCTTACAATCATAGCAGAAGGTGAAGGGGAAGCAGGCTCATCACATGGAGAAAGCAGAGCAAGCAAGAGAGAGGGGTGGGGGTGCCACACACTTTTAAACTAGCAGATCTTGTGTGAACTCAGAGCGAGTGCTCACTTATCACCAAGGAGCTAGCCCATGCCATTCATGAGAGATACACCCCTGTGACCCAAACAGCCTCCCACCAGGCCCCACCCACCTCCAAAATCTTGGATTAAAATTCAACATAAGATTTGGATGGGGACAAATATTCAAACTACATCACCAATATATGTCTAATAGAAGGTCGGAATGAGGAAATGGGGGTGGGGATAATGGAAATTTAATATATAATAGCTGATCATTTTATAGAACTACTTAAAGACAGGAGTTCTTACATGTATTCTGAGTACTACGTAGAATAAGTTTTTAAAACTCCACACTGAAGACATCACTGTAAATCTATAGTATATCAAGCATGAAGATAAAATCTTACAGGCCAGCAGGAAAAAGAAAGGAGACAGTTTATCTTCAAAGAAATAGCAAATAGTCTTACAACAGCTGTCTTATCAACAAAAATAGATGTCAGCAGGCAATGAGTGATAGATCTTCAAAGCGAAAAGGGGTATAGAATTCTATACTTAGCTTAGCCATCACTAAAGACTGTGAACAAAATGAAGACATTTCCAGATGTACAAAGACTAAGAGAGTTTCCCATTCACAAACTATCAGTGACAGGAATACTACAGGAAGTGAGATGCAAGAAAAAAAAAAGCCTGACAATTATATGTATTAGGTAATGAACATGAAAATATTTAAAATAATGGATTTTTGTGTTTTTAAGTGGAACCAGGAAAAATAATACATAATAGTAATGGGGAAATGTGGGATGAGAGGGTGGAATGTGCCTAGAGGTGGTAAAAAAAAAACAATGGTAAGGTCTTTGCTTGTTTAAAAAAGGTAAATATACTGAACAATTTAGTCTCTGCTAGAAAATCCTAGATATATTCCATCCTGCCCCTGCCAAAGATTGTAGACGTCAGTCTAACTACATTAGTGAAACAAAAATGTAATATAAACAGATTTAACTCTGCTATTTAAAATAAAAATACCAAGAACAAAGCCTTCTATTTTAAGTGCTCTGATTTCTGCTAAAAACATTAGCATATTTTGGGGACTCAATGAAAAGCAGCTGATGGTTCAAATGATCAATGTCTCAAATATTTATTGCCTTTACAAATGATTTTCAAGCTGAAGTTAAATCAGAAGAAAATAATAATTTACTACCAGCAGGAAGAGAACCAGAAATATAGGGACTATGGACACATACAGGTTTTGTTTTTTTTTTAATGAAGAACTGCATTCAGTTCTAAAGAGTCAAGATAAGGAGCCAGCACTGAAACATTATTCTGCCAATTTAGTCTGTGCTCTGTTATCACAGCTTTGGACTATATACCAGACAACCTTTGTATGCTATGGATTAATCACACTGTCTTAAATTTCTGAAAGCCAACTGTTGATGCTAATTGCTTTAAGCCCCTAATTGAAGCCCCTTCCCTGCTGCCCAGACATGATCACTTGGTTTGTGACCATCACTTCCAACCTCCAAACCCCAAAGAAGCAATGTGCTAATCTCAGAGAAGGGCAAACTGGATGATAATTTTTCTTTTTCAGGCTAGTTTAATCCACAAGCTCTTACACTTCTGTGAAACTTTCAACTACTAGAAGTTAGAATCAGTTTAGCGCAGGAGGAATGAAAACACTAGGGTATAGACAGGGAAAGTGACTTAGGTCCAGTCACGCTGGTTGCTGGTTTCATAACAGTCATGAAGGAGCCCAATCATATCTTCCACCTCCACTGCAGGCCCTTTTCTTTACTGCTCCATAGATGAGGTCTATAAGAGCAAGGACCAAAGGGACAATAAAATAATTTCATTCTTGTTTCCCATGCTTCCTTTGGCTTATTTCCATTTAGACTAGAAAAGATCCCCCAATACCTCTTCTATTCTAAATATTCTCACTTTGCTGAAATGATTACTCACTACCAGGAGGGCTCACAAGAGGTTCTCAATGGAGGCTTGAGAACAGTTTCACCTTCCAAACTACATTCCCTTGAAGGCTGACATCCTCCCCAGGCTGTTGTTTCCCCCTTCTAACAAAACAAAACAAAACAAACAAACAACAAAAACAAAAACACACAAAAAAAGCTCCTGAGAACAACACAGCAGCTCCCTCCATGAGTGAAGCAAGCTCAGTTATTTCAATCTTGATCCCACTTTGTTTCTAAAAGCAGACACATATCTTTAGCCTCCTTTCCAAGGAAGTAAGACCCACCACTTGACTGAACACAGCCATGCTCAGTGTGTGGGAAAGAACGAAGTCCTCTCAGTAGCAGCTCCAGGCAACAGAAGAGGCTCACATTTTAGAAATCTTTCTTGGAGTAACTATACTTATAAGTAAAATACAAAGACAAAATCACTGAAAAATTCCTAAGCCATAAATGTTTCAATGTGCACCAAGAACCAGAGTGAAAAATAAAAGGGGAAGCCGAAAGTGCAAAAAGTCTAAGGGAGGGTAGAGAAGGAAGACGAAAGGGGGGAAATTACGGGCTGTCAGAGAACATTTCAAGTTTCTGTGACAAACAGCCCTTCGGACAGGGTTCTTCCTTTACTAGCCTCCACATGAAAGAGTTACCTATGTCTCAGAGGCAGGAAGAGCCAAGGGCCAGATGGCACCCTAACCCCATCATTCCTGTCCCTTCCTGGCAGCTGTTAGGGAGGTCTTACGGCATCAACTCCATCCTCTTGGAGAGCACACGGGCGTGTGCGCGCGCACACACACACACAACAACCCTATGTAATCTGACTTTATCTATATTTTTCCTCAGTTAAACACTTCTAGGATGTTCACAAGAAATAAGGTTCTATAACATTTAAGGAATACAGTTATATTATGCAGACTGGGTGAATAAATCAGGAACAGCTGGGAACAGACAAAAATGACTCTGTGCCTCTACTTTAAACGAACTTTAAAAACACTTACATATGTAATTTAACCCAACCCTTCATCCCATAGATAACGAAACTGGGATCCATAGAGGGTTATCTGCCTAGAAGAGGGTCAGCAGTCCAGACTAGATCTTGAGTGTCTGACATCAGCGTGAGCGACTGTCCTACCACATCAGACGTGCCGTGAGAGAGAGGACTACAGAGGCTGCACATCCCTGAGAAAAGCAAGAAGCCCGGATATCAGGAGATGTGGGGATGCCGGGTGTTCACACCAATGGCAGAAAGAGGAGTGACAGAGGTAACACCAGGATTCTACAAGACATCTGAGGGTAAAGAGAGAAGGAAAATAAAAAAACACAAACTTGATGACAACTATTCAGTTTAGTGCAATACAGACTGTGTTAAGTGCAGGTTAATAAGGAGCAGTGAAGAAAAGAGGAAAATAATTAAGCTATTTGGACCTGTGACTAGATGTTGTTATAATTAAAATTCTTTCATTTCTCACTTTAGTTGGTGTATATTCTCTTATCACGTGTTTCTTACAGTTTTCGTTCTTGAAATTCCCTATCATACACACTTTTGGATGCTTGTTAATGCAGATTTTTGGGCTCTACTTCAGGGCTATTGAATCGGAATCTCTCTGGCTAGGACTCCGATTTCTTAGATCACTAAGAAATCTAAATTTTAAACAAGCTTCCCATGTATACTGACATTTAAGAACTAGCACCATAGTCTGGTGTGGTGGCATGCACCTATAATCCCAGCTACATGGGAGGCTGAGGCAAGAGGATTGCTTGAACTCAGCAGTTCGAGGCTGCAGTGAGCTACGATCGTGCTACTACACTCCACACTCCAGCCAAGGTGACCGAGTGAGACTGGACACCCTGTCTATTAAAAAAAAAAAAAAGAACGAGTACCATTCATAATAATGTCATCACAGAATTAGACAAACCCTATCTGTCTTCCAGTTCTCCTTATCCCCATTTCTGTGTTACAGATACTGAGGTAAGAGAAGGTGAGTGCTCTCAAATCACAAAGGCTGCCCAGAGCCTGCCAGGCCTTGCCCCTAGGCCTTCTCTCCCCACCATGAAGGACAGATGGACTGAATTGGGCTAGGTAGCCATTGGTTCAATTTTAAGATTCTATATTTTTAGTTTGCTAAAAGTAAAAATATGTATTGTTTTGCTAATGAAAAACCCATACCACATCGTCTATCGTGGGTACATACAGTCATGAGCTGCATAATGATGTCTGATCAACAAGGGACCACATGTACAACAGTAGTCTCATAAGATTATAATGGAGCTGCCCTATATGAGTACACCACTTTTTATCTTTTGTACCATATTTTTACTGTACCTTTTCTATGTTTAGATATATTTTGATACACAAATACTTACCATTGTATTACAATTGCCTACAGTATTCAGTACAGTGCCATATAGGCTTGCAGCCTAGGAGCAATGGGCCATACCACATAGCCTAGGTGTGTAGTAGACTGTCCCAGCCCATCTAGGTTTGTGTCTGTCCCAGCCCATCCAGGTTTGTGTAAGTGCACTCTATGACATTCTCTGTGATGCCTCATGACATGTTTCTCAGAATGTATCTCTATCATTAAGTGATACATGACGGTATTTCCTTTAGAATCAGGAAAAAATTAACTTACTAAACACAACCAAACAAAACAAGAAACATAATTATAGACTTAGTAAGCTATACATCATCCCTGCTTCTCTCAATAAAGCAAAGGGCAGAGCATCCTAAGTCCCATCAGACCTCCCCTACGAAGTGCTACAGAAAGCACAGAAACTGTCCAGCTTTGCCCACAACCTCAACTCCTTGGTAGGGACAGAAATGTCTGAGGGGCAGGTCACGTGGCAGGTATCTGGGTAGGGAATCGGCCTTTTGAAAGATGTGATGTGGCAGCAACGTGGATCTGACTAAATTTCTGGTTAACCTCCAGGCTGTCTGCCTGGCCCCATCCTCCACATTCTCTCTAGAGTATGGCAAAAAGGAGAGTCCAAAATGAAAGGAGGCAGAGGATGAGACAATTCAGATTAGAGAACTGTATTCAACTAAGAATACCTGCTTATTTCCCCAGACCACAGAACACCCTGCAGGGCAAAAAGGAATGAAGATGACAACATCTTTCACATCCAAATTGCTGAGGCAATTCTCAGAAATTGTTTTGAGGAGAGAGATGGAAAATAGGACAGTAATCACTACCTTTGAGAACGAAGTTCCTAAATACAATGACCAGCACTCAAGTCCTGATTATCTTTGCACACTGAGGACAAAGGCATTAGCAGGAAAGGAAAAATAGTGGACACATCCAGGGACCCGAAGGTGCCAACACCACTCCCATCTCAGTTTCCTGGGATGCACACGTGGATTACCACAAGTGCTGAGTGAAAATTCTAGGGAGTGCCTGCCCATCTTGGTTCAGGTCTGTCTGCTTCATGACTACATCTGCAGAAGCCCTTTGACATGTGGAATCACTCACACCCTTCTTCCCTACCCACTCTCAGTTAATAACAGGACCCTGAGACCCTCATATATAATGTCCCCAAGGCCCATTGATAGTCTCTTGGGAAAAGTATATGTCTTCATGCCAGGAGATGAAACAGAGGAAAGAGCAGAGTATTGTCAGTACTGTGCCCCAGCCAGCATCTTCAATGAGCCCAATTTTATATTAATATATATATTTGTGTGTGCGTGTATAAGCAGATATTAAAAATAGGACTAAGAATTACTCTAAAATGGCCGTGCACGGTGCTTCACACCTGTAATCGCAGCAATTTGGGAGGCCGAGGCAGGTGGATCACTTGAGGTCAGGAGTTCAAGACGAGCCTGGCCAATACGGTGAAACCCCATCTCTATTAAAAACACAAAAATTAGCCGGGTGTGGCGTCTGTAATCTCAGCTACTTAGGAGGCTGAGGCAGGAGAATTGCTTGAACCCAAGAGGCGGAGGTTGCAATGAGCTGAGATCGTGCCACTGGACTCTATCCTGGGTGACAGAGCAAGACTATCTCCAAAAAAATAAAAAACAATTACTTTAAAATGTCAATACTGGTTACTCCCAGTGATCTTAATTTTCTTTATATTTTTATGAATTTTCCAATTTTTTTTATGAAAAAAGGTTTTATTTTATATATATAATTAGGGGAAAACATGACTTAAAAAAAAATAATGGCTATAATTCACCCAGAGATGAAAGTGGAATATAACAGATGAGGTCATTTATGTAGTACAATGTTTGAAAGTATATAGAAAAAAAAGAGTGCAGAGATAAAAAGTTCACTTTCTCTTGTCTATAGCCCATTGTTGCTACTTACCTGTAAAATTCCCAGGCCTCTGTCTATCTATTTCTAGGAGCCCCTATAAGTTATTATATTATTATTTTTTAAGTTCTTCAGTAATACAGTTTGGCTCTGTGTCCCCACCCAAATCTCCCTTTGAATTGTAATCCCCAGAATCCCCATGCATCAGGGGCAGGACTAGGTGGAGGTAATCGGATCATGGGGGCAGCTTCCCTCATGCTGCTCTCGTGATAGTGAGTGAGTTCTCATGAGATCTGATAGTTTTATAAGCATCTGGCATTTCCCCTGTTGGCACTCATTCTCTCTCCTCCTGCCCTGTGAAGAGGTACCTTCTGCCATGATTGTAAGTTTCCTGAGGCATCCCAAGCCATACAGAACTGTGAGTTAATTAAATCTCTTTATAAACTGCCCAGTCTCAGGGAGTTCTTTATAGCAGCAAGAAAGGACTAATATAGTAAACTGGTACCAGTAGAGTGGGGTGCTGCTATAAATATACCCAAAACGTGGAAGTGACTTTGGAACTGGGAAACGGGCAGAGGTTGGAACAGTTTGGAGGGCTCAGAGGAAGACAGGAAGATGTGAGAAAGTTTGGAACTTCCTAGAGATTATTGAATGGTTTTGACCAACATGCTGATAGTGATATGAAGAATGAAGTCCAGGCTGAGGTGGTCTCAGATGGAGATAAGAAACTTGTTGGGAACTGGAATAGAAAGGTCACTCTTGCTATGTTTTAGCAAAGAGACTGGAGGCATTTTGCCCCTGTCCTAGAGATCTGTGGAACTTTGAGAGATATGTTCTGAAATTGGAACTTATATTTAAAGGGGAAGCAGAGCATAAAAGATTGGAAAATTTGCAGCCTGACAATGTGATGGAAAACAAAAACCCATATTCTGGGAAAAAATGCAAGCTGGCTGCAGAAATTTGCATAAGATACAAGGAGCAGAATGTTAATCACCAAGACAATGGGAAAAATGTCTCCAGGGCATGTCAGAGACCTTCAGGGCAGCCCCTCCCATCACAGGCCCAGAGTGCTAGGAGGAAAAAATGGTTTTGTGGGCCAGGCCCAGGCCTGCATCCCAGCCACTGCCTATTCAGCTCCAGCCATGGCTAAAAGGGG
Organism: Homo sapiens; assembly: GCF_000001405.40. Lineage (NCBI taxonomy): Eukaryota > Metazoa > Chordata > Mammalia > Primates > Hominidae > Homo > Homo sapiens. The sequence continues at coordinate 82,942,609 of NC_000006.12, forward strand.
CCAACGTACAGCTCAGGTCATTGTTTCAAAGGGTGCAAGCCCCAAGCCCTGGTGGCTTACATGTGGTATTGGCCCTGTGAGTGCACAGTTGTCAAGAATTGAAGTTTGGGAAGCTCCACCTAGATTTCAGAGGATGTATGGAAATGCCTGGATGTCCAGGCAGAGGTTGCCGCAGGCACAGAGCCCTTACGGAGAACCTCTGCTAGGGCAGTGAGGAGCAGAAATGTGGGGTCTGAGCCCCCACACAGAGTACCCACTGGGGCACTGCCTAGTGGAGCTGTGAGAAGAGGGCCACCATCAACCAGACCACAGAATGGTAGCTCCACCGACAGCTTGCACTGTGCACCTGCACAGACACTCAACACCAGCCCATGAAAGCAGCCAGGAGGGGGGCTGTACCCTGCAAAGCCACAGGGGCAGAGCTGCCCAAAGCATCGGAGCTCACCTCTTGCCTCAGCATGACCTGAATGTGAAACATGGAGTCAAAGGAGATCAGTTTTGAACTTTAAGATTTAATGACTGCCCTATTGGATTTCAGACTTACATGGGGCCTGTAGCCCCTTTGTTTTGGCCAATTTCTCCCCTGTGGAATGGGTGTATTTACCTAATGCCTGTAACCCCACTGTATCTAGGAAGTAACTGACTTGCTTTTTTTTAGAATACCCTATCCACTGTCCCCCTGACAGGGAAAGCAAATTTGACAACTATCTACACACAAAAAAGCACCTTCTTAAGAACCGAAACTCAGCCAGGCACGGTGGCTCATGCCCGTAATCCTAGCACTTTTGAAGCTGATGCGGGAGAATTGCTTGGGCCCAGGAATTCAAGACCACGCTGGGCAACATGGTGAAACCCCGTGTCCACTAAAAGTACAAAAATTAGCTGGGCATGGTGGCATGTACCCGTAGTCCCAGCTACTTGGGAGGCTGAGTTGGGAGGACTGCTTGGGCCCAGAAGGTGGAGGTTGCAGTGAGCTGAGATCACACCACTACACTACAACCTGGATGACAGAGCGAGACCCTGTCTCAAAACAAAAAACAAACAACAACTACAAAAAAAGAACTAAAAATCAGGTAAGGACTCATGGTATCTGATTTTAACTTCATATCACTGAAAAGAATAGGAAACAGTCTTGAATTGTCAATGCCACCCCTCTCCCATTCCCCCACAGCACCTGCACAGCTCAGAGAAATCTGTGCTCTTGAAGGGGGAGAGTGCAGTGAATATGAGACTTCACATTAAACTCAGTGCTTCCTGGTTACAGTGGAAAGCAAAACCAAGTGGAACTCAGCCGATGCCCACACAAGCAGGGAGCATGCAGATCAACCCTAGCCAGAAGGGAATCGCCCATCCCAGTGGTGGGAACTTGAGTTCAGTCAAGCTTTGTTACTGTGGGCTGAAGTGCTCTGGGGCCATAAAAAAACTTGAAACAACCTAGACCACAGAGACTGCAAGTCTTAATGCTGAGCTGGGCTTGGAGCAAGTGGACTTGGGGGTGATGCAACCTACTGAGACACTAGCTGGGGCAGCTAAGGGAGTGCTTGTGCCACCCCTCCCCCAACTCTAGGCAACACAACTCCAAAAGAGACCCCTTCCTTTCACTTGAAGAGAGGAGAGGGAAGAGTAAAGAGGATTTTTATTTTGAATCTTGAATACTAGCTCGGCCACAGTATGACAGAGAACTGATCAGGGTTGTGAGGCCCCATTCCAGGCCCTAGCTCCTGGATGACATTTGTAGACATATCCTGGACCAGAAGGGAATCTGTTGCCATAAAGGGAAGGACCCAGTCCAGGCAAAGCCTATCATCTGATGACTAAAGAGCCCCTGGGCCCTGAATAACCAGTAGTGATACCCAGGTAGTGAGCTGTGGGCCTTGGGTGAGATTCTGAGAGTTGCTGACTTCAGCTGAGACACAACACATTTGAAGCTGTGATGGCTATGGTGAGAAACTCCTTTTGCTTGAGGAAAGCAAAGGGAAAAGTAAAGGAGACTTTGTCTTGCACTTTAGGTACTAGCTTGGTCACAGTTGGGTAGAGCACAAAGCAGGTTCTTTGGTCCCTGAGTCCAGGACTTGGTTTTTAGACAGCATTTCTCGATCTGTCCTGAGCCAAAGGGGTGCCCACTGCCCTGAAGGGTGAGTCCCAGTCTGGCAGAATTCACCACAAGTTGACTGAAGTGCCCTTGGGCCTCATGTGAACATCAGCGGTAGCTTGGCAGTACTCCCTATGGGTTTTTGGTGGTTGTGGTCATGGAGTGAAGCTCTTCTGCCTGTGGAAAGGGGAGGGAAGAGTGGGAAGGACTGTTTATCATGGTTCAAGGACCAGCTAAGCCACATTAGAATAGAATGCCAAGTAGACTGCTAAGGTTTTTAACTCTAGCCCATAGCTCTCAGATGGCATCCCTGGACCCACCCAGTGGCCGGAGGAAATTGCCACCCTGAAGGGAAGAACACAAGGCTGCTGGCTTTACCAACTGCTGATAGTAGAGCCCTAGGGCCTTGAGCAAACATAGGTGTTGGCCAAGTATTGGTTACAGTGGACACTGGGTGAGACTCAGGGATGTGCTGGCTTCAGGTCTGACCCAGAGCAGTCTTTGTGATGGTGGCCACAGGGGCGATTGTGTCACCTCAGCCCCAGGTGGCTCAGCACAGAGACAGATAGACAGACAGAAAGGGAGAGAGAAAAAGAGGGAGAAAGAGAGACTGACTGACTCCATTTGTTTAGAAGAAAGTAAGGGAAGAGAAGAGTCTGCCAGGTAATCCAGAGAAGTATTCTGGATCTTATTTAAGACCATCATGCCAGTATGAGTCTATGAGTCTCCAAGAATAACACAATTACTAGGCTTCAGTCTCCTAATACAGATATGACTTAGATCACAACACCCAAGTCCTTTTGAATGCCTGGAAAGCCTTCCCAAGAAGGACAGGTAAAAACAAGCCCATGATGTGAAGACTACAATAAATACCTAACTTTTCAATATCCATGCCCAGATACTGACAAGCATCAATAAACATGAAGACCATCCAGAAAAACATGACCTCACCAAACAAACTAAATGAGGCACCAGGGATCAATCCTGGTGGAGAAAGAAAGGTATGCGACTTTTTAGACAGACAATGCAAAATAGCTGTGTTGAGGAAATTCAATGAGATTTAAGATAACACAGAGAAGGAATTCAGAATGTTATCAGATAAATTTAACAAATAGATTGAACTAATTAAAAAGAATCAAGAAGAAGTTCTGGAGTAGAAAAATGCAACTTACACACTAAAGATTGAATCAGAGTCTCTTAATAGGAGAATTGATTAAGCAGAAGAATTAGTGGGCTATTTGAAAATACACAGTCAAAGGAGATAAAAACACAAAGAATAATGAAAGAATGAAGCATACATACAAGATCTAGAAAATAGCCTTCAAGGGGCAAATTTAAGAGTTACAGGCCTTAAAGAGGAGGCAGAGAAAGAGATAAGGGAAGTAAGTACATTCAAAGGGATAATAACAGAGAACTTCCCAAACCTAGAGAAAGATATCAATATCCAAGTACCAGAAGGTTACAGAAAACCAACCAGATTCCACAGATGAGTACCTCAGGGCATTTAATAATCAAACTTCCAAAGGTCAAGAATAAAGAAAGGAGCCTAAAAGCACCAACAGAAAAGTAACAAATAACATACAATGGAGATCCAATACACCTAGCAGCAGACTTTTCAGTGGAAACCTTACAGGCCAGGAGAGAGTGGCATGACCTATTTAAAATGCTGAAGGAAAAAAAAAAATTTACCCTAGAGTAGTATATCTGGAGAAAATATCCTTCAAACACAAAGAAGAAATAAAGACTTTCCCAGACAAACAACAACTGAGGAATTTCAACACCAGACCTGTCCTTGAAGAAATGCTAAAGAGAGGACTTCAATCAGAAAGCAAAGAATGTTCATGAGCAATAAGACATCATCTGAAGGTACAAAACTCACCAGCAAAAATAAGTACACAGAAAAATACAGACTATTATAACACTGTAACTGTGGTATGTAAACTACTCTTAAGTAGAAAGACTAAAAGATTAACCAATCAAAAATAACTACAACAACTTTTCAAGACATAGTACAATAAGATATAAACAGAAACAACAAAAATTAAAAAGTTAATTAAAAAGTGGGGGACAAAGTTAAAGTGTAGAGTTTTTATTAGTTTTCTTTTTGCTTGTTTGTTTATGCAAGCAGGGTTTAGTTGTTATCAGCCTAAAATAATGAATTATAAGATAGTTTTTGCAAACCTCATGTTAACAAAAATCATACAACAGGCACAGAAAAAAAAAAAGCAAGAAATTAAATCATACCACCAGAGGAAATCACCTTTACTAAAAGCAAGACAGGAAGGAAAGAAGGAAGAGAAGACCACAAAACAACCAGGAAACAAATAACAAAATGCCAGGAGTAAGCCTTTACTTATCAATAACAACACTGAATATAAGTAAACTCTCCAATAAAAAGATGGAAAAATATATTTTATGTCAATGGAAACCAAAAAAGAGCAAAGTAGCTAGGCTTATATCATCCAAAATAGATTTAAAGACAAAAACTATACAAAGAGACAAAGAAGGTCATTATATAATGATAAAAGGGTCCATTCAGCAAAATGATATAATGATTGTAAATATATGTGCACCCAAAACTGGAGCACCCAGATATGTAAAGAAAGTATTATTAAAGAAAGAGATGAACTCCAATAAAATAATAACTGGAGACTTCAACACCCCACTTTCAGCATTCAACAGATCTTCTAGACAGAAAACAGACAAAGAAACATCAAACTTAATCTGCACTATGGACCAAATAAACCTAAAAGATACTTACAGAACATTTCATCCAATGGTTGTAGAATACATATTTTTTAAATTTTTAATTTCTTTTCTTTTCTTTTCTTTTTCTTGCCCTATCTTATGGTGCTGAACAATACATATTCTTCTCAGCACACAGATCATTCTCAATGACAGACCTTCTGTTAACGTCACAAAATAAGTCTTAAAACACTCAAAACACATTGAAATAACATCAAGCATCTTCTCTGACCACAATGGAATAAAACCTTAAATCAATAACAAGAGGAATTTTGAAAACTATACGAATACATGGAAATTAACAATATGCTCCTGAAGGACCAGTGGGTCAATGAAGTCATTAAAAAGTACATTGAAAAATTTCTTGAAACAAATGATAATGGAAACACATATACCAAAACCTATGGAATACAGCAAAAGTAGTTCTAGGAGGGAAGTTTATAACTATAAGTGCCTACATCAAAACAGAAGAAAAACCTTCAATAAACAACCTAATGATTCATCTTAAAGAACTAGGAAAGCAAGAGCAAACCAAACCAAACTCAAAATTAGTAGAAGAAAAGAAATAGTAAAGATCAGAACAGAGATAAATGAAATTGAAATGAAGAAAACAATATAAAAGATCGATGAAACAAAATGTTGGTTTTTTTGAAGAGGCAAACAAAATTGACAAATCTTTAGCCAGAATAACTACGAAAACATGAGAGAATAAATAAATAAAATAAATAAAATCAGAGATGAAAAAGGAGAAATTACAACTGATACTGCAGAAACTCATAGGATCATTAATGGCTACTATGAGCAGCTATATGCCAATAAATAGGAAAATCTAGAAGAAATGAATAAATTCATAGACACATACCATGTACCAAAACTGAACCATGAAAAAACCCTGAACAGACCAAATGAGATGGAAGCCATAATACAAAGTTCCCCAGTAAAGAAAAGCCCAGGACCTGATGGCTTCACTGCCAAATTCTACCAAACATTTAAAGAAGAACTAATACCACTTCTACTCAAACTATTCTGGAAAATAGAGAATGGAATACCTCCAAACTCATTATAGGAGGCCAGAAGTATTACCTTGACACCAAAACTAGACAAAGACACATTAAAAAAAGAAAACTACAAGCCAATTATCTCTAAAGAATATTGATTTAGAATTATCAATAAAATACTAGCAAACTGAATTCAATAACACATTAAAAAGATATTTCTTCATGGCCAAGTAGGATTTATCCCAGGGATACAAGTATGATTCAAAATATACAAATCACTCAGTGTGAGATATCATATCAACAGAATGAAGGCCAAAAACCACATAAACATTTCAATTAATGTTGGTGCTAAAAATGCATCTGGAAAAATTCAACATCACTTCATGATAAAAACCATTACAAAACTGGGTATAGAAGGAACATACCTCAACACAAAAAAAAGCCATATATGATAGACCCATAGCTAGTATCATACTGAATGGGGAAAAACTAAAAGTCTTTCCTCTAGGATCTGAAACATGACAAGGATGCCCACTGCCACTGTTATTCAACATAGTACTGGAAGTCCTAGCTATAGCAATCAGACAAGAGAAAGAAATAAAGGGTATCTAAACTGGAAAGGAACAAATCAAGTTATCCTTGTTGGCAGATGATATGATCTTATATTTAGAAAAACCTAAAGACTTCAATGAAAAACTATTAGAATTGATAAACAAATTCAGTAAAGTTGCGGGGGACAAAATGAATAAACAAAAATCACTAGGATTTCCATAGCCAGCAGGGAACAATTTGAAAAATAAATTAAAAATAATCCCATTTACAATAGCTACAAACAGAGTAAAATCACTTAGGAATTTACTTAACTGAGGAAATAAAAGATCTCTACAATGAAAACTGTAAAACATTGATGCAAGAAATTGAAGAAGACACAAAAAAATGGAAAGATATTTCATGTTCATGGACTGGAAGAATCAATATTGTTAAAATGTCCACAATACTCAAAGCAATCTACAGATTCAATGCAATCACTGCCTAAACAATGACATTCTTCAGAAATAGAAAAAAAAAATCTTAAAAGTTATATGGAACCACAAAAGACCCACAATAGCCAAAGCCATCCTGAGTAAAAAGAACAAAACTGGAGGAATCACATTACCTCACTTCAAATTATACTACAAAGCTATAGTAACCAAAATAGCATGGTACTGGCATAAAACCAGACACACAGACCAATGGAATATAATAGAGAACCCAGAAACAAATCCATACATCTACAGTGAACTCATTTTTTACAAAAGTGCCAAGAACATATAGTGGGGGAAAGACAGTCTCTTCAATAAATGGTTCTGAGAAAACTGGATATCCATATGCAGAAGAATGAAACTAGACCCGTATCTCTAACCATATACAAAAATCAAATAAAAATGGATTAAAAACTTAAATCTAATACCTCAAACTACAAAATTACTGTAAGAAAACATTGGGGAAACTCTCTAGGACATTGAATTGGGCAAAGATTTCTTGAGTAATATCCCACAAGCACAGGCAACTAAAGTAAAATGGGACAAATGAGATCACATCAAATTAAAAGTTTCTGCATAGCAAAGGAAACAATCAACAAAGTGAAGAGACAACTCACAGAATGGAACGATACATTTGCACACTACCAATCTGACAAGAGATTAATAACCAGAATACATATGGAGCTCAAACAACTCTATAGGAAAATATCTAATCAACTGATTAAAAAATGGGCAAAAGATATGAGTAGATATTTCTCAAAAGAATATACACAATTGGCAAACAAGTATATGAAAAGGTGCTTAAAATCATTGATCATCAGAGAAATGCAAATCAAAACTATAACAGGATATCATCTCACACCAGTTAAAATGGCTTTTATCCAAAAGACAGGCTAACAAATGCTGGCAAGGAGGTGGAGAAAAGGGAACTCTCTTACACTGTTGGTGGGAATGTAAATTAGTACAACCAGTATGAAGAACAGTTTGGAGGTTCCTCAAAAAACAAAAAATAGAATTACCAGCTGGGCACAGTGGCTTACAGCTGTAATCCCAGCACTTTGGGAGGCTGAGACAGGTGGATCACTTGAGGTCAGGAGTTCAAGAACTACCACACAATCCAGCAATCCCACTCCTAGGTAGGTACCCAAAAGAAAAGAAATCAGTATATCAAAGAGATATCCGCACTCCCATGTTTATTGCAAAACTATTTACGAGAGCCAAGATTTGGAAGCAACCGAAGTGTCCATCAACAGATGAATGAATAAAGAAAATGTGGCACATACACACAATGGAATACTTGTCAGCCATAAAACTCAATGAGATCTTGTCATCTGCAACAACATGGATGGAACTGGAGGTCATTATGTTAAGTGAAATAAGCCAGGCACAGAAAGACAAACTTTGCATGTTCTCACTTACTTGTGGGATCTAAACATTAAAACAACTGAATTCATGGAGACAGAGAGTAGAAAGATGGTTACCAAAGGCTGGGAAGAGTAGTGGAGGGATGAGGGAAGTGGGGATGACTAATGGATAAAAAAAAAAAAAGAAAGAATAAGATCTAATATTTGCTAGCACAACAGGGTGACTATAGTAAAGAGTAATTTAATTGTACATTTAAAAATAACTAAAAGAGTATAAGTGGATTGTTTGTAACACAAAGCATAAATGCTTGAGGTGACAGATACCATATTTACCCTTATGTGCTTGTTATGCATTGTATGCCTGTATCAAAATATCTCATGTAACCCATAAATATATATACCTACTATGTACCCATAAAAATTAAGAATAAACAAAATAGGAATTGCAAGGATCTGAAAAAGGCAAGTGTTTGTGAAAACATCTAAAATTGTTTAGAATTCTGTCATTAACCTGGGGCTATGTCCTTAAAAATTCTATCCATACCATTTAGATAGCCTGGAGCAGCTGGTTGGAGCTGGAGTTAATGAGGTAAGATGTGGGAATAAACAGGAAGGGTTTCCTCCACTCAGGGACCAAGGCTATGAAACACTCCTTCCTTATCCTAGTTGAGTATATTTTCCAAGGAAGACTCTTCTGGAGCATTCTCAGTGAGAGTCAATCCTTAAGTTAGGGGAGAGGCAGAGTTTAGCCAGAGGGCTTAATCTACCAGTAGAACCCTTTGCCACGTTACTACTTTGGTATGCAGTGTACAGAGTGGATGAGTGCCAGTTGAAATAGAACTGGGAACAGGTACAGGGTGGGAAAGCAATGCTCAGCCAGAGGACTTCTGGGCCTCAGGCTTGATTCAGTGTGTACCAAGGAATGCCAAAGGCAGATCTTGTTCCTACTGTGCCATTCTGACCAAAGAGGCCCTGACCAAAAGGACGACCATCTAGTCTCAAAAGAAAGAGATGGTATCCTCCTGACAATCAGCCTCTAAAACTGCAGCACTACTTCTTGTGGAGGTAAGGAAGGCTGCCACTAAGAATGTACATAAGGGTCTTTAGAGATAGAACAGTGTCTCCCCATTTGTATTCTGCAAACATTAATCCCATAAAATGCCCCTAGAAAAAGTCTCCCTGCTATCAAGTACATTTGAGAAATACTGTTTACTATGTTCCTCAACTAGGAGGATCACACTACCCCTTAAGCACATGCAAGGGGCTGACAAGTCATGCCACTTAAAAACATCTTACTTTGTTTAACCAACCTTATTAAAAGAGGTTAACATTATTTAGTGGTTAAGAATAGGGGTTCTCGAGCCAGGCCTTGTACTTCATGTTCCTCTACTTATTAGCTGTGTGAGCTTGGGAATGTTGTGCACCTGTGCTCAGTTTCTGCACCTGTAAAATGTAAACAATAATATACCTTCCTTATGGAGGTATCATGAAAATGAAATGAGCTACTAAGTACCAATCACTGAGAACGGTACCTGGAAAACAGAAAGAACTAAAAAAAATTAGCTATTATAATTTATATTATTATCTGATTATTAATATCTAATTTTTTTTTTTTGAGATAGGGTCTCACTCTCACCCAAGCTGCAGTGCAGTGGCACAATCATGGCTCACTGCAGGATTGACCTCCAGGGCTCAAGCAATCCTCCTACTTCAGCCTTCTGAGTAGCTGGAGCTACAGGCATATGCCAGCACATCTGCTAATTTTTTAATTTTTTACATAGATGGTGTCTCATTATGTTGCCCAGGGTGGACCTGAACTCCTAGGCTCTAGTGATCCTCCTGCTTCAGCCCCCAAAGTGCTGGTATTACAGGTGTGAGCTACTTTGGAGCAGAGAAATGCTAAGTATAGAAAAATCCCCTCTCTACCCAAAGAGAAGTCAACATAGTCTCTGTAGCACAAAAAGCACAACTAAGAAATCAGAATTTCAGTCTCCAATATCAACTTAACATTCTTGGGTATGTGTTTCCTTATCTATAAAAATAAGATTATTAGACTAGTTATTCCTTCTAGTTGCAATAGGCCAGGATTCTAGGAAAAATACATAGTTGCCATTAAAACCAGCAGCTCTTGCCCAGTCCTGGTTCCAACCTGATTGCTTTTAAGGTTCTACCTTCCAGACATCTTACCTATATTTAAAGCTGCCATTGCAGGACTTCAGGTTAAGAGCTGGTTGCTGCCCAGCAAGATGGGTATAGAAATGGCCTTGTGCCACCTAACCCCAGAGTTCTGAAGCACACAGAGTGAAATAAACTAGCAACGGCAATGACGTCAACAGGCTGCAACTTGCCTCCTCCAGAGGACACCTCTGCACCTCTAATGCCTACTGCGTTGGTTTCTGGCACAAAAGTTGGGCATCATTCCCATATTCCCTACTGTGGTACTGTGGTCTCCAGTACCCAGAGAGTCCCATCCTATATATTGATCACTTTGCTTATCTGAATCCTGCCAGCTCTTTCTAAGGGCTGAACTCTTCTTCGAGTTTTTCTCATTTGTACAAAACACCAGGTTGCAGTTTCAATGTGGATACCCATCTGTGCTCAACTTTGCTGACATATCTTAAATCCAGACCTTATCTGTTGAGTCTAGCACTGCCCCAGCAGAGAAAGGGCTGCTGCTTCTGCCCTGAGTGTATACTGTACGTACCTCTGTGTAACCCAGCTCAGTCTTTTAGATTTCTAGAATGTCACATGGCTGTGTCCATCTGCATTTTAACTGTGCCTTCATCCACCCATCCAGCCATCTTGCCAGCCATCCAATATTTATTAACTTCTTCCTACATCCAGGCACTATACTAAGTTCTGTTGGCACAATATTGAACAAAAACAGACATTCCCCCATTCATTCAGTCAACACATATTTTAGTAGAGGAAAAAGGTGAACAAATAAATGAACAAGATCAAATAGTGGAAAGTGCTATGAAGAAAATTAAACAAGGTAAGATTACAGAGTAATGGTGATGTGAAGAAGGGGGGTCAGGTTGGGCCTCTCCTCAGAGGGGATACCTGAACTGAGACCTGAACGACAAGAAGCAGGTGGCCATGCAAAGACCTGGTGCAGAGTATTCTCCCAGTAGCAGGGAAAACAGCCAGTCCACAGATCCTACAGCCAGAACCAGCTCGTGATAAGGACAGGGAGATAGAGCCAGTGTGCCTGGAGCAGAGTGAGAGTGAGAGAGCCAGAGATGAGGTCAGAAAGGGAGGCAGGGCCAAGATGTTCCCCGGCCTTATTGGCCAAGATAAGGAGTTTGGATTTTATTTTCATTGCAACAGGATGCCATGGAAGAATTTTAAGCAGGAAGCGACATGATAAGGAATGATAAGTCCATCCATCTTCTTGGGACCACTGCAACAACTTAGTATATGCTTAGCAATATGTCAGTGAATCTCAATCAAATCCTACATTTTGTTGGCTTATAATTGCATTAGAAATAGTAAGGTACTATAACAGAGTGGAAGCTATATTTATAACAAAACCACCAAAAGAGATCCCTGTTGGCCTGAGAGAAATGTTACAATGTAATTTAAGAAGTTAGAATTTCATATTATGTTGTTTTAATTAATAAGATAAACTCTTCTTTTTGAGATTCAGCAGTGATAACAGCTCAAGCAGGAGCACCAAGAGAATCCTAAAATGACAGCTTTACAGAAAAAGAAGCACTGCTCACAGTGACTCAGCCAGAAAAGTAAGAGAATTGGAAATGTAAAGATAACTTTAACAAGTGTCATTCTGCTATTTTATAGCTCTTGCCAATATAGCTCTTAAAAAATGTGCATGAAAGTGAATTTCCAATTTAAAAAAAATCCTAAACACAGGCAAAATTAGAAGCGCCATTCCTCGCCATTATAATAAATGATGAAGTGGGTGGTACAAAGATGAAAAAGCAGAGCATCTCTTTCTAATCCTGACACACACTTTCCCATTTTCACTGATCCTTCATCTTGGAGTGAAGACCTGGGTAGGGAAGATGATTCCTGGTATGTTCCTTATAAGAATACATCTTTCCAGGGGTGACAGCAGGGACCAAACCAGTTCATAAGATTCTGTCAAGTTTCTCTGTATCTGTGAAACTGGAAAAGCATGTGTGTTTCTGACAATAATATTCAGAAAAGGGACTAAAACCACATGAAGTACAATCACCAATAGAAAAGGGCATTGAGTAATTAACATTCAGACCGCTCTAAGAGCTCCTCTAATTAAAGGTGCTAAGACCACACTAATGCCGCCAATTGCAGGCCAGGCTTCATGCACCTGTGTTTCCATGAGATTGAAATGACATCCTTAAAGGGGGCAAGGCCTTCTGGGTCTCACAGGGAAGAAATATAGATTGGTCTTCCTCCCAAACCTCCCATATTTGGTTTAGATTACTCTTTTACTTTTAATTTCTTTAAGACTTGTGTTGAGGCTACTTTGTAATAAAATTCCTCTCAAGTTAAATCATCCATGGATGACTGTTCTATTTCCCCCAATACGCCGTAAAATCCTTTAAGTCAGAGTCATTTCTCTTGCTGCCCACTCACCCATGGCATGCAAATTTCAAACAGTACATGAGGGAAGGAGTGAAATATAAAACTATTGTTTTTCAGCTTCACTCCTCAAAGATAACCACTGTTAAGTTTCTTGTCTCTCCCTCCATGAACATTTGTGGGCATATACAAACTTTTGCATTATTCAATCCCATAAGCAGAACTTAAAGAAATATGGATAGACAGAATTTTAAGTCATATCTGGTTTAAGGCAGTGTATGAATAAATAAAATAAATACAAACTACTGCAAAATAAGGGGAGGCTGTGGACATTCCAAGGCAGATCTAATAACCTGCCTCCACCCACCACTCACACTCACTCCACCCCCAGGACCTTAGTGGGCACTGCAGTTGGTGGCAGATGGAGTAATCCTGGTGAGTGAGTCCAGTTTGGTCTCTGACCCACTGAGTGTTTCCTGGCCAATTCAATCCATTGCTCCAGATCTCAATTTCCTCTCCTACAAAATGAGAAGATGTTCTTTAAGGTCCTTTGAGACACCAGGATTGGAGTTGACCAATGGGCAGCAAATATAAATAGGCATGCTAAGACCAAAGACTGTACTCTATGAGTGCCTGAGGCTCAGAAAGAGGAAGAGCATCACGGAGACAATCCATGTAACAGATTTCCAAGAGGAGAGGAATGTAAATAAGATTGGAGCAGTTTTTTTCTCTCCATTTCTTGAGGTATGATTCATAGGAAAATCCACATCTTGTTTTACCACATAACAGAGGTACAAAGCAATATACAATGCTCCTGAAGTTTTCTTAGGATACATTAATAACCCTTCAGAAGTAGAAACAACCCATGTTTATTTATTTCTCAGCAACGTAGGTTGTATTCCCACCAGCATCCGAGGGCTCGTATTTTCCCATTGTCAAGAGTCGCAGATATGTGCAATTACATATAGTAGTGATAGGGCCACAACTTAAGCCACAAGTTAACATTTAATTCTCATTTGACACTCATTTGACAATTAGCTGACTGCGAGGGAGGCGGGGGGTCTTCCTGTTGGTCATCTTGCTGGCCAGTCTACATTTGCAGAACTGAGTTAGACTAGGAGAACAAATAAATATCAAGGGCAGTAGGGAAGTGATAAGGGAGAGGGCTAAGGAGAGAGAGGGAAATGGCTCAGAAAGTAGAACCCTGTTAAATAGACCAATCCTGTTAAACATCCATTTGGCAATTTGACTTCAGGCTAACAGCAGCAAAGCCACTAATAATGGTTAAGATTCCTGGGTCTCCTGCAAACTTGGGAGAAGGGAGGTGGCATTCACAAGTGTCTACCTGATCTTCTTGCCATTTCCCAGAGGCAAGATGGGAGCTGGAGAGAAAGCCTGGAGTTATACAGCTGTGAGTTCTGCCACAACTAGACAATTACGTAGTCAATTCTGAGCATCTGTTTGTTCATTTATTTAAAAAGAGATAGACAAAGGCCGGATGCGGTGGCTCATGCCAGTAATCCCAGCACTTTGGGAGGCTGAGGCACGCAGATTGCCTGAGCTCAGGAGTTCGAGACCAGCCTGGGCAATACAGTGAAACCCTGTCTCTACTAAAAACACAAAAATTTAGCCAGGTGTGGTGGCATGCACCTGTAGTCCCAGCTACTCGGGAGGCTGAGGCATGAGAATTGCTTAAACCTGGGAGGCGGAGGCTGCTGTGAGCCGAGATTGCACCACTTCACTCCAGCCTGGGCAACAGAGAGAGTCTCTGCCTCCAAAAAACAAACAAACAAACAAACAAACAAAAAACAGATAGACAAAGCAATACATGCATTATGCTTGTTATGATTTGAAACTAGGGAATTCCACGGGCTATCTCCTGTGAAAGAGAGGATCCTTAAAAAATAATTCCAAGTAAAACTGAGAAATCACGGCCTAGAAAAGAAGCCATTGCTCACCTGAAAGGAATTCACACGGCGAAGGGATGAAGGCAGATTGGCATTACTCTTTGACAATATCAACAGCAGCTCCAAGCAGGTTGCAGAGGGCAGGGTTAGCGGGTGGACGCTGATGTCACTTTCCCACAAGCTGACAAGTCTGGAACACACCAACACATTAACTTTCAAAAATGCATTATCATAATTATTTTAAAAATCTGATATGAAAGAAGAAAACTCAATTGTGAGAGAAAAAGGCAAAGTACAAAAACTAGAAATAAACTATATTAAAAATTCACAGAGAACATGTCCAAGACGTTTTTATGGTGTTGTTGATATAAAGCAGATGGATCAGGCAATTTTTCAGGCCATCATTTCATACTCTGAAGTATACAGTCACAGGAAATGCAGTCTTAGTTCTGTGGGACCTGCTGGGGGAAGGGGTGGCAGAGACTAACGGCTAACACACTGAATGCTTCCTACATTCTATGCCCTGTTCTACATGTAATCTCGTTTACCCCTCAGAAACCTAAGAGAAGGAACTATTGTTATCCCCATTCTACAGCTATGAAAATGTTTTTCTGAGCTGGATAGGCCCTTATGGAACATTTAGCTCAGTGATTTTCAAACTTTTAAAAAGTGACAGAATCCTTTTGTTAAAAAAAAAATCTTGTAACAGCCCCAACTTATAATACAAATAAAAGCGAAGCTGCTCTGTCTGAAGGGAAAGGTTGGCAGGAGGCCTCCCTTCATCTTCCAGAGTGGCCCTTGAAGCATCTCTGCTATATCCTGCGGAACCTATTTGAAAATCCTTTCATTTTAGAGATCAGGAAACCAAGGGCTAGAGAAGTAAAGGGATCTGTCTGAGATGAGGCAATGTGTAGAAAGTGATATGGCTGGGGCTAGAATCCTGGCTTCCTGGCTCCTCATCTAGTGCTTAAAGGGAAACATCAAAAAATAATTATGAGAAAATAAAATAATAAGAATAGCATGCATTTTAGGTTTTCAACTTTTCTGTTTACTTATTTCCTCTCTGATCTGCGACCAAAGTGTCTCTTATCACTAATTTTAAAGATATATGTATATAATATTTATATTGGTTTATATAAATATACATGTATTTTTTGCCACTTCTATAAACTTCTCTCTGAAAAGCAATCTTTAACCAAATCAGTGGTGAATAATGGAAACTTGGAGAGAATCAGTGGTTTGGGACATAATGGATTTTAAATAATTTACAGAACAAGTCATGGCAAATGGTTTAGATGTTTTATCAATCAGGTTACTTATTATGCTGACAGATTTCTGATGTGGGGTGATGGAGTTCACTCTCCGTTGAAGTACTGGCCAACTAGTTGGACTGGAATAAGACACTGGTCCAGTTTTTGTGTAGGGGAGAATAGATCACCTCCAACCCCCTTTTAGCTCTTAGTAGGCTCTTCAGCTGGATCTGGGAGCCAAACTGACACCAGGCAGATTAACAAGAGAAAAGTCTACAAATTTTATTAGTTTTACATGTACATGGGGATCTTTACAAGTAAGTGAAGTCCAAGGAAGTGGCCAAAGCAAGATGCTTTTATACATTTTTTGGCACAGAGTGCCAAAATGAGGAAAATGACAGGACAAGGAAAATCTGGCTAGAGGAAGTAAATTTTCTAGGGGAGTCACTGGAGATATATGGTGTGGGCGTCTGTAAAACAGATGGAAGATAAGGTAAATATGTTTATTTGGGTCCACTGCAGTCTCCAATTCCAAGTCTTGGGTGATAAGCGCTGTTTTCTCACCTTGGTATGGAGAGGGTGCCCCTCCCAGAGGAATCTTGATCGCTTGCTGCATGCAGGAAAAGACAAACCATGTCCTCTAATTTTTTTTTTTTTAGAAAAATAGAAAATTTTAATCTTTACATACAACTTGTCAAGACCCCTAACTGTTTTTAAAAAGTTCCCCCACCCCCCTCAAAATCTGTAGAGCATAAGTCTTGGCCTAAACTGACCTGATTTGTAAAATATCTTCCTCTCTGCACTTTTCCCTTCAGCCTGAGGCTCTTTGCTGATCCGCTCACAACAGAAGCAGCTTGGCTTTCCTCTGGTAGTACCACCAGCCCGCAAACCTAGAGTGTACTCTCCACCCCTGGGTCACAGAACTTCATTCTCCCCTGCTCTGTAACCCAAGGACCCTACAGCCTCTGAGGTCTAACACCCAAGCTCTTCCTTGCAGAAGAGCTGAGATGCTAAGGAGACTATTTGCAGCGTCATAATAAGCCCTTGATTTGTTGAGCTCCCACATAGCTTTCTTCAACCACCTGGCCCACTTCCTTCAACCACATTCCACTTTGGAATGCGTGTCTTTAAGGCACCAAGTGATCTTAAGAATTGGCTCTGTTTCTTTGAATCCAGTGATCCAAATTCCTATCTCAGTGAGACCTCCAAAAAAAAAAAAAAAAAAAAAAAAAAAAGGATTGGCTCTGCTCCTAAGGAATGTAAGGCCTGCCTTTTACACACCAGTTGTATTTAGTGACAGCTGGATGCCAGTCCACACCCCTTCAAGCACCTCACAGTCCCAAACAGGGTGCTCCTACAGGCCTCCCAGGGTCCTGTTAGTGGAAGAAAGGCAGCTCCAGGAAGTCTTCATCTAGCCTTCATGACGGGAAATAGTTAATCCTCTGGGAAATACGCTTGCAGTCCCGGGAAGAAAAGAGTTGTTCCTCCTTGGGGACATGCACCATCATCTTGGCAATTTCATTCAGTGTCTCTTCTGTATGCAGGAGCTCCTAGCTCAGGAAGGCATCCTGTCCACACAGCCTCATGAGACTCCAATTTCTCCAAAGTTTTCACCTCTAAATAATCAATATACCAATCTGACACATTTTGGGATGGCATGTCCTTCACTCCTTCATAGGCAAAGGCACATTTAAGTGTCTTTTCTGTGTTTAAAAAATTATCTTACATTGATTGACTGGTTCTGCTATTCTTTTTGCTTTTACTCATTACATAACATTTTCAACATTTCTCTGGAATGAAAATTAAAATGTTGCTGTCTTTTCCATAATTCAAACTTAATGCTAGTGCAGTGGCTCTAAGCTCACTCACCACCCACACCCCTTCCTCATGCTCTCCATAATCCACTATTGTCTTACATATACAGTTAACTGGGCCTGAAAGGCAGTTATCCTTGCTGCTGAATTTCTATTCATCCTGTGAGACCCACTTACATATCATTTCTTAGAGATATTGTCCTGTTTCCTTTATAAGAACTTGCCTAATACCATACTTATATCACTTACATACTAGTAAGGCATTTGTAAGTGATATAAATATGGTATTAGGCAAGTTCTTATAAAGGAAACAAATGCCTTACTAGTATTCTTATTTGGGATACGTCTATGTCTCTAATTCTTTCTAGATCAGACATGAGTGATTTCCTCTAACTTTCTCATCTTCTTTGGAAATAAAGATTTAAAAGTTGCCTCAATGTTGCTTTTCTGCAGACACAGTCAGGTATTAACCTCTTACTGGCTAAAATAAATACCTTTTCAATTTCCTCACTGACATTTGTATGTTCAATAAAACAACTCAAGTTTTCAGAATTTATACCACTGACCCCAACTCCTGCCACCCACAATAGGGTTCACTGAAGCTACTTTCATTCTGAATTTTTTTAAAAAGTGTGGTGAAAAGGTTTTTGCTTTTTCTGAATTGAATCTCTTGCCCTGGATTGTGAATGTTCCTTGGGAACTCATCAGTGAATCTCTAAGACCTATTCCAGGCCCATGATGCTTTGGACCTTCTCGAAATGAGGTAAACACTGTAGCCTGGACCATGGCCTACCACGGTAGAAAGCATCTCAAGACAGTCACTTTTTCATCATTTTCCATTCCTCTTTGGGCAGTAATATATTTGCAAGAGAAAGGGAAAATGGTAAATTATGCAAATAAATATTTTGAAGACACATTACTTAGTTAATTATGGCTATAACATGGTCGCCTTTAATTTTTACAAAATTACTTCAGTCTTGTAAGCCTAAGGCCTTAGGTTTTTTCTGACTATCACTTATCCTATGCCTAACACATCCAGGCACCAGGTCAGGCACTTTAGTTATATTTGTTGTCTCTAATCCTAAAGCAGCCCTGAATGGTAGGCATCATTCATCCCATTTTAAAAATAGGAAACCAAAGGCAGAGAAGTTAAGTGATTGTCCAACATCATGCAGTTAGCAAGAAGTAGGACCAGGATTCAGTCAGGTCAGCCCGAATGCAAAGTCTGTGCTATTCGCACCACACCACACTGACTGCTGAGGACACTGTATATATTATCCTCTCCAAGCAAACCATAAGTAGGAATTTAATAACTGAATCTGCTAATGCCTACTTCTTCTGCAAGATAACTCTTTGGCTTGCAAAATATAGTTGAGTATTTTGATCTTTTTTTAAGAAGTTATTTGGTGGGAGGATCACCTGAGGTCGGGAGTTCGAGACCAGCCTGATCAATATGGAGAAACCCTGTCTCTACTAAAATACAAAAAATTAGCCAGGCATGGTGATGCATGCCTGTAATCCCAGCTACTCGGGAGGCTGAGGCAGGAGAATTACTGGAATCCAGGAGGCAGAGGGTGTGGTGAGACGAGATCATGCCATTGCTCTCCAGCCTGGGCAACAATAAAACAAAAAAAAAAACAAAAAAGATGCTAATTTATTTTTTATACGTGTGTGTGTGTGTGTGTGTCTGTATTACTTTAAAACTTGACTAGGAAAGGTAGTAAGATAGACAATGAAAAATATTCATGTTAGAGTAAGTGAAAATAACCATGTGATGAGAAAAAAAGATTAGGGGGCAATACATTCACAGTTGTTTCCACTACAGGAAAATAATAATCTGGTTTTTACATTTTCTTCTTTATACTTTTATTTTTCAAGTGTTATTTTTATAATCAAAAACAAGTAATGTTATGCTGTTGATGTGATTTCTGGTTCAGACAAAGGAAATTTTAAATGCTACTTAAAAGTTTCAACATGCTGCTAAATGGCTATGGTATGACCTATCAAAAATGGACACTCAAATAGAAATAAAAATACATTGGCACCGCCTTGTCACTCATCAGTGAGTGATCATGGACAAGCACTCTGGAGCCTAATTTCCTCACAGGACCTTGGAGTCAGGTATACAACCTGTCCAATGTATCAAACTATCAAAATTTATACAAAAGGACATTGTTACAGTAATGATAACCACAGTCACAAAAAAGATACAATTAGTTATCATTTTAGTTACCCATGTCTCTATGTAATTACAGACATTTGCATGGTATGTAAATCCAACATTGGCATTTTAAAATTAATCCTTAAAATATTCTGTGATTTAACAATTTTTATTCCCATTGAAGCGCATAAAGGAAAAGAGTGTTATCTTGATCACAGGGCCAATAAATGATAGGAAAATCTCAAGCATGATCTTTACCATCTAAATCCCATTCTTTTTAATATTCCATGAACAAGGCAAAAGTATATTAGGCATTATTTAATTCCACCCAAAGAGATTAAAAACCCCAAAGGCAAATGATAGGGTAAATTCTAGATATCTCAAAACCCTTCATCTTAAAATAATTTGAGCAATCTTATTTTTGAAATTAGACAAACTAGCTAGGTCTAATATTGCTCACATTTCTAATGTTCATCCTGCTCTTTCTATTCCCACAGTACGTTTTTCATGAGTCTCAGGACTTATTTCTAATGTTATGATTTATAAACTTTCTCTGTAATTTCAATCACATAAAATATTACTTTAATCACAGGAAGCATTCATACATATGAACAAAGAAAGTAATAAATAAAAATGAAATTAGTTGTTTAGGAGAGTAAGAACTACAGGTAACTTTCCCTTAAAACTTCAGGTAAAGTTTTCATCTTTTTTTTTTTTTTTTTTTGGAGAAAGAAATAAAAGAGAACAAAATGGAAAGAGGAAGAAATGGCTTGGCATACTGAATTCATACAGTATATCCTAAAACAATCACCAAACTCATTATGTGGAATTTAGGACATATGTTGATAAAGCCAGAGGTGTCATTTGCAACTCTGCCCATGACTCACATATTATATTAGTCTTGGTTCTCTAGAGAAACAGAACTAATAAGACAGATAGATATATAGGGAAGTTTATTAAGGAGTGTTAACTCACACAATCATAAGGTCCCACAATAGGCTGTTTGCAAGCTGAGGAGCAAGGAAACCAGCCCCAGTCCCAAAGCCGAAGAACTTGGAGTTCAATGTTCGAGAACAGGAAGCATCTAGCATGGGAGAAGCAGGTAGGCTGGGAGGCTAAGTCAATTTAGCCTTTTCATGTTTTTCTGCCTGCTTTATATCCTGGCTGGGCTGGCAGTTGATTAGATGATGACCACCCAGATTAAGGGTGGGTCTGCCTTTCCCAGCCTTCTGACTCAAATGTTAATCTCCTTCACAGACACACCCTCACAGACACACCCAGGATCAACATTTTTCATCCTTCAACCCAACTGAGTTGACATTCAGTATGAACCATCATAAATATCAATACAAATGTCTGTTGATCAAGCATTTTAAGAACCATAGGGCAGAATCTGGAACATTTCTGGTATTTCCTATAAAGACATCACAGACTATTGGACCTAAATCAGTAATCATCCACTATAAGTCAATAAGAAAGATACTTCAAAAGGAACAATGAACTAAACGTCAATTGAAACTTACTTCTATGATTTTTAAAGTACTGAGAGAGGAAAAGCTTTCCTAGGAGACCAGAACTGTCAGCCAGATGACCTTAGTCTAACAGACCAAAATACAAGTAGAGGACACACCATCCTTATTTCTAAACTTTTGCCTTGTCAAAATTCCCTAGAGAAGCAACTACGGCCTATCTATTTTCAAAGAGGCATTGAGAAAGGGAAAAAAGTCACTTTCTATCACTTCTAACATAAATGGTGAAATTGAGAATGAATCAAACCAATCAATATCAAGAAAAGAACCTGAGTAAATAGAAAGGTGATATAGTCTTCTAGGAAACATGGAGGTCGTTTAATGTAACACAGGTTAAAATGACAATAGAAATGATATAACAACTCTACCAAAATTAAAATATTTAAAAGGAATCCAAAATATTATTGTGTAGAGAAGAAAAAATGGTATGTATGAGAGAGCTCAAGATGAAAATATTTAACTTAAACCTCGTTTCTCATATTTTAGTAGATAATTTGAACTCTTCAACCCTAGAAGAACCTAAGAAAGCAAAGAGCCTATTAAAGATATTGAAATATTATGTTGCTTATACCTGTAAATTTTAGATGCTCACTTTCAAAGCTACGCCAATGATATGTCCATCAATTTAAGCTCACAAACTAGCAAAACAAGCAAATTGCAACAACTTAGTGATAGAATTTTTATAAACATTCACCTATTTAATACATAACCAAAATTTTAAAATTCTTATAAGCCATTCTTAGGAATACAACATTTTGAAACATCTAAATATATTGGAATGTCTGTTCTGATGAGCCATATTGACTGCATTATACTTAGAATATTTCAAAAGCATTAATTAAATAAAAATAGACCCTGAAAAAATGCACAAACTACTGTTTGTCCAAATAAAGTTCATTAAGTAATGAACAGTATCCATAAGAAAATTTTTCTTTGAAAATGACAGAAGAAAAATTTGACCCTTTCAAATTACAAATGCCAAAATTGGTCTTTAATTCTCTTTGAATTAAAGGGATCTTGAGAGAATTTAAGTACACAATTCCTGAATGCTATGCCTTTCAAACTTTGCCCATATGACTGTAAGTTTGTCAAGGTAAATCTCCCACACATCAGAAAGCATTGGGAAAATGGTTCTCATTTAAATAAGATACCAATAAGGCAGTCTCAAAATTAAATGTATTACTTCATGCCAAAAAATAAGAAATGTTGTCTTTTATAAATGCTTGTATCATTGCAAGACAGCAGTCACTAAGAACACAGAAATTAGACTGGGAACACTTTCATTAAAGAAGAGAACAGTGGCTCACACCTGTAATCCCAGCACTTTGGGAGGCCGAGGCCAGTGGATCACCTGAGGTCGGGAGTTCAAGACCAGCCTGACCAACATGGAGAAACCCCATCTCTACTAAATACAAAAAATTAGCCAGGTGTGGTGGCGCATGCCTGTAATCCCAGCTACTCGGGAGACTGAGGCAGGAGAATCGCTAGAACTTGGGAGGCAGAGGTTGCGGTGAGCCGAGATACCGCCATTGTCCTCCAGCCTGGACAACAAGAGCGAAACTCCATCTCAAAAAAAAAAAAAAAAAAAAGAAGAAGAAGAGGAGAATCCACCCTACAAACAAGCCTGTCAGAAACTTCATAATTAGAAGTGATATAATTAAGAACATAATAATTAGAAGTCTATCTAAAGAGGCCAGCTACTTCTTCAGATTTTAAAGAACTTTTCATTATGGAAAATTTCAAATACAAATTCAAAAATAAGAGAGAAAAGTGTAATGAACCCATGTACCCAAGACCCAGCTTCAAGCCATCATTCTCACATGGCCAACTTTGTTTCATTTGTATCTCCACACGCCCCCAACCCCTCTGAATTATTTTGGAGGAAATCCCAGACAACATATCATTCATTTCATGAGGAAATAATTCAGTATGTATCTTTAAAGATAGATTCTTTTAAAAAGAATATCCACAATATAATTTATTACACTTTGAAAAAAGTAACAATTCTTTCATATCAGGTCTGTAGTTAGTGCTCAAATATCCTCAACCGCCTCATTATTTTTTTTTACAGTTTGAGTTTGGACTAAATAAGATCCATATATTGCAACTGATCGGTATGTCTTTTAAGGCATTCCTCATCTGTATGCCACATATTGTTTGATTCCATTTATATAAAATGCTCAGAATAGGCAAATCCATAAAGACAGAAAGCAGATTAGGGGTTGTCAGGGGCTGGAAGGAGGAATGGGGAGTGATTGCTAGTGGGCAGAGTTTCATTTTAGGGAGACGGAAATATTCTGAAACTAGATAGTGATAGTGGCACAACCTTGTGAATATACTTAAAAACCACTGAGGGCCGGGCGCGGTGGCTCACGCCTGTAATCCCAGCACTTTGGGAGGCCGAGGCGGGCGGATCACGAGGTCAGGAGATCGAGACCATCCCGGCTAAAACGGTGAAACCCCGTCTCTACTAAAAATACAAAAAATTAGCCGGGCGTAGTGGCGGGCGCCTGTAGTCCCAGCTACTCGGGAGGCTGAGGCAGGAGAATGGCGTGAACCCGGGAGGCGGAGCTTGCAGTGAGCCGAGATCCCGCCACTGCACTCCAGCCTGGGCGACAGAGCGAGACTCCGTCTCAAAAAAAAAAAAAAAAAAAAAAAACCACTGAATTGTACCCTTTAAAAGAACAAATTTTATGGTATGTATATCATATTTAAATTTAACAAAAAAAGAATTTGTGGAAAAATTAAATCAGTTCTAGGGATACCTATAGATCTATTCAGCTCTTTCTTATCAAGACAGATGGATGCTGAATGCACTGATTTAATTATGTAACAGTGAGCTAGGAGAACTAGTAAATATTCCCAACAGAAACTCAAACATATTATGGTTGCTATTGTAATTAATTCTAGAAAATTTTTACTTGCAAACAAAATGTGAGACAAACTGGTCTCTATACTATGTAGTTCACCACCTTAAAAATATTTTTTTCATTTTTTTCATTTTATTAATCTTTTATTTCCATTCCCTGCCTCAAATGGGAAAATCAAGCCCCACATGATTTACTCTGTCGAGCTGGCATCTGCTCTCCCTTGTCCTTCACTTTTTCCATTTTAAATATTTAAACCATTTCTTCCCACTTTTTGTTCTGAGATAATTGTAGAGTCACATGCATTTGTAAGAAATACAGAGATGCTGTCTATCCTTCACCCTGCTTCCCCTAATGGTAACATTCTGGATAACTACATCAACATTGATATAATTCACCAACCTTTTTTAAACCTCATGTTTAAACATGCATTCATTTGTGTGTGTCTATGTGTATTTACTTCTAGGCAATTATTTCACATGTGCAGACTCGTGTGACCACATTAACACTGAATAGCCAACATACAGAACAGTTCCATTACGAGCATCTCTTAAGATAACTCTTTAGAGGCACAACCACCTCCCTTCCCCATCGCCTCCACTCCCTACCCCCTGGCAACCACTAATCTGTTCTTCATCTCTATAATTTTGTTATTTCAAGAATGTTACATAAGTAGAATCATATAATATGTAGTCTTTTTTTATAACTCACCATAATTCCCTCGGGATTCATCCAAGTAATTGTATCAACAGTTCATATTTTTTTTCTTTTTTAAAAAGAGATGGGGTCCTGCTCTGTCACCTAGGCTGGAGTGCAGTGGCGTGATCATAGCTCACTGCAGTTTTGAATTCCTGGGCTCAAGTGATCCTCCCACCTTAACCTCCTGAGAAGCTGATTCTAGAGGTGTGCACTGTTACACCAGGCTAAGTTTAAAAAAAAAAAATTTAAGAGATGGATCACTATATTATCAAGGCTAGTTTCAAACTCCTGGCCTCAAGCAATCCTCCCACCTCAGTCTCCAGAATAGGTGCAATTACAGGCTACTCAACTCCATACCTAGCTTTCATTCCTTTTTATAACTGAGTAAATTTCCATGGAATATAATCACAGTTGTTTATCCATTCATCTACTGAAGGACATTTGGGCTGATTCAGTTTGGGGCTATTATAAATAATAGCTACGAGCTGCTATGAACATCTGTGTACAGGTTTTAGGGTGAACATTAAGTTTTCATTTCTCCAGGATAAAAGGCCCCAAAATGCAATTGCTGGGTCATATGATAAGCACATGCTTAAAAAGTTCTTAATTTTAATGTAATCAAGTTTTTGTATTTTTAAAGCTTACCACTTTTTGTGTCCTGTTTAAGAAATCTTTGCCAAATCTCATATTGTACTGCATTCTCCCCCTTTTAACCTCCCTCACCTCTCCCTATTTCCCCTGCCCCCCACCCCATCACTGATCTCTCACTATCCACTGACCACTCTCTGCCCTCAAATCAACTGCTCTGGGACTAATAATTCACTCTCTTTAATGGCTATATAACACATCAAGGTGTGTATGTCTAAAATACTATACCTTGGTTATCTTTTCTCCCAGTTTTCTTTTCCTGCTATGAACAATATTACAATAATGTCCTTGCTTACATTTCTTTACATTCTGGTACTTTGATTTGTTTGGAATAGAATCTCAAGAGTGGTAATATCAGATTGAGGTGTATATGCATTTTTTAATTTTAATAGATATTTCTGGAAAGTCTGTGCCAATTCACATTTTCACAACCAGTCATCAGAGTACTCTTTGCCCCATACTCCTGCCAACAGTGAACTAACAGTTGGGGTTTTTAAAGTTTGATGGAAGTAAAATTATTCTGTGCTATATATCTGGTTTATATTTGCTTAATTCTAGTGAACTAGAGTTTCTTTTCATATATTTGTTGGCTGTTTGGATTTGCTTTCTGTGAATTACATTTTAAAAATTTTATCTTATTTTCAAATTTTGTTGAGTCATTTGCAGAGGTGCTTCATTGCACAACTTCAGGAATGCCATCAGTAGCCTCAATTATTAGGCCTTTTCTCATCAGTTTGTAAGCAATACTCAAAATCAAATTATAAATGGCAAAACATACAATTATCGCAATTGAAATCAGGAAGTAGACAGGAGTGGTCACTGTCATTGATTAACGCTTTCTTGTAAAGGAGATGTTAAAATTAATCCCCTTTTCCCCTGGTGATATGACTGTTTTACTTAGAAAGCCTGAGAGACTGTGTTAACAACAAGAGTTAAGAAAATGTGCCCAAGATATTTATGTAAAAAGCAAGAATCTCTCTATTACACAGGGCAGGGGTGGGGGTGGGGGTGGGGTGGGGTGGAAGTGAAGCCTAAAAATAGTAAGGAAAAACCTTCCTCTTTTACAATAAGAACATCACGATAAAAATACTTAGAAAGAGGCCAGGTGCAGTGGCTCACGACTCTAATCCCACTTTGAGAGGCCGAGGTGGGTGGATTGCTTCAGCTCAGGAGTTTGAAACCAACCTGGGCAACATAGTGAAATCCCGTCTTTACTAAAAATACAAAAAAGTAGCCTGGCATGGTGGCACATGCCTGTGGGCTCAGCTACTTGGGAGGCTGAGGTAGGAGGATCCCTTGAACCCAGGTGGTGGAGGTTGCAGTGAGTCAAGATCATCCCACTGCACTCCAGACCGAGTGACAGAGTGAGACCCTCTCTAAAAACAAAACAAAACAAACTTAGAAAATTTAACAAAAAAGACAAAGAGCTACAGAAATTAGACTACATAACCTTACTCAAGAACATAAAACAAGACATGAAAAAATGGAAAGATATACTTAATATCATAAAAGTGTCAATGGTCCCAAAATTTATATTTTAATTTAATGTAATTTCAGTTAGAATCCCAAAAGGGTTGGTTTTCATCAGAACTGGATAAAATAATATTACTTGCAAGAATAAATGTTTGAAAATGACCATGTTAAAAAGAATTCAGTAGGCATATTTGCTTTCCAGATACCAAAACATATAATAAAACTAATGTAATCAAGTCAAAATGGTGTTAATATAGAAGTAGACAAATAGATCCATGGAACAAAACACAAAATACAAAAATAGACCCTAATGAAATGTAACGTATTTCTATGGTGTTTACTCATAGTCATATAATAGAACATGATATACTATTATATATATAATTATATATAATTATATATAATAGAACATGATATAATATACTAGAAATGATATACTATTACAATTTAAGGACAGAAAAATTGATTATTTATTAAGGGTGATAGTTCAAAAAACCACTCATCTGGAAGAAAATAAATTTAAAAACCTATCATATCATTTTCAAAAATAAATTCAAGATGTATCACAGGCATATATGTAAAAATAAAATAAATCTTGCCAAAAACTCTAAAAAACTACCACAAACACAAATCTATAAGGGTTTTATAATTTTAAAAAATTGTATTGCTAATAAAAAAAATTTTAAATCACAGGCAGAGGGCAGAAAACCTTATTGACAGAAAGAACCTCTATGAATTTACAAAAAGAGGACAAAGGACAGAAATTCATTTTTAAAAAGGTTTTTAAGTAGTGATTTTTAAACCATTTTGAAGGTCATAGGCCTCAATGACAATATAGTTAAAACTAGGGACTCTGGGCCGGGCGCTGTGGCTCACGCCTGTAATCCCAGCACTTTGGGAGGTCGAGGCGGGCAGATCACGAGGTCAGGAGATCGAGACCATCCTGGCTAACACAGTGAAACCCCATCTCTACTAAAAATACAAAAAATTAGCCGGGCGTGGTGGCAGGCATCTGTAGTCCCAGCTACTCGGGAGGCTGAGGCAGGAGAATCGCTTGAACCCGGGAGGCAGAGATTGCAGTGAGTCAAGGTCACGCCACTGCACTCCAGCCTGGGTGACAGAGCAAGACTCTGTCTCAAAACAAAAAACAAAAACAAAAACAAAAAACAAAAAACAAAAACTAGGGACTCTCTCTCCTCAACAACATTCATTTTACAAAGAGGATTTTGCATATAATTTTGGGTGTTTCTCAGATCACCCTCCTCTCCAAGTCCATTCATTACCATCTTTTATATAAATAGAATCATACAACATGTGGCCTTTTTGGTCTGGCTTCTTTCACTTAGCATAATGTTTTCAAGATTTATGGACCCCTGAGTAAGGATCGCTGCTTTTCAGTCAAAATTCTCTTTTTCTAATTTACTATTTTCTGACAAAATAATTAAAACAGTTCCATTTTGAACTAACTTCTAATTATATATCATAATATTTGTTAGCACATTAATAAATATAACCATTTAGGAAAAGTTTTCAGAAATAAGGTCTTTTGGCTCACATTTTTACTATGTTCTATTACATTACCAGAGGAAATCAGTTAAAAACTTAGGAGGCTGAGAAACGCATTTCTAATCCTCTAATCACCCTCCTAAGTAAGTGGCAGTCAAAGTATGTGGGTTGAGACATAATAAATTAGGTCCACTCTAATAACATTCTCATAAATAAATCTGACACTTGGCATTACTAGATTCCCTGTCCCATAGGGGCCAAACTCAGCTGACACTTTCATTAATCAGCATTACCCACTCTGTCCCAAAGTGGAAGTCCTTTGCCAGTGTGAATGCAAAGTGTTTAGGATGCATAAGGTACAAAGCAAGGATTAAAGATGTTTTCTTTTTTTTAAAATATTGAGACAGGGTGTTGCTATGTTGCCCAGGCTGATCTGGAATTCCTAGCCTCAAGTGATCCTCCTGTCTTGGCCTCCCAAAGTGCTGGGATTACAGGCATGAGCTACCACACCTGGCCTCTATTTTTTTTAAATAGCTCTTGATGTCTTTTTTAAGTTTATTTTTGCCAGAAAGAATTTTTAAAAAACATGTCAGGAAATATATTTAATTTATTAATATTGATATTACTGGTATTGATAAAATGGCATTATTTATAGAAGCTTTATTTGGAGTTGCATTAGAGGTATTCAAAATGTTTGACGCTTTCTTCTTTGATGATGTCCTAGACCTGGTATAACAAATAGGTTCTCTTCATTTTTCACTTCAAATTGGTTGGCAGTGATTGTGTTGAAATAGATGGTGAGACCAGAGATAGATGGTGAAACCACATCTGGTTTCAGCAGAAAAGAGAGAGATGATCTAGCAGAGCTCTCTCAGCCCATGCCTTCAGAACGGGGTGGGTTCTGGTTGTTTGCATCATATGCAACCACAGAGTTCCATTCCTACCCTCACAGAGTACCATCATCTTCAGTATCCTTGGCTTCCCTTTATACCTCTTCCCAAGTCTATCCTCAGATGCCCTTCCTTTGGAAACCCAGATACCGTTCTTTCACAAGAGGGCACTTGGCAATGGTATAACTCAATTCACATGAATAAGGCCTGACCAATCTTGGTATCTTAGCTACTAGTGACTGAATTTCATAACCCTAAGTCATAAGTGGATTTCTCTGACCCATTAGAAGACAAATCCTAATGACTAAGAATTCTGTCCCTCCCTCCATGGGAAGAGATGAGAATCCAAATACCAAGATCTCATGCTACCTGTGCAAGAGCCCTTGATTTTGGAAAAAGCCCTCAAGTTTAAGCCTTTAGACCTTTTGTGAAGTCACATGTCAATGTAACTCTAGTAGAGTTGATTTTAAGTCTGCTCTTAAAAATAATCATATAAAAATATAAGCTATATGTTGGAAATACCCTGGTTTTAGTTCAGATACTTAAAAATGGTACATAATTCTACAAATTTAAATGTACATAAAAATATAGCTTGGTGTTCTTTGTTGTACCATTTATGTTGCAGACTGCTATAATTTCAAGAAGTTATATAAATAAAATGATGCACTTTAGGACATTTTCTATTTTTGAAATCTGAACATGAATCATTCACATAACCAAAAATTATATTTTTAAAAAGAAATACATGTCTAGTCTATCCTTCTAAAGTAACTGTTCTCTTAAATGAGCTATGATAGAAATAAAATCATTACCAGTTAACTTTGAAAACACATATGTTTAACAGTATTGTTTTAAAGAATATGCTATAAAATTATTTTAAAAAGCTATATAAATGAGAAGCTACTAATGTTCTGAAATCTGTTGTTTCTACCACAGGTAAAAGCTTATTCAGGAATCCCCAAAGTTGTACGACTGAATAAAAGACAACACCACATTATAGTACAAAAGACAAAAAAACAAGACAAAACTGGCCACACCCATTTTATGCAAAGTAGGAGAATCAATTTCCCAAGTTATTTGGCATAGAGAAAAATTCATTTCTAGCAACTTGGATTTGATTCTCCTATAAGAATTTGATTTGTATGCACCTAGATAAAATAAATATAACCAACAAAATCTATCAGGTCAGTCCTGACAATCTCCTAAATTTTATATCTGCTATTAACTCATTAACTGACTTGCAGAGAGGTCTGATTATTGAAACTGGAAAATATACTCCAGTTTTATTCACAGACTTTATGCACTAAAAGGCATCTCCTCCCCGAAGAGCACCTTGAGTTGAAGAGAAAAATGTTTGCTAAATTTTTCCGAGGTAGAACAAAATATTTTTAAATGGCAGCTTTAAAACCTAAGAAGAATTTCATTGAAACTTCCGAAGGCCACTATTTTTTATTAAAAATGATAGAATTCTTAGCTTCTTTCCTTGTCACCACACCCTTAAAATGAGCTATCTCTGATAGCTGGATTTCATTAATCCACATTCTGTTCATTTTGAAGAGGCTAGCCTCAGTATTTGGTTCCAAGGTATAAAAAAGACACTTAAAATGTGAGTAATCATCCCTGTACAGCAGAGGTCCCCAACCCCTGGACCACAGACCAATACTGGCCTGTGAGCCAAGCAGGCGAAGTTTCATCTGAATTTACAGCCACTCCCCATCACTTACATTACTGCCCAAGCTCTGCCTCCTGTGAGATAAGCAGCAGCATTAGATTCTCATAAGAGCCTGAACCCTATTGTGAACTGTGCATGCCAGGGATCTAGGTTGCGCACTCCTTATGAGAATCTAATACCTGATTATCTGTCATTGTCTCCCATCACCCCCAGATGGGACTGTCTAGTTGTAGGAAAACAGGCTTAGAGCTCCCACTGATTCTACATTATGGTGAGTTGTATAATTATTTCATTATGCATTACAATGTAACAATATTAGGTTGATGCAAAAGTAATTGGGGTTTTTGTCATTAAAAGGAATGGCAAAAATTGCAATTACTTTTGCACCAACCTACAATAGAAATAATGTGCACAATAAATGTAATGTGTACGAATCATCCCCAAACCATCCCCCTACCATCCTGGTCTGTGGAAAAACTGTCTTCCACAAAAACCGGTCCCTTGTGCCGAAAAGGTTGGGGACTGCTGCTGTACAGTGTATGTGTGTACAGTGATCCCTACGTATCCATAGGGGATTGGTTCCAGGACCCCCCACAACAACCTGCAGATAACAACATCCATGGTGCTCGCTACACCCTTAAAATGGTGTAGTGTTTGCATATAACCTGCACATATCCTCCCATATAAGACATCTTGAGATTACTTATAATACCTAACACAATGTAAATGCTATGTAAATAGTTGTTACACTGTATTTTTAAATTTGTATTTTTTTATTGTTGTGTTTTTATTTTTTTTAACCCCTGAATATTTTCCATCTGTGGTTGGCTTAATCCTCTGATGAGGAAACTATGGATACAGAAGGCTGACTGTATTACCTTGTGTGGCAGGGGGTAGGGAAGGAGTTAAATATAGCTACTCAAGAAATCAGTATTCTAGAAACGTTGTAAAGTAATTGTAAGAAAGCTGTGAAAGGTAGTTAAGCACCTGAATTTACCAATGTTAAAAGACCTTAAAAAAAAAAAACTTGTACTCTTTTAAAAACATCATATTGTGAATATTAAAACACTGTCATCCTCTGAATCAATTCATACTATAATGAGAAATATTTATGAATGTTAAAGTGAGGAAAGCTTATAATTATCAGCCTAGGGTAGCCTAGGGTATAGGAAGAAAGCACAATGTTTCTTGATGATCTGAATAAAAATGCTTATTTTTTTATTTTAAAATAACAAAAATACAATAATTTATAACCAAAATACTTTTGTTTAAATTTTGATAATGATATCTAAAATATATAAACTTGCTTTAGTTTAATAAGATAAACACACATTTTTCAGTGAAAGCAGCAAAATTATACTTTGGATATGAGTTCATCTCTTTATTAAGACCCCAAGCATATTCTTCAATTTTGCTTCCTAATTACTTACAATATCAAGTTTTAGAAACTAGCAAATATAAGGCATTGCTTTAAAGTATGAGACCTCTAAAAATCAATGCCTAAATGATGACTGTAGATTTAAATTGACATGGAAAGACAGTCATAATATTTTGATAAGTTTTAAAAAAATAAAGAACGGCACGTATAACTTCACTTAGCTTATGCAAACTTAAATTTTCTAGCCATATCCTTCTGTGTAAATGTACATAAAGAGGTGCAAGCAAAGAAGAGTGCCAAAATACTAGCAGTAGTTGTCAGTGTAGGCTATGAGTATAAAAATTCTGCTTGCCTTCTTCAATTTTTTCTTGTATTGTTTCAAATAGCTTACAAGAAATATATACTATTTTGGTGATATATACAAAGTAGAGCTACTTTTGTTTTGAAAATATGTGAAATGAAATGTCTTTGAATGCTTTAAAATATGGATTAACATTACTTTTATATGAGAAACTGATCAAGTCATCTTAACAAGTAAACTCAATTGTTATTTAAATTAAGATAATTTTTAAAAAACTAACCTAAAAAGCAGTCTTTTCCATGAAGAAAGGTACCTATGGCACTAAATTTGGAATTTAAGATTTTTGTCATTAGCGTCAGTCAAGTTGCTATAGATATTAAAAAATGTATTACCTATAAATTGACAAATTTAGAGGTTGCTATTAATAGAATTCTTTTCTTAGGTAACAAAGAATACAAAATAAGTAACACAAATGACTGACTACTTGAGGTGATCTGAGTAGGTATAATATCTATTATCAAGAGAAGATTATTAAGAGATTAAGAGATGTTAATAGAACCAGGAAAAAATGTTTTTTAAGTGCCAGGAAAAAAGCTCACATCCAAGAAATGTAAGGCAAATTTATTTCAGGTAATTTTCATTAACCAGGAACAAGGTAAAAAAGCCCATGCTATTTGCCTTAGCACTTGGCAGAAACAAACCGGGGAATGTGGCTTCTTTGGAGATCGGTGTCCAACCAAACACTCAACCTAACATCCATTCATATTTTTTATTATGTTCAATAAAATCATAAAATCATAGCACCATAATAGCCTGGTGCTATGGTCCCATTAGGTCTTGCAACTTAATCAGAGCCAGCTTAAGTCTAATCAGATGAAACAGCTGTTTTAACAGTTGGGTTTTTCCAAAATTAAAATATTCTATTCCTGACAGTGGCTAGCAACTCAACTGTTAAAACAGCTGCTCATGCTGAAGAGTTGAAAACCAAGTGTACATACAATTTTCCCTCCATTTACAACTGCTCCGAGATTCTTTCAGAATAGAAGTTTCTAAACTTCATACTGACATCTCCCAACCTGTTTAAGTTTTTACACTTGTATTGCCTCTACCTCTGACCTTCAGCCAATATTTCTGCCACCGTCACCTTCTTGGTGTTTGCTCTTTGTCTCCATCATACTCTAAACTATAATTGCCAGCTGGTGGTTTTGTACTTCCCCGCTTAGAAACATCATCTGTGTGCTTTACACTTACTCCTCTATTGTCTTGGAAGCATTTCCACTTCTTCTGAAACAGGCAGTAACTCAGAGTCTCCAGGTTCTTCTAAGTGAAATATTATTTCTAATGACTTACACTAGTACTACTGAGGTTACAGAAGGTAAAGGTAGGCCGGGCACAGTGGCTCACGCCTGTAATCCCAGCACTTTGGGAGGCCGAGGCGGGCAGATCATGAGGTCAGGAGATTGAGACCATCCTGGCTAACACGGTGAAACCCCGTCTCTACCAAAAATACAAAAAATTAGCCAGGTGTTGTGGCAGGCACCTGTAGTCCCAGCTACTCGGGAGGCTGAGGCAGGAGAATGGCGTCAACCCGGGAGGCGGAGCTTGCAGTGAACTGAGATTGTGCCACTGCACTCCAGCCTGGGTGATAGAGCAAGACTCCATCTCAAAAAAAAAAAAAAAAAAAAAAAAAAAAGAAGGTAAAGAAGGTAAGACCCTTAAAAATAATCCAAAAATGCTCTCTGGCACAGAATTTTCACTTTTGATCACTTTATAAATGTCTTCAAAATCTTGCATTTTTTCACCATGATCTCTATCAGATATGCCTATTTGTCTAATTTTTCTGTATTACTCTATAGCATACAAACCTATTAATCAACAATTATATTACCAATAATGATTATTTAGCTCTAACTGTATATCCATCTCTCTACCCAACCTTTCTATCCATCCTTTCACCCATCTATCCACCTACATTCTCAGCTTAAAATCCTTGCCAACTGTACTGGATACAACAAAACTAAATTGACCCTGATAAGCTCTTAATGAGTACAAAAGATCTTGATCCTGATTTTATAACACTTGCTTTATTCTCTCATAATGTTCTTACTCCTCACAAATGTACTGCATTACAAATCTCCCAGCACTTTGGGAGGCCGAGGCAGGTGCATCGCCTGAGGTCAGGAGTTCAAGACCAGCCTGGCCAACATGGTGAAACCCTGTATCTACTAAAAATACAAAAATTAGCTGGCCGTGGTGGTGGGCGCTTGTAATCCCAGCTACTCAGGAGGCTGAGGCAGAAAAATCGCTTGAACCCAGGAGGTGGAGGTTACAGTGAACTGAGATTATGCCATTGCACTCCAGCCTAGGCAACAAGAGCAAAACTCCGTCTCAAAAAACAACAACAACAAAATCTTAGCTCCCAGGATCTGTCTAAAAATAGATTTACTATAGGACCCAGACTCATCAAACCTGAACATACCTACAAAAAAGCTGAACATATTTCAAGATTACAAAACTTTTCCTGTAGCAGCTCCAGCTCTTCCGCTGGGTTATGTATGGAGAGATTCTGGCACACTAATCTCAGAAACAACCTCTCTCTCATGCCCCACATCTCGGTGGGAAAGGGCATAAGCCAAAGATACATCAACAAGTGCAGATACCACAAATGAAAAGGTGCTCCCAGATCTTGTACCAGGCAACACAGTCCTGGGGCAAGTTGACGCTAATGGAGACACTGGAGTGCTCAGTGAAACAGTTTGATTCTAGGGCTGGAAGTCATCTTAATAAGTCATGTCAAAGCCTAAATTATAAGCATGGTAGAGCTAAATTTTCCTAATTAAAGGGGAGACTTTGAAATACTGGCTTTGCTGTCACTATTCTATTATCATAATGTCAGGGGAGAGAGACCCCAAAGTTTCCTGACTTTATTTTCAAGTCAGTCTAGAGAACAATGTTTGTTCTTCCAGCTTACAGTATTGTTAGGATCAGTTTTGCTTTACAGGGCTAAACATAGAAAAGTTTTCATTTTTAATAAGAGCTTGATAAATAACCTTAAATCCCAAAGGGCCTTGTTAAAGCAGCCTCATAAAAGTTTTACACTTGCATATGAGTTTGAAACAAAAAAAATGTCTACCTAGCAGTTTGAGCTCCTGCTGACTTCTCTAGCCTTGGGGAAGTTATTGTTAAAATTCATATGTCTCAGTATTTCAAATGATTTAAATCAGTCTATTATGATAAATCACCATGAAGTACACCAAATGAAAGACACTGTTCAAACAAAAATCTCAATTTTAAATATACAAAATACACACAACGCACCCATCCGTATGTTTAAACAGCATTAAGGTTCTGATACATTACTCATGTAACCACATTTTATCCTCAGAGCCTAGGATGCAAAAACATATTTTGTACTAGGTGATCTATTTTCCCTTTCTTTTTTTAGGAGGTCATTTCGACCCATTTTGATTCTACTCTGAAGAATGAAAGTCTATGCAGGAAAGTTCCAACAAAATTGGAAACTAAATCAGTTGGAATAACATAACATACATAGTGGGTAATGTTAACATTTTATCTCCTCCCTTATAAGACCTGGGAAAATCAAAACTGAAACAGTATATTCAAAACGTTAGGCAATGATTGCTAGCAGAACAGAATCTTATGTTCAACAATGGAATACTAGAGAGGGTTTTTTAAAAGAGCCCCAGTACCTAGCACATCATCTTGCAATATGGTAAGTGCTTAATACATACTTGCTAAATGATTTTTTTTAAATCATCATATAGATAATCCTTTGCAATGTTTATACCATTACAGGACTATTATCATTAGTGCTTCTCTGAACTTTGGGCCAGTAACCAGGAATCGCAACCCAACTCTGAAATTGTGTTAATTTTCTATGATAGAACCTTGGAGTAGACATTAACCTGAGAGAAATTTTGCTCCTCTGCAACATTCCTAACATGTGGCTCTCTGGTCTTCGTTTGAAAAACTCCAATAACAGGGAAACTCACTGCCAGGAAGTTCTTTGAACTGAGTGAAATCTGCTCTTCAGAACCTGAGCCCTTCAGAAAATATCCAACAACATTTAACACTTTCTTCTGATTTTTCTCTAAGCTAAACATTCCCCAAGTTTCTTCCAATACTGATTTCTTATTTATTTTTATTTGTATAAATTTATGGGGTAAGATGTAATTTTGTTACATGGGCATATTACATAGTGGTGAAGTCTAGGTTTTTAGTGTATTCATCACCAAAATAATGTACACTGTACAAATCAAGTAATTTCTCATTACCCCCCTCACACCTTTCCAACTCTCCAACATCTATCATTCCACACTCTATGTCCATGTACACACATTATTTAGCTCCCACTTGTAAGTAAGAACATGCAGTATATGACTTCCTGTTTCTCAGTTGTCTCACTCAAGATAACGGCCCCCAGTTGTATCCATATTGCTGCAAAAGACATGATTTCATTCTTTTTCATGGCCAAAGAGCATTCCTTTCTTTATATATACCACATTTTCTTTATCCAGCCATCCACTGATGGACATTTAGGTTGATTATATATCTTTGCTATTGTGAGTAGTGCTGGAATAAACAAATAAATGAATGCATCTTTTTGATAATAATGATTTATTTTCCTTTAGGTAAATACCCAGTAGTGGGATTGCTAGATTGAATGGTAGTTCTATATTTGAGAATTCTCCATATTGTTTTCCATAGAAGTTGTACCAATTTACATTCCTGCCAACATTGTGCAAGTGTTCCCTTTGCTCTGGATCCTCACAAACATCTGTTCTTTTTTTTGACGTTTTAATAGTCATTCTGACTGGTGTAAGATGATATCCCATTGTGGCTTTAATTTGCATTTTCCTGATGATTAGTGATGTTAAGTATTTTCTCATGCTTGTTGAACATTGGTATGTCTTTTGAAAAATGTCTACTCATGTCCTTTGCCCACTTTTTAATGGAGTTATTTGGGGTTTTTTGTTGCATTGAGTTTCTTGTAAATTCTGGATATTAGTCCTCTGTCAGTTGTATATTTTACAGATATTTTCTCCCCTTCTTCATGTTATCTGTTCACTAAGTTATTTCTTTTCCTGTACACAAGCTTTTTAGTTTAATTAAGTCCTATTTGCCTATTTTTGTTTTTGTTTCTTCTGCTTTTGAGGGCTTAGTCATGAATTCTTTGCCTAGGCCAATGTCCAGAAGACTTTTTCCTAAGTTTTCTTCTCATATTTTTATAGTTTTAGGTCTTACATTTAAGTCTTTAATCTGTCTTGATTTCTATATGGTAAGAGAGGGTTTCATTCTTTGCATATGGATTTCCAATTTTCCCAGCACCATTTATCGAAAAGGGTGTCCTTTCCTCAGTGTATATTTTTGTCATCTTTGTCAAAAATCAGTTGACTATAATTATGTGACTTTTTATCTAGATTCTCTATTCTCTTCCATTGGTCTATGTGTCTATTTTTATACCAGTACCATGTTCCCACAGTGATTTCATATCATATGGATGAGTTTCCTTACTATTCCTGTTGTTTTTAATCAACGTAGTGATCATTTATTAAAATAATCCTACCATGATCTTCTTCAGTGACAAATGAAAATTTGCATAGTACCTTATATGTTATCCAATTCTTTCACATAATTGTAAAATAGGGTTTCATTTTAAAAACAAGGAAACTGAAGTTCAGGAGGTTAAATGAACATGCACGTTTCTCCCAGAAGAGCCAGAACTTCAAGTGTTTTCTATCACACCTTTGAGGCTGTCTTTTTAGCTGTAAAACGGGGGTAATAATATTTGCCCTTTAAGCTTCAAAGCTTTCTTGTGAATATCAAAGAATGTATGAACACAGCATACAGGATAGGTTTTTATTACCAAGATCATTCATATGCAGAAAATTTCTGCTCTCTTAAGAATATAATTTATGAATGGGAGCAGTCCAAGTCACAGGTGTTAAAAATGTTACTGTTTTTTACCTCCAGAATGCAAAGCATATGGCAACTAAATGATCCAGTGGTATAACAAGACCAATGCCTCCTATAAAGTAGTAGGCAAGTCACTCATCTTTTGGAGTCCTGTCAATGAAGGAAGCATTTTCCTAAAAAAAAAAAATTTAAATTTATGCCTGTACTGAACTCCTAGTACTCTGTCATCTTTTAATTCCATTATGTTATACATTAATAGATTTCTGTAAACTGGCCTGAGAACCTACTTGACGTTTACAACATAATTTCTCTGACAGAACATTCTTCTAGTTCTAAAGAATTGCCTTAGAAAAAAGCTTTTGGAATACAACCATTAAGTTGAGAAGAACCTTAAAAAAAAATCTGTTGCTAAAGCATGGTAGGATATTTAAAAATTATTCTCATTTTTCAAAGGGCACAAAGTAGTAATGTATATACATCTAGTTGAAGAATGGAGAGCTGATTTCCAATTCAAGTACATCTTACCAACTGCAGCTGCAGGAATGTCATATTAAAATTAGGACTTGTTTCATTGGTGATTGTTTTCAAGAAAGATGAGGTAATAAGCAAATAGGCAGAGACCTATAATAAACTGCCCCTGTTTCTCATGAAAATCATTTAACCTAAATTTTTAAAAAAAGTTTTATCAAAAATTTCAAACATATACAAAAGTATAAATCACAGAGTAATAAACAACTGTCCTCATCACCCAGCTTCATCAACAATCAATTCACGGCTAACTTGTTTCAGCTATATTCCCACCCAATACTCTCAACCCCTGGATCTTTTTGAAGCAAATTCCACAAATACTATCATATCATCTATTATACATAATACTTCAACATGTACTCTAAGACAGAGTTATTTTAAAATATCATATCCGTATCAAAAAAATTAACAATAACTTTGGTCTCATCAAATGTTCACATGTCCTCAACATTTTAACTTTCTAAATTTTCTTTGAGATCCAAATAAGGTCCACATATTATTAATTGGTTGGTAAAGCCTATGTTTCTTTTAATCTGTAGGTTCTCCTTCCTTCTATCTTTTCTCCTCCTGCTAATATTTTGCTGAAGAAACCAAGTTGATTGACCTATAATTTCCCAATCTGGATTTTGCCAGTTGCAACATTATAGCATACTTTAACATATCCCTGTCCCCCGAATTTCCTAAAAACTGGTAGTTGTATCTAGAAGCTTGATCGGGTTTGCTGTTTTGAAGACTACTTTATAGGTGGGGTTATACACTTCTGTCAGGAGGTACGGAATCACCACCCCACCCCATCTTTCCTTTTGTGATGTTAGTATCCAAAGATGATCATCAACAAGTTCCATTACTTCATGATGGTTCAGAAAATGGTGTTAGCCCAATTCTACGCTGTTTTCATTTGTTCACTGGAATCTGCCTATGAAAAAACTTCCCCTAATCACATATTTGGTTACTCTGAGGCACAGCTCACAGAGGAAAAGCTAGATAAATGTTTGATTTTCTCCCCGTTTATCTTCCACTTTTCAAAGCTATGATGGTTCATAGCATTTTCCAAATGTACTGACCAATGAAATTTCTCTCTTTTTTTCTTTTTAAACAGGGTCTCACTCTGTTACCCAGGATCATGCAGTGGCATGATCATAGCTCACTGCAGCCTCAAACTCCTGGGCTCAAGTGATCCTCCTGCCTCAGCCTCCCAAAGTGCTGGGATTACAGGCATGAGCCATCATACCTGGCTGAAAGTTTTTTTTTTTTTTTTTATCTTTTTTGGTATCATTATGAACTCACAGATGTAAATATATATGTTGTTTTGTCCTTATTGTTATCCTTATTGATGCTCAAATTTACCCATTTTTTGGCCAGTGAAGCCTATTCAAGTTGTCTCCTGAGTCCTTTTTGACATGACCCTAATAATGTTTGATAACTTCTTTTCTATTAAAACAGGATAGGATATTACAAGCTCTTGTAATACTACATGCTACATCCTGAGATCTACCCACTTCTGGTTGGATCCCTGGTTGTTTTTAGTAGGGAATGGTATTTACAGACAAAATAATCTAGGCCCTAGGAATGCACTGCCACTGGGTTAGTCAATACTTTTAGGCTTTTTCAGGGAATAGAGCTAAAAAGTAGTAATTTTTTTTTAAATGTTAAATTATGTGCTCATTTTAATATTTCTATTCCAAATCCAGGACTAAACAGTTTTATTTAATCTCATCAATCTTGCATCTGTAGTATTTTCTCTCTCTCACGTCAAAAACCCAGTTCTCATGACACCAACATAATTGCTCATTTGACTTATCCTAAAATCCACATACAACAGTCTCAGTTTATTACTACCACACTGTCACCAGTAATATGATTATGAAAAAAGTTTTAAGATGTTTTTGTAGTTTCTTTTGTCATTAGGATATATACTAAGAGAGATATACAGTCCAATGACTGTGTTTTAAAGTCTCTTGGAGCACTTCTTTGTGTGTTTATGACACCAATTCTACATGCACTTAAGTTCATTTTTTTTCCATTTCCTTTGGATTTTTAGAGATGGTTTAAATCATATTTTGCCTTATAACTATGTAAAATATATACTTGTTCCCAAGTCAAATCTATGAAATCAGATATATTTTTAAAAGCCTAACTTGTATCCTTGTTCTGTTCACTGTCTTTTCTTCCTTCCTTTATAAATAACTTTATTTAAATCTTAGTTTAGCCTTTGATTTTTAAAATATAAGCAAATATATTCATATTCTTATCATTCTTCAATAAACAATAGCACACTATACACTTTCTTCTTCACCAGAGTAGTATATACTGATATTCATTATTAATTTTATAGTTGTATGGTTAATTGCAAGAATATAATTTATTCGGTCAGCACCCTATTGATGAACATTTGGGTTGTTTGATTCATTCATTCACTCATTCATTC
Source organism: Homo sapiens (assembly GCF_000001405.40). Lineage (NCBI taxonomy): Eukaryota > Metazoa > Chordata > Mammalia > Primates > Hominidae > Homo > Homo sapiens. The sequence continues at coordinate 82,984,342 of NC_000006.12, forward strand.
ATTTTACAAATAGTGCTCAAATTAATAGTCGTATGCATGTGTCCTTTAATTTCCATCAATGTGTCCCTGAAATAATTCCTAGAAATGGAATTGCTCCATCAAAAAAGTAAATGCACATGTAATTTTTGCCAAATTTCCCTCCATAAAGATTGTACCATTTTGTATATCTACCAAAGTATGAGATTTCCCATTTTTCACAGCTTCACCAAAAAAATATGTTGTCAAACTTTTGGATTTCTGCCAATCTAATAAAGCCTAGGAGAGTTTCATTTACATTTCTTTATTAGGAGTGAGGGTGGGTATCTTTTTATATGTTTAAGAGTTCTTTTCATTTCTTTTCTGATGAAGTATCTGTGAATATTTCTACTCCATTTTTCTATGGGGTTGTTAGCCTTTTTCTTCTTTATTTGTAGATTTTTATAAGCTGGGGATATTAGCCTTGGTTTAAATTATAAAGAGTTTTTCATTGTTGTTATGTTTATTTATTTAGATACAGGGTTTCACTCTGTTGCCCTGGCTGGAGTTCAGTGGTGATTATGGCTCCCTAAAGCCTTTATCTTCTGGGCTCAGGCATTCCTCCCACCTCAGCCTCCCAAGTAGGTAGGACTGCAGCTGTGCACAACCACATCTGACTGTTTTTAAATTTTTTTCTTTCTTCTTCTTCTTCTTTTTTTTTTTTTTTTTTTTTTTTGGTAGAGAGGAGTTTTGCTGTGTTGCCCAGGCTGGTCTCAAACTCTTGGCCTCAAGTGATCCTCCCACCTGGCCTCCCAAAATGATGGGATTACAAGTGTGGGCCACACATGCCTGGCCTCGTAGTTATTCCTTATCTTTTTACTTTGTTTATGATGCTTTTTTGTTACAAGTTTTTCTTTTTATTTCTATGTAATCAAATTTATCACTCTCTCTCCTTACTACTTCTAGATTTTGAGTCACTGTTAAAAGGTTTTCCCCACTCCAAGGTAATGGAGAATTCATCCATATTTTCTTTTAGTACTTATGTGGTTTTGTTTTTTTGTTTTGTTTTGTTTTGTTTTGTTTTGAGATGGAATCTCTTTCTGTTGCCCAGGCTGGAGTGCAGTGGTGCAATCTCGGCTCACTACAACCTCTGCCTCCCAGGTTCAAGCGATTCTCCTGCTTCAGCCTCCCAAGTAGCTTGGACTACAGGCATATGCCACCATACCTGGCTAATTTTATGTAATTTTTGTAGAGACGATGTTTCACCATGTTAGCCAGGATGGTCTCAATCTCCTGACCTTGTGATCCACCCGCCTCGGCCTCACAAAGTGCTGGGATTACAGGCATCAGCCACTGCACCCGGCCATGTGGTTTTCTTTTTAAACCTCTGATCTATTTGAAATGGATCCCCGTGTAACATGTAAAGATTAAATTTTATTTTTTTCTTTGCATTTATCTCAGCACCCCAACGCTAATTATTATAAATTCTACATTTCCTCACTGTTTGAGAGGCCACCTTTCCTATGTATTATGTTTATATATGAAATCAGGTCTATTTCTGTTGTGTTCCAATGGTTTGTCTATTCATGGGTCAGAATCACACTATTTGAATTATAGTATCTTAATAATACATTTTAATATTAATATCTGATAGGGCTAGTCCTTGCCCTGATTTCTTTTATTTTCAAGGGTTTTCCTAACTATTGTTTCCAAACAAACTTTATAATCAACTTGTCTAGCTGAAAAAACAAAACAAAATTTGATGGCATTTTTATTGGGCTTTAGTTTATTGAGTTTGTGTATTAACTTAGGTATAACTGACATTTTAATGATAGTTACCGTCTTATCCAATAATATGGTATATACTTCCATTTGCTTAAGAATACTTCTGTAATGGCGGGCGTGGTGGCTCATGCCTGTAATCCCAGCACTTTTGGAGGCCGTGGCGGGCAGATTACGAGGTCAGGAGTTCAAGACCAGCCTGGCCAACATGGTGAAACTTCATCTCTACTAAAAATACAAAAATTAGCCAGGTGTGGTGGCACATGCCTGTAATCCGACCTACTCGGGAGGCTGAGGCAGGAGAATCACTTGAAGTCAAGAAGTGGAGGTTGCAGTGAGCCGAGATCATGCCATTGCACTCTAGCCTGGGTGACAGAGAAACACTCTGTCTCAAAAAAAAAAAAAAAAAAAAAAAAAAAACTTTTGTACTCTTTTCCAAAAGTATTTTATAATTTTCCTCATACATGTTTTTTACACCTCTAGTTAAGTTTCAGCATTTTAATTTCTGTGTTATTGTACATGGGGTCTTCCATATGTTCTAGGTGACTTGAAAAAAATATATACATATATATTTTACACATATGTATGGATTATACATATATCTTTTATACATATGCGTGATTATACATATATTTATATTTTATATATATATCCATTATACATATATATGTATACATGTATTATACATATATATTCTTTATTTGTAGATTTTTATATATTGGAGTTATTAGCCTTGATCTCTGGTTTGAATTACAAAGTTTTTCATAGGTGTTATTTTTATTTTATATATAATAAATTAATTATATTATACATATGTATAATAGCTTTCAAAAAGCCTGCCCGCCTTTCCTTCCCTTCCTCCCTTCCTCTCTTCCTTCCTTCACAAGACAGAGTCTTGATCCGTCGCCCAGGCTGGAGTCCAGTGGCATGATCAAGGCTTGCTGCAGCCTTGACCACCTGGGCTCAAGCTATCCTCCTCCCTCAGCCTCCTGAGTAGCTGGGACTACAGGTGCTACAGATGTAGCCAGGTGGGACTATGCCACCACACCTGGCTAATTAAAAAAAATTTGCATAGAGTGGGTCTTGCTATGTTTTCTTTCTTTTTTTATTGTTATTTTGAGACAAGAGTCTCACTACGTTGCCCAGGCTGGTCTTGAACTCCTGGCCTCAAGTAATCCTTCCACCTCAGCTACTTGAAGTGCTGGGATTAAAGGAATGAGCCTCCACGCCTCACCTATAACTTGCTAATTTAATAAGTTATTTTGTTTGTAGTAGTTTTCTCATGGATGCTTTTGGATTTTCTTGATACATAACTATATTATCCCAAAAAAAGATGGTTTTACTTATTTTCCAATTCCTGTGCCTCTAATTGCTTTCTATTTCCATTAGCTACTATCTCCAACACAATGTTAAAGATAAAAAATTAAAGCCAATGCTCAACTATACTAGTAATTAGGAAAATATTTCTTGTAGCAATAAAACATCGAATTGGCAAAATTAGGAAGTGCTGACCATGATGTGAAGCAATGGGAATGCTTATGATGCTAGTGTGGGTGTAAATTCATATAGCGACTTTGGAAAGCTGTTTGGAATTACCTAATAATACTGAAGATGTACTCTAAGGTCCAATCATTCCATCTCTTATGTAAAGAACAGAAAAGCTCACACATGTTCAAAAGAGATATGAACAAGAATGCTCACTGCTGTATTATTTTTAATGTAAAAACTGAAAACAATTTAAATGTCCACAGAAAGAATAACAGATATATAAGTTGTAGTATATCCTGACAAAAGAATATCTTACAGCAATTAAAACGAATGAATAAATGACATGTGTCAACATGGAGAAGTCTTAAAAACACAGTCAGAAGTGAAAAAAGCAAGTTGCAAAAAATACAATGTGATACCATTTATATGTTGTTTAAAAACATGCAAGTTAATAGTATGTAATTTTAATATTTATAAATAGTAAAAATACAACAGTACTCATATTTAGTAAAAGTATGTATGACAGTCAATAGTCTCTAGTCTTCCTAGTTATGCAACTAAGAAGTTTTCACAAATTCTTTTTGTTTGGCAATGATACATTCCATATTTCAGACACGTTTCTTCTGGGGAAGGATAAAAGAGAACGAACTTAGAGGAAGCTTCGACTGTGTTAATGCTTTATTTTTAAAACTCTATCTACCTACCTACCTACCTATCAAGTTTTATTAAAAATGGGAGTAAGAAAATTGATTTTTATTACATTGTTCTGGAACTTTTCTGTAAATTCAAGACAGTTCATAACAAATTAATTAATTAAATTATGAATTCGGTTAGAACTTCTAGAAAATTAGCCAAAATACTGACAGACTGACCCTCTCAGTGAAGTACAAGACATGAGAAAAAAAAAATATTCTTTAACTGACACAATGAGCAATGAAGACAAATCTCTTAAACAATTAACTCTGAATACAGCTGAATGAATTTTGTCATTGCTCTTCCTGCTGAGGACATCAGCCAGTAATCATATGAGGTCTATATGGGACATCAGGCTTCAGATAGAGCATGTGGGCTGTCACAGCAGAAATATTGTATACTGCATGCATGAAAGACTGTATAAAACATACATATGTTCTGCCATGTGCCATTTCCTTTCTTTAGTTTTTCTAAACTTTCTCAAACTTTTTCTAAAGTTGAGAAATATCTTAGATATTAAAGGATAAACATTTAGCATAGTTGAACCTAAGGTACAAAGTAAAACCAGCTGTTACCAGGAGATTAACTACCAAAAAAAAAAAGAAAAAGAGAAAAAAGAAATCAGACTTAAAGTCTCAGAATTAAGCCCAATTCTAAAGTGAGTATCCCTTTTATCTGGAAGAATCAATCAGTAACTCTTAGTGACAAGTGAGTTCACAACACTACACAAAAATAGAATTAGAAAGGAAATAGACTAGAATCCAGCCCTCAAGTATCTTATTTCAAAATAATGTATGTGTCATTTATAGATAAGGTTTATGAGACTCTTCGGGCAGAAAAGAAAAATGTCAAGTAGAGACAAATACAGAGGAAGCAAGAGCTCCTTTACAGTAACAAATACCACAGGCCTCTCCTGCTTAACTGTTAGCAGTACAAGGCCCCTGGGTGTTCACCTCTGATGCAGCATCATTAACCCCTGCCTTCTGCTCTACAAATCTAATTTCTCCAGGAGGCTGTCCAGATAGCCACTTCCTTAGACCAGGAGAGAAATTACTCCGATGGGGTTTGGGGAGCAAATGTTAATGTGTTACTTACCTGGGGACAGTTGGCTACATGGCATCTAGTATATTCACCCATCAGTTAGAAAGATAATTTTTAGCTACTACTTTTATGCAACAAGAGTGCCAAACTCATCTCAATATTCAGAAGTAAAGGTCAGCAAACTTTTTTGTAAAGGGCCAGATAGTAAATATTTTACTATCTGTTTACAGGGCATCTATCACAACTACTCAACTCTACTGTACCATGGCAAATGCAGACACAAATAATATGTATACAAATAGACATGGCTGTATTTCATTAAAATTATAAAAGCAGGGCGAGGTCCCGGATTTGTCTTAGTGGCTATAATTTGCCTACCCCTGATCTAAAGCAATTAAGGACACTTTGAAAGGGAACTGTCCCATATGCCCATGTTAAGTTCTTTTTACTTTTTAAAGCCCAATTCAATCCCATCTTCAAAAAATACACATCAATTACTTATATGTAAGCCCTGCTTCCCTCAATGAAACCTTTCTATCTCATTTTCCAGGCCTCACTGCCCTGCTTCCTCTGAACAAAACACATAATGCAGGATTTTTAGCCTTTCAGAGATTAAGGAGCCCTTTTAGAAACTGGTGAAAGTTATGAACACTTGCCAAGCAAATGCACACATACATATGCATAATTTTATATCCCTTTTTATAGAGGTCACTGATACCCTGGAATTTGCTGGAAGTGAAGCTAGTATGTCCAAGGATTCCAGGTTGCTGCCATACCTCTTGAATTAGTTACTAACAAACATCTCACAGTTACTGTGGGACAGGAATTTGAAAACAACTTAGCTGGGTGGCTCTGGTTTAGAATCCCTCATGTGGCTGAAGTTGTTTGTGAAAGGAAAATAAAATCTCAGGACCCTAATTCACTATGCCAACAGGAAAAAATTAAACTGAAAGCTGAGTCATGAGAGAAATTGCCTTTCCTTTTTTTATTTTTTTGAGACAGAGTCTCACTCTGTCGCCCAGGCTGGGGTGCAGTGGTGCTATCTCAGCTCAATGCAACCTCCACCTCCTGGGTTCAAGGGATTCTCCTGCCTCAGTCTCCCAAGTAGCAGGGACTGCAGGTATGCACCAGCACACCCAGCTACTTTTTGTATTTTTAGTAGAGACACGGTTTCACCATGTTGGACAGGCTGGTCTTGAACTCCTGACCTCAGGTGATCTACCCACTGTGGCCTCCCAAAGTGCTGGGATTACAGGCATGAGCCACCACACCTGGCCTGCCTTTCCTTTTGTTCCTAAGCAGATAGCTACAGATAAAAGGTTAAGAATCTCCACAGATAGCTACTCTTATGTTCACCCTATCTTATGTAAAGTGCTGGGTTACTGAGCGCTAGATGAATACATAATTAACTATTCCTCTACCTGCTCCTTTTCTCTCGCAACATATGGATTCAGTAATGTGACCGTACTCTCCCTCTTTCCCCTCCAGCCCTTTTCCCCTTTATATAAATACTGAAGCCCTCAAAATCATCTTTGGAAAAAGGCATGAACCACAGATTGTTCCCATGAACTTGGGGTCCTTTTTTCAAGGCATGTCTTTGGCATTGGCAAAATAAACTTCTAAATTGATTGAGAACCATTTCAGATACTTTTTGGTTTACACGGTCAAGATGCCAACAGGGACTATAGTTGTCCACAGGCCGGATGGGGGATAGGGTTACTGCTTCCAAGATGGTACCTTCACAGGGCCACTGGCAGGAGGCCTCAGTTCCTTACCATGTGGGCTCTCCATAGGCCCTGGTGTCCTCATGTTGGCAGCTGGATTCTCACAGAAGGAGTGCTCAAGACACAGAGCAAGGAAGAATCCACTGTGCCTTTTATGACCTACTCCCAGAATTAAAACTGTCATATAATCTTTGTTCTATCCCTGAGGAGTCAGTAAGTCCAGCCCACACTCAAGAAATTAAGCTCCACCTCTTAAAGAAAGGAACATGAAAGAATTTTTAAAACCACATCTTACAACCATCAATACCTCCAAGGAACTCAATGATACCAAGAAGGTGGTATTATGTTTAATCTGCCTGGAATCCCTCACTGTTCCTAGCACCATAATTATTACATAAATACCTGGCATGACTCATCACTATATTGAGTTAGGTAGGGGTCAAGTAGTTTTTTATAACAATTTTGTGAATTTGGTAGCAATCTTCAGAAGTATCTAAATAGAATCTTTAACTCTCATAAATGAATTAAACTATAAAATGAAGAATAGATGACAATTCCTAAACTATGCTCCCACAGCTTAAGTGTAAATCCTCCTCCTCCAAATTCTGGCAGGAAGATCTTACATAAGAAGGTAAAAAAGGATAAATTTTGTTAAGAAATTTATCATTTTGAAAATTAAAAAAAGAACAAAATAAGCATAGCAATCCCTGAGCAGTTAAGATTTACTTTCTTAACTGAAGAAAGAACCATCTTCTGACCATTTCCTGAATTCCCAACTTTCAGATTTTCCCCTTAAGGTTTTTCACCCAAGTTCTGTGTATATATAAACCTGCTAAGCACACAGCCTCAGGTGGTAGAGCTGCCACACATAATCAATAAGGTCATAGAGAATTAAATGTACAAGTCACATTGGCATTAATTAGTGTACCTGTAAAAGTCCCTAATATATAAATTAAGATCTTCATGTAAAACAAAAAACAAAAAACAAAAATCCCGAAAAGTTTAAAGTTTTTATTACATTTTCTTTTGTTTTAATAGATTCCAGCACAAACATGCACAGAGAATGTATATAAGTATTCCAAGATGTCTTGGAATAATAAGCACTCCAACATTTATAGGTCATGTCTCTAAGGTAAAGAAGTAGATTTGTAGTTAGTCTGTACCTTTGTACCTTTAAAGACATCTGCATTCCTTTTTTTTTTTTTTTTTTTTTTTTGAGATGGAGTCTCGCTCTGTTGCCCGGGCTGGAGTGGAATGGCACGATCTCAGCTCACTGCAACCTCTGCCTCCTGGGTTCAAGCAATTCTCCCGCCTCAGCTTCCTGAGTAGCTAGGATTACAGGTGCCTGCCACCACGCCTGGCTAATTTTTGTAATTTTAGTAGAGATGGGGTTTCACCATGCTGGCCAGGCTGGTCTCAAACTACTGACCTCAGGTGATCTGCCTGCCTTGGTCTCCCAAAGTGCTGGGATTACAGGCGTGAGCCACCACGCCCAGCTGACATCCATATTCTTTAGGGAAGGGAGTATAAAGTAGGAGAAACTGAATTTCCCAATGGAAATGTGAGCTAAAAGTAGATGATAGCTTTGGAATGAACAGTTACACGCCTTCTTTTTTCTTCTTCTGTGGGAAATGGGCACTATGGGTCCCTGGCTGTGTGTGTATACTTGAATATCAGATCCAGTAGTTGTAATTCCTCATGCTATCTAAAATTCTGGGAATCCAGCATACTGGACAGGTTCAACAATGAGAGGCTGGTATACATAGTGATGTCATTTGACATATTTCATATTATAAACCATTCCAGAGCTTACTTCTATTTGAGTCCTTTACTAAGAACTACCTCTGCCACCTGGGTATTTGTCAGATAAGTGGCGATGGTTTACATAATACTAGATACAGATTAGTCCCAGTAAGTCCCATTATTAGAGTATGTGTTCCACAACTGCAGCAATTTTGTAGTTTTTATTTACTAATGCGGACCTACCACCTAACACAGTATCAGTTAGTTGAATCTATGAATACACAAATAAATAAAGCTTTCACCTTATCTCTGGTGTTAGGTTATTGTGACAGAGAAAGAAACGGGGTCGGGGGGGAGAGAGAGAGAGAGAGAGACAGAGAGAGAGAGAGAGTCAGCAAAAGTATAATTCATTATTCAAGTGTCTTAAAGTATATTAATTTTAAATGCATAAATATAAATTCTCTTCCTTTGATGTACAGGTACTCTTGGAAATTACCAACGTATGACTGTCCTCTTCCAATCTTTTCCTCTTGCACGACTGTACCCAAGCTGTATTTGGCAGACACTGACACCTATCAGCCGACAGAAAATGGTTTCCCTCTGTGAATATACAGTCATCCCTCAGTATCCATAGGGGATTGGTTCCAGGACTGCCCTCAGCAAAAATCCACCCATGTTCAAGTCCCTTATGTAAAAATGACATAGTATTTGGATTAACCTATGCAAATCCTCCTGTATACTTTAAATCATCTCTAGATTATTTATGATACCTAATACAATGCCTACACATCACTTCATTCATGTGGATTCAACATAGGAATCAGTGTGCTACAAATCCAAGTATTGCTTTTTGAATTTTGTGGGGATTTTCTCCCCCAAAATATTTTCTTTCTGAGGTTGGCTAAAACCATGGGTGTGGAACCCATGGTGACAGAGGGTTAACTGTACATTCTCCAATCTTCTTCCTTAAATTCTTATTTTCCAACTTTGGTCCAATTAATAACAGGGAAATCTCTTTCTACATTCACTCCACTGACATACAGGATATTCTTGTAGAATTTATCAAAAGTGTATTCTCTGGACCTAGGGTTCTCATGAAAAAGAGTTCCATGATCATATGAGATTCATAGTGCTACACATTGTATGTTTGCCAATTTCCCTATTTTGACTTCATTAATCTAGAAACAAACTCTGTGATAAAATTAGCAAGGTTAAGTCACTTCACCAGTAAAGGTACTATTTGAAATTGCTAAAAGGAGAAAAATGATGGAAATAACACACACTAGGGAAACAGGAGCAAAACAATAATCATAGGGCCTAAAATAAACTTCTATGTATGCATGTGTTTATTTTTATTTAATTCCCAAAGATGTAAGAAATAATTTATTAGCCATGGACAACAGAAGAAAAAATTTTAATACATTTGTTAGTGAAGACCTTACCCATGCAATACTTATAACTAAAAACACCAATTTATATATCAATCCCCTACTTACAGAAATATTACCAAAAAAATAGACTCTAATTGAAATAGAAAGTTTAGAGTCCCATGGGTAATTATATACTCTTAGCAAACACAATGAACTGTATATGACCTGCATAGATCAATTAATATTTGAGCAGTAGCAGTATTCCATTCTGATTGGACATGACAGAGAGTATGACAGACACAGCAGAAAGCAGGGTTAGGGAAAGAAACTGGAGCCAGGCTCTAGAAGACCTTTAATACTAATCCAAGGAGATAAGGATTTGGGACAGGCAAACAGAGGCAGGGGTATGATTGCAATGACCAAGCTGGGTGGATTCGAGGTGACACAGGTTGAAGAGATGCATGTAAACACCACATGAAGAGGGACAAACACCTGAACTAGGTTGATGCAATGATGAAGAGAAAAGAAAGAATGGATGTGAAGGAGTTTTTGAAGGCAGAGTGAATATGACTTCATAATAGGTTGGATGTGGGGGAAGTTGGAAACAATTAAAGACAAACTTTAGGTTTTGAGTCCAGGTGACTAGGAGAATCATGATGCCATTGGTAGACATACACATAAGAGGAAAGATATATTTGCCAGGAATGGTAATGAGTTTCTTCTACCTTGAGCATACTGAATTTGAGAAGTTAGTGTGATATGCAGCAGAGACAACATAGAGACAAGAGGGAGAAGTAAACAACTTAAGTGAAAGGTAGGACTTGAAATGTAGGCTTGAATTTTTTACTCAACAGAAATCAGAGTTTCCTTTATGAGAGCAGATGAGCTTAGCAAAGGGGAAGAAGAAGGCAGGGAGAATCCCCTGCTAGCAGGCTACAGGAAAAAGTATAAATGAGAAGGAAAAAGGGAAGAGGCCAAAAGAAAGAGGAAAGGGAAGAGGTCAGAGGCCAGAGGCAAACCAGGAGAATGCCACGGCAAACACTTCCAAGAAGAAACCATGAATAATGCCAAACGCTAAGGATTGAGAAAAAGCAAATGATTTTGCTTAACAGGTGTGTTCATTTGAGATCTTTGACTCAGCAGTTTCAGTAAATGATTGCGGTAAAAGCATATGTGGACATGCTAGAAAGATCTCCTTAAACATGATACAAAAGCAAAAGCCTTCAATTTCAATTGTGACAGTATCAAAATTTAAAACTTGTTTGTCAAAAGAAATTATATAATTTAAAAGTAAGTTATAGGGTGAAAAAAAGACTACTCATCAAAACCAGATAAAGGATTAATACTAACAATCACACACACACACACACACACACACAGTCACCAACTTAAGTAAGCAAAGGAACATGAACAGGCTATTCACAGAAAAGGAAGCTCAAATGTCTAATAAACATAAACAGAGATGTTCAACCACACTAGTAATCAGAGAAACAGTCATTTAAAAAAGGTGCAATTTTATCAGGCCAAAATTAGTAAGCCTGATAGTATCAAGTATTGTAACAGGTATGAGGAGAAAAACAAACGCGTCAACTAGAAAAGCCCATAGGAGAGAATTGGACAGTAGCTCTTAACCTTTAAAAACATCAGTAGGGCTGGGCATGGTGGCTGCCTGTAATCCCAGCACTTCGGGAGGCCAAGGCGGGTGGATAACTTGAGGTCAGGACTTGGAGACCAGCCTGGCCAACATGAGGAAACACCGTCTCTACTAAAAATACAAAAATTAGCCAGGTGTGGTGGCAGGCACATGCAATCCCAGCTACTGGGAGGCTGAGGCAGGAGAATCACTTGAACTGGGAGGCAGAGGTTGCAGTGAGCTGAGATCATGCCACCGCACTCCAGCCTGGGAGACAGAGCAAGACTCCATCTCAAAAAAGCAAAAAACAACAGTAGTAGGGAGCACTTCTATCCACTGATAAAAAAGAACCAGAACTTCTTTTATGGCTGATTCTAGGGCTGGGGCTGGGAAAATGGGAAAATATAAGGTGAGTCTGGAGTATTTTGTGAGATCAGAAAGCAAGGAGGTGCTCAAAAATCAAAAGTATGAGGTTAGGCAAAGGGACATGAGAGTCAACCCAAGACTCCCAATGGCCAAAGCTGGAACAATTTGAGCAACAAAATAAATAAATAAATAAATAAATAAATAAATAAATAAATAAATAAAATCATAGTATGGATTATAACCCAAATTATAAAATAAATATACATGAGTCCTTAAAATATAATTGAATGAACAAACAATAGAGAAAAAACAAATCTTCTTGCCTAAAAATTCCAAATAAAATCTACAGACAATACCTTCCTCCAGGAGATAGAGCTTATCACTCCTACCCCTTTGAGTGTGGGCTGGATTTAGTGACTCAATTCCAAAGAATACAGCATGAGAAGGGAAAAAGAGTAGCTTGGTGGAAAAACCTGACCAACACTACCTTGGCTAAGTAATCAAGACTAACATTGCCGGTGATGGAAGGTGGATACCCTAATATGATGTGATGCTATTTTCTCCAAACCCACAACCCAGTCTAATCATGAGAAAAACATCAGGCATGAAGGGATATACTACAAAATGCCTAACCAATACTCCTCAAAACTGTCAAGGTTATGAAAAACAAGGAAAAACTATCATAGTCTAGAGAAGACAAAGGAGATATGACAAATTAATGCAATGTGGTATCATGAATTGGATCCTGGAATAGAAAAAAGGACATTCCTGGAAGACCTGGTGAAATGTGAATATAGTCTGAAACATAGTTAATAGCAGTGCACCAATGTTGGTTTCTTAGTTTTGACAAAGATGTCATGATAATATTATCATCTTACATTAGGGGAAACTGAAAATGGGTTAGGGGTACACAGGAACAATCTGTACTAACTTTGCAACTCTTCTAAATTACTTCTAAATTTTAGTAATTCTAAAATTACTCCAAAGTAAAGTTTTTAAAGATGTAAAATAAATATACCCCAAGAACAACACCACCACTTCTTTCCATCCACTTTAAAGAAATTGTTGCAGAGGTGCACAAGAAGGCATGTGCAAAGGTCTTCACTGCAGAATTGTATCAAAGAAAAATTTAAAATAATTTTAATAGAATGACGAAATAAATCATGAAATACATTATGGAATATAGGTTTAAAGAATGAGATACATCTATATGTACTGAGAAGACATAATGGGGTGAAAAATAAATTGCAGAAGGACACTATGGTATATGACATTATTTATGTTAAAAAAAAGAAAAACGTGCCCGGGTGCAGTGGCTCACGCCTGTAATCCCAGCATTTTGGGAGGCAGAGGCGGGAGGATCACAAGGTCAGGAGATCGAGACCGGCCTGGCTAACATGGTGAAACCCCGTCTCTACTAAAAATACAAAAAATTAGCCAGGCATGGTGGCGGGTGCCTGTAGTCCCAGCTACTTGGGAGGCTGAGGCAGGAGAATGGTGTGAACCCAGGAGGCGGGGCTTGCAGTGAGCCGAGATGGTGCCACTGCATTCCAGCCTGGGCGACACAGCAAGACTCTGTCTTAAAAAAGAAAAGAAAAGAAAAAGGAAAACACAATAGTTTTTGTATATACTTCCAGGGGCATATATAAATATATGTATATGCGTAGGTAAAGGTCTGGAAACATACACAGCAACCTGGTTACAGTGGTTATACAGACGGGAGTGAAATTAGAAATGGTAGTCCACGGATTTGAACTTGACCCTGTGATTTGAAATTATTTTACAAGGAGAATGCCTTCACCATTTACCTGGGGAATTAGGAATGATTGATTTTTTTTTAAGTACGGGAATTTTTTCTGACATGGAGAGAAAATGACAAGAGTAAGGTTCTGGCAGTTGATATTGTGCAGTGAGGCAGAGGGTGTCCCATGGAGGACAGTGCTATTGCTAGAGGCCTTTGGCCTGAAGCCTTGCATAGGTACCTGGGACAAGCACTTCCTCCCACAATGGATGTTACAGCAGCAGCTAGACTTAACAGTGGGAACTCCAATAATTAAATGTTCCGTTTATTTTGCTTTGCAATAGAGGTACATGCACCTGGAAGGCTCTTACAGCCATCTGGATAAAAAGTCCCCAAGTGATAATGAAAGAAACTGACTTCTTCCCTCTACTCCAGCTGACTTTAGGATCCAAAGATCATTTTTCAACCTTAATGTCTAAAATAAAAGCAGAACCACAGGAACACTGCAGTTCCTTTACATAATAAATGTCAAATTAAAATTCTGGCAGACACTAAAGATTACGCACCTTTTTCTTTATACTTATCATCTCACATTAGGCCAATACATTTCCTTACAAAATGGGATTACAAAAATCATATGGAAAATCTGGAAGGAAATTTAACTCAGGGCATGTGTCTGAATAAGTGCTAAAACTCCATTAAGGGATTAGAGTTTTTCTTAATATATTTTAAGGGGATCATTTCCCATCAATAATCTTTGGTACTTAAAAAAATTTTTTAAGAAGCTTCAAATATATAATTAAAAGCTTTCTCTTCTACCAGATCTAAGTTTCAGTAAGTGATTAAAAACTATAGCCTCTTTCCAACTCTTAAGTCATTAAAACAGGCCACACAGATTCTACAGTCCATCACTATAATAATACTTAATACAAGAGTTACACAGTACTCTTTGCATGGGGACAACCAAACTTTAACCCTGATGAACTCAACTGTCCGCTTTCTCTGTGCTTGTGCTTAGTAGATGATAAGCTGGAAAATGTCACAGCATAAGAAAGGTTAATATCACTATGAATTTGTGATCATGAACCTCAAATGGGCAATGAACTATGCCTACCAAGTCCACACATTTCTGGTCATCTCACTCATCTCCTTTCCAAATGACCATTTTAAATCTTCTCCATTCTCCTCAAATCTGCAACCGTCCACTACCGTTATCCCTTCTCCCTCTTGTGCCTCCTCCCTCTTTACTCCTATCTTACAGATAAAACAGAAGCCATCAGAGGACAAGTATTTCATCTTCTCAAAACCTATATGCAAATCTTTTCCAGCCACTCCAATACTGATCTCCTTCTGTCCTGTTACAAAAGGAGAGCTATCCTGCTCCTGAGGCTGGTCGGTCCACCAGAGCTTGAGATACCAGACCTTTCCATCTTGTCCTGGAATCCTGCCTCATCAGTCATACCTTCTTTCTCATGTGTAATCAACCTCTTCTCAACAGGACCTTCCCTGTTGGCTTTTATATTTTTTGAGACAGGCTCACTCTGTCATCCAGGCTGGAGTGCAGTGGCGCGATCTAGGCTCATGGCAACCTCTGCCTCTTGGGTTCAAGTGGTTCTCCTGTCTTAGCCTCCCAAGTAGCTGGGACTATAGGTGCACACCACCACACCCAGCTAATTTTTGGATTTTTAGTAGAGACGGGGTTTCACCATGTTGGCCAGGCTGGTCTTGAACTCCTGACCTCAAGTGATCCACCCACCTCAGCCTCCCAAAGTGCTGGGATTATAGGCATGAGCCACTGCACCCAGCCCCCTGTTGGCTTTTAAATGGACTCAAGTCAGTCTAACCCCACCTGCCTACCTTAAGTCAGCTTCCCATCCCCTTCCTCTCTGTTCTGCCGTTCACAGCCAAACTTCCTGAAACAGTGGTCCACACTTACTGTTTGTCATATCACCTCTCATTCACTGCTCACCCATTCCACCCCAGCTCTCATCCCAGGCACCCAAGATAATTCCTGTAAAAGTCACTAATAACCTTTGTAATCTACATCCAATGCATGTTTTACATTCAACATCTTACCTGACCTCTCTCTCAGCAGCGTTTGACTACTTTCTCCTTCTTAAAGCAGTTTCCTCCCTTAGCCTCTAAAAAGCAATACTGTTGTTTTCCTCCTGTCTCACCACTCCTCTATCTCCTTTCCAGACTCACCCTCCTTCAATTAGCCTATAAATGTGGGAGTTCTTCACTGCTCTGTCTTCCATTCTTTCTTCCTAAATAATCTTACCCATGCCATTGGCTTCAATTACAACCAATATGCAGATGACTCACAAATTTACAAATCCAGCCCCAACCTTTTATTTGAACCCCAGGTCTATATATTAACATTCTATTTGCTATTCTCTCTTGAACAACTCAAATGCACCTCAAACTCAACATGTATAAAAGTGAACCAATTATCTTCTCCCAAAACTTTATCTTCTTCCAATATTATCTATCCCAGTATATAGTGGCCCATTCCTCAAATCCAATCAATCATCAAGTATGCAATTTTACTTACTAAGTATCTCTCAAATCTATTGCAGCTACCATCACCCAGGTCCAAACTAAAATAATTTCTCTTAGGCTACTGCAATAGCTTCCTATCTGATCTACCCAAATCCAACTATTCTCTAGATGGTTGCCAGAACAATCTTCCTGAAGCTTAAATTAAACCACCTCTTGCTTCTCTCTGGATAAAATGTTCAATCGGTTCTTATTGTTCTTAGGATAAAGACTAAATTCTTTCAAGTCCCTTTGGGTCCCTGAGTTGGTCTGTCTCTTCCCTACTCTATGCCTGTTTCTCTCTCTCTCTATTACAGCCACCCTGACCTTCCCATCCCTTGTACTCACTGTACTGCCTCCCACCCCTTGCCTAGAAGCTCTTCACAGTAAACTCCTTCTCCTCCTTCAGGCAGCAGTCAAGCATCAATTCTTTTTTTTTTTTTTTTGAGACGGAGTCTCGCTCTTGTTGCCCAGACTGAAGTGCAATGGGGCGCTCTCGGCTTACCGCAACCTCCGCCTCCTGGGTTCAAGTGTTTCTCCTGCCTCAGCCTCCTGAGTAGCTAGAATTACAGGCATGTGCCACCACACCTGGCTAATCTTGCATTTTTAGTAGAGATGGGGTTTCTCCATGTTGGTCAGGCTGGTCTCGAACTCCCTACCTCAGGTGATCTGCCAGCGTTGGCTTCCCAAAGTGCTGGAATTACAGGCGTGAGCCACTGAGCCCGGCCCAAGCATCAGTTCTTCATGGACTCCTATCCTGACCCAGTTGGTCTCTCTCTGATTTGTTCTCATAGCACCATTTATCTCTTCATCATAGCACTGATCAGTTTGCAGTTTTACATTTACTTATTTTTCCTGCTAGATTGTAATAAGTCTGTGATACAAGGTCTCTTTTAGCTCAATATTAAATTCCTAATACCTAGCACAAGAGTACACATTTAATAAGTATTTGCTGAACGAATCAATGACCTTCTCTAATACCTGAAGTTGAAAACTTTTCTATTAGTTGTCCAGATTCTATGGATTCTTACAATTCAGCTTCTTTTGTCTAGTTTCATTGAAAATGCCTTATCCCTTTATATATAAATTTCCTACAGCAGCCTTGTAGGATGTAGCCTTAGCTTTAGCTTCTCTCCAGTTCACCTCTTACTACACAAAATTAACAGGATGCTGGGCAATATCTTCTTACAGGCAATCAAGATGGTAACAGGAAAGCGGAAGGACTACAAGGAAAGGGAAGCTTGAAGCCACTCCATCTGAGAATGTTTGGCCTGGAGAGAGTAGCAGGTTACCTGAATCTCTGAAGAGCTATCATATTCAAAAAATAGCAGCTCTGGAAGAGTGTCTAGGAAGCAGATTTCTCTCAAATAAAAGGAAGACCATTCTAACAATTAGAAATTCAGTGTAGTTGCTTTCCAAGTCATAACTTTGCCATAACCCAGTGGATTCAAGCACAATCTGGTGAAACGCGTATCACAGAGATTCTTAAATATCACCTCATATCACAGTGATTCTTAATTTTTTTTTTCAGCTGTGGAACCCTTTCTTCCAAAAAACCCTCTTGAGTAGAGACTAATATTTGAAAGAAATAAATGTGAGCATCTCTACAGTAGGTGTCTGACCCCCACCCCACCTTCCCAAGCCCTCTGGAAGCCACATACTCTCCCATTAGCTAGAATCCACTATTTGAACATGTGGATGCTTTTGCTGCCCAGCTCTTTTCAGTTTTTCCTGGAATAGGGGTGGAGTGGGGGACAGTACTTTCTACCTTTTGTTCTATTTTCTTTAATTCAGCAAAAGAATACTGTTCTCCATGAAAACCTGTTCCGTAGATGCTGTGGTTTGAATGTTTGTGGCCTCTCCAAAAGTCATTTTGAAACTTAATTTCCAATGCAACAGTATTTAGAGGTAGGGCTTTTGAGAGGTGATTAGACCATGATGGCTCTGCCCTCATGGATGAGATTAGCACCTTTTAAAAGGGCTAGTGGGCCAAGCGTGTTGGCTCACCCCTGTAATCCCAGCACTTTGGGAGGCCAAGGTGGGTGGATCACCTGAGGTCAGAAGTTCGAGACCAACCTGGCCAACCTGATGAAACCTCGTCTCTACTAAAAATACAACAATTAGCTGGGCGTGGTAGCGGGCACCTGTAATCCCAGCTACTTGGGAGGCTGAGGCAGGAGAATCACTTGAACACAGGAGGCAGACGTTGCGGTGAGCCGAGATTGCGCCATTGCACTCCAGCCTGGGCGACAGAGTGAGACTCCGTCACAAACAAACAAACAAAAGGCTGGTGGGGGCTAGCTGGGCCCTTTTGGCCTTCCATCCCTTCTATCCTGTAAGGATATAGCAACAAGGCACCATCTTGGAAGCAGACATGGGGCCCTCACCAAACATCAGACCTGCTGGCACTTTGATCTTAGACTTCCCAGCCTCCAGAATCCAGATAAATACATTTCTGTTGTTTATAAATTATCTAGTCTCAGGTATTTTGTTATAGCGGCACAACAGACTAAGACATTAGCATTTATATAGATTTTGGTTTTTTGAATAAATTCTGGGGGTGTATTTACCATGCTGCCTTAACGTGACTGTAAGTTCCTGTTTGGCAAAATCTTTGTTCTCCTGCTTCAAAATCACTTATTAATACAGTAGCAAGTATAGCAGGAGGTAATAAAAAAGAGAAAAAAGAAAAACTTAGACCTTTCTCATATGAAAGGTTAAGACAACTACTTCAGGTCTGACTTATAAAACTATCTCACATACGATTAGAAAACATAGAACAGAGAAGAAACAATTTTATTTACAGATTTCCCTTCCATCCTCTACCCAATCCCAGTCCCCAAGCCATTTGTATTCTCACAGATCATGATTATACTTGTCTCATATTTTTTCATCAAAAGAAGGAAACCAGATTCTCCTCAAGGAAGCAATCTGAAGAGAATAACTGCTTTTCATAGGACACCTGTTATTTCTAGTAAAAAAAAAAGCTGACTTTTATTATACGTCTTATTTTCTGTCTCTTCTTTTATGATTACTACTGGATTCATGGATAGTATACGAATTTCAAATAAAACAAGTTTTAGTTTAGGCCATTGTACAGTCATGTGTCGCTTAACAACGTGCATACATCCTGAGAAATGCATTATTAGGCAATTTTGTCTTTGTGTGAACATCATGGAGTGTACTCAGACAAACCTAAGTGATACAGTCTATTATTCCTAGGCTACAGACCCATAGCGCACATTACTGCATTGAATACTGTAGGCAATGGTAACACAATGGTAATTATCTATGTATCTAAACATATCTAAACACAGAAAAGGTACAGGAAAGATAGAGTATTATAATTTTATGGGACCACTGCCATATATGCAGTCTGTCATTGCAATGTCACTGTGCAGTTCATGACTGTACTTACAAGTCTAAAGGAGATATTTGCCATTTACAAATGAAAGAAGTATGTGCTTAATTTGCTTAATAATGAATGGTCCCTAGATGTACACATTTTGGTGATAATACTAACAGACAAATATGTGAAAAGTGATTTCAAATGATGCATTTATATTTTTCCATAGGCACCTAACTACTTCTCTGTATCTTTAGAGTAATTTCCATTCAATGGATTCTTGTTCTAAGGAGCTAAGGCATTGGACTTCTAAAGAAAACCACATTTGTACCCATAAATTCTGATCTATAACATCAGATATGAACATACTGTAAATCAGAAGTTTCTGCTACTGATGTTACAGATTAAGAGGCATAAATTTCACTGAATATAGTATAGCAAACAATACATTTTGGGGAGTAATCAAAAGTCTGACACATTCTAAACTACCAGGAGAATTTCTCTTGAGGAAAAATATACATTCACAGTGGCCTTTTCACATCTCCTAATATTTTATGGTGAGAGACTACACGATACAATGAAAAGCACTGAATTTGAAATCAGGACAACCCAACTCTAATTCTGGTTTTGTCAGTAACATACTGACTAACTGAAGTTATTTCTCTTTTTTGTACTCAGATTTCTCAATTGTAAAATGTAAGACTTGAACATTCATTTCTGAAGTTTAAGTATATCCCACACTGCAAAGTCAGTGTACCCAATTGGGATGCACTGACAATGTCACCTTGTGACTCCTAAGTGGGAAGTGGAATAAACACTTACTTGAGATTGTTTAATAATTTTGTTTAATAATAATGTTCTTTAGGATTTGGTGACACTTGTCAATTCATTCATTCATTTACTCTAGCATCATATTCACACACTATTCAAATAAGTTAGCATAAATTGTTTTAGCAGGTTACACAACTATTAAATAATAGTCTTAGATACTCTGCTGGATATAAAATCAGTATAATTAACCTTTGTTTCTTTTGTTTTTAATCAACCAAAAAGACAATTTCCTCTAAATCTTCTCAAAACCACCTAATTTAATTTCCAAATTTATTTCAGGCAATGACAGTCTCTGCCACATCAGGTGCAGAGTATCAGAATTAAGCAGAGTTTGGCAATGATATCTTGGAAATGACACTAAAAGCACAGGCAACAAAAGCAAAAATAGAGAAATGGGACTATCTCACACTTAAAAACCTTTGTGCATCAAAAGACACAATGAACAAAGTGAAAAAGCAAACTCCAGAATGAGAGAACATATTTGCAAATCATACATCTCATAAGGGATTATTATCCAGAATATAAAGCATTCCTACAACTCAATAACAAATTAAAAGGAATTGATTAAAAAGGGGCAAAGGACTTAAACAGGGATTTCTCCAAAAATGATATACAAATAACCAACGAACACGAAAGGATACTCGATATCACTAATCAGCAGAAAAATGCAAATTAAACCACAATGATATCACCTCACATCCATTATGACGGCTATTATTAAAAAAAAAAACAGAATAACAAGCGCTAGCAAGGATGTGGAGAAACTGGACTGCTTGTGTACTTTTGATAGGATTGTAAAATGCTGCAACTGCTATAAAAGACGGTATGAAGGTTCCTCAAATAATTAAAAATAGAACTATCATATAATCCAGCAAACCCACTTCTAGATATATATCCAAAAGAATTGAGACTGAGCATGGTGGCTCAGGCACATAATCTCAGCATTTTGGAAGGCTGAGGCTGGAGGATTGCTTGAGACTAGGGGTTTAAGACCAGCCTGGGCAACATAGTAAGGTGCGGTCTCTATTTTTTTTTTTAATTAAAAGAAAAAAAAAAGAATTGCAAACAGGGCCTCAAAGAGATATTTGCACACCAATGTTCATAGCAGCACTATGCAAAATAGCCAAGAGGTAGAAGCAACCGAAATGTCCACTGACAGACGAAAAGATAAACAAAATGTGATATATACATACCATGGAATGATATTCAGCCTTTAAAAGGATGGAAATCCTGTCACATACTACTATGTGAATAAAACTTGAGGACATCATGCTAAATGAAATAAGCTAGTCACAAGAAGACAAACACTGTGATTCTACTTACACAAGATATCAAAAAGTAGTCAATGTTGGCCAGGCACGGTGGCTCACACCTATAATCCCAGTACGTTGGGAGGCTGAGATGGGTGTATCACTTGAGGCCAGGAGTTTGAGACCAGCCTGGCCAACACGGTGAAACCCCGTCTCTACTAAAAATACAAAAATTAGCCAGGCATGATGGCTCACGCCTGTAATCCCAGCTACTTGGGAGGCTGAGGCAGGAGAACCACTTGAACTTGGGAGGCAGAGGTTGCAGTGAGCAGAGATAGCACCACTGCACTCCAGCCTGAGTGACAGAGTGAGACTCTGTTTCAAAAAACAAACAAACAAAAAAAAAAAAGTAGCCAATGTTATGGACTGAATTGTGTCCCTTCAAATTAAGAAGTTGAAGCCCTAACCCCAATGTCCTTGTATTTGGAGATAGGACCCTGCTTTTCCTGTATTTGGAGATAGGACCCCAATGTCCCTGTATTTGGAGATAGGAGGTCATTAAGATTAAATGAGGTCATAAAGATGGGTCCCTAATCTGATAGGGCTGCTGTCCTTACCAGAAGAGGAAGAGACACAGGAGATCTCTCTCTCCTTTGACATGTGCAGGAGGAAAGGCCATGCAAGGACACAGAGAGAAAACAGCCATTTACAAGCCAGGAAGACAGCCCTCACGAGAAACCAACCCTTGATCTTGGACTTTTACCCTCTAAAATTAGACTTTTAGCCTCCAGAAAAAAATAAATGTCTGTTGTTTAAGGCATCTAGTCTGTGGTATTTTGCTATGGCAGCTCTAGTCAACTATAATATAGTCAAATTCATAGAAGTAGTAAGTAGAATGGTGGTTACCAGAGGCTGGGGTGAGTGGGAAAGAGGGTTGTGGTTTAATGAGTATGGAGTTTCAGATTTGCAAGATAAAAATGTTTTGGAGATCTGTTTCACAATAGAATATACTTAACGCTACCAAAATATACACTTAAAAATGGTTAAAATGGTAAATTTTGTGTTATGTGTTTTTAAACATAATTTTTAAAATTAAGTAGAGTTTCAATTTTCCTGCTGAAATAAAGAAAAAAAGATAAGGAAATACTAGTTTACAAGTAAAGACAACTACTAATACTATTCTAGGACTATGAAATATATATGGGTGTGGTTACATTTGTTTTTATTTCATTGGGAAAAAATAACATTTTTTAAACTGTCTAAAGCTAAAACAACACATCTATTTTAGAGGCAATATTTAGCAATATGTAGCAAAATAAAGAAACCAAATTAGTTTATAGTTTAGTCTCTATATTCTACTAAAGCTGAAGATAACATTTCATCATCATTTTTCCTTCAATATATTTTGTGAGAAAATATTAATAATAGTCAAATGTAGAATTGTTCTTCTCAGCTCAAATTTCCACATTCCTAAGTTAGATATTTTATCCTTTCAAAAAGGTGGGAAGAACCACTACCAATACCAATACTAGGACTCATGTAACTTACAAAGTGAAGAGAATTCAATTTTAGCTTAAATAAAAAACACTTCTTTACTCCCTACTAATTGTATTCTCCTAAGTCTTTTTCTCCTAAAAATACAAAAACAAGGAGCTTGATAACTATGAAATTCTTCACCAGTATTTAATAAAAACAAATCTACTCTTCATATTTCCAAAACAGAAAAAGAGAAGTATGACATAAACATTTATATTTTTTGTCACTTATTCTGTTTATCCTAACAAAGTTAAAGTGGATTATATTTAATAGAAATTTTGGCTCACCGGGTACGGTGGCTCATGCCTGTAATCCCAACATTTTGGGATGTTGAGGTGGGTGAATCACTTGAGCCCAGCAGTTCGAGATAAGTCTGTGCAACATGGCAAAACCCCATCTCTACAAAATATACAAAAAGTAGCTAGGTATGGTGATGTACACCTGTAATCCCAGCTACCTGGGAGGCTGAGGTGGGAGGATCACTTGAGCCCAGAAGATTGAGGCTGCAGTGAGCCGAGATTGACCCACTACACTCCAGCCTGGGTGACAAAGTGAGACCCTGTCTCAAAAAAAGTAAAAAATATAAGAAAAAAGAAATTTTGGCTCATGTGATAGTAAGATTTTCTTATTTGCTGGCCTAAATACAATTTCAAGAAAATCGTGGGTTATATAACACACTGAGGGAAAAGGCAGACACAGTTTGATTTCAGATGTCTTGATTAGGGTTTCTCAAATTTAGCACTATTGGCATTTGGGGTTGAAAAATTCTTTGTTGTGTACTGTAGGATGCTTAAGAGCATCCCTATTTACTAGACGCCAGTAGTTCCCCAAGTTGTGACAACTAAAAATGTCTCCAGACATTGCCAAATGTCTCCTGTGAGGCTAAATTACTCCCAGTCTACACATGAGGCCACAGGTGAACTGATGAATTGGCAGACTTAAACTACAGAAGTTAATATAGAGTCTAAAGCCAAAAAGTTAATATTTAGCATCTAAATGCTGATAAACAAACTAAAAAATGTGATATATGAAATAAATTATTTCCCCAATACAAAATTGTGGAGCAGTAAAAAAAACCGCTGTTGCTCACCAAGATGTGAAACGCTGGCTGAAGTGGGCAGGAGGGGAGGATGAAAAACAATACACTTCAAAGTGTTGAGAGAGATGTGTATCTATTGCTAGAAAGAAGGAACACTCTAAAAATATTACATGCCACTTTTTTGTGTATGCTCAAGGAAATAAAACCATAGTTACATTTTCTATTTTCCTCTTTTAGACTACCATCTGGCAATCCACACTTCCATTAGAAAAAAGTTCTAGCCAATTGGACTAAAATAGTTAATACACCACCCCATGTGCCAAAAATATGCCAGGAAGTCTACAGCTTGTTCAGTCACACCCAAAAAGAAAGACACTAATGTCCTTAAATGACAAAGTAAATAACTCACAGCATGTTTACCTACTTCTCTTCCTACCTCGGGGGCAGAGAGTCAAACAACAGCAGGAGGAAAAATAAAACAAAAGTAGTTACATGCAACAGGCAAACTAAAGTAACCAAACTAATTTATTAGATGTCAACTTGTCCCTAAGACATTTGGAGTTTAAAAAAACCTACTAATTGAATACAAGAGAACACATATGACTATAGTCACAATATTTCCAGTGTCAGAGGAATGTGTTAAGAATGAGTGAAGTAATAAGGCAGGTGCATCAAATTCTTATAATACTCTTCAAGAAAGGAAAGGTAAAGATTCTACATATAATGAATATAAAAATCAGCAAAATAACCACTTCCTTTTTCTTAATACTTGAAAGTTGTCAAAAGACAAACTGGTACATCCATGCTAGTATACCCTGTGAGTTATCTTTCACTAATCCATACAGGCAGGCTATGGTAACAAGAACCTACAGTTACCAATAGGTAAATAATGATTACCAAATATTACAAAGATAAGCAGAAAACCATGCACCACTGCATAAACATTAATTGTATGCTTTGAGCACTTTTATAAGTACTCATCTAGCTGAGCAAGACAGAGATGGCCCTGGTTCACATGAAGTTTACATTTCAGGGCAGGAATTCCAGTGAAATAATCAAATATTTGGGAAATGCACCACCATGAAAGAGAGGTACCAAACTTAACCTTTGTTTTCAAAAACAGAAGAGCCAACACCCAAGGAAAACATTAATAGAGAAAAAACAAGACTTTAAGTAGAAATACTATTCTCACAGAGATTGAGTGAATATTATATCTATAAAAAGAGATTATGACATAAGAGAAAATTTTGAGTGAGCGCTCACATTTAAACACATCTGTATAAAATCTTAGCCAAGGATAAAAAGAAAATCCTAAAGGTTTTTGGAGAGACAGAATAGGTATAATAAATTTTCAGATATTCACAGATTGACTATAGTACAAGGTTAAAAGAAGTATTAAAGAGTATACTTCATCACATTAAAAAATCAAACAAAGAATACTGAGCGAAAAAAATCACAAAAAGAGAAAATATCAAATAATACCCTATTTTTTTAAGGAAGTATTTATAATAAAGATACAAAACATTCATGGCCATGATGCATGAGAGTAGACAAATGGAGGAGGGCTTCAGCTTAATATTTCTTTAAGAAGAAATATAACCATCATATCATCAGAATCACAAAGGATCCAACATAGGAGGAGGTTGGGGAGGGAGCAAGAAGACAAACATGAATCTCCAAGTCTTTCCTTGTTCCAGTGAACAGTATGAATACTAATTAAATCTAAATATTGACAGTTAAAAAAATAGTAAATTTAAATGTGTATTAAAATTTTAAGGTTAATCACGAATAATCATTTTGAAATAAATAAAAAAGTTATTTTTTGCTTCCAAATCATTGGAAGAAAGAAATGACACAGAGAGGGCAACCAATCTAAAAGACAGCAAACTATGTCCAAATTCATCAAAATCACAATAAATGTGAATAATTAAATTCACTATTAAAATAGAAGGACTCACCTACTGGAGTTTTAAACTATCCAGCTGTACGCAGTTCATAAGGTATATCTTAATGCAATATACACTTGATTAAATGACACAAGACAGGCGAAAATAAACATAAAAAGAACAAATGAACAATTTTTTAAAAAGTAAATATAGCAATATTAACCATCAGGCAAATGTATTAGTAAGGGTTCTCTAGAGGGATGGAACTAATAGGACAGATATATACATATAAAGGGGAGTTTATTGAGGAGTATTAACTCACATGATCAAAAGGTCCCACAACAGGCCATCTGTAAGCTGAGGAGCAAGGAAGCTAGTCCCAAAGCTGAAGAATTGGAGTCCAATGTTCAAGGGCAAGAAGCATCCAGCATAGGAGAAGGATGTAGGCTGGGAGGCAAAGCCAGCCTAGTCTTTTCATGTTTTTTTCTGTCTGCTTTATATTCCAGCCATGCTGGCAGCTGATTAGATGGTGCCCACCCAGATTAAGGGTAGATCTGCCTTTCCCAGCCCACTGACTCAAATGTTAATCTCCTTTGGCAACACCCTCATCGACACACCCAGAGTCAATACTTTGCATCCAGTCAAGTTTATACTTAGTATTAACCATCACAAGTCGACCCCTTGTCAACTTGAACCCATACACATCTCCTGAGATCATACATAATCTTCAAATAAAAACAATAATAAGGTCATAATTACGCCTAACATAATACAACTATCCTTCATACAACGGAAATGCACCAATCCCCAACCCTCTATTCCATAAAGTTAACAATACTTAAAAGCTGATATGAAGTCAATAAACTTTATCTCACATGATAAAGGAAAAAGGAAATAAGATGAAGATATTTTCTTAGTACAAGTGTATACATGCACAAACGTGTTTTTAACAAAAGGAGAAGGAAATACTCACGACACTTACATTCCTTGTTTCTGCAACTGGTCACCTGGTCGTAGCTGGTATTGATGACTACCTTCTTCTACTACCCAGCCTGTATTCCCTTTGCCTTCAGCAAGCACCTCAGCAGGTTGTGGTTTTTTTCCTGGTAGAATGAACCAAACCTTCATTCCTGAAGGGTCTGGGTCATTTCTAGTCCTGCCTGAATTGAGCTGTTGTAGTTTCCCATTGACCTTAATCACAGGGCAAGGTAATACTAAGAGATGCCCTAATGGATCTCCTGTATTTCATGCATACTCTTCCTTACTTCCATTGTGGAGTAGTAGACTGATTTCATCTTGACAGTCCAGGTCAATCACCCCGGCCAACACTGTTACTCCCTTCTTAGCCTGTTGACTTAAAGGTAGGAGGAGTCCAAAGTGTCCAAGTGGCAATCTTAACTTCCAGTTTAATGGAATCGTTGTTTTGTCTCCTCGTGGCAGCGTTGCTCCCACTGGAACTAAGACCTCTAGTCCAGTGGAAAGCAATGTTGTGGGAAGAGGAAGCAAAAATTTTGCTAGTGGATGGATCACTAGGGGTGATGGTGAATGGTGCCACTTCCACTTCCACCCCTCAATTCCTGGACCCGTGAATCCTAGCTATGGGAGAAACACTACCATATATTGGATGCTGATTCAGAGCATACACGGCCTTCTGGAGAACTTTGCCCCAGCCCTGCAAAGTATTGTTACCTACTTGCTGTTGTAATTATGACTTCAAAAGGCCATTCCACTGTTCTATGCTTCAGGATGATAGGGAACACAGTAAGATCAGTGAGTTTCATGAGCATGAGCCCACTGCTGCACTTCTTTAGCCATAAAGTGAGTGCCTTGGTCAGAGGCAATGCTGTGTGGAATACCATGATGGTGGATAAGGCATTCCGTGAGTCCACGGATGGGAGTCTTGCAGAAGCACTGTGTGTAGGATAGGCAAATCCATATCCAAAGTGTCTGTTCCACTGAGGACAAACCTCTGCCCTTTCCATGATGGAAGAGGTCCAATATAATCAACCTGACACCAAACAGCTGGCTGATCACCCCAAAAAATGGTGCCATATCAAGGGCTCAGTGTTGGTCTCTGCTGCTGGCAAATTGCGCGTTCAGCAGTGGCTATAGCCAGGTCAGCCTTGGTGAGTGAAAGTCCATGTTGCTGAGCCCGTGCATAAGGTCCATCCCTGCCACCATGGGCACTTTCTTCATGGACCTATTGGGCAATGACAGGGGTGGCTGGGGAAAGAGGCTGAGAATGAGTTGTCCTATCCACTTGATTATTAAAATCCTTCTCTGCTGAGGTCACTCGTTGGTAAGCTCTCACATGGGATACAAATATCTTCACAGTTTTTGACCACTCAGAGAGGTCATCCACATACCTCATCCCCTAATTTCTTTGTCACCAGTTTTCCAATCATGCTTCTTCCAAATGTCTGACCATGTCAAACCATTGGCTACAGCCCATGCATCAGTATATAATTGCACATCTGGCCATTTCTCCTTCCATCCAAGGTGTACTGCTCCAAGTTCTGCCCACTGGGAAAAGTTCCCTTCATTGCTGTCATTCAAGGATGTCCTAGAAAGGGGTTGTAGTGCTGTAGCTGTCCACTTTCAGGTGGTACCCGCATATCGTGCAGAACCATTTGTGAACTAGGCCCTAGTCTTCTCTTCCTCTGTCAACTGATCATAGGGAACTCCCCATGAGGCCACTGGTGTAGGCTGGGGAAGAGAAGGCAGGGTGGTAGGAATGGAGACCATGGGCATTTGAGCCACTTCCTCATGTAACTTACTTGTGCCTTCAGGACCTGCTCGAGCCCAATCATGCATATACCACTTCCATTTGATGACAGAATGCTGCTGTGCAGGACCACTTTATGGTTAGATGGGTCAAAAAGCACCCAGTTCATGATAGTCAGTTCAGGTCACATTGTGACTTGATGATTCATAGTCAAATATCCAGTTTTCACCAAAGCCCAGTAACAGGCTAAGACCTGTTTCTCAAAAGGAGAACAGTTATCTGCAGAAGATGGCAGGGCCTTACTCCAAAATCCTGATGCCTCCGCTAACAGCAGAGGCCCCCTTACGAGGGCCTGCCAAAGGCTCCAACAGCATCCCTAACTGCCAATGACATCTCTAGCACCATTGGATCTGCTGGGTTACATGGCCCAAGTGGCAGAGCAGCTTGCATAGCAGCCTGGACCTGTTGCAGAGCCTTCTCCTGTTCTGGACTCCACCCAAAACTGACAGCCTTTTGGGTAACTCAATAAATGGGCCAGAGTAACACACCCAAATGAGGGATGTGTTGCCTCCAAAATCTTACTAGGCCTACCAGGCGTTGTGCCTCTTTCTTGGTTGTAGGAGGGGCGAAATGCAGCAACTTTTCCTTCACCTTAGAAGGAATATCTCAACAGGCCCCACACCACTGGACCCCTGGAAATTTTACTGAGGTGTAAGTCCCCTGAATTTTAATCGGATTTATTTCCCATCCTCTGGCAGGCAAATCTCTCACCAATAAGTCCAGTGTGTTTGCTACTTCTTGATTACTGGATTCAATCAGCATAATGTCCTCAATGTAACAGACCAGTGTGATATCTTGCAGAAGGGAAGTGATCAGGGTCTCTCCAAATAGGATTATGACACAAAGACGGAGAGTTGATATACCCCTGAGGTAGGAAAATAAAGGTATATTGCTGGCCTTGCCAGCTGAAGGCAAATTGCTTCTGGTGGGACTTATGGACAGGAGTGGAGAAAAAGGCATTTGCCAAATCAATGACTGCATACCAAGTACCAGGAGATGTGTTAATTTGCTCAAGCAATGAAACCACATCTGGTACTGCAGTTGCAATTGGAGTCACCACTTTGTTAAACTTACAATAATCCACTGTCGTTCTCTAAGATCCATCTGTCTTCTGCACAGGCCAAATAAGAGAGTTGAACAGGGATGTGGTAGGAATCACCAACCCTGCATCTTTCAAGTCCTTGATGGTGGCACTAATTTCAGCAGTCCCTCCAGGGATGCAATATTAGTTTTGATTTACTATTTTTCTAGGTAGAGTCAGCTCTAATGGTTTCCATTTGGCCTTTCCCACCATTATGACCCTTGCCCTACAGTCAGGGAGCCAATGTGGGGGTTCTGCCAGTTGTTAAGTATGTCTATGCCAATTATGCATTCTGGCACTAGGGAAATGACCACAGGATGAGTCTAGGGACCCAATGGACCCACTGTAAGTCAGACCTGAGCTAAAACTCCATCAATTACCTGACCTCCATAAACCCCTATTTTAACTTGAGGACCACAATGATGTTTTGGGTCCCCTGGAATCAGCGTCAGCTCAGAGCCAGTGTCCAGTAGTCTCTGAAATGTCTGATCATTTCCCTATCCCCAGTGAACAGTTAGCCTGGTAAAAGGCTGGATTTCTCCTTGGGGAAGGATGGGACAAAGATTCACAGCATAAATTGTCAGTAGTGTAGAGGGGTCCTTCCTCAAGGGGACCCGGACTCCCCTTCATTCAAGGGGTTCTGGGTCTGTAAACTGGCTCAAGTCTGGAAATTGATTGAGGGACTGTGATTCTCTGCTTTTATAATTCAAATTAGTCTGGAAGTTCTCTGCTTATATAAATTAAGTAGGAATGCAGTAGGCTTCCTATCACTTCTAGGAACATCGTAATTAGCTAATGCCAGAGCTGGACACGAGTCAGATTATTCTGATTGCTGCTTTGCCTCTTCTGTCCATTACGGTAGTATGCCCACCTTGCCTTTGACAGCTGAGTGCCACAACTTGGCCACTGCCACCTCGGGATACAATTATTCCAATTGCATTTAAATTTTGTAGTTGAGTGACTGCAGTTCCCACTGTTAGATCTGATATACAGAGAAGGGCAATTACGGGGCTCTTCAAAGATGAAGGTGCTGCCTTCACAAATCTACTTCACAAAGCATTGGTCAAGGGTATATCTTCTGGAACCTCCCAGCTGGGATGAGTAGATCTAGAGAGACTAATCCACTCCACCATCCCAGTCTCCCTAAGCCTTTGGATCCCTTCCTCTACATTAAACCAAGAGAGATCAGGTATTTCCAGCTCACTCACAGTGGGCCATTTTTAATCCATATTTCAGCTAACCAAGCAAATAAACTATTAGAACCTTTTGTAACTCCCCAAACTGCAACATTAAAAGGAGAGTCCCTACTTAGTGGGCCCAAATCAATAAATTCAGGCTGATCCAACTCTATGTTCCTTCCACCATTATCCCACACCCTTAGTATCCATTCCCATGCCTGTTTTCCAGATTTCTGTTTATATACATTAGAAAACTCAAGCAGTTATTTTCGAGTGTAACGCACCTCCTCATAGGTCACACTCTCAACCTCACCTTTAGGGGCCTGCCAGGACTTTAGTCTAGTTATAGGTCTAGAAGCAAACAGAGGTATTGGGGGTGGCTCCTGAGAAGAATCAACATTATCTTGCCTGGCAACTGCCTCAGGGGAGGCCATAAGGGGAGGCCTGTTGCCTCAGGCAGTAAAGGGTGTATCTTCTCAGACAAAGGTGGAAAGGTTGATGACAGCATGGATTGGGGAGGGGACATTGCCACTACTGGGGGTAGGGAAGCTGTTTCTTCTGGCAAGAAAGTTTCATTGGAGTTTACAAGCTCAGTGTCCCCAGCTTCATCAGGGTCCTCCCACACGTCCCCATTCCAAGTTGCAGGGTCCCATTTTTTCCCAATTAATCCCTTCACTTTAACAGTAGATGCCTGGTGAGGCTGTGCATACACTTTTCATTGCAGGTCAGCCACTCACATGATAAAAGCTTTTGTCTGATTTTCCACAATTTCAACTCTTTCTCTACAGGAGATAAGATTCTCACTCAAGGCCATCTTAGCAGATTTGAGGCTTAGTATCTGTTTCTGAAGCTGGGAGTTAGAATCCCTGAGTTCATCATTTTCTTTCATCACTTTGTCCAGTGAACTTAGGAGCAACCAACCAACTTCATTATGTTCCTTAATACAGCCAAAGGCATTATGTATAGAGTTACTAAACTCCTTGCCTCTCATGAGCGGTGAATCAGGAGTGTCAAATGTATGTATTTTGCATAACTCTCTATACAGTTCATGCCAAGGACTATCAGCATTCTCCATGCTATCAGAAGTAGAGTCCTTAGCATTTTTGGATGTAATCATATTAAACAGCCAACTCCAGAAACCTCAAAACCAACAAAAGAACTCCATCCTTAATATTCTGTTCCTCTAGAACCACTCCTGGTACCAAAATCTGTATTAGTCAGGGCTCTCTAGAGGGACGGAACTAATAGGATATATAGACATATATATATGTAAATCTTTATATATATGCATATAAATCTTCATATATATAAAGCCATATATAAATCTTCATATATAAATATATAAATCTTCATATATATAAAGATATGTATAATATAAAAGATCATATTAACTCACACAATCTCAAGGTCCCACAATAGGCCATCTATAAGCTGAGGAGCAAGGAAGCCAGTCCAAATCCCAAAGCTGAAGAACTTGGAGTCCAATGTTCAAGGGCAAGAAGCATCCAGCACTGGAGAAAGATGTAGGCTGGGAGGCTAAGCCAATCTAGTCTTTTCATGTTTTTCTGCCTGCTTTATATTCCAGCCATGCTGGCAGCTGATTAGATGGTGCCCACCCAGATTAAGGGTGGGTCTGCCTTTCCCAGCCCACTGACTCAAATGTTAATCTCCTTTGGCAACACCCTCATAGACACACCCAGGACCAATACTTTGTATCCTTCAATCTAATCAAGTTGATGCTTAGTATTAACCATCACAGCAAATTAGAATGAAATAAAAACTAGCATTAAATTGAAGAAGAGCAAAATCTCCTATTGATAATATATTCAATTCATTGTCATGCCACAAACTTTTATTCCTCTAATAACACAGCTTTAAAATACATAATGTGAAAACTAGTATCAAAACAGAAGAAAATTACTTACATAATCATAATATAAGATTCAACATACCTGTCACAAAAGTCCACATTTTAATAAACAGAAAAGATGAATATAAAGGGTTTTAATAAATTTGATGATATAAACCTAAATATATAAAGATACACACAAACACATACATCAAAAGAGAATATAATCAATGTACAGCTTACTAGTTGACTATGCATAAGGGCACACACACAAAAAAAAACCCAAGCCCTCAAAAAGAGTCTCAAAAGCATAAAACTGAGATGCATCCATTGAACATGTCTCAATAAAATATAAGGATAGTGTCAAGTAAACCTGTTTCCTTTAGAATCACATCAGATAGGCAAAAATCTAAATGGAAATTTGGGTGAGAGTGCAGGGTAATGGACATTTATAAAAACTTCAGGTGGGAATATAAATTCATGATGCCTTTTTACAAAATACTTTGATATTACCTCTCAAAATTTTAAATGTCCATACCCTTTGACTCAACAATTGTACCTCTAGAAATTCCTCTAATATAAAAAACTTATAATCAGAAAACAAACATACAAGATCACAACACTAATTATAACAGCAAAAAAGTAATAAACCAAATATCCATTAAAAGAAAACTGGCTAAATAATTTATAGTACCTCCATTTCATAAAATGTCAAGCACTCACAATGGAAAGAATCTCTAAGACATGGGCTTTTTTTAAGTGTAAAAAATACACATGTTTAGGTGCAAAATGAACAGAAAAGGAAGTGGAAGAGTAGACAACAAACGTTTTACTTCTGGAGCGGGATATAATTTTACCTTGTATATATCTCTTAGTGTTTGAATATTTTATGACTGGTACTACTTGCATAAGAAACCTAATTAATTTTTTCAATGTCTTATTTACTTTCCAGAAAAAGACTAAGACCCTTCCGTTCTTAGGATAAATTTGATCAAACCCATCTAAGAGTACAGGACAAGTACAAACTTTGATTCTGTTACAATTAAAATAACCTGCTGTTTCCTTTTCTGGGAATGATCTTCCATCAGATATGGCTCACCACTTCACTTCCTTCAAGTTACCTGCTTAAATATCACCTTATCTAAAGAATCTTCCCTGACTTTGCAATATAAAATGACATCCTACTCCCATCCTACCCCTCGCCAACTACCTTACCTTGCTTCATTTTTCACTAGAGTGATTTACTACCAGTGTCTTAGTGTGCTTATCTTTAAAGTGGGGATGATAATGGTACATACCACACAGGTTGTTGTTAGGCTTAAATGAGCTACGAGTTCTTAGATGAGTGCCTGACACATAGTAAGAGACGTAAGAATCTGTTTTGTTTATGGTCTGCCTTCCCCCTATTAGAACAACAATGCTAAGAGGTAGGGGCTGGGGTTTGTTCATTATTGTATCCTGATGCCTGGAAAGTGCTTATTGGTAAATATTCATCACTGTTGAAGTCTGATTTAGCACTGCAGCCATATGTACAGACAGCTTAGATTACAAGAAAAAAACAATAATTTTTGGTAAAAGCAAGCTTTCTGCATATTAACATGAATCATCTGTAATAATTCAACCTATTTTAAACATATAATATTTAGCAGTATTGGCTCCTAGAAGCTTCAAGTAGGGAAATGGTATAGTGGCATTTAATTCATTAATTTCTTAACACCAACATGACAACAAAAGCTAAAACATAATGTGGAAAGAGAAAACAAATGCACAACTTACTTTTCATTCCTGCTTTTGATGCATGGCTGGTAGAGGACCTTGACAGCACTCCAGGCAGAACTAGAATCGGCTTTGAATGTGTTTTCCAACAAGGGGAATTTTTTGATATATTTGGAATTTCTCAAAGATTCAATCACCAAACTGTCTGAATTTAAAAGCCATAGCTAAAGATGTGAAGAGAAAGTCCAAGTATAAGAATATTGTCACCTTATCCATATCTTATGACTTTTCAAAAACAAAAAAGAGACTATGAAAATACCAGAAAAAATAAATATGAGAATCATGTACATAATTTTAAAGTTGGGTAGGCCTTTCAAAACATAACTCTCGGTAGAGCAACTGACATAAAGTTAAAAAAAAAAAAAGACAACTGACTCGGAGAAAATATGCATAAGTAACAAAGTTATTATCCATAATATACAGAGCTTCAGTAAGGGGGTAAAACAGCCCAAGAGAAATACAGGCAAAGAATATGAACAGAATTAACAGAAGAAATAAATGATAAATAAACATATATTAGAATCTTAATGTAACTAATAAATGTAAAATTTTGTGCCACCATTTTTCATTTACCAGATTGGCAAATATAAAAGTACTGATAACATCTAGTTCAGAAAAGGGGTTTGAAGTGGGCATTCCAATACACTGCTGGTGGGAGAGTGTTTTGGGATTTGGATGCATGTGATTCACTGAGGGAAAACTCACAGGAGAAAGGAAGTGAAGGAAATGGGATAAGGCAGGGGAAAGAGCTAGTTAAGGATATAGAATCATCTGGAGTCTGGTTTCAGCCTGATCCATGGGGGAGTTCTACAGCATGAATCCCACCTACAGAGTTTGTTCTACCTTGAGACAAGAGTCCCTAGCTTTCTGTGCCCCAGGATCAAATCACTGGCAGCGGGCTGACCAAGAAGGGGTGAGTCAGGGAGGGACTGTGGCGGACAGGTAACTTCTGGGCAAGGCAACACCTGTCATCTAAAGAGGAAGTCTGTGGAGAAGCGGGCAGCTGTGAGCCATTATCAGCCAACGCTGTCAGCAGCTGGGAATGGGTGCATCAACCCAGTATGGGGTCTGGGTGGCACACCAAGAATGCCCACTATAAAAGATAAATTAGTACAACTTTTTTGCAAGGTGATAATTATCTGAGTTTCAAATATACAAATTCTTATATTACATTAGAAAGATCCATTTCTAAAGAAGTACTAAAAGACACAGGCAAAGATTATTTTCATTGCAGTTCAGTCTTATCAGCCATACAGCAAAATTCCAGTCATTAAAGAGCCAGACCTATATTTAAACTAATAAAAACAATCCTCATGATACATACTGTGAAGCAAGCAGGTTGCAGAAAAACGCTAATCATGTGATACTGTTTTTTTTTTTTTTTTTACAAATAGACAAACACCTGTGAGTGTACATATATATAGTTGTATATGGAAAGAATAAAAATAATGAAGTACACATATCAGACTGTTAATACTGATTGCTCCCTGAATAGTATGATATAGCAAGGCAGGAAAGGGAACACTTTATGTTCTTCATGTTCCCTGATTGTGTTTCAAGAATGTTTTACTTTTATAAAAAAGAAAAATCTAAATATATGTTAGAAAGTTTCAGAAGTTCCTACTCCCGATCTTCAATCTGAAATCTTACAATAAAAGAAAAAGTAAAACTGATTTCAGAAAACTGTGAGGTATATTTACTATCAAAATCAGTCAGAAAATATTTTAGGTTTTCATGGAAATTATCTGCAATTAGAAAAGCATAGTGTCCCCATAATGGATGGCCAGCTACAGAGTCACACCTAACAGCAACTTCAGGCCCTTCCCTCCTTTTTGTTACTATGTTTCCCTATTAGCTTTTTAGTCTCATGAAGGCATTTGTGTTCTACCTTGAGCACCTGGAACAGTGTCTTTCATATAAGAAGTGCTCCATACCTGTTTACTGGTTGAATAAAATAGATGTAGAAGCAGAGAAGATACTTGGGCTATGATTCTTGACTATCCAGATAAATGCTCAAAATTTGCTTCTGCAGGACACTGTTTTTCAGAGGTAGTGTAATATTAGGCTCTAGTGGTACATGCTGGGATGATTGCTAGCCACAGAGCCTCTTCCTCAAAAATTGCCACTGTTTCTCAAATATCACAGAATCAGAGGCAATTAAAAACAACAGAAGAAGGCCAGGCATGGTGGCTCATGCCTGTAATCCCACTATAATCCCAACAGTTTGGGAGGCCAAAGTGGGAGGATTACTTCAGCCCAGGAGTTTGAGACCAACCTGGGCAACATAGCAAGACCTCGTCTTCACAAAAAATTTAAAAATTGTCTGGGAATGGTGGAGTAGGCCTGGAGTCTCAGCTATTCAGAAGGCTGAGGTGGGAGGATCACTTTAGCCTGGGAAGTCGAGGCTATGGTTAAGTCATAATCATGCCATTGCACTCCAGCCTGTGTGATAGAGTAAGACCTTGTCTCAAAAAAACAAAAAACAAACAGGAGCAATAGGACATATTCTAAACATAAGAGTACTAAATAGGAAAAAAAAAAAAGTGGGACAGAATAGTGTTATAGTGACCCCAAAAAAGCCATTACAAACTGAGAGTAAAAAACTTGATTTTGGCTGGGCGTGGTGGCTCATGCCTGTAATCCCAGCATTTTGGGAGGCCGAGGTGGGTGGATCACGAGGTCAGGAGATCGAGACCATCCTGGCTAACATGGTGAAACCCCGTCTCTACTAAAAAAATACAAAAAAATTAGCCGGGCGTGGTGGCGGGCGCCTGTAGTCCCACCTACTCGGGAGACTGGGGCAGAAGAATGGCATGAACCCAGGAGGCTGAGCTTGCAGTGAGCTGAGATCACGCCACTGCACTCCAGTCTGAGCGACAGAGTGATACTCCATCTCAAAAAAAAAACAAAAAACAAAAAAACCCTGATTTTGTGGTATGAGCTTCTAAATAGCAGGAATCAGGATTTTTCTCTGTATCCGTAGTACCTAGTACATAGAGGCACTTGATCATCTGTTATTAAAATAAAGGAGTTTGATTTATGAATTAAACTGATATTAACTTTTTTTTTTTTAAGATGGAGTCTTGCTCTGTCACCCAGGCTTGAGTGCAGCGGCACCATCTTGGCTCAATGCAACCTCCACCTCCTGAGTTCAAGCGATTCTCCTGCCACAGCTTCCTGAGTAGCTGAGACTACAGGCATGGGCCACCATGTCAGGCTAATTTTTGTATTTTTAGTAGAGATGGGGTTTCCCCATGTTGGCCAGGCTGGTCTCGAACTCCTGACCTCAAGTGATCCACCCACCTTGGCCTCCCAAAGTGCTGGGATTTCAGGCATAAGCCACCGTGCCCAGCCTGATATTAACATTTTTAATCACTTATTTTCCACACCTGAGAATTAAGAAAAAAGGATGAAAAAACTGAAGAATTCTGAGACCTTGGATTCCTAGGCTACAAAAAGCTGGATAAAATAATTTCTTACCAAGATATACACTTTGTCATCCTGACCTTGAATCGTGAATCTAAAAGTGCTTCTAGCAGAGGAGAGCTGCACCAGACACTGGGCGATCACGCTCTGGACAAACCAAGACCTGTTTGAACAGAAATCAATTTTTACAATGTGTATCTCATAATAACTCTAACTGGCAAGATAAGCAAAAAATACACACACGGTACCTAAAAGGCAGACATATCCACATGCCAGACTTTTCTACGGACTGCTCATTCCCTCAGAATCTGCACTGATGTGGATTTTAATATATTTTAATGTATTCAGGTTTGCTCCATTCTTCTTAAAACCTATTCTCCAATCCTTGATACACTTTCCACACCAAACCTAACTATTCACCCCTACTGAATAAAAAAATACCATGTTAGAACAAGTCAATACTCCATTTGTGCTGTAGCATATTAAACAGAGAATAACTAACTTACAAAAGAAGGCAAGAAATTTCCTTCCAAACATCAGACAGTATTGTCTACATTTTCTTCCATTTGGATCTCCCTAAAGTGTCAGCTCTGAGGTACAGAATCAAAGTATTTACATAAGGATAAGTTCAAGGCTATACTCAAAGATTGCTATAATTTTTGGATATCAACAAATAAACTGGAATAAAGACATATCATGGTTAACTTGTTTGCAAACTAAAGAGTCAAAGAAATAAAAACACTAATAGATTTAGTGACTAAGTACCATGTTTTTAAAACATAGGAGTCATTTGAAACTGACCCATGTTTCAAATTTTAAATAATTCAAATTAAAACCAGAAATTATTCAAAAAACTTATTGGTGACTGGGTGATAAGATTCTAGATATCTGGCACATAGAAATAAGCATAGAAAACTTTCAGAATTAGAAGATTTATAAGAGCACATTTGTCTACAGCACTATATGATCAAAACATTTTTTAAAATCCTCAAAACTTTTATATGTGTGGTTTGGTTCAACTATCAAAAAGGCTTTCTCTTTCCTTTTCCAAATAAAGAAAGGTATGAATAAAAATGAATTCCCATATGATCAATTGTACTTCCTTTTTCCTACATTTGGAATTACAAATATATGCCATGGAATACTACTTAGCCACAAAAAGGAACGAAATAATGGCATTCACAGCATCCTGGATGTAACTGGAGACTATTATTCTAAGTGAAGTAACTCAGGAATGGAAAACCAAACATCGTATGTTCTCCTTCATAAGTGGGAACGAAGCTATGAGGATGCAAAGGCATAAGAATAATACAATGGACTTTGAGGACTTGGAGAAAAGGCAGGGGGAGGGGTAAGAGATAAAAGACTACACTTGAGTACAGTGAACAGTGCTTGTGTGATGGATGCACCCAAATCTCAGAAATTATCACTATTCATGTAAGCAAACATCATCTGTTCCCAAAAACCTATTAAAATAAAAAATAAATTCAAAACCAAAAAATAAAAAATAAAGGTCTGAATGGGGAAAAAAATAAATTACAAATAAATAAATGTAATTTGCTATTTGTACCTTGGTATGATAGGAAAACTCCTCTCAGATGACTGAATAATTATCTCTGTCATATAAAACTTGGTGGTTTCTAGAAACAAAAAAGAAAATTAAGACTCTCCCCAATACACTAATAATTTTATTGTGGGCAAGTTGACTCCAAATTAGGATATTCCAAACTAAATATTAAATATACTGGTAAAATTAATATTCTGTAAACATTTTCCCAAAACTACTTAGTTTCAGAAGACAAAGCATTGGTCACTACAAGGAGATAGTTCTGAAGCTTCTGTGTCTTTTTAGAAAATAATGCCCAGAGACTCTGCTTACACATATGGAAGATTATAAAAGTTAGTCACATCACAGGCATAGTGCACTTAGATAGAAATTAGTCACTGGGTTTCCTCAATTCTACAGAATAGCTACAAACCTGTAAGTCAATGAAAAAGACTTCTGGTTTGTTTTTGGTTTTGATGTACTATTTTCCCAGATAAAGGCAGTTCTAATGGCTTCCACTTGGTCTTTTCTACCATAATAGCCTCAATACACACTTTGGGGAACTAACGTGGGGATTCTGCCAGCTGCTAAGTGTGTTAATTTGAGTTAAGCACTCTGGAATTCGGGAATAATCACAGGAAGCATTCAGGGATCCACTGGACCCACCGTGAGATGGACCTGAGTTAAAACTCTATTGATCACCTGACCCCATCCCCTACTCTAATTGGAAGGCCACAGTGATGTTTTGGGTCTTCTAGAATTGGTGTTCATTTAGAACCAGTGTCCAGCAGTCCCTAAAAGGTGTGATTATTTCCTTTTCCCCAGTGCGCATGGGGAACTGTTACCCTGAGAAAGGCCATGGTTCCCTTTGTGGAAGCCTGGGAGAAAGATTAACGGTATAAATTTCAGGTAGCATCGTTTTTCGTTGAGGGCATCTGTCCTCTCCTTCATTCAAGGGGTCCTGGGCCTACAAAGGCTCAAGTGTGAGAATTGATTGAGGGGCCAGGACTCTCTGTTTTTATGATTCAAGCTCGACTTTTATTCACTTGACATAGAACTTTCTTATACAAATCAAGTAAGATTTTAGCAGGCTTGCTATCTAATTCACTTCTAGACAACACCATGATCAACTAGCAAACATCATATAACTGAATAACTCAGATTATTCCAATTGTTGCCTTGCTTTCTGTCCATTACACTAACCACACCTACCTTGCCTTTGATGTTCCAGTGCTCCTACCTGAAAAGGGGTTTTTAATCACAGCATCCCAAAACACAGATGCGGTGAACCTCACATTAGAATCTACCCAGAATCTCAATGACTCTATTGATATACAATTCTCACTAAATCTGGTTATCTGATTGCTTACAGAAAAATTTAAATAGAAATTTAATAGACATAAATGTAAACACAATCATCTTGGAGTTCTAAAAAAATCTAAGAAAAAGTTTAATCTCACTAACGATGAAGAAAATGTACATCAAAATAAGATTTTTTTTTTTTGCATCAAACAAAATATTTTAAAATGATAAGGTGTACTGCTGGATACGCTTATTTATATAGATGGATATGCTTATTCACACACTGCTGTGAGAACAGAAAATGACAGACTTCCGGAAAGCCACTTGGCAAAGGCCTTAAAATTGTATATGTAGGGCTGGGTGCAGTGACTCACGCCTGTAATCCCAGCACTTTGGGAGGCTGAGGCGAGCAGATCACCTGGGGTCAGGCGTTTGAGACCAGCCTGGCCAACATGGTGAAACCCTGTCTCTACTAAAAATACAAAAATTAGCTGGGCGCAGTGACTCCCACCTGTAGTCCCAGCTACTCGGGAGGGTGAGGCAGGATAATTGCTTGAAACCAGGAGGCAGATGTTGCAGTGAGCCGAGATCGTGCCACTGCACTCCAGCCTGGGCGACAGAACGTGACTCCATCTTAAAAAAAAAAAAAAAAAAAAAAAGAAAAATTGTGTATGTATTGTGGCACCATAATTAAACATATAAGAATTTATTTCAAAAAAATACTCACTGGTATATGAAAACACTTATCTATAGTGATACTCATAATATCAATAGAAAAATACTGAAAACAAATGTCTAAAAATTGAGGATGGGTTAAATATTCAGGCAACATAACTGCATGCATGTTTCAAATTTTAAATAGGTCAAATTCAAACCAGAAATAATTAAAAATGAGGCTGTCATTAAAAATGGTGGTGTTGCCCAGGTACAGTGGCTCATACTTAATCCCAGCACTTTGGAAGGCCAAGGCAGGACGATCACTTCAAGCCCAGGAGTTTGAGACCATTCTGGACAACAAAGTGACAGCCTGTCTCTACAAAAAATTCTTTTAAAAATTAGCCAGGCAGAGTGGCATGTGCCTGTAGTTCCAGCTACTCGGGAGGCTGAGGCAAGAGGACTGTTTGAGCCCAGAAGTCTGAGGCTTCAATGAACTACTGCGCTCCAGCCTGAGAGACAGAGTAAGATCCCATCTCTTAAAAAATAAAATAAAATAGTGTTGTCAAACAACTTTTAATAAGACAAAGTTATTTTTTGAAAAAGTGTGTAATTGCTCAATATTACACACAGAAAGGTAAAAAAAATAAATGGTTTCATAGATTAATATATAGACAGCCATGACAGATTTACCCATTTATCATTGAAGATGTGTCAATATTTACTATTTTGAAATCGTTATTACACGCAGGACTAAACTAAACCTTTTTAACTTTATGAAATGCCTATGTATTTATTTATTTACTTATTTAAGACAGGGTCTTGCCCTGTTGCCCAATTAGGGTGCAGTGGTGTGATCACAGCTCACTGTACCTCGAACCCCTGGGCTTAAGTGATCCTTCCGCATCAGCCTCCTGAGTAGCTAGCACTACAGGCATGCACCACTATGCCCAGTTAATTTTTTGTAGAGACCAGGTTTCACTATGTTGCCTAGGCCGGTCTCAAGGGATCCTCTCATCTCCGCCTCCCAAAGCAGAAGTGACCCTTTTTATTTCATGTGTTGTTAATCTAAAATTTAATTATATTATTTTAATCCCACAAGTATTATTTCTATTGTTTTATAGTTAATATTCATTTAAGTGTTATGTGAATATTCACGATTTTATCAACCCTTATTGAACTTAGATCTTCTATGTGGGATCATTTTCTTCTACCTGAGTACAGGTACAATTTCTTTTCATAAGAAACCACTATGGGCTGGGCGCAGTGGCTCACGCCTGTAATCCCAGCACTTTGGGAGGCTGAGGCGGGAGGATCACAAGGTCAGGAGTTCAAGACCAGCCTGGCCAACATGGTAAAACCCCATCTCTACTAAAAATACAAAAATTAGCCGGGCGTGGAGGTGCATGTGTGTAATCCCAGCTACTTGGAAGGCTGAGGCAGGAGAATCGCTTGAACCCAGGAGGCGGAGGTTGCAGTGAGCCAAGACCGCACCACTGTGCTCCAGCCTGGCGACAGAGCGAGACTCCGTCTCAAAAAAAAAAAAAAAAAAAAAAAAAAAGAAACCACTAGTATTGAATTAACCTAGATTAACCTAGTTTGTGTTTGTCAGAAAACATATTTATCTTAGCCTTAATTCTTGAAGGAAATTTTCACTTGAGATTAAGTCCTAGGATCAACAGTTATTTGCACACATTGGCAATATTGTTCTACCGTCTTCAGACTTCCATTACTGCTGTTCCTTTGAAGGCACTCTGTCATTTTTTCTTTAGCTGCATTTAAGATTATCTTCACTTTTTATTCTACAGTATTACTCGCATGTGTCTAAGTATGGATTTCTTTTTATTTTTCTTGCTAGGGCTTTGCCGAATTGGAATTCACTGGGTCCCTTGAATCTATAGATTGCTATTCTTCATCACTTTTGTAAAATTCTCAACAATTATCTCTTCAAATATTGCCCATGCTCCATTCTTTTCCTCCTGGAAGTCTGATTAAACATACATCAGATAGTCTGTTCTACGTCTCTTACTCTCTCTTCTATATTTTTTGCCTTTTGTCTCTCTGTGCTACACAGCAGGTTTTTCTTGTCATCTATCTTTTGCTCGTTAATTCTCTCTTCAAGTTGTATCTAATCTGGTGTTAAACCACTGGCTGAGTTTTTAATATCAATTATAACACTTTTTAAGAAATTTTATTGTATAAATTTATTGTTTAATTTATATAACTTACTGTTATAGTTTCCTTTTCCTTTCAGCTACCTTCACACCTTTCATTTTGCTAAATATGCTAAGCATGGTTGTTTTACAGTTTACACACAATTCCAATAAGAAGTCTATTTGATTTAATTCTTGTTGGTGGAAGTCTAGTTTACTTGT
This sequence comes from Homo sapiens, assembly GCF_000001405.40. Lineage (NCBI taxonomy): Eukaryota > Metazoa > Chordata > Mammalia > Primates > Hominidae > Homo > Homo sapiens. Next base: position 83,028,276 of record NC_000006.12, read on the forward strand.
GTGCCTATTTATCTTTGGTTGCATGGTGAATACTATACCTAAAAAATTATTTGTGAGAATGAGTTTTACAATGAAGATATTTCCTTACAAAGGTGATTTTGCCAGGCACCTGGCAAATGTCTAGAACAAGGTGAAATAAACAAAGTTCAAGACTTGAAATTCCCTCAAGTCCCAAAGGATTGATCTCTGTCTACAATTCCACAGGGCTGTTCTATTTCCAATTCACCCTCACTGTGAGGGCACAACATTTAGCGTCTCCTATTTTTGTGAGGTTCTCCTCTTGAGTAGTCTCTCATTTTTGTCCTTCTCGAAACTAAAGTTCTAATTTTAGAGAATGGGCAAACTGCAAAGAAAATGTGGCTTGAATTTTGTGCTTACCTCTTTTGAGTCTGCTTTTCTGGTAATTTACCCACATTATTTTCCATTTTCCCTGATTTTTATTCCTTCCTGTAGTTTCCAGTTACCATCTGGTATCTTTCGTGTCAGCCTGAAGAACTTCCTTTATCATTTCTTGTACAGCAGGTACGATAGGAATCCATTATTTCCATGTATTTATTTGGAAACATCCTTATTTTGCCTTCATTTTTGAGTGATAGTTATGCTAGATACAGTACTGTTGGTTGTCACATCTTTTTCCCCCCAGCACTTCACATATCTTATTTCAGTGTCTTTTGGTTGTCATTATTTCTATTAGAAGTTCACCTTAATTGTATTAGGAAATCTCTTACATATGAGGTTTTGTTTTTCTCTTTTTACTTTAAAGATTCTCTCTTAATCTTTCAACAGATTGACGACAACATGCCTGAGTGAAGTGTTTTTGTGTTTATCCTACTACAGGTTCATTGAAATTCTTAGATCTGAAAGCCAATATTTTTAAAATAATTTGCCAAGTTTTCAGCCAGTTTTTTGTATAAATTTTTTTTCTGACCCTTTCAATTTCTCTTCATTATTTGAGACCCTATTTACACATTTGTTGGAACACCTGATATTGTCCCACAAACTGGAAGTTCTGTTCATTTTGTTTTAGACTTTTTTTGTTTGGTTAATTTGGATTAATCTGTAAGTTCAATAATTTTTTTTATCTTTTGTCATCTCAGATCTGTGCTTTAGATCATCTAGTGAATTTTTCTTTACGGTTACAGTACATTTTAATTCTAGAATTACCAAATTATTTTTCTTTGATTTTTCTAATTTATTGAGATTTGCTATCTGTTCAAAGCTTTTCTTAAAAAGTTATTTGCCATATTTATAATAGCTGCTTCCACATGTTTGTCTGCTCAATTGAATATCTGTGCTTACTAAGTACCTGCTTATTAAGACCTTTTTTTCTTGAGTATGAAACATTATTTTCTGTTTCTTTGCACATCTAATAATTTTTAGACAGAAGCAGGACATTGTGTGCAATATGTTGTAGCAACTGTGGATTTTGTGTTGCTCTTCTGAAGGTTGTTGGTTATTGGTTGGGATAGCAGTCAATTGACTGGCCTGGACTCGAACTGTGAAATGTATCTCCCCACAGTATGTAGCCACTAATGTCTCTACTCAGTTTTAATTTTTTTTTAGTCTGGCTCCCTAGCAAGTATCCACTGTACCTGCATAGGTTAGCTGTCAGCAAATAATTTGGGGCAAGGCTCTACTCAAACACCTCAAGCCAGTAAGGCTTCTTACGAAAATTACCTTCTGCTACCCAAGTTGTATGTGGATTGAGGAATGCAATCAAAGTCACAGCAAATTCACAGGTCCCCCTAAGCTTTCAATCCTTACTGAAAATACATATAATAGATACTCCCTGCCATTTTTTGTGTGTATGCAGAGTTTAGCAGTCAGCCAGAGTTGTGTTAGGGCAGAGAAGTTATCTCAGCCCTTCTATCACCCTTTGTGCAGCAGGTGGTTTTTGCATTGCTATAAATACCTGAGGCTGAGTAATTAAAATTAAAAAAAAAAGACGTTTCTGATATGGTTTGGCTATGTCTCCACCCAAATCTCATCTTAAACTGTAGCTCCCATAATTGCCATGTATCATGGGAGGGACCCAGTGGGAGGTAATTAAACCATGGGGGCATGTTTTTCCCATATCATGTTCTCATGATAATGAATAAGTCTCATGAGATCTGATGGTTTTATAAAAGACAGTTCCCCTGCACAAGCTCTCTTGCCTGCTACCCTGTAAGACCTGCCTTTCCTCCTCCTTCACCTTGTGCCATGATTGTGAGGCCTCCTCAGCCATGTGGAACTGTGGGTCCATTAAACCTCTTTTTCTTTATAAATTACCCAGTCTCAGGTGTGTCTTTATTAGCAGCATGAGAACGGACTAATACAGTAAATTGGTACTAGTAGAGTGGGGTGTTGCTGCAAGGATACTGGAAAATGTGGAAGCGACTTTGGAATTTGGGTAACAGGCAGAGGTTGGAACAGTTTGGAGGGCTCAGGAAAATGTGGGAAAGTTTGAAACTTCCTAGAGACTTGGAGGGCTCAGAAGATAGGAAATGGGGGAAAGTTTGAACCTTCCTAGAGACTTGTTGAATGGTTTTGGCCAAAATGCTGATAGTGATATGGAAAATAAAGTCCAGGGTGAGGTGGTCTCAGATAGAGATGAGGAACTTGTTGGGAACTGGAGCAAGGATGACTCTTGTTATGCTTTAGGAAAGAGACTGGCAGTATTTTGTCCCTGCCCTAGATATCTGTGGAACTTTGAACTTGAGAGAGATGATTTAGGGTATCTGGTGGAAGAAATTTCTTCCTTTTTTTTTGAAACCGGGTCTCATTCTGTTGCCCAGGCTGGAGTGCAGTGGTGCGATATCAGCTCACTGCAACCTCTGCCTCCCAAATTCAAGTGATTATCATGCCTCAGCCGCCCAAGTAGCTGGGCCTACAGGCGTGCACCAATATGCCTGGCTAATATTTGTATTTTTTGGTAGAGACAAGGTTTCACCATTTTGACCAGGCTGGTCTTGAACTCCTGACGTCAAGTGATCCACCTGCCTCGGCCTCCCAAAGTGTTGGGATTACAGGCATGAGCTACCATACCCAGCCTGGCGGAAGAAATTTCTAACCAGTAAAGCATTCAAGAAGTGACAGAGCATAAAAGTTTGGAAAATTTGTAGCTGGACGATTAGGTAGAAAAGAAAAACCCATTTTCTGGGGGGAAATTCAAGCCTGCTTGCATCTTGCATCAGCGTGACCTGGATGTGAAACATGAAGTCAAAGGAGAAATTCAAGCCACTTGCATCAGTGTGATCTGGCTGTGAGACATGAAGTCAAAGGAGATCATTTTGGAGCTTTAAGATTTGACTGCTTTGCTGGATTTCGGACTTCCATGGGGCGTTACAGTCAAGCCTGCTTGAATTTACACTGCTGCAGAAATTTGCGTAAGTAACAAGGAACCAAATGTAAATCACTAAGACAATGAGGAAAGTGACTTCAGGGCAGGTCAGAGACCTTTGCAGCAGCCCCTCCCATCACAGGCCTGGAGGCCTAGAGGGAAAAAATGGTTTCCTGCTGTGTGCAGCCTAGGGACTTGGTGCTCCGTGTCCCAGCCGCACTAGCCATGGCTAAAAGGGGCCAAGGTACAGCTCGGGCCCCGGCTTCAGAGGGTACAAGCCTCAAACCTTGGCAAATTCCATGTGGTGACAAGCCTGTGGGTGCACAGAAGTCAAGAGTTGAGGTTTGGGAACCTCCACCAAGATTTCTGAGACTGTATGGAAACGCCTGGATGTCCAGGCAGAGGTGTGCTGCAGGGCCGCAGCCCTCATGGAGAACCTCTGTTAGGGCAGTGCAGAAGGGAAAGGTGGGGTGGGAGCTCCCATGTAGAGTCCCCACTGTGGCACTGCCTGGTGGAGCTGTGAGAAGAGGGTCACAATCCTCCAGACCCCAGAATGATAGATCCATAGACAGCTTACACCGTATGCCTAGAAAAGCCACAGTACCTCAACACCAGCCCATGAAAGAAGCTGGGTGGGGCCGTACCCGGCAAAACCACAGGAACAGAGCTGTTCAAGGCCATGGGAGCCCACCTCTTGCATCAGCATGACCTGGATGTGAGACATGAAGTCAAAAGAGATCATTTTGGAGCTTTAAGGTTTGACTACTTTGCTGGATTTCAGACTTGCATGGGGCCTTTAGCCCCTTTGATTTGGCCAATTTCTCCTATTTGGAATGGGTGTATTTACCCAATGCCTGTACCCCCATTGTATCTAGGAAGTACCTAACTTGTTTTTGATTTTAAAGTCTCATAGGTGGAAGGGACTTGCCTTGTATCCGATGAGACTTTGGACTTGAACTTTTCAGTTAATGCTGAAATGAGTTAAGACTTTGGGGGATTGTTGGGAAGGCTTGGTTTTGAAATGTGAGGACATGAGATTTGGGAGCAGCCAGGGACAGAATGATATGGTTTGGCTGTGTCCCCACCCAAATCTCATCTTGAATTGTTGCTCCCATAATCCCCAGGTGTCATAGAAGGGACCTGGTGGGAATTAACTGAATCATGGGGGCGGGGTTTTCCTGTCCTGTTCTTGTGATAGTGAATAACTCTCACAAGACCTGATGGTTTTATAAAGGGCAGTTCCCCTGCACATGCTCTGTTGCCTAATGCCATATAAGAAGTGTCTTTGTCCCCCTTCACCTTTTGCCATGATTGTGAGGCCTCCCCAGTCATGTGATACTGTGAGTCTATTAAACCTTTTTCTTTATAATTTCCCAGTCTTGGGTATGTGTTTATTAACAGCATGAGAACAGACTAATACAGTTTCATTGTCTCATGGTTCTCCAGGCTGTACAAGCAAGCCTCCAGCATTTGCTTGGCTTCTGGTAAGGACCTTGGGAACCTGACAATCATGGTGGCAGGCAAAGAAGGAGCAAGGTGTCTCACATGGTGAAAGCAGGGATGAGAGAGAGAGGGGAGAGGTGTTACACACTTTTAAAAAACCAGATCTCATAGGCATTCCCTCATGATCATGAGGACAGCACCAAGACATTCATGAGGGATCTGCCCCCTGACACAAACACCTCCCACCACACTCTACCTCAAAAATTGGAGATTACATTTTATTATTGTAAATTGGGGATTATATTTTATTATTTTATGAGATTTAAAGGAGACAAACATCAGAACTATATCACTGATATGGTTTGGAGCTGTGTCCCCACCCAAATCTCCTGCTGAATTGTAATCCCTAATGTTGGAGGTGGGACCTGGTGGGAGGTGACTGGATTATGGCGGTGGGTCCTTCATGAATGGTTTAGCACCATCCCCTTGGTGCTGTACTCATGATGGTGAGTGAGTGACTTCTTACAAGATCCACTAGTTTAAAAGTGTGTAGCACCTCCCTTCATTCTCTCTTGCTACTGCTTCCACTATGTGAGATGCCTCACTCCTCCTGTTTTGTGCCATGATTGTAAGTTTCCTAAGGCCTCCCCCAAACCAGAAGCTGCTATGCTTCCTGTATAGGCTGCAGTACCATACGCCAATTAAACCTCTATTTTCTTTATAAATTACCCAGTCTTGGGTATTTCTTTATAGCAATGGAGAAGGGACTAATACAATCACTTTGCTTCCAAAATATCCTCCTTAAAATTTCTACTTTCTCCACCACCTACCCTAAACCAAACCCACCATGTATAGACAGTAAAGCTGTGGGCTTTTCCTGCCTAAGTTGGGAAGATATAAGGTGACAAGGTCCGTCTGCCTCCCCAGGCAAAACAAAATTACAAACTTGCTATTCTTTCCCAATATAGTAGCAGTTTTCCACTACTTAAATAGTTCTCAAATTGTTGCTTCACTTTTGTTCATTTTCTAGTGCCCTAATATGGTTCTTATTAATTTTTAAAATTGTCCAGTTTTGTACATGTTTTCTACAGAATAAAATTGCCCATTCTCTTCATGACACTATTTTGGGAAGTGGAATCCTAGTGATTTACTTTTAGAACAGATGTGGATATAGATCTCTTATACCACCCCACACACAAACTCACACATATTGACCTTCTAATATACTTTTGTATCATACTACAATGTTTAGTTAAGTGAATATTCAGTGTTTACATTATTATTACCATAATACTACCATGGAGATGTTTCTTTTCTTGTTCAACCTTTTTTCTTCTTCCTGCAGTGAATAACTGCTTCAATCACCTTTTAGCTAATTCTTTCCATATAATGAAATGGTTTGTCTCGAGATTAGCTGTCGTCACATGTTGATCTAGTTTGGCTCTGTGTCCCCACCCAAATCTCATGTCAAGTTGTAATCCCCATGTGTTAAAGTTGGGGCCTGGTGGGAAGTGATTGGATCATGGGGGTGGTCTCTAATGGTTTAGCACCATCTCCCCCGTCTCACGATAGAGTTATCACAAGATCTGAGGTTTAAAAGTGTGTGGCAATTCCCTGCTCTCTCTCTCCTGCCCCCTTATGAAGAAGGTGCTTGCTGCTTCTTTGCCTTCTGCCATGACTGTAAGTTTCCTGAGGCCTTCCCAGCCATATAGAACTGTGAGACAATTAAACCTCTTTTCTTTACAAATTACCCAGTCTCAAGTAGTTCTTTACAGCAGTGTGAAAATGGACTAATACACATCAAACAAATCAAATAATTTATCAATTCCACTTTATAACTAAAAAAAAAGAAAAAAAATCAGCCAGGTATGTTGGCTCATGCCTGTAATCCCAGCACTTGGAAGGCTGAGGCAGGAGGATCACTTGAGTCCTGGAGTTTAAGATCAGCCTGGGCAACATATGGAGACCCCACTTCTACAAAAAATTAAAAATTAGTCAGACATGGTGGTATGCACCTGTGGTCCCGGCTACTTGGGAGGCTGAGATGGGAGGATCACTTGAGCCCGGGAGGTTGAGGCTGCCATGAGCCATGATCACACCACTGCACTCCAGCCTGGGCAACAGAGTGAGACTATGTCTCAAAAAAAAAAAAAAAAATCTTTATTGCAATCTTCTTTCCCATTTGCTTCAATCTAGGCTGCTATCCTGTAGTCCTGCTGCCCACTCCTTACCCTGGGACTTCCTTATCCCGCTCTCCTTTATTGTACACCTTGTTACCCAATTCCATGTCATCTCTTCCTAGATTGAATCCCTAGTTTAGATGATTTATATTTTATGGTGAATTACTAAGAAAAATAAACCTTTGAGAATTGTGTTTTGAGACTTTGTTATTTGCAAAATGGCTTTTATTATTTTCATATTTGACTGATAGCTCGACTGTGTATAGAATTCTGGGCTGAAATCTTTTTCTTTTCAAATTATGAAGGCACTGCTTCACTGCCTTCTAGCTTTCAGCTCTGCTGTTAAGAAGTTCAATGCTATTCTAATTCTTAATCTGTCTTATATTAACTGCCTTTTTCCCTCTGCAAACTTCATCCTTGGTGTTCTGAAATTATTCACTGTTGTGGCCTGAAGTGGCTTCCTTACTATTCCTCTATTAATTACAGTGGGTACTTAGTGGACCCTTTCAGTCAAGAAACTGAAGTCCTAGCTCTGGAAAATAGACTTGTATTTTTGGTATTTTTGTTATTGGATAATTTCCTACATTCTGTTGTCTCTATTCTCTCTTTCTAGAATTTCTATAAGCTAGATGTTGGTTGTCCTGAAAGGCTCAATTCACTTATTCATTCAACAAATACTTACTGGGTACTCACTATGTGCCAGACATTACACTAAGTGCTGAGATTACAGGGATAGACAAGATAGACAATGTCTCTACCTTCAGGAAACTTAACTGATTACATATATTTTTTTGTACTTCTTTTTTTTTTTTTTTTTTTTTGAGATGGAGTCTTGCCCTGTTGCTCAGGCTGGAGTGCAGTGGCACGATCTTAGCTCACTGCCATCTTTGCCTCCCGGGTTCAAGCGATTCTCCTGCCTCAGCCTCCCTAGTAGCTGGGATTACAGGTGCATGTCACCATGTCTGGCTAATTTTTGTATTTTTGGTAGAGACAGGGTTTCACCATGTTGGCCAGGCTGGTCTTGAGCTCCTGACCTCAGGTCATCTGCCCATCTCGGCCTCCCAAAGTGCTGGGATTACAGGCGTGAGCCTCCGTGCCCGGCCTCTTCTTTAATTTTCAATCTCTGTCTTTTGGTTTTAATTTCTGGCCTAATTCTTTACTTTTATCTTCCAATTCTTTAATTTTTTTTTTCTGAAGCTATTACATTTTTAAATTCCACATTCTCTGAATTATGGAAGCAATATTAGTTTATTTCTTCAAGGGCATTTTTTTTTTAAAGATTTACTTCTGCTGTATACATAATGTGTTTCTTCTCAGTGCTTTTAATTTGCTTGCTTAATCATTTATTTGCCTTGGTTTCTTTTTTGTTGATTTACTCAAATATTTGGTGATTCTCAACAATTCATTTCAATTTTAGTGTAAGGCAGTGAAATGCTGAGAGAAAGTTCTTGGGTATAGGTACAAGGTTTGTTGACTGTAGGATGAGTGAATATAAGCTCTCTCTTTTTTTTTTTTTTTAAGAGATAGAGTCTCCCTATGTTCTCCAGGCTGAAGTGCAGTGGCTATTCATAGGTGCAATAATAGTGCACCACAGCCTTGAACCCCTGGGCTCAAGTGACCCTCCTGCCTCAGCCTCCCAAGTAGCTGGGACTATAGGCATGCACCACTGTGCTCAGTTTAACCTCATTTTTGTTGAACAACGACATAACCTCATTTTTGGTTGAATGTCCCCAAAGAATCAGTGTCTGCAAGTCTTTTCTCTAGTTGGTATTCTTCCATTATTCAAAAAAAAAGGGTGTGGGGGAGGTCTTCCAATCTCCAACCTTGAGGATTACAGAAGCAAGTTGAAAATGAAGTGGGAAACCTAGAAGTCTAGTAGCTGTATATATACACTTTGAACCAATCATCCTGCTTCCAGCCCCTTGCCTCAGACTGCCTTCCCTGTCACCTGCTGCCTCCAAATTCTGACTTGTTTTGGGGCTCTACAGAGATTATTGGCCCACTCCTTATCCAAATGATCTACAGACACCAAAGCTGCAGCTCCCTCCAGGCTGCCAAGTGTGTTCCAAAAAAGTTTGTTTACATCTCTTGTTTATGTCATTGTCATCTCCTCTCCATTTCTCTTTGCCTTTGTAGATATATATCTTTTCATTCCTTAACTGACATTTTAACAGGACTTCAGGGAGAAAATAATTTAAAAATCAATTCACCTTATTTAACCAGAAGGCTTAACTTTTTCTAAGGTGTTGCTTCAGAGGCTTGCTTTCATTTTCCAAAAATGACGTTAAGGATGGTACCTTTTACTAACTCATTTTTCCTTTCTGGCTCACTGTGAACAAGTAACTTCTTACAAGATTTTGACGATTAAACAAACAAATAAACAAAAAATACCATCATCTGCCTTCCCTTAAGTACAATTGCTTCATGTAAATCACATCTTCTAATTAACTGTATTAAAAGTAATTATTCATCATCCAAAGCTAACACAGCATGTTGTAGTTCTCTAGACACTATAAACCATATCTTTAAACAGCAATGCATTTTAATTATCAGGATTTTCATTATTATATTTTAAAGTAGTATAACAGAGTTTACATAAAATATAATCAATGCTACTGGGGAACCAAAAGAATAAGGGACAAAGTACAAAATTCGGAATTTTTTTTCTTCCATTTCAACAGGTCCTCTCCCATCCCCAGCCCCAAAATACAGCCCCGAGCCAGATGGCAGCCAAGAAAAACAACTTCTCCATCTCTGGGCACCAATTCTTCTAACTGAGGAGGTGTATTAAGAAAAAAGCTCTGTTTCGTGAGTTACCAGGAAGGTAAAATTAAAAAAAAAAAAAAAAGAAGAAGAAGAAAGAAGGAAACAAAGAGAGAAAAAAGCTCCAATTTTCTTGAAATAGGCCCAAGAACAAACTTTATACTATTGCTTTATATCTACAAAGAGGCTATGAAACTCTGAAAATGACTCAACTTCTTAATACTTAAAATTCAATACTCTGTATTTATGAAGGTCAAAATATACAAACTTCTTGGTATATTGGATGGTATGTTACTTGGGGTCTATTTTGAAAAGCACCAATTCCACAACATATATTAATCATCTATCTTTCCTATATATTTACTATAAAATATCATTCTGGCTTTTAAGCAAGAAGCCAATCATTTTGGCTTCTTGTTATGAAATTCTTACCTGATGACACGGTCTCTCCCAACATTACCTTGCAACGCTTACAAATTACTTTGGTATTTGCCTTTGGTTCCTGTAGAACAGAAAAATGTCATTTAAATGTCATTCAGCTTTTCTTAAAAGGAATATATAATTTTAACATAGTCCCCAGAGTATACATTGAACTTTACATTTTATTCTGCCCTCTACTAAATACTGGGAATACATTTAGCTTGTATGCATAATTCACATGCACAGAGAAAATTTTTCAAGTCTTAAGAAACAGTAACACACAGATTCACTTTTCCAAAACCAGCCACTTCTTGATAGTCCAAAAGTTGCCAAATAATTTGAATAAGTAGTACCTTATATTTCTAAAAAGCACTTCCAAATAGCCTTATAACTTAAAACAGGCAGATGGTGGGCAACAAAGACAGGGTTGATGACTTGCCCCAACTCATGTGTATAGAACACAGAAGAATCAGAACTTGAACTCACACTATTTTGACTCCTAGTCCAGTGTAATTTATGTAAAAGTAACCCATAACCCTTAACTACAATAAATGAAAAGTTAAAAATATCTAGTCTGTTCATATACTTCCATTTTTTCCACTTAGGATCGGCACTGTAACTGGAAAGACAGGCAGTGCTCTGGGACAATTCCTGAAACAAACCTAAGCTTCAAAAATCCAAATTCGCTATTTGAGATACAGATTAAAATAGCTAGCATTTGCCTAATCAATAAAGAATATGCCTTTTCCCATCCATAGTTATACCTTTGTTAAAACCATACATTCCTCTCGTCCAGATATACTGTAACAAGGCAGAAGCCATATACAGTGGGCAGGGAAAAGGAGGTTCTACAACTCTGGATACTCCAGGGTACCTTTCCTGGGAAACCACAGAATAGGTGTAGGCTGAAGTAAAGAAGGGCAGTGACTTCTGATGTGGGATAATATGTGTATTTAATCTAAGGAAAAAAATTTTAACTGATTAATATACATTTAAGTATTTTTTCTTTGGCATAAATAATTTCCTGAAAAATTGAATAAAAAGTACATTTAAACTGAGTTCCATGGAAGTGCTGCTAGATTCAGACAGAGCTGATGTCTGAATCTGGGTCTCTCTGATGCTAAAGCTTCTGAACACTATGCTAAGTGTTTTCCAAACAACAGCTCATGTGCCCCATTAGTGGGAACCAATTCATGGAACCAATTCAGTGGATTACTGTGTTTTGTTTTTTTTTGTTTTGTTTTATTTTGTTTTGTTTTGAGATGGAGTCTTGCTCCATTGCCCAGGCTGGAGTGCAGTGGCGCGACCTTGGCTCACTGCAACCTCCGCCTCCCGGGTTTAAGCAATTCTCTGCCTCAGCCTCCCTAGTAGCTGGGATTACAGGCACCTGCCACCATGCCCGGCTAATTTTTGTAGTTATAGTAGAGATGGTTTCACCATCTTGGCCAGGCTGGTCTTGAACTCCTGACCTCGTGATCCACCCACCTTGGCCTCCCTAAGTGCTGGGACTATAGGCGTGAGCCACCACACCAGGCCTACTGTGTTTTTAAAAAATGAAATACAATAGAACAGAAAATATGACAGTGCTTCAAACACTGAGTAAGTACTGCTTCAAGAAACTTTTATTTGAGGTGTGTTTGTGTATGTGTGCATGAGTGTATGTGTGTTATCAGATCTTGATGTAAAAAAATATATTCAATGCTGGGCACCATGGCTCACACCTGTAATCCCAGCACTTTTGGAGGCCAAGGCAGCCGGATCATGAGGTCAGGAGTTTGAGACCAGCCTGACCAACATGGTGAAACCCCTGTCTCTACTAAAAATATAAAAATTAGCTGGGCGTCGTGGTGCGCGCTTGTAGTCCCAGCTACTCAGGAGGCTGAGGCAGGAGAATCACAGGAACCCGGGAGGGGAAGGTTGCAGTGAGCCGAGATTGTACCACTGCACTCCAGCCTGGGCAACAGAGCGAGACTGACTCTCTCTCTCTCTCTCTCTCTCTCTATATATATATATATTCAATCAGGGGTCAAAGTCAAGAGCAACAGCACAATTCATACTGGGGTCTTTCTCTATGGCCTATTCTTTCCCCCAGCCTCAAACACATGCAACTAGTAAAAAAATCCGTAAATGCCTACAGCTCTTCTATTTAAAAACTTCTGAGATGAATCCCTTCATACACTGAATTAACCTTCAGTAACATAAACACTTATTCCATTTTTTCCTGGTCTAGCTGCAGTATTTGGACAGATTCTGCAGCCTTCCTCAAAAGTCTCTGCTGAGGAAACAAAAGCACACATGAACTTCATAAGTCAGTTCAGTCCTGGCTCAAACTTTTATCCAGGCACACTCCCAAAGTGGGCCCCACAGTGTGCCATCTCTGGCCATTGCACTGACATCCTTATCAGGCACATCACAAATGGCAGGTCTCAGAGCCTGACCCAGGTGGGAAACTGGATGGTGTCATACCCATGAGAGGTAAGAGACAGACACAGAAACCTAGGAAGGTGCCAATTTATTCAGGTCCAGGAGGAAGAGAACTCAGAAAGCCAGTATGGTCTACAAAGGGTGCCATTCTGGCAGTTTAATGCTTTCTTACAGTAAAACATACCTGCATGGCTCCAAGTTGATATTAAAAATATTTTTTAAAGAGTACTATTTTATACAAGTTAAATCTGATCACACTCATTAAATGTTACCAAAAACTAAGGGCTTTATTAAAAACTAATATTGGTATTGTAATAGCAATGCTTGAAAAGAAAGAATTTTTCTATTTGAAGCAGAAAATTTTTTTTCAAGTGCTTTGATATGTACTTCCTTTGTAACTGCCATCACAGAACATCTCACTTTGTCTTTCAAGGGGGCAGGAGAAGTGTTTTTTGTTTGCTTGTTTTTAAAATAAGATTCTATCCTTATCAGACATGGGTAATCAGGATTTAAAAATCAGCTCAACAACAACCAAATTACCTCAATCACATGTGTGGCTCCTGATTCAAACAAACCTATGCTAAAAGATTCTTTTAAGACAATTGATAAAATCTGTATATGGCCTGGTAGTATATCATCAAGGAATAATTGTTAATTTTATCAGGTGTGATAACGGTGTGGCTACATTTTTTAAATTCCTATTTTTAGATGTAGGGATAAAATGACAAGACTGTTTTAAGCATTTCAGGAAAAAAAGAGCAGATGAAGCATACTTAATGAATCCATATTGAAATTCACAATACTATTCTTCTTATACTTGTGAATACTTACAGAGTTTGACAACACATTTTTCTAAGAAAACAAAAAAGACACACTTATGGATTTAACAAAACAAATTACCAAAAGCAACTAATAATTACTAAGTACTCCAAGAAAGAAAAAAAGGTAAAGATGTTAGTCATCCTTGCTAGCAGTAATATTAATGTAATCAAAGATCAATTTTATTTGCTCTTTAAAAAAGAGTGAAGCCTTGAATAATATTTTGACTCTTATAAAAGGATGAAATGCCATCCTTATCGTCTATTATATAATTTTTTTTTTTAGACAGTGTCTCGCTCTGTCACCAGGCTGGAGTGCAGTGGTGCAATCTTGGCTCACTGCAACCTCTGCCTCCCAGGTTCAAACGATTCTCCTGCCTCAGCCTCCTGAGTAGCTGGGACTACAGGCCCCCGCCACCACACCCGGCTAATTTTTTGTAGTTTAGGAGAGACAGGGTTTCACCATGTTGGCCAGGATGGTCTCAATCTCCTGACCTCATGATCCACCCGCCTCAACCTCCCAAAGTGCTGGGATTACAGGCATGAGCCACTGCGCCCGGCCCAAGATGCAAAATTTGTATTATGTGGGCAGGCACAAAATAGCACAAGAGAGGTGATAAATGAATACACCAATAGGGAAATCTTCAGCAGGTATCTTTTAAAAATAAGTAGATACTGCTGCAATAACAAAGCCTCCAATAAAGTATTATAAACTCTAAAAGGCTATGGAAGAAAAGAAAGTGTTGGGCTTCATGTTTGTTTGTGCTGTTTTTAAAAGCAGATCTTTTTAATTAAACATATTATAGCACATAAATTTCATTTAAAGAGAATCTCTGCTTTGTAATGCATTTTTCTTCACCTATCCTTCAAGGAAATAATAAGGCAAGTTGTGTAATGAAGCAGCCTAACAGTGTGGGAACTCTACAGAGCAAACCTCAAAGACAGACATTGTTGTGCACTAATTAAGTCAATATATCTGAGACACCACAGGGCTGCTCAGAGAGGTGGATTAGCCTCGTGTCCTCCCTTTTATTTTCCCTTTGTGTCGTTTCAATTTCTAAGGACCCTTGATATTGTCTCATCAAAAAAATGTTTCCCAAGAGATACCATTAGGATGCTTTGTTACTATGTGACATTTCAAAACCCTGCTAGATGGCTAGACTGGGTGATAGGAGAAATAGGTTTTCAATAGCACAGAACAGCCTTGTTCCCACAGGAGCCTTGAGAGCGCTGTTTACGCAGTCCCTCCAAATTTATGTTTCTATTTTGGTCACAGGCACACTCTTTGGACTGCTACAATATACAATTAAAGAGGGACTTTCATCTAGGCTAACTTGAAGAAAATCTTTTCAACAGCATCTTGTCTTGATAGTACAGAATTTCCCACAGTCTCCTTGATACTAAAACTGTAATGTCTAAAAATATGATGGGTCTTTCTTTAATGGATAAGATAGCTGTTTACTATGAAGAGAAATTCTTGTAAATGGCATCACATAACTGATAAAGATGTAAATGTGATGAATATATTTCAGCACAGAGTGCTGAGTTTATTTAAAAAGGGAAACATGGTTTCTCTGATTCAATCTTTCTCTACTACTTTTCTGCTCACAACTTCCAAATGTTTTTGAAATGTATAGCTTAATCATAAAGATGAAATTTAAAACACATATAAAGTATTAGTATATATTTAGATTAAAATACAAATTTAATTAATCATATTAAATATAACAAATATATATTAACTTACTATTTACCTTTTAAAATATAAAATGTAAAGTACTACATTTCACCAAAGTGAACCATATTTAGATAAAGGGATTTCTGTTTACAGTGTAAAATGAGGCACTTAAATAACTTTATCTGACAACAACTTAACCTCCACATTTGACGAATTTCCTTCATCTCCCTCAGAATAGTTCTATAAACTAATTTACAACCTAAGAGCTGCCCACCTACTGCATATTTCCTGCAGTCGCTCAGTTATTATTACAAAAATTAAATGAGTTCTGAATGAAATTTAAAATACAATGTTTTAGTTCCCACCAATAATCAGATGTTAAAATGATTCTCTGGGAATGATTTTACTTTTTAAATAATATCTGTATTGACTGGCCATCAGTGGAATGCTTTCTCACATGGGCCAAGCCAATGCCATTGATTTTCTTTTAAAATAAAGTAAAACACTTGTTCTCTGCAGTGAGAGAAAATTGCCTTCTTCCCAAAGCAACTTATGCAGCAAGAGCCACCTGACCTCACACTGTCAAGCACCAACTCAGACCCTGAAACACAAGCTTTATCTCCATTCCTGGGCTCCTCCATTCCTCTTTTTACTTGATGACATCTCCATTTATGACTTCAGCAGAAGTCTAGACTATGGGCAGAAATAGTAAAATACCTCAGCCTAATAGTATAGTAGATATCCTGGAGCAAGACAACACTTTTAACCTAAATCAGACTATTTAGGATAAAATGCACACAAATTATGCAATATTGTCCTAAGAACAAGAAAGCAAGACATTTTGTTTGTAAAATGGTAGCACTCGCAATTCTAAGCCTGCAGAGGTCTTCCTCTCCTTATTCTTCCAGGCGCCTGTGGCTGTTTTAGTTTAAAGCCATATGCTCTTCCTGTTTTGATAAAGCAACGATAGCGATGACAGTTGAAAATAATGAATTTTGGCCTTTACAGCAGTCTATGTAACAAGCCCTTAATTAGGAAAAGATTGAAGAAGTCAGTATCTAAGACAGCCTCTAAATTACCATTTATTTTGAAATGATATTTTACCAATTTACAATGGTTGTCAGAAGAAACACAGCACATCTCCACTGGGGATAGTTCAGGTCTTTGCTGCCACAAACTGGTTCTTAAATTCACCAAGAAGAAAGAGTCTCCAATAAAACAGTCATTCTCTTGCGGATGAAGTGATTTATTAGCAAAGGGGTCAGGATGACAACACCATTCTCCAACTAGAGCTCCCCAGTTCTCACTCGGCAGTGGGAGCACCCTGAGGAGCTTCCTAGTGGAAAGAGGAAAAATCATTTTTCACAGAACAAAATGATACTAACATTTTCTTAATTAAATGACCATAAAAGATGAAAGAAACTCATTAACCACAAGGTTTGCAATGCTAATTTTTTCCCCAATTATAAAAGTAATATATACTCACTACAGCTAATTTTGAAAATGCAAGGAGGTATAAACAAGGAAAAATCATCCTTTATCTCACTACCCAGAGATAAGTAACTAAACATGACAGTGTATTTCTTTGCCATCCGTTCAAAAGATATATCTGTACATATCACACGAAGTTTGAGAATCGTGAATAAACATACTATATCTTGCTTTTGTTGTTTTATTTAGATGAATCCTAATTAGTCCACAATATTCTATTCCATAAGTACATCAAAACTTTTGAGATGATTCCCTCAACTGTTAGATATTTAGGTTTTGAGTTTTTCATTATCAATAACTCTGTGATGAATGTTCCTGTTAGAATATTTATGAACATATCTATTTTCCTTGGAAAGAATCCTATATAAGTGTGAGATGATAAGCACAAACTATATGCATATTTTAAAACCCAACACCTATTTGGTGAATTTCTTTTCAGAAAGGCTGTGCCAATCTATAATTCTTCCACTCACCCTTTTCATAAATGAATACTATCATTTTTCCATTTCTGCATTAGTAATAGGTAAAAGTATTTTCAATGCTGCTTTAACTGGCAACTCTTAAATTACTGGTGAGATTCATCTAGTTTTGCTACTTATAGTCTACTGTGTTTCTTCTGTGAATTGTGATTAGTGACTATTTTCCAGGGTGGTATTATTATGTTCTTATTAATTTGTAAAAATGTGTTCTATATTAAGAGTATTAGCCTCATGCTTATTAATCTGTTACAAATTTTTTTGGTGTTACTGCCTTTTATTTTGGTTTACGTGTCTTAATGGTCAGATCACCTAACAACTTTCTTCTATAATTTCTTCTATTACTATATTTTAGTAAACTTTTCATTTTGGAATAACTTTAGATTTACAGAAAACTTACAAAGGTAGTGTATTAGTTCCCATATACACTTCACCCAGATGGACCTAAACTTACTATTTTATGGTACCATGGTAGATTTGTCAAAACTACACACTTTGAATTCCACCTGTTTTTCCACTAATATCCTTTTTTTCTGTTCCAAGATCTAATTTATGATAATACTTTGCATTTAGTCATCATGTCTCCCTAGTCTCGTCTGGTCTATAACAGTTTCTCAATATTTCCTTATTTTTCAGACACTTGAGATTTTTGCAAAGATCAGGTATTTTACAGAATATTCTTCAATCTGAGTTAGTCTAATATTGTCTCAAGATTAGGCTGGTGGTATGGATTTGGGGAAAGAATCTCACAGAAGTGAAATGTACCTTTCTCATCACATCAAATCAGAGAATATATCATATCAACACAACTTAGTGATGCTAATCTTGATAACTTCGTTAAGGTGATATATGCTAAGTTCCTCCTTCTAACAAAACACAAATACTAGTAAATTAATGTACATTCAGATGTTATAAGTTAAAACATTTAAAATGTGAATGCTACTTTTTTTTTTTAACAATTCCCCCATGTTAACCATTTTCCTTTGATTTCCCCAATCAACTGAGTTGCATAAAAGGGCAATTACAGTTCAGAAGAGGGTACACAATTTATAACTGCAGAGGACAAAGCTAGAAACAAGAAAGGCTGATTTTAGTTTAACATAAGGAAGAACTTTTCCTTTGAAATTAGTATATGCTGCACCATTGGTATCATCAAAGTGCTGAGCCTGTTAAGCATACTGAGAAGTGATTCTTTCAACGTACATTTCCTATAAGTCTACTATGAATAAGGCATTCTACTGGCACAAAATATGAACACATACAGTCCGTCTCTCTTAAGGTACTCATGTTCTAGTAAGAAATATAGACCTACAAACAAATAACAAAAGCACATGTTATAAATGCTGGTAACAGAGTAACGGTTCTAAATTCTTGCAGTTGGCGGGGGGGGTGGGCGGTGGCACCGGGGGAGCAGTACAGATCCCTTTGAATATTTAAGAAAAGTGTTAGCCTCTTTCCTCAAATGTACATTTCTACAAGCACACAAAATCTGCATATTACTTTAGGGGATTCATGGATCCCCAAGACCAATCCATGAATTCAAGGCAATAAACACAAACTGCTACAAGAATAGATTGTACACAGACTTCAGAGAAGAGGTAACATCTGAGCTGGCCTTTGAAAGATAAATAGTAGTTCTCCAGGCAGTGAAAGGAATTAAGGGCATCATGGAAGAGACAATATGAAGGTAGATGCCATATATGTTTACCTTGCCACTGTATTTCTACTGTCTTACATTGCTCCTAACGTATATCATGAGCTCTTAAATATTTGTTGAAGAAATGAACTAGCGTATTTTGATAACTATAATGTGTGAAGCCCCTGGTTGCGTCTGTTGCACACTGGAATTAAGGGGTTAAAAACCTTTTCCCTTGCTGCTTGAGAATCTGATCTTTGGTTTAGCCACCTAGCTCTGTTACCCTGGAAACCAGGTAAGAGCTTAGGCATCCACAATATTGCTAGGCAACACTGCTTACGGTAAAAATGATCCTTGGTTGGTAAACTGCATCTGAACCAGGAAGAAATATGAATGAGCTGTAAATGTCTGATAGGACACTTTGGCCTTCCCTGAATGCAGTTTCTTCTTGGGAACCCTACAAACTATATCAAGAATTGTTACAAGAGATACTGGCTGCTTAAGGCAGGAGGCTTCTTCTGAGCCAGGGCAGCTCCCGTACCTCCCTGATGTGGAGCTTAGGCTTTGTACCTGGAACTACGTCGTGTGGGGAGACAACAGTCCCCAGAAAGGTATGTGAGCTGTCATTTGTGCAAACATGCAGAGCCCCTGCTGAGAGGAATTCTTGATGCTGCCCTGCTGGCAAGCTGGCAAGGAATGTGGCCTGTGGTAGCCTTGTGAGTCCACATGTTTAGTTAACTTAAAAAGACCCTTGGTGGCCACTAAACACACCTTATTTCATTTAATGCTCGCAACAACTTTGAGAGACAGGAAATACCATTTTCCTGTACAGAGGAGGAAAGTGAGGCTCAGAAATGTTCAATAATCTGCATTAAGCCGGGCTCGGTGGCTCATGCCTGTAATCCCAGCACTTTGGGAGGCCCAGGCGGGCGGATTACGAGGTCAGGAGATCAAGACCATCCTGGCTAACACGGTGAAACCCCGTCTCTACTAAAAATACAAAAAATTAGCCGGGAGTGCTGGCGGGCACCTGTAGTCCCAGCTACTCCGGAGGCTGAGGCAGGAGAATGGCCTGAACCCGGGAGGCGGAGCTTGCAGTGAGCCGAGATCGCGCCACTGCACTCCAGCCTGGGCAACAGGGAGACTCCAGCTCAAAAAAAAAAAAAAAAAAAAAAAAAATCTGCATTAAGTTCACAGAATCAGAAGTGATCAGTAACGGCAGGTCCTTAGAATATATTCCTTCCCTGGCAATGCAGAACAGCCATAGAGGAGGAGACTTGGGCAGGTAGGATGGTGGCAAACTGTGTGGGGTGTTCCAGGCCACGCTAAGGGGTAGGGACTTGGTACCTCAGGTGGGTAGGAAGCATTACAGAATTTTAAACAGAATAACAGGTCAGATTTGAATTTTACCAAGAAGAACCAGCAGAAGAAGAGGGCAAATAAATTGCCTGTTTAGAGTGGGAGGGAGTTAGGCCTAAATAGGTTCCTGGACTTTCTCCATCATTAAGATCTTTTGTCTCCTGACATACTGCATGTAGTGCCAATAAACAAACCCTCAATACAGTGCAAAAGACAACAATGTCAAAACCCCCTACATGATCAGGGAAATAAAATTGCACCAAGATTTACAGAGATCTGGGAGACAACTCACATTAACACAAAATATGATATTTTAAACTTAATGTGACCATATATCATGTGAATAAAAGCTATAATATGTCCTAGAACCATCTACATAAGACAGCAGGAGCAAGAAAGTGCCTAATCTGCAAGTCATTGCAAAGATAAAAGAGTTTTTAAAGCAGAAAAAATTTTTTTGATGTTTTGAAGAAAACATAAAACATTTAAGAACAAAAGATTTTAATCATTGCTTTACTGAAAGCATATTTATCTAAAACCCTGAAAAATATACTTTGATATGATCTACTTCCCAAGAGAACTTTCAAAATAAAATACATACCATTTTTTTCAAGGTTAGTTTTTAGGTAGAAACCTGGTGGAGCTCAAAAAAACAGTGAAACGATTTCCTGAATTTTCTCTCAGCCTAAGATTCTATAATGAACAGCAACACAAATTCACAATAAATTAAAATTTCCTAGTTATTTTTAATGTACCATGAGCATAAACTTTTAGAAAACTTAAAATATCCAAATGATATTGATGTTTAATACTTAAACATATACACAAGAAAATGCATGCCCCTTTAATAGAGGCAAAGAAAAATGAAGAATGTGAAAATAAAGGAACATACATAAGGAAAATAAAATTATGCCCCTTAGCTTTAAAATGATCCATTAATCAGTGATAATAACAATGGTAATAACAGCTTCTACAGACTGGATTATAATCAAGTGGACATTAAGAATATTAGTAACATCAACTATCTAAAGCTCAAAATATGGCTGCTGGAATTAGATAAATTCAGGTGACATTCTCTGACTGGCAGGCCACAAATCCTACAAAACTAGCTTTAGCACTTTAATATTATTACGTACATAGTATGATTTGAGCCATAAAAGTATAATTTTATTCCAAAAGTTTGTACAGTGTTACCAATAGTGCAGTTGGTGACTGTACTCTTTTTTAACCTCTTTGTAGAAATGTGACTGTATTCTTGGGAGTAGTTATTTTCAGGTTACAATTGTAGCTGGTCTGCCAAGTGGATCAATCAAGTGGTTGGATATCCTGACATCTCATGTTTCCCAAGATCCCATCTTGCTGGTTTCCCTCTAGGGTCTCAACGCCCTCATGAGATCTAGGCTGACACCTAGCACTACCTTACCAGTGCAGGGAGAACAGGGCGAACCATCCAGAGACCTCCGGAGAGCCACTCTGTTTCAAATCATCTGAAAATCGAAAGGCTTGAGTTTGAAAGTTTGGCCAACTGATTTCATTCACATATGAGATGAATTTATTTCTAAAATACATAAATTCCAAACACAAGGACTATTTGGCTGTTTCTGAGACTATTCACAACAAAATAAATTTTATTATTATTGCTGGATATTAGGGCCCATTAATCTTAACAAGAGCATAATAAAAAATTACATACATTCACACAAATTTTATAGAAAAACTGCTAATCTGGTAAAATGTAAATTGGAGAATTTTATTATAAAGAAATGAGGCATTATTTGGTTTCAAATAACCACAACAAATAGCTAAGAACATGTGACCTTAAATTAAGAAAAAACATTGCTATAATTAGCAGATATCATGTGTCCTGGTGCTAGTATTAAAAGCCATTAATGAGTCTTACTGTTTAAACTGTCCTCTATATCTTATTTCTATAATTAATTTGACAAGAACCTTTTTTATTTAAAAAAAAAAAAAGAATAAGCATTAGTCCCAGACTATCAAATAATCATGAATCACAAAGTACATGAAACCCCAAATACAAATGAGGTTCATTGATCAGGTAATTTTCATGTTTCATAGCACTCTAACAGGTTTATCTAATCCAACGTCCTCATTTTGCAGATGAGGAAACTGGACCCCAGGAAATTAATGTAACATGTTCCCAGATAATAAGACTAGCCAGTAAGCAGATCTTAACTCTGTTCCCCTGCTCCTACAGAGGTGCTCCCAATACAGATAAATCAACATATTCCAAGGTACCTTCCTGGGAAATATGTTTACAATTAGTTGATTTGGGGCACATACATGCTCTTTTGAAAACCTTTGGTCTTGTTTTCTATTTAATGAGCACAAAGTTGTCCTTACCACTCACATAAAACAGATAACTGCGGGAGAAATAAGAAGAACACTGGGTTTGACATTAATGGTCAACATGAAATCCATGTGCAGTTACTTAAGGAAGCGTCTTTTTCCATACAACTCAGTCACAGGGCATGCTACCTAAGAGTTACAGGTAAGCAAAGCCTTGAGTCATTTACTAAGGATTTCTCTGCATTACTGAAGAGGCATGCATATGCCAGGCACACAGGTGTGACATGAAAAGGTTTTTGGGTAAGCCTTGCTTAAATGAGGCAAAGGCTAAGTCAAGTCCACTGTTTCTCAGAGAGAAAAAGAGAAAGGGAATTCATTTCCTCGGCACCTGCAGAGTATGTGAATCACAGTCTTGAAACAAAAAGGTTTGAAACACTAAACTAGATAATTTGCTAGTTTGCTAATAAGAGCAATCTGGAAAAGGGGGTAGAAAGTCTATAAAACCAATTTAAAAGACCTTGTCGAGCATTAACTATTACATATGTTACATCCTTTAACTCTCTTGACAAGTTTGGAAAATAGGCCTTATTAGAAGGCTGTATTAGAAGAACCTGAGGTAGTACAAACACAACTTCCCAGCTACTAAGTCAAGAAGCTGGATTTCAAACCCAGGTCCCCATTCTCCTGCTCCTGCCTCCAGGGCCTGCCGATGGTCAGGGTTAGGGAGAGTGAGTGCTGCCCTTTTAGTTCTCAGTTCCATGACTGTAAAAGGGACTGACACAGAAGATACAGTTCCTGAACAGAAAAAATGGGGGCAACAGATAAAAGATTTTTCATATTATCATCCTGTTCCAATGAAACACAAATAACAGCCAATAATGAACCAGCATATCCTTTACTGTAAGCAGAACCCGGAAATACTGTTACACTGATTTAACATGTTCCAACTGTAACTTCTAGGAATCCCTATTGTTGTCTAGGAATGCATGTTTCAGAAACTTCTTCTGAGAATTCAACCAACGCCTAAAATAGATTGAGAGAAGGAAAACACTCTTGGTTCAACTACAATGTAAACTGAGATCCCCTGAACCTTTCAGGATAAAGTGGGCCTGTCACCGAGTACATGCAATAACTTCAACCCTTAGGTAATTCAAGCAAAGATGAGGTTCCCTCCTCTGCAAATTTAAAGTCACCTCATTTCTTACTCAAGACAGTCACTCTGAGGATCCTCCATTTGTAACCTCTCACTTATGCCAGAGTAACTCTGTGCCATCTCATCTACCTGGGACACTGACAGAAATCAGGAAGCAAGCAAGAGAGGTTGGTAGAAGGCCAAAACAAACATGTCAACGTTTATTCAATTCAACCCAGCAAAAATTGATTGAGAGCATACTATTTATGAGGGACAGTGCCTGATGCTGAGGAGGATGATGATGATGATAAGAACAGTAATTATAGCAGTAGCTAATACATACTGAATGCTTGCCACGTGCCAGGCACTGTCATAAACACTTAAACTCACTCCATTCTCCTAGCAACCATATGAGGTAGGTCCTACTGTTAGCCACATTTTTGCAATAAAAGAATTGAGGCACAGAATGGTTAAGTAACTTGCCCAGAGTCACACTGCTAGTAAATGGCAGGTGCAAACCTAGCTGCTCTGGCTTCTGAGTCTGTACTACTAGACAGACTCAGAAGGGACTACCCTGTACTGCACTCTCAAAAGAGTAGGGATAAAGGATACAGGGGACAACAAGATTATCTGCACTCCGAGAGCCTACAGTTTAATTGTGAAGACAGGCAAATAAACCTTAGACGAACACCTAAACCAACCCAGGGTTGAGAGAAGGCTCATAACAGTACCTGTCCCGTCAGCTGAATTCTGAAGTTCAGGTAGGAGCCAACGAGGGGGAGACAGAGTGTGGGGTGCATTCCTCCAGGAAAGGAAGTCACTTTCATAAGGCCCCAGGGTGAAAAAATATCATGAAAAGGCTGTGGGGCTGCACATTGATCACCAGAGCTGTGTACAGAATGCCAGTCAATAATGGCATGTTTTTTTGGGGGAGGAGGAATAGGTTGGGGAAAGAGATATGAAATGTGAGGGTGGAGAGGTAAATAGAGGTAAACTCATAAAGGTCCTAATGTAGCATGTTTCTGGAATTTATATTGGAGAAATGGGGGGCCATGGAGGGGTTTGACCAGCAGAGCCTGATGCATTTGAGAACAATTACTTAGCTGTGCTAAAATAGATCAGATGAGAGGACAAAACTACAGGGAGGCTCAATGGATGAGGAGTTGGCAACAAGTGTAATTAGGTGAACAAACAGTAGCCTCAACTAAGGTAGAGGCACTGGGATGGAGGAAAGTGGACTTATGTAAGACATGCTATGAAGAAAGTAGCAAAAGAACTTGGCAACTGATATGGGGGGAACCCCTTAGAGCAAGCTGACCCACGTTAGAGCATATGGCCCAAAGGCTTTGAATGTGGCCCAACACAAATACGTAAACTTTCTTAAGACATGAGATTTTTTTGGCAATTTTTTAAAAACTCATCAGCAATTGTTAGTGTTAGTGTATTTTATGTGTAGCCCAAGACAGCCGAAGGCTTGGACTCCCCTGCCTCCAGAGGGAGGAACTTCTGGCAACACCAGGTTTCTACCTTGAGGACACAGGTAGAAGTACAGCATTACTGAGATAAGGAACACTGGAAGAGAAGCAGGTTTCAGACAGGAAGGATCCGTTCACTTATAAGTCTTAGGAACATGGCTCAGGAAACCCATCTAATAAAGAACTCTAAATTCTTTAAATAGTATTAACAATAATTAGGATTTAATCTGTCTCTCCAGCTGATGAATGACTCGTGGCTGAAATTTTAGGAGGAAGGGTTTGTGCCCAAGAAACAAGAAGGCTGACATGAGGGACAAAAGAAAAAGAAATTAAAAAGCCTTAGGGACTGTAAAAAAACCCAAAAACAACAACAACAACGAAAAAACCAACAAAGAGTCCTTCCCATCTCAACAGGGCAATCACAGCACATGGCAAGAATAAATGACAAAATTAACCTAATCATTGACAAAAGGTTAATTTGTGCTCTGTATGCTCTGTTTTAATAAGCAGGAGAAATAGGAAATGGATTTTAGAAAGGCACTGATAAAAACAGTTCAAATAAAAAGTTTTTGTGCAAAAGCTTGTTATGTGGAAAAAATCACTGAATGTGGAAAATGTCACTCAGCATCGTGTTGGATGAAATGTGACAGGTCCCATGTTTCTTTTCAGGAGGGAGGTGCTTCAGTGATCAGCACAGGTTTTCGGCCAAGATAAGCACTCCTCTCTCAAAGCCAGCATCCTAGTGCTCCCCTTTATGTCCCTAAGAGCTAATCACTCTGCGATTGCTAGCAAGTTTTGTGGCTAATTTTGTTCAAAGTGACATTAAGCTGGCTCTCACTTTAAGGCCATATACTACTCCATTGGCAATTACTTGAAAAATTCTGATAGAAAAAGAGATAACCATTGCCAGGCACAGAATTAATCAGTGTTAAATATATTCCTTACCTGTCTTTTATTATGACTTCACCGCAGGATTGGCAATAAAACGTGCAACATTCTTGGGTTTGCGAGCTTTGATTAAACATTGAAATCAGTTCTAAAGGAAGTCAATGAAATAGCTAATCTTAGAGATTGAAACAAATATATTAACATACTTAAACAGTTCAATAGCCACGATAAATTACCATCCATAAACAGTTTATGATCCACCCAGAAGTACACATTTAATTAATACTATCTGATGACTCAAGCAGAAGCAAATATTGTGAAGTGTTTTTGAAAACAACAGATTTTGCTAAGTGTTCCAGAGACAGGTACTGCTCTAGATTACGCATGTAGCATTTGTTAGTTCTCTCATTCTAAAAATACCAACATTAAGGATGAGTGAAAAAGAACTATTTCCTTCTCATCAAGCTAACTACACAGATCTCCAACATTCTCAGCTTCCCTCTGCTGTGTCTCACAATAGTGTTTCATCAGTGTGAACAAATAGAGCTCTTAAATTTGAGTTTAATTTTTTTTTTTTTTGAGATGGAGTCTTGTTCTGTCACCCAGGCTGGAGTGCAGTGGCGCAACCTGGGCTCACTGCAATCTCTGCCTCCTGGGTTCAAGCAATTCTCTGCCTCAGCCTCCCGCGTAGCTGGGATTACAGGCGCCCATCACCATGCCTGGCTAATTTTTGTATTTTTAGTAGAGACGGGGTTTCACCATCTTGGCCAGTCTGGTCTTGCATTCCTGACCTCGTAATCCCCTTGCCTCGGCCTCCCAAAGTGCTGGGATTACAGGCGTGAGCCACCGTGCCCAGCCAACTTTGAGTTTAATTTTATTTAAATAAGGTTTATGTCCAGTCTAGCATATAACCATATGAACAAACAAAGATCTCAAACTAATGTTTATTGGACACCTCCCTGGGAATGAAATGGCTCCAAAAAGAGTCCAGTTTTCCCAGATCAAAAATCAATTTCTAATGAAAGCTATGGTAAAACGTTGAAAGCTGTGGGGAAAAATGTATATTTCTCACACTATGGGAAAGAGCAGCATAAGGCCGCATGTTCCCTTAGTTTCTATTATTTCTTTTATGAAATAAGGAAACTTTCATTTAAAAGAATGAACTAAAATATGTCTATAAAAATCTAATTAAAGAAATGAGGTCATATCCATCAGAATCAAGCAATGTGGATTTGGTTTGTGTTTTTCTGTATGTATTTTAAGATTTTAAAAAACTGATGCTAGAAGGTTTACGCCTTGGCAATTAAAAATCTTAACAGTTTTTAAGGGGTGGCCAGAAATCCCTATAGCACTAAGGTGCAATAAACAGTATTATTCTTTAACTTTGAGCAGATTAAAAGGAGACCTAGGAATCCAAAATATTTTTTCCAGACCCACAAACAAATTTTCAGTGAAACACTACCCTCTGCTGGCCACCCAGCATGATGCACTGGGTCGGGTTTAAAATTCAGTTTCTGATATAGAGGAATCCTGGGAGAGCGTTGCTGCGGGGGATCAATCTAATGCGTGTGCTCTAATAGATCCTACTGTAGCTAGTTCCACACCGAGGGTCACAGTTTGACACTCAAAATAGCAGTATACCAGTATGATGTTTACTATAGTTGTCCTTAAAAGGGTGTTCTTAGCATTGAAAAGTCATCTTTTTAAAAAACCCTGAAACACAAACTGAAGGCTAAAACTTTCAAGTCACTTCCTACAAAACAGTTTGATTCAAGTTCACACCAGTACATATCTATTCATATTTATTCATTCCACAAATATTTATACACCATCTATTATATGGAAAGCACTCAGGCAATTAAGTGCTGAGGAATCTGTTTTGCATACTCTTTCATGCACTATGGAACAGGACTTTGATAATTTTCCTTTTCAGATATTTGAGCAAAATATATTAAAAGTGTAAAGAAATAGGAGACCAGTGAACACAAACAATATGCAAATCAGCACATAGCAGTCAATTTATTTTGTCCTATAGTTTAAACAATGTTTGCAGATTTAAATTTTTAAAAATAATTCCAGTTTTGATATTTGTATATTCAGTTACAGAATACAGAATATGGATGGGCAAAAACCCAATACTATGTCCCTGGTGGTCTCTATTCCTCCATCTCTAAAATCACAATCCCAGAAAACACTCCACTGTGGCTTTCATGCTTGCCTTTCCCAAATCTCAGAACCCAACACAAAATTCCTGCTGTGGTTACTCTTGTGAAAGAGGTAACTGTTGTGAAGGAGAAGGTGATGACAACACAACATCCAGCCTCCCATGGCCTCTTCCCTGAAACAACACTTTCTCTGCCCATTATTAGGTGCAATCAGGGAGTCTACTTCCCAGCTCGGTGACCCTAACCTTCTTGCTATGGTTATTCCAACAGTCATTCCTAGTATTTATCCTACAACATTTAAGTGCCATGACATCTCTTTTCCCTACCCTTTGTTCCTAAAACTAACCCTGCCCAACTCAAACTAGTTATTCACTAACCCAGGACTTGAGCAAAAATTGCTCTCCAGTAAAAAAGAAATGAAACCCTCTCTATCTTCTCTTTCCTCACAAAAGCCAAGAGCACAGACTCAGGGGAATACTCAACATCTCCTAAATGGCTCTTCCAAACACTCCTCCTGACCCCATCTCCAGGATCCACACAGCGCAGATGAAAGGTTTATTACAGATGAGGCAGCAGCGAAGTGTCAGTGTGCAGCTGAAAGAATTACAATCTTTCTCTGATAATAAACATCACATAAGTCTTTTACAGCCTATTTCCCCCTTTGACATAATTTTAATCCCCCAAAGCATATATTACGTACATTGTAATAGATGTAATGAACCAATAATTTTATACAATAAATAACCCTGAGGTCTTAGAAAAAGCAAATTTTCCACTGCCTTACCGAATCATTATACCAGTTACAAAATGTTGTAAATATAACAGGCATAGTAAAAGTTAAAATCAAATTAAGTATCAAACTCAACTGTAGGACCTTTTGTGTACTGTTTTCTCTATTTGGAACAGTCCCCACATGGATAGGATTTCCTTATTCAGGACTCAGGTCAAACATTACCTCCTCAGAGTGGCCTTCACTGATCATCCTTCAGCCAACCCTAGTCACTCCCTATCCCATTATTCTGTTTTATATTATCATAACACTTTTCTTAATATTTAAATTGTTTGCTCATTATCTGCTCCCACCAATTAGAATGTAAGCTCCATGAGAGCAGACACCTCCCCTACCTTGTTCACTCTGTATCCCCAGAACCTAGATTGATGCCTAGCACATAGCACAAACCAAAATATTTGTTGAATGAATAAATTTCCATGTAATGCTTTAAAATCAATCAGGTCTTATACAACTGCCATCTGATTTAATCTTCCCATCTGTGAGCCAGAAAATTTTACAATTAAAGAAACAAGGCAGTGGGTAAATGGGAAATCTCTATACTTTCTGCTCAATTTTGCTGTGGGTGGAAAAGAAAGAAGGAAGGGAGGGAGGGAAGAAGCCTCAGAAAGGTTAAGTAACATGTTCAATTGCATACAGCCAATAACTGGCAGAGCTGACAAAGACCCTAGAGCTTCTCAACCCCTTCACCTGGGAAAAGTTCAACTTATCAAAGGAAAAATCACCTTTGGTTTATAACAAAAAGGTAAATACAGCAGCAGAAGTGCTAATATTACTCACTTGTGCCTAATTTTGCTTGCGTCTGCAGTCGCAGGTGCAGTCCATCTCCAACAACAAACTGTAGCCCACGGCAAGAGGAAGGTACAAGCCTGACCTCTGCTGGAAGCTGGATTTCTGTGCAGCCTTCAGGGGTTTTCATCTGGAGTGAAGATGGCATTATGGAAATATTCATGGGCATACCTCCTTCTTTCGGTTCTCTGGTAATTAAAAACAAAACCCAAACAAATTATTTCTCACAATGAAAACCACATGATGAAAGAAACAAAAATGGCCAAGGATCTCTTTCTTCCTCTTCAATAGGAGCTCTAAAGTCACTGCCCCAGAAAAACAGCAGCAAGCAGATCATAAAGGAAAGCAACCTACACTAGATTTAGATCTGATCAGAGTGCCCTTCACCATCACCATAATATGCAAGTCCTGGGACAGATTTTTGGTTCTTCCTTCTGAGAAGAGCACTAAAATAATGTTTTATAGTAAATCAGAGCAAAGTACTGTTATTTCATATACAAGATTTTAATAAAGAGACCAAGATTCAGTGAAACAATGATACAAGACAAAAACCTGTCAATTTTAAGAATAAAAAGAATTAATGAAGAAAACGATACAGTGATGTATGAATATCAGGTGTGAAAGGACTTACTAATCCAATTCAGAGCAAACACAAATTACTCAGTATAGGCAATAAAGAGTAAAACACAGTCCCTGTCAAAAGCCCCCAGGCATCAAAAGTATAGAGGGGATAAAGGCATCTATGGAAATGACCCTCCTCTGAAACTGCAATACGCTTAGCAATGCAACAGAGGTACAAAGTACCATGGCTCCCTCTTAAGTGCAGACAGCAGGTCATCCACATGGTGTCAACTAAGTGCAGACAGCAAGCCATTTGCTTGAGTGTCATCTGAGTACAGAGGGTAGACCATGTGCTCAGGTGTGGATCTTGGTTAGGCCTTAGAAATCTGCCTTAGAAAATCTTATAGCTACTTTCTGGCTAGTTCCTTTTCAAAGCATATGGATCTGCACTTAGTTAGCAATACAGAATATTAAGCATCTGAGTTTTTTGCAGGGATGACAGTTTCAAACCTGAGTCAAAAGTTCAATTTCAAGAAATGGTGTTTAAGAAATAATGATCCTCTAAAACAAGAGTCAGCAACTTTATTTCTGTGAAAGACCAGATAGTAAATATTTTAGGCTTTATGAGCCATGTATGGTCTCAAAGTAGAATACATATTATACTTTTTATTTTTTAAAAAACAACCCTTAAAAAATGTAAAATCAGCAGGTCGAGGTAGCTCACTCCTCTAATCCTAGCACTTTGGGAGGCTGAGGTGGGAGGATGGTTTGAGCCAAGAAGTTTGAGACCAGCCTGGGCAACAAAGCAAGGCTCTGGCTCTACAAAAAAATAAAAAATAAAAAATCAGCTGGGTATAGTGGCACGCACCTGTAGTCCTAGCCACTCAGGAGGCTGAGATGGGGAGGATCACTTAAGCCCAGGAGGCTGCAGTGAGCCATGATCACGCCAATGCATGTCAGCCTGGGCGACAGATCAAGAACCTGTCTAAAAGAAAAAAAGATACAGAAGAAAAATCCAACTCTTAGCTCACAGGCTGTACCAAAACAGGCTGCAGGTAGGATTTGGCCAATGGGCCATAGTTCTCTGACCACTGCTCTAAAGATAACACAATGTCCATTTGCTACCTCAATGACTTTCAAACTAGACTGTGTAGAGTTGACACTTCCAAGTGCCGCAAGAGATACCACTGGGTTCCTAAGTCCCCATTGCCACCCCATCTCTGGTTTATCACATTTCTTCCCAGTCCCAAAAACTTTAGTCATTTTATAGGGCCAAGCAAGAGAAGCATCATTGCAAGGGTGGTGACACAGTGGCCCAGCACGGATTTGAGAAACTAAGCAGACTGTGGAGGGCATCCATAGGGCCAAGCAAGGGAGGCATCAGTGCAAGGGTGGTGACACAGTGGCCCAGCATGGATATGAGAAACCAAGCAGGCTGTGGAGGGCATCCACCAGGAGGACCACTCAGCAGGGGTGTCAAATCCCAAGACAGGTGAGGAGGAAATCTGAACAGGAGGTGAGGCCAGCTCAGGATGGGGTTTCAGAGCCTGTCTTAGCTCAGCTGCTATAACAAAATACTATAGATGGGTGGCTTAAACAACAGACATGGCAGAGTAAGGAAGTTCAGTGCCTCTTCCTCTTCATATAAGGACACTAATCTCATCAGGGGGGCCCCGCCCTCAAGAACTCATCTAAATCTAACTACCTCCCAAAGCCCCATCTCCTAACACCATCACTTTGGGGGTTAGGGCTTCAACATGTACATTTTGAGGGGACACAAACATTCAGTCCATAACAGGGTCCAAGCAGGTGAGGAGAGTGTCAACAATGAGCAGGGGGAGGTGGCAAAGGATGCCAGCAGACTATTAATTACATAGAGGGAGACTGACAAAATAAATAAATGCCACTAGGACAATGAGGGCCATGATTCTCACTGTGGGAGAATGGAGTTACAAAAAGAGAAAGCGAGGAAACTAGAATAGACCCTATGGTGGTGGGGCAGAATTAGAAATACCTGTGTGAAGTCATGGTTTTCAATGTTTACAAATAGATACAGTAATATTGATGGTTGTAAATGCATGTATGTACATAGGTATGTAGGCACAACCATACATAGACATCATATATAAGTCATACACACATACCCTAGTTCTGGGAGAAGCGACATCCAACAGTGATGAGTACACTTAGTGCCCAGATCTTGGTTTGTAAAGGCCATTTTCTGCTTTAAAAAACGAAATGAACAAACCAGAAACAAAGTTCCTCAGTAAAATGACTACATCCAGGGCTGTAACAGGGAAAGAATGAAATATGCCTGGAACATGTTGCTGGAACATGAAGAAATCAAAGAATGACAGGTACCTACCAAAAAAGACGCAGAAACCATCCAGAAAGGACTTCCTTGGCCACATCTGGTATAATATGAACAAAAAAGTAGCCCATTGAATAAAATAAAAAATAAAACCCACTGAGTAACCCACAGTAAGAATCATGTATCCTTACTGACACACAAATGAATAAAATGAAACTCTGATGAGGAACAGGGTATTTACATAATCTCAGAATACCTCTCCAATTACTGATTATGAAGAGAAAAAGAGTAACTTTAAGGTAGAGAAGCATGGCAGACACTATCTTACTTTAAGTGCTCAAAGTTAACATAACCAATTTGATGGAACAAAGCAAAATCATGTGCCACCTGACAGGAAGCCTCACTTCTGTTATATTCCTGCCAAAGATGCAAAATCTGAATCTTGTCTTGAAGAAACATAAGACAAATCCAAATGGAAGGATATTCTACAAAATGATTGTACTATCATCTTGCAAAGTGTCAGGACCATGAAAGTCAATGGAAAATGAGGAACTCTTCTAGATTGAAACAGACAGAGGAAGCATGACAGTGAAATGCAATGCCTTATTCTGAACTGGATTCTTCTGTTATTAGGGATATTATGTAGACAACTGGTAAAACATGAATGATGTAAGATGGTAGCAACACATTTCCCAATTGTGAGTGTTGGATGATGGTTCTTTAGGAGAATTCCTACTTTAAGACTAAGTTTGATTGACATAGTTCATACAATAATTTCATACTTGAGGCTTTCTTCACCATTGACTTGTATTCTGTCAGGTATCACAACTGCTTAAAACTATCCAATGACTTCATCTCTCACTCTAACTACAAGCTAAAGTCCTTTCGATGGTCCATAAGGCACAGTGGTATAGCAGGCCCTGCTGCTACAAGCTTTGGAGAACCTGTTGTTAAAATTCTAGGAGTTCTGCAAAGCAGGTCAACTCACCTCACCCAGTTGGTAGGCTGAAGGTCATACGTGGTGAAAGTATTCACACCAAAGAAATCAACAAATGCTTCAAATCAAGACCTTAGTTTGTCTTTTTGTTTATTTTCATGGAGAGTAGGTTATTAAACATGTACCAGCACACTGCCATAAGATCTTTTACTATGTGTTCCCCCAACTCACCCGCATCTCTCTGAACTAGGCACCCTTTCATACTCACTTTCTCTCAAAGGGAAATTGTCTCCCACCAGGTATGGCAGTTCTACACCTCACCAGTTACAGTTTAATACTCAAATGTTAGTTTCTCATTTGAAATAAAAGATTGTAACTTTTTTCTCCCCATTCCTTTTTTGTTTAATTTTTTTCTCCACTTCTATCAAATATATATTTATTTTGTATATTCTCTGCCGCCTCTTCTCTACTGCCACCATTAAACCCTATGCTCAACAAAGGCAGGTGTTTTTGTCTTTGCTGTTGTTACTGTTCATGGCTGTATTCTCAGCACTTAGAATTTGAATTTTTGGCACTAGAGTAAGAACACAATAAACATCTGTGGATTGAATAAATGAATGGCCAAAGTTTATCCCAAAATGCTAAGATATCTTAATATAAATAGATCTTTACATCTGTGAATGTAAACTTTGGAAGCCAGACTCTTTTTCACAACCCACTATGGCAGGAATTAATCCATTCCTGAGAGAGAACTCACCCAACCATCTCCATG
Organism: Homo sapiens; assembly: GCF_000001405.40. Classification (NCBI taxonomy): domain Eukaryota; kingdom Metazoa; phylum Chordata; class Mammalia; order Primates; family Hominidae; genus Homo; species Homo sapiens. The sequence goes on from NC_000006.12 coordinate 83,062,416, forward strand.
GGAGGGCATTAATCTATTCAAGAAGAATCTGCCCTCAGGAACCACGCACCTCCCACTAGGCCCTATGTCTCAACACTGCCACATTGGGGATCAAAGTGAGAAAACATAGGGACAAAACACATCCAAACCATAGCAGTTAGGAACAAGAACACCAATATTTAAATTAACTATAAAATATACTAAACATTTTAATTAGAACACACAGATCATCAGAACAGATTTAAAATCACCCAACTATATATTTTTAAAACTAGCATACAGTTTTATGCTATTTTTAGGGAAATACAGTATTTTTACAGCTTTTTGCTTTATACAGAAAGACATAAGAAAGGTTAAAAAGGTAGAAAGGACACACTATGCAAACAGTATAGTCAACTGATTTCTCATGAAGACTGAGTTATTTTAATGGGAGAAATGATGGCCTTTTCAACTGATGGTGATAGAATAAATGAATATCCTTATACCAAAAAAAGAACTTTGATCCCTACTTCACTGCAAACACAAAAATGAATTCAACATGATCACAGATCAAAATGTGAAAGCTAAAACGATATAACTCCTAGAAAATAAACCTGCCAAAACATCTTCACAGCCTTAAGGTAGGCAAAGATTTAAGACACCAAAAAAACTAACCCTTAAGGAATAAAAAAACGATAGAGTGGACTTCATTAAAATTAAAATTTCTGTTCATCAAAGGACACTATCAAAAAAACGAGGCAGGGCATGGTGGCTCATACCTGTAATCCCAGCACTTTGGGAGTCCAAAGTGGGTGGATCGCTTGAGTCCAGGAGTTCAAGACCAGCATGGGCAATATGGTGAAACCCTATCTCTACAAAAAAATACAAAAATTAGCTGGGCATGGTGGCATGCAACTTGTATCCCAGCTACTCCAGAGGCTGAGGTGGGAGGATTGCTTGAGCCCAGGAGGTTGAGGCTGCAGTGAGCCATGATCACACCACTGCACTGTAGCCTGGGCAGTAGAGCAAGACGCTGTCTAAAAAAAAAAAAAAAAAAAAAAAAAGAAAAGAAAATGAAAAGTTAAGTCACAGATAAGAATAGTCATATATTCACAAGGCATTTATGTGAGAAAGCTCTTGTTTTGAGACAGTATAAAGAACTCTCAATTAAACAAGACAAATAATCTGATTATGGGCAAAAAAAATTAGAAGATACTTTTAAAAAGAACATATATGAATTGCTAAAAAGCAAGTGAAAAGGCACTCAACATTATTAGTCATCGGTAAAATGAAAATTAAAACCACAAGATACTATTTTACACACACTAGAATGGTTCAAACTAAAAGGACTGATAATACTAAATGTAAGTCAAAATGTAAAGTAGTTGAAACTCATTTTTTTTCTGGTTGAACGTGCAAACTGGTACAATCACTTTGGAGAACTGTTTGGCAATTTCTCACAAAGTAACATGCACATCTATCCTATGACCCAGAAATTTCACTCTTAGGTACTTACCTAAAAAGAAATGAAAATGTATGTCCAAAAAAAGATTTATACAACAGTGTTATGACAGCTGTATTCATAATAAGCAAACTCCAGAAACAAGAAAAACATCCAGCAATAGGAGAACAGATAAATGAATTGTGGTATATTCATACAATGGAAAACTTAGCAAGAAAAAGGAATGGACTACTGATATATGCAGCCACATAGATGGAACGTGAATCTGAAAAATATTATGGAAGGAATGCAGCCAGAAACAAAAAAGTATATATTGTATGAATCCATTTATAAGTAGTTCAAGAAATGGCAAAACTAAGTCCAGCAAAGTTAGGTTTCTTTTTTTTTCTTTTTATTTTTTATTTTTTGAGACGGAGTCTCTTTCTGTTGCCAGGCTGAACTGCAGTGGCGCGATCTCAGCTCACTGCAACCTCCGCCTCCCGGGTTCACTCCATTCTCCTGCCTCAGCCTCCTGAGTAGCTGGGACTGACTAAAGGTGCGCGCCACCACACCCAGCTAATTTTTGTATTTTTAGTAGAGACAGGGTTTCACCATGTTGGCCAGGATGGTCTTGATCTCTTGACCTCGTGATCCGCCCGCCTCAGCCTCCCAATGTGCTGGGATTACAGGCATGAGCCACCCGGGTACCTTGCCTAAACAAAGGAGAGTAGTCCAAGGGAACTGTGAAAGGCCCCTGCATGAGAGGAAGGGAGGGTTTGTTGTGTGTGTGTGGTTTTTGTTTTATTTTGGTAGGGTTTGGGTTCCTAATTACTCTACAAGGTGCACCAGAATTGGAGATATTTGTCCAAATTCATAAATTTTGAAAGAGAAAAAGAAATACATTCAGAGTACTATTATTCCCATTTCAAGATTGAAGAAATTCAGATTAAATTATTCTAATTTCGTGAGGAAGCTAGCATTTGAACTCAGTTCTCACGCCATATTCCAAATTGCCACACCAGATATCTGGCAGATTTAGGGAAGAGGAAAAAATTAAGCATCAATCTACCTGTGGCACCGTGTAATACCATTCTCAGGATTTTAACTTCTAACTTACTCTCTTTGAAACAGCGATCACAAAGGAATAGACAAGGGGACCACAAATCATTAAAACTGCTGTCAAACAAAATAGAGAACATTTTTCCTAAAAGTTATTTGTGTAGCGAATAACAAGTTTGACGTTCTCACTGGAAGGAAGAATATGAATAAATGAACGAGCTCCAGTAAGAAGTCTACAACCTGTCTTAGTGGTTCACTAAACTCACGTTTATTGAATGATTGTGTGGTTTCTCTGCAAAGAGCAGTTTTGGACGAAAAGACCCGAGGTTATTTACAAAACAAGAAGCTCACATAGGAACTGATCCAGTAAGGAGGATCCCGAAGAGAGACAGACAAATCATTTTTTGCATTGTTTTGTTGGAAACGCCGGGCACTGCCAACAGTGTTTTACATCACTGTTCCTCAAATTTTAATGTGCATTTGATTCCTGGAAATCTTGTTAAAATATAAGTTTTGATTCCATAAGTCTGGTGTGGAGCTGAGACCCTGAATTTCTAAAAAGCTCCCCAAAGATACCCACACTGTCAGTAGGGGTGGGAGTGGCGGAGCCGACTACAGGGGAAAGCTTCACTTTGAGTGATCGAGAGGCTCTACGCAACTGGAAAGAAGAAACTCAAAATCCCTCGTACAGAGAGAGACTCACCAGCCCCCGACCCCCGGGCAGCAGTAAAGCGAGCTGGGCACTGCGCCTAGAATCCCAGTTCTTACCCCAGGATCAGAAGCGCGCTCTGCAGCTGTCCCCGCACCTCCAGAAACACGCGCGTCTCCGCCGCAGAAGCCGCCATGGCAGGCTTCCAGTCCCAGACCGGACCAAGCTGGAGGTTCCGAGGGGCCCGGGTCAACAGGACCAGGAGAGGTTCCACGTGCGGACCAACCAGCGGCAGCCCCGCTGCGGCGCAGGCGCCTGTGCCAGATCGCAGGGCTGGCGCCGCCTACCAGCTCACAGCGCCACCTGCCGGCCGGAGAGTGCACCACCGAGAAGGCGCGTGACCCCGGAGGCCGGGGCGGGGCGCGCATTTTCAAAACCAGGCTTTGGCCCAGAGTGCTGAGAAAGGTGGGCGGCGAGAGGCTAGCTATCGCCCCACTCTGCTTCTTATGAGCGTGACTTGGCGCGTTAGCATCCCTGGAAATGACCATAAAAATCAGACCCAGGGTTCACACCTTTGGCTAGCTCGAAGGGAGGGAGATGATGGAGGCAAGTGTTACAGGTGGGCTTTGTCCCCAGGAGATGCAAGAACAGAATTCCCGGCCCCAAACCCACTTTATCTTGGTCTCTTTATGAACAAGGGTCGTTTGTTAGCCTCTATCTAAAGCGACAAAATTTTCAAGAATTGACTTGCCATTGCTTCTCAACTTAGACAGGATAGCTCCAAAATTGAAACAGGTGCAAAAATATAAGGAAGTTCTTTGTTACCTAATGCAGAAGAGTGTGGCTGAAGTCTATCAGGACTAACCATTTTTTAGGGGGTAAAAAAGGAAGATGAGAATGATTACGTATGTACAGCTCCACTATTCACTTTCACAAAAGTAAAAACTAAGAGAAGTTGGAGAAGTTTACTACCAGAAGATAGTTTTGAAAAGTTTGACACAGTAAAGAACCTGGTATAATGTAAATACTTATAATGAAGAACTATTAAAATATAAGACCGGGTAGAATTACAATAGGGCTTCTTAAAAACAAGGAGCTGCTTTTATTTATTTATTTTTTTTCGGAGTCTCGCTCTGTCGCCAAGGCTGGAGTGCAGTGGCGCGATCTCGGCTCACTGCAACCTCTGCCTCCTGGGTTCAAGCGATTCTCCTGCTTCAGCCTCCCGAGTAGCTGGGATTACAGGCGCACGCGCCACCATGCCCGGCTAATTTTTCTGTTTTTGGTAGATCCGCCCACCTTGGCCTCCCAAAGTGCTGAGATTACAGGTGTGAGCCACCATGCCCAGCCTAAACCATAAATAAATTCTAAATAAATAAATCCTGTCATATATTTTAAGATAATAGCTTGACAATTTTTCTAAAATCAGTATTTGGGGTGATTAAAGTTTATTATGTTGATGCACAAATTATTATATCTATCACAATAATTTGAAGTTATAGATGGAAGCAACAACTCACTTAAAAAAATAAAGTTTACTATTATTTGGTCTCAAATAATTCATCTATTTGAAGGATGATGATTTCAACTCTTCATATCTTCCACCTTTAGTACCCGAGGCTATTGAATGCTTAAATATTGACACATTATATTGAAATATACAACTTCCGTAGCACAACTTACTCTTTATAATTGTTTTGTTAGCTTAAAAGATTTTTATATATTTAGTTACGTATTTGTAAAAACTTTCATTTTTTTACGGTATGGTGTTGGCAAAACGGTGCAATTTACCTTGGAGTAACTAGATATGATTGATAGAGCTCTAGACTCAAAATAGTTCCAAATCTGACACCAACTACTTGTCTCCTAACTTCACAAGTCTCCTAACCTCTCTGGGATGCAGGTTACTCATATGAAATATTGAGAAACTATTCAAATAATATTTAAAAGCTGTTTTCAGTTCCTATTATCTCTTCAAATGAAAACATCTGCTAACCCCCTTTCTAGCCACTCCTGAAATTGGTAGCCATGGCCGCTTCCCGCGACAGTCCACTTGAGGGCGCTGTGGCAACAGCTAGCGCCGGGAGGCAGGAAGCCGATCGGGGGCGGGGATCGAAGGCCTCAGACGTCGACGCCGGCGTGGGCGCGAGCACGGTGCACTCTGGGAGCTGTCACTAGGCCCTTCGGCTCCCGGTCTCGGTGTAGCTGCCGTGGTTGCCAGGAGAGCTGCGCCGGCGAGAAGCGGCCGAGCCAGCAGCAGGTAAAAGCGTCCCTGCCCCCAGTGCGGCCGCTAGGCTGGTAGCCGGCTCCGAGCATCCTTCTCGGCCCGGCTAGGTCCTGAGCCGCGGGGACGCCTTGCGAGTCTGACTGCTGTGGCGTCGGGGGTGTTGCCGCTCCGGCCCCGCCAGGAGCTGCGAAGCTGGTCGGCCGCCCTCTGGTTTACGGGGAGTCGGGAGCTGCGCGGGGACTGGAGGGCCAGGGCTGGGGCCGGGGCCTGGGCCGGGCAGAGGCGCGAGGGCGGCCCCAGGTGAGGGAGGCCGGAGGCGGGGCCGGGGAGCCGGGGACAGGTCCCGAGCCTCCCCTGCTGGGGCGGAGCGGTGCGCAAGGCTGGGGCAGAGGTCGCACCTGTGCGATGGAGGCGTGCGGAGTACCCTCTTTGTTGAAGGAATCGAGGCGTTGTGCCTTCTCGGCTGGTGGGTTCTTTTAGCATTGAGGAGACACGTAGGCCCGCGATGGTTCATGTTCTCCGTGGGGCTTAGAAAGGAGTACCGAAGTTTATTAAGAGGAAGTCAGAAGAGTCAAACGGGTGTTGTTAACAATTATCACCTTTGATTCCTAAGCCTTTTAAAGTTGCAACATAACAATAGTCACTTGTTCGGGCCTCCTCCATTCCTGTACCCTGAGGGGGGCGGGGAATGGCACACAACTATTTTTCTTAAGCTAAGTAAATTGTGTTTGAACATTTTTACACTATCTTAGAGTTCTATGGCGTTTGAGAAATGTAAAGATTGGGAAAATGACTTCGACTCCAGCTAAAGCAGTCAAAAAAAATGATAATTACCAAAAATGTAGGAAACTGTTTGCCTGACAAATAGGCCCTGAACTGTAGAGAGAGAAAAATCTGTTTTGATGTTGTTGGCCATTGTCTATGCAGACATAAGTTCTCACATTTTAATTTTGTTTGTGGGTATTAATATGGTCTACAGTGAATAACATACGTCGGCATTATGTGCTAAGTAACTCACCACCTGATAGATAACACAGTGATTTAGGTGGGCCGACTGAAGTTATGAGTAAATTAAAACCACGAGTAGTCTAAATGCTTTATTTTAGTGATTACTTTCGGCCACAACTGATAACTAAATCATTCTCTGTAATTGTTAAGCAGTAGCAAATCTCCACGTGGGCTTGATTATTAGGTACCTAGTGCTGAAGGAACTAAAAACACCTGATTTAATACACAAACCAGAAAATGTGACACCATAACCCAAATCTTAAATGTAAGGTAAGTGTTGTCAGTTAAATGTTTGTATACATTCAAAGAAGTCCTATTTTGTAGTTAAAGTAAAGGAGTGAGCTCTGGCCTGGGAATGAAGAGATTAGATTCAAGTGCTTTAATCTGCTACTAACCAGGTGTGATCTCCAGGCTTCGGTTTTGTCATTGTTTAAGGAAATTTGAAAAGACCAGGGTTTTCCAAACTGATGTTTCCCCCAGAACAGTGTTCTAAAACCATTTAATAGGCTTACTTTCCCCAAAGCAGTGTTCAATGGCAAATAATTTGGGAGCACACTAGGTTAAACTAGGTTTAACTTTTTTGCTTATAAAGGCAGGACTCTTCAAAACCTTTACTGTTATGCTGATACATGTAAATCTCCAGAAGGTTATCCTAGCATTCCCAAATTTACCTGATCTATTTTCTCATGGCCAAATGGTTAACAACTCTTAGAATATAATTACATAGAATATAAATTTAAAAACTGCTGTACTTAAGCTGAGTCCTCTTCAACTGTAAAGGTCCATGCATTAGGCTTATTTTTTGGCTGTCATTTTAAACTTTTTGGAGCATGAAGATCTAGTGGCAACTCACTTGTATAAAAAAAATTATATTTTTCTTAGTAAAATATTAATGATACACTTAAGTTCCCATGAGTCTTAATGCTTTAATTATTGGCAGAAGACTTATCTTATTCTTTCTGGTTTTTTGACTTTTTTAAAACCATAATTCATGTTTTGAATTTGATGGTGGAGTGTAGTTATTGATTTTATTCAAAATGGCATTTTGAGGTTCCAACAAGTGAAGACTTGTTGATAATGGCATCACTTTTGCTGTGATGATTTCTCCTTATAGTCATGCATTCCTAAAATGAAATTATGGTAGAAGCCACCCAAAATGTGCTTACTGTGTAATAACTACCTATTTTAAGAGCTTATATCATGGAAAAGAGCTAAAGGCTAAAACACAAATTTTGAGACAGTTACTTCTAAATTGCTTTACAAACAGGATGTGTGCTGAACACAATCTTAAACTGTTTTGCTAAAGTCTGTTAAGTGTCACTAGTACACCACCAGTGTGGATATTCTGTTCATTCTTTATTACTTTCTTAGGGTGAATGCTGTTAATGCACAATTTTGCTTGCAGATAGGAGAGGTGGGAAGAGAACATGTAATTTTAATAGATAAGCGTTAATTCAGGTAAATTATCTCCCTGGAATAAAACTATTAAGTAGAAATATAAAGCTAATATTTTTTGTGTAATAGTTAACAGTTTTTATTGAGAATTGTATGAAAATATGATACCCTTGTCTTTAACTGGCGGTTTCCCTTTTTCCTTTATTGTATTTACTTCCTCCTCTCCAAGCTATCCAAGCCTGAAATCTCAATGACCTTTCATTGCATTGGTCAATTATATAGTATCAAATTTATTAAGGAAAAATTTATATATACTGATGTACATTCATTTAAGTGTACATTTCAATAAGTTTTAGTAGATATATATGCACCCGTGTAGCTACCACCACAATCAAGATTTGGAAGATGCCACCACTCAGGCACATATAGTTATACTTTTACTCTCTGAGAATGTTCTTCTGTTTCTGAGTGTCTAAATTATACCTTTAAGACCTAGCTCAAATGCCACCCTGTGAACCTTTTTTTGATTACCTCATTTTGAATTAATTTCCTCCTCTTCTGACTTTCCTTTTCACATTTTTTTTTTTCATCATTCTTCTCTGTTCTTTGTGGTGGCTAACCCAGTGGCAAACATATAGCAGGCACTTATTTGTTGACCAAATGGATTAATGTAATATTTCCTCAACTTCAGTCTTTGTGATATCATCTTCAAAATTTTGGCCATATCTTCCTGTTTGGCATACTTCCTGTTTAGTTATTAATATTTCTTTATATCAATGTGATTATTAAAGTAATATTTTAAAGGAAACTTGGAATAACTTTGAGTAAAAAGCAGGTGGCACTTGCCATAAACAGAAGGTGGACGTATACGTAAAAATAATGAAAATCAAAGTCCCCTTAATTTCTAACTAGAAACTATTGCCTGCAGGAGGCTCTAAGCCTAAAACTTGCCCTTTGTTTAAAAGTGAGATTGGCAAGAATTTCAGTGGTGTTAACATCTTGGCACCAAACTGAGACTTTCTTCTTGATACAGTCAGAGGAACTGAAAGAGAATGAAGAGGAAGTAACCTTTTTTTTTTTGAAATGGAGTCTCACTCTGTCATCCAGGCTGGAGTGCAGTGGAGTGAGCTCACTGCAACCTCTGCCTCCCGGATTCAAGGTATTCTCCTGCCTCAGCCTCCTGATTAGCTGGTATTACAGGCACCCACCATCACACCGGGCTAACTTTTGTATTTTTAGCAGAGACAGGGTTTCGCCATGTTGGTCACGCTGGTCTCAAACTCCTGACCTCAGGTTATCCGCCTCGCCTCTGCCTCTCAAAATGCTGGGATTACAGACATGAGCCACTGTGTCCGGCCCCTCCTCATTTAATTCAGTGTCACTTAGCTCTGCCCTCGGATCTTATAAAATCATCCCACGTCTCCATTTGGTGGCCCAAATTTTTGTAGATACTAAGTTAATCAGTGCTTGAAAATTCCTTAGAATTTTATCTGTGCAATAATTGAGAAACAAAGCCTTAATTGTAAATTAAAAAGTGTACTACAATTACCTTAAAAAATATAGTAAAAAAAGTTACTTTAAAAAATAGTACAAAGATAATATTCTTGAATCAGATATGTCTTTATTTTTTCAAAAATGTTCTGAATGTTACTGATGTTACATCCTACTAGGGTACATTAGCCTTAAGATAAACATTTGAATCTAAAATCTAAATCAGAAAACAAGTGGGAACCTGTTATATGACAAAGTGATGACTGTTGATTCAGGAGTGATGAAATGTTAATATAATGTTTATCTGGCAAAGCTCCTGTATGAGTAGATGAGGTAATAAAGTTAAAATAATCTCCTATCTCCTTTAGTTTTTTCTCTCATCACTTAAGTTTTATATAGCTATATTTTTATATTTTAATCCTGCCGAAGACATTTCTAGACTTTTTCCTCCTGAGATGACACCTTCTACTCTCCTGTGGAAGGAGTTTCGTATGAACATACTGGAAAATAAATTCCCTGCTCTTATTTTGTAAAATACATTTTGTATTTAAAGTTGCTGGAGTTACTTATAGGCATATATCCATATTATGAGCCTAACATTTGCTGTTATTTCGTGTTCATGAACAAAGAGCTTGAGTAAATAGACCCTTTCATTTGGTGTTAACGGTTTCCAAAAAAAAAAAATTAACCTGAGTGGTGATAAGTTTATCAGTACACACAATCATTTGCTACTCACCAAGAGGTCAGATTCCTGGGTTTTGTTTTTGTTTTTGAGACGGGGCTCTGTAGTCCAGGGTGGAGTGAGATTCCTGTTAATATAAGGTTCTGGGATACAACCTAAAAAATTGGAAGTAAGTAAAGAGCCATCTTGGATGCATAGCATTTATTTCACAAACAAGTGGTTTCTTTCCTGCTTCTCACTGTAAAATAAGGGAGCAGTACAGAAGCAATATAGGTAAATTGTCATCATTTAGAAGTGACAGCTGACTATAATCAGAAAATCATAAAAATACTGCAATCTTAGTCCTTTGAATTATACAGGTAAATAGCCCTACATTTTTCAGTTGCTTTTGATTGTGCTATTATATTATGAAAAGGTACTATAAAGTATCAGCTACCTGAAACCTTTAGAATATGTGTTATTTTTATCGAATATTCTACATAGCTAGAATTTTTTTATATACCCCAAATGCCATCGCAGAGCACTGATTATGCTTTTTGCTTCTGTTCAGAATGATGCAGCTGGCACAGTGGCTTTTCCATACATGCTTAACAGTTTAAAAATTTCCTGGAGAGGTTTTTCTCCTGCTGGCCTGTGAAAAAATAGAACATAGTACAGTACTTGCTTTAAAGTTAGTCTCTGACATTTTGGAAGAAATAAGTGTTTGAATGACTTCCATATTATATACAGCATTACCACCAAGTAGCAGTTCACTTTTTTTTCCTTTTTCTTTTTTTTTGAGACAGACTCTCACTCTTTTGCCCAGGCTGGAGTGCAGTGGCATGATCTCGGCTCACTGCAACCTCTACCTCCTGGGTTCGAGCGATTCTCCTGCATCAGCCTTCCAGGTAGCTGGGACTACGGGCATGTGCCACCATGCCCAGCTAATTTTTATTGTATTTTTTAAATAGATACAGGGTTTCACCATGTTGGCCAGGCTGGTCTCTATCTCCTGACCTCAGGTGATCTGCCCGCCTTGGCCTCCCAAAGTGCTGGGATTACAGGTGTGAGCCACCACACCTGGCCAGCAGTTCACTTTTGAGCCTGAATGAGGGGTTCCAGAAACAAAATATGGCCTCTGACATTTTTTGGAAGGCTGTCCTCAAAGCACTGTTCCCCAAACCTACCTGATTCCATAACTTGAGGCTGCCAATTTTACGTAATCTGATAACTTTCATTATGTTTTAAGTTTCAGAGATTGTGGTTGAAAAAATGAAAATATTATTTGGGAATAAACTGTTGTTAAGTTATCTATTGCTACATGACAAATTATCTCAAAATGTAGTGATTTAAAACAGTATCTCACACAATTTTTGTCAGAGGGGATAGGGAAGTTATTTGGCTTGAGTTTCTTATGAGGTTGCAGTCTGATTGCAGTTGGAGAACTCACTTTCGAAGTGGCTCACTCATGACTGGCAAGGCAAGTTGTTTCTGGCTTTTAGAGGAATGATGTAGTTCCTCCCCACATGGGCCTCTTCACAGGTCTGCTTTGAGTGTCCTTATGACATAGAGGCCAACTTGCCCCAGAATGAGTGATTCTAGAGATATCAAAGTGGGAGCTACAGTGTCTGTTATGGCCTTTTACTTCTGCAGTGTTATATTGATTATTCTCACAGGCCAGCAGTGATTCCATGTGGTAAGGAATTGCCCAAGAGCATGAATATCAGGAAGTGAGGATCATTGAAACCCATGTTAGAAGCCAGTATGTGAATATCTATCTAAATCGTAAACAGTACCTATTTACTCAGTATGCAGTATATACACAGCTCATTGTGATTTTGGAAAGAATATTCAAAGATTAACTTAAAATGCACTTGAAAATTAATGTACCAAACAAATCAAGCACTTTGACAAATTCTTAGTCTCCATGGTCCTTTGGGAGGGGGGTATGATTCTGAGTTGAGACGTAGCACTTAAGATACAGATTTTATTTATTTATTTATTTATTGTTATTTATTATGAGATGAAAGGAGGAAATACCACATTTTACACAGTTGCTATTTCATGTTCTTTAGGGACATTATTCATTCACCCTTTATTACCATAAATGGGGCATAATTCACATGATTTTAAAAGTATAAGTATACAGATAGTCCCCAAATCATGGTAGTTTGACTTTATGACTTTTCAACTTTACACTCGTGCAAAAATGATACACATCCAATAAAAACTCGACTTCTAGTATCCATACAACCATTTTGATTTCTCCTTCCAGTATAGTATTTAATAAATTACATGAGCTATTCAACACTTTATTATAAAACACGCTTTATATTGGGTGATTTTTGCCTAACTATAGGCTAATATAGGTGTTCTGAGCACATTTAAGGTAGGCTAGGCTAAGTAATGATGTAAATTATAGTGAATCAACGTGAATGTACTTAACACTACTGAACTATACACTCAGTGGTTAAGATAGTAAATTTTGGCCAGGCTCAGTGGCTCATTTCCATAATCCCAACACTTTGGAAGGCCAAGGCCAGAGGATTGCTTGAGCCCAGCAATGCTAAATGAAATGTTGAATACATTTCAACTTACGGTATTTTCAACTTAGGATGAGTTTGTGTGGATATAAGCCATAAGTCAAGGAATATCTGTATGATGAAAAGACTCCTTTTCCTGGGCCCTCATCCATCCAGTTACCACCTGTCTCCTAGGAAGTAATGTTTAGTTTCGTTGTGTGTTCTTTCAGATATGTATTGTACATATGCAAATTAATATATATTTTCCCTCTTTTAATATGATAGCATATTATAAACACTATTCTGTGCCTTGCTTCTTTTAGTTAATATATGTTAGCACTTTAAAAATCAATGTATACACTTAATTCATTATTTTTACCAACTGAGAATATTCTATTGTCATTCAATTTTTATAATGTTTATTGACTGTTTACCGTGGGTCAGGCACTTTTCTAGGAGCTGGGGATTTGAGAGCTAAAATGACAGATGAGGTCTCTCTGTTATAGCGATTACCACCCCTGGAGTCACAGTTCAATTACAATAAAGCAAGGTAAGTTCTATGATAGAGGAAGTATAGCATGTCATGGGAGTTCACAGGAAGGAGGTGTATATGTGAGTGTTAGGGGAATGGTGGAATGGTCCTGGAAGACTTCCCAAAAGGGATAAAATCTGAGACCTGAAGGATAAGTAGGTACTTGTCAGGTCAAGTTAGGATTTAGTGTTTGAAACAGAAGGAATAAAAGGGTGGCTCTCAAAAAATGCATTTAAAAATTATTGCAAAGCTATAGTAATCAAAATAGTATGGTACTGGCCAAAACAGACATATAGATCAATGAAATTGAATGGAGAGCCCCGAAATAAACACTAGTTTATACGGTCCAACAGTGTTTGACAAGGGTGCCAAGACGACTCAGTCAGGAAAGGATAGCCTCTTCACCAGATAGTGTTGGGAAAAACTGATATCCCTATGTGAAAAAATGAAGTTGTATATCTTATACCATACACAAAGATTAACACAAAATGGATTAAAGACCTAAAGATAAGACCTAAAACTATAAAGCTCCTAGAAGAAAACATAGGAGAAAAGCTTTATGACATTGAGTTTGGCAGTTTCTTGGATATGACAGCAAAAGCACAGACAATAAAAGCAAAAATAAAAAATAGGATTGTATTAATCTTAAAACTTTCTGTGCATCAGAGAGTACAAGAGAGTGAAAAAGCAAACTATGGAAAGGGAGAAAATATTCATAAATCATGTGTTTGATAAGAGGCTAATACCCAGAATATATAAAGAAAGAGCTACTCTTACAGTTCAATAACAACAAAGTAACTGAATTTTAAAATGGGCCAAGGACTTAAATAGACATTTTTCCAAAGATGATATATAAATGGCCAGCAAACATATGAAAAGATATTGAGGCCGGGTGTGGTGGCTCAGGCCTGTAATCCCAGCACTTTGGGAGGCCGAGGTGGGTGGATGATGAGGTCAGGAGATTGAGACCATCCTGGCCAACATGGTGAAACCCGGTCTCTACTAAAATACAAAAAATTAGCTGGGCGTGGTGGTGCACACCTGTAGTCCCAGCTATTCAGGAGGCTGAGGCAAGGGAATCGCTTGGACCTGGGAGGTTGAGCCAAGATCGCACCACTGCACTCCCGCCTGGAGGCAGAGCAGACTCCATCTCAAAAGAAAAAAAAATGTTGAAGATCACTAATCATTAGATAAATACAAATCAAAACCACAAAGAGATACCTAACCTTACACCCATTATGATGGCTACTATTAAAAAAAAAATAGTTTTGGCAAGGATGTAGGGAAATTAGAAACTTCTTGGGCACTGTTGGTAGAGATGTAAAATGGTTCAGCCCCTGTGGAACACAGTATGGCCATTCCTCAAAAAAAGTTTAAAAAATTACTCTCTAAATGCAGCAATCCCGCTTTTGGATATATCCAAAAGAGTTGAAAGCAGGATCTGGAAGAGGAATTTGCACACCCATGTTGATAGCAGCACTACTCGTGATAATCAAGAGGTAGAAACAACCTATGTGTGCATCTATGGATTAATGGATAAGCAAAATACAGTATCTACATAGAATGAAATATTACTAAGCCTTAAAAAAGGAAATTCTGACACATGCTATAACATGGATGAATCTTGAGGACATTATGCTGAGTGAAATAAGCCAGTTATAATAAAAAGACCCATACAATATGGTTCCCCTTACATGAGGTATCTAAAGTAGTCAAATTCATAAAAGCAGAAAATAGAATTGTTGTTTAATGGGTATAGAGTTGCAGTTTGCAAGATGAAAAGTTCTGGAGATTGGTTGCACAATAATGTGAATGTACTTAACACTACTGAACTGTACACTCAGTGGTTAAGATGGTAAATTTTGGCCAGGCTCAGTGGCTCATTCCTGTAATCCCAACACTTTGGAAGGCCAAGGCCAGAGGATTGCTTGAGCCCAGTTGTTCAAAACCAGCCTGGGCAACATAGCAAGACCCCTTAAAAAAAAGATGGTAAATGTTATATGCTTTAAAAACAATTTAAAAAGGACTATAGGCTGGGCACAGTGGCTCATACCTGTAATCCCAGCACTTTGGGAGGCCAGGGCAGGAGGATCGTTTGAGGCCACAAGTTCAAGACCAACCTGGGCAAGAAAGTAAGACCCTGTCTACAAAAAAAAATTTTTTTTTTTTAATTAGCTAGGCATGTTGGCACCCACCTGTAATCCTGGCTACTCAGGAGGCTAAGGCAAGAGGATTGCTTGAGCCCAGGAGTTAGAGACGTCAGTGAGCCATGATTGTGCCACTGCATTCCAGACTGGGTGATAGAATGAGACCTTGTCTCAAAAAAATAAAAAGGACTTTAAACTTCTAGAAACATGAAGCATATGTACATTTTTTACATTTTATACTGTCATGTAAGCCATGTTTCTAAATCAGGGGTGTCCAAACTTTTGGCCTCCCTGGGCCACATTGGAAGAAGAATTGTCTCAGGCCACACATAAAATACACTAACACTTAACTATAGCTGATAAGCTAAAAAGGTCCATGCATAAATCTCTTAATGTTTTAAGAAAGTTTACGAATTTCTTGGGCCACATTCAAAACTGTTCTGGGCTGTGGGTTGGACAAGCTTATTCTGAATATTGAAAAAGATACTGATTTAAAAATTAGGTCAAAGGGGTTGAATCACTAGGTATCATGCAGAGACATAGCATTTTGAGTTTGAGTATAATTTAATAGAAAATTAAATTCTATCCACAAAATTAATAGCATGTGTAAAGGCACTGAGATGGGAGGGAGCAAGTCTTGAACAGTGGACAATTGCCTAGGTTTTGCTTAGCTGGGACAGAAGTGTGAATAAGATTGAAGGAATGGGTCTATTTTATGAAGGCTTTATATGGCTAACAGCTTGCATTTCATGTCTAAGAA
The DNA here is from genome assembly GCF_000001405.40 of Homo sapiens. Taxonomy (NCBI): domain Eukaryota; kingdom Metazoa; phylum Chordata; class Mammalia; order Primates; family Hominidae; genus Homo; species Homo sapiens. Next base: position 83,078,263 of record NC_000006.12, read on the forward strand.
AATGAATATCACAATTATAGCAGTAATAAGAGCACTTCTTATACGCTAAGTTAACACTGAGCTAAAGAGCTTTCCAGGGATTATCAAATGTACTTTTCTGAGCTTCCAGCAGGGAACATGCTCCACCTGCTTTTTCCTGTGTAAAATTAATTGGCTCTTGGAGAAGGTGAAGGTAGTGAAAATAGGTTGTTGACATAGTCCAGGTATAAAATAGGCATGAATTAAAGACCATTCTGAAAAATGCACATTTGTAGACTTTATTAAACTGCTCCAAATGAAATCGCACAAGTACAAACTTGTGTAATTAGGAAGATGATGGTGCTGTTGACAGTAATGAAGGAAAACAAGGAAATTCAGAAAATAATAGCAGTGCTTGACAGACTTTACAGCATTTCTTGGAGTGATATTCTGACAACAGAGGTACTGTGAAATGGAAAGTGAGGAGAGGTGTAGTAACAGTTTATGGTTTATCAGTATTTTGGAGGGTGCCTATGTTTTGTAGAGATTTTTTACAATAATTAAGCAATACCTTATTTTGGTTCTTATTCTATTACGTGCTTCAGAATCTGCAAAAATATCTAGAGTTAATTCTCTCTTACAGAATTAACACCTCAGCAAAGTTATTTTGTTCTTTCATGATGAGCATTATTAATATTGTTGTTTTGTTACCATCTTAACCTTAAAACATGAGAGGGGATGGACATTGAAGGGTTGTAGGAGCTGGGGGAAGGTCTGCTGTAGGCTGTACCCCATTTTTCTCTGTAAAGTATCTTGATATCCTCAACATTAATTCTAGTTTACTTTGTCCATCAAGGGAGTTAACCCTTGTGCAAGGCTACTTTCTGTCACCATTCTTTCACAGATTTTGGAAACTGATGTGCACAGATACATGCATGGTCTGTGTCCAGGGTGAACCCTTTTTTAAAAAAGCATCTTTAAATAAAAGTACTCAGCTAAAGTGTTGGTGACTTCCTGTGTAATATTTTGATCTTATCTTTTAAATACATAGGCATGATTGAATTTGCATCTCAGTGAATTTTTTTGCATGTGTGCTTTTTCTTATGATTTTACTTTTGGAACAGTCTTAATAAAATGGGCAAAGAAAAACGTTAAAATTCCATGGGATTTTTTTTAATGGGAAAAATTTGTTTCTACTGGCTGTGATTAAAATTTGTTTACAGATATTCAGTTAAATTGGAACACACTAGGAAGTATAGAAAAATGTTTGGCTAGTATGTATAGTACGGCATTGTTATGTTAACTTATGTAAAAACCAGTCTTTATTTGAAAATCCAACTCTGTAGTAAGTTAATAGCATACTATTTATTTTTTAAATGCTGAAAACGTTAAATTACTAATTTTTAAATATATTGGTTAGATTTTATTTTGCAAATAATGATTTGATTAACTTAATATGGGTTTAATTATGCTGTAAAAATTATTTTTGCTTATTTCACTTTATTTCTAGTAGTATGTTTTAGCATATGTAAAAGTTTAAGCAAAATCATTGTCATTAAATGAAGAATGATAGCTACAAATAAAGATACTTTGAGAAAGGTACTTTCTGATGAAAATTTATGTTTCAAATAAGCTGGAAAGAAATACATGGTGGGATAGTTAACAGTTAGTTATTCCTCATCTTGCGTTTCACCTCTCTAATCATTCTGAATAGCAATGCATTCATTTTTATCATTATTCTCATGTCTTACCTTCTGCTGTATATAAAAAATAAGCCATGTTTTCTTTCTTCTTCCAAACTATTAATAAAAGCAAAACAGAATGTGGTCAATCTAGATAATTTAGATGTTCTTTAAGTGTACTATTCTGATATTTACTCTTAGGCTGATTTTTTTTCCCCTGCCATCTAAAATGTTTGTTTCATTTCCCCCTACCCAATCAATGTATACACAGTGAAATCAAACATTTTAATGTTAGGAAAAACAAAACATTAGAAAGATATGTTTGAAAAAAGCAGATATATCCTAAAAGCAAAATTTAGTTGTTTGGGATTCTGTTTTACATTATCCACACAACTACTTCTTTCTATAGATACTGTTAATACAATGATATATGACTAAACCAGAATATTAAACTATCAGTGATGTTCACAGGTTTCATCAAAATAAGGAAAACTTCCTTGATATATTTGTTTTCTGAACTATCATTTTGTCCCCTCATAACTAATAACCCTCAGGAATTATATCTCCCTTTGCCAAGAGAAAAAACCTGTCTTTAGTAGGTCCTATAAAGCATCCCTTAGGTGCTTAATAATAGAATTTGTGCACTAAAGCATACTGCTAATCCAGCAAGAATCCTGTCATCAGCCCTGCACATCCTAAATTTGGGGACAGCCACATCTGTAATACTGTTTTTGGATGTGTAACCCAACCTGCAGTACCTCTGTAGTATTTCATCCCACTTCAGAGCATTTTTACCTCTTAGGAATTATTTTCTAGGGAGGAATAGATTGTTGTCTTTTATGTTCTGTATATAGTTCCCCTTGTATATAGGTTCACCACGGCCATTTATTGAATTAAAATCCCTGTTTTATAATGTCTGTGTCACCCAAAACAATCTACAGATTCAATACAATTCCTATCAAAAGACCAATGACATTCTTCACAGAAATAGAAAAAAGAAAATCCTAAAATTTTGTGGAACCACAAAAGACCCCAAATAACCAAAGCCATCTTGAGCAAAAAAACAAAGCTGGAGGTGTTCTACTACCTGACTTCATAATATACTACAAAGCTATTGTAACCAAAATAACATGGAACTGGCATAAGAACAGACAGACTGACTAATGGAACAGAATAGAGAGCCCAGAAATAATTCCACACATTTACAAACAACTGTTGGTTTGTTCGTTTGTTTTTTGAGACAGAGTCTCACTCTGTTGCCCGGGCTGGGGTGCAGTGGTGTGATCTCACCTCACTGTGGCCTCTGCCTCCAGGTTCAAGCGATCCTCCTGAGTAGCTGGGATTACAGGCATGCACCACCATGCCCGGCTAATTTTTGTATTTTTAATAGAGACAAGGTTTCACCATGTTGGCCAGGCTGGTCTCCAACTTCTGGCTCAAGTGATCCACCCACCTCAACCTCCCAAAGTGCTGGGTTTACAGGTGTGAGCCACCATGCCCAGCCCTACAACCAACTGGTTTTTGACAAAGGCAACAGTAATACACAGTGGGGCAAGGACATTCTCTTCAGTAAATCGTGTTGGGAAAACTGGATAAACTGCAGAACAAAATTAGACCCTTATCTCTCACCATATACAAAAATCATCTTGGGTTATAAAAAAAAATAGGACCTGAAACTATGAAACTACTAGGAGAAACAAGAAAAGCTATGTGACATTGATCTGCACCATGATTTTGTATCTATGATCTTAAAAGCACAGGCAACAAAAGCAAAAATAGACAAATGGGGTTATATGAAATTAAAAAGCTTCTGCACAGCAAAGGAAACAATTAGCAGAGTAAAGAGACAACCTACTTACAGGATGGGAGAAAATATCTGCACACCATACATCTGATAAGGGGTTAATATCTAAAATATATAAGGAACTCAATAGCAAGTAAACAACTTGATTTTAAAATATGCAAAAGACCTGAGTAGACATTTCCTAAAGGAAGACATAAATGGCCAACAGGTATATGAAAAAAGGCTCAACGTCACTAATCATCAGGTAACTGCAAATCAAAACTAAAATGAGATATCATCTCACTCCTGTTAGAATTGCTGTTATCAAAAAGACAAAAGGTAAGTGTTAGAGAGGATGTGGAGAAAAGGGAACACACTGTTGGTGGGAATGTAAATTAGTATAGCCATTATGGAAAACAGTAAGGAGGGGCCTCAAAAAATGAAAAAAATAGAACTACCATATGATTCTGTAATCCCACTACTGAGTATATATCCAAAGAAAATGAAATCAGTATGTCAAAGAGAGAAGTGCACATAAACAGCAGTATTCACATAGCCAAGATATGGAATCAGCCTAGGGGTCTATCAGCAGATGAAGGGGCAAAGAAAATATGGTTTATATACATGATGGAATGCTATTCACCTATCAAAAAGCAAAATTCTGTTCTTTGCAATAACATGGATGAACCTAGAGGACACTGTGTTAAGTGAAATAAGCAAAGCACAGAAAGATAAATGCTGCATGATCTCACCCAATATGTAAAACCTAAAAAGTATATCCCATAGAAGTAGAGAATAGAATGGTGCTTACCAGCGGCTGGGGTGGTTTGAGGAAATGACAGGATGGAAGAATGTTAGTCAAAGGATATATAGTTAGGAGGAGTAAGTTCAAGGAATCTGTTGTACAGCATAGTGGCTATGGTTAATGATGATATGTTCTTGAAAAATACAAAGAGTAGTAAGTGTTCTTACCACAAAAATGACAACTATTTGAGGCAATGCATTTGTTAATTAGCTACATTTAACCATTACACAGTGTGTATATACTTCAAAACATTATATTGTACATAATACAATTTTATCTGTCAATTTGAAATAAGCTACATGTCTCTTTTTTAAACCCACTTTTTTTTTTTTTTTGAGACCGAGTTTTGCTCTGTCACCCAGGCTGGAGTGCAGTGGTGCGGTCTCCACTCACTGCACCCTCTGCCTCCTGGGTTCAAGCAATTCTTCTGCCTCAGCCTCCCAAGTAGCTGGGATTACAGGTGCCTGCCACCACGCCCAGCTAATTTTTGTATTTTTATTAGAGATGGGATTTCACCATGTTGGCCAGGCTGGTCTCAAACTCCTGACCTCAGGTGATCCACCCGCCTCAGCCTCCTGAAGTGCTGGGATTACAGGCATGAGCCACCATGCCTGGCCAAAAACCCACTCTTTTATAGATAACAACCAAAAATAAAAACTTCTGTATCAGAATCATGATCATTTTTGCCTTATATTTTAAACACTATCAGTATTGAGTGGTGAACCACTTGGGGTATTTTGAGTTGAGCTTTGGTCCCTGTGCTTCATTCAAGGTCTAGGAAGAATAACATATGTATTTACATTATTATAGTTTTTTTTTAAGTACAATTTCTAAGAAAGAAATCTATATAGCCGGAAAAGTTTTTTGAAAAAAGTTAATGAGAGAGGAGAGGTAGAATATGTCATGCAGGAGAATTAAGACTTGTGGTTTAAAAAAAAAAAAAAAAGTTCAGAAAGATACTGATTAAGGGCCAATTCCAGGAGTCAGTCTGCCAGAGTTCTTCCTGGTTCTTCCTTTTATTCTCTGTGGCACCTTGAACACTAATTGCCTTATATGAACATGGATTCATGTGTATATCTACCTCATGGATGTATTGTGAAGATACATGAGATAATTCACATGAAAGGGCTTAGTATAGTGCCTGGCACAGAGTAATTTGTAAGTCAGTATCAACTGTGATTATTATCATCATCTTGAGTAATACGTGGACAATGTTTATTTGGCTACTATGCTTTGGAGACAGGATGATCCTTTGTAACTCAAGGGTATGTGCTTAAGTGTTTATTATTATGGCTGTTTGCCATTTGAAGCTTAAAGTAGAATCCCACCTACCTGCTAATGGCTCATTCCAAGTTATAAATGGTGCTTATGTTTTGTATTTTCTAAAATTAATATTTTCATATTGCTATGTGTACCAGAAATCACAGAATTTGAAATGAGAAAGAATCTGATTTTATAGCATTCAGAGACAATTTTTAATAACGTATATAATTTTGTGTATATTTACTTGGTAAAAAAAGAAATCGTAAAGTTAAATCAGCTTCACTGTCACCTTGGCAGATCTATGGGCTTTTAAACCTCTTGTGTCTTAGGTTTTTATTCGTATAGCTTTTCTGAGACCTAAAGTGAAAATATAAATAGTCATATGCTGTATAACATTTCAATGATGGCCCACCTATGTAACAGTGGTCCCGTAAGGTTTTAATACTGTATTTTACTGTACTTTTCTATTTTTAGGTACACAAATACTTACTGTTGTGTTACAGTTACCTACAGTATTCAATATATAACATGCTGTACAGGTTTGCAGCCTAGGAGCAATAGGTTATACCATATAGCCAGGATGTGTAGTAGGGTTTACCATTATGTCTGTTTAAGCATGTTCTATGAATGTTCACACAATAACTAAATCACCCAACAACACATCTCAGAACATATTCCCATCAAGCAATGCATGACTATAAATAAGTACATAAAGTATAATAAAACTTTTTCCAAATTTTTCTCCAGCTTGAGATTTGCAGCTAATTAATTTGAAAAGATTTGACTTCGACGTCTGGGAGTATCATACCTAAGTAGTTTGTTTTTTTTGTTTTGTTTTGTTTTTTTTGAGACAGAGTCTTGCTTTGTAGCCCAGGCTGGAGTACAGTGGCACCATTTTGGCTCACTGCAGCCTCTACCTCCTGGGTTCAAGCGATTCTTGTGCCTCAGCCACCCAAGAGGCTGGGATTACAGGCACGCACCACCACACCTGGCTAATTTTTGTATTTTTTTTTTTTTTTAGTAGAGATGGTTTCACCATGTTGGCCAGGCTGGTCTCGAACTCCTGGCCTCAAGTGATCTGCCTGCCTTGGCCTCCCAAAGTGCTGGGATTACAAGCATGAGCCACTGCACCCAGCCTAAATAGGATTTTTTAAATCTCCTTTCACAGGGCTGGAATGACTTCCTTCACATTTAGATAGTTATGTTTAATACAGATTAAACTGAGCCAGTTTTTTAAAAGTGTAACTGGAATGTACACATTTTTATAAATGTTCTTAGGCAATCTGTTTTTTAAAGCACTTAATAGCCATGTGAATGTATTCTGTATTTGAGGAGAGTAAGGTCAAGTGTGACTATACTAGTTAAGAAATAGAACTGTAGTTCTGCTTTTTATTTTTCTTCTACAAAGCTTTTCTCAGAAAAAACAAACGAAAATGGTTTAACTATATTGTCGTTGATAGATTAGTTCATTTATTCAGATTATATTTGAGGCCCTACTGTTTATCAGCCACTATTATGGGACTGCCGATGCAGGTATGAACAACTAAGATAAGGCTATTGACTTCATAGTATTTGCATCCCATTGAGAGATGATAGACAGGAAACAAGCAAATAAATAGGAAAATTTCAAAGTGTAACAAATGCTAATAAGGAAATAATGTGATGTTATAGGGTATGTGGTAAGAGTTTGGCCCCAGGCAGGCTACTTAGACTGATCAGAAAGAACTTTTGGTAGGGTTTGATATTACTGGAGGACGGGAAGAAATCTGTCACATAGAGTTGACCAAAGAGATTTTAAATGTAGAGAATAGCAAGAACAAAATGCCTAGAATGCAAAAAAAATTGGTGTATTTGAGTTTGGATATTATTCTAAGCTTTGTATTGGAATATTTGTATTTAGGGTATAGCTAAGATGTTGCTGTTTCTGCTGTATCAGAAGAGGTCTTATCCTTAGAGAATAATTAAGACTAGAAGGTGACCAGGACAAGCTTTGAGGAAAACCATTGATGGGTTTTTTGCGGTATTTTATGTTATGTTATGTTATGTTATGTTATGTTATGTTATGTTATGTTATGTTATGTTATTTTGAGACAGAGTCTCGCTCTATCGCCATTGACAGGTTTTAGGCAAAGGAATGACATAATGTGTCTCTGGCTTCTCTGTGGAGGATGAATTATGCAGACTCTCAAGAATAGAAGCAGGAATCAGTGGTGTGCTGGAGTGGGCTATAACTGGTTAGAATAATAGAAGAGGAAAAGTGGCAGGTATAGATTTAGGACACATCAGTTAACAGATGCTATTGGAGCTATAGGACTATAGGAGATAACCTAAAGGGAAAGAAGAGAGGAGGGTTCCTGATTGAACCTTGAAGTAAGGCTGACCCATGAATCGAAAATCCACGTATAATTTTTGACTCCCCAAAAACTTTACTAATAGCCTACTATAGACTGGAAGCCTTACTGGTAACATAAATGGTTGATTAACACATTTGTAGGTTATATGTATAATATGCTGTATTCTTATAATGAAATAAGCTAGAGAAAAGAAAATAGTAAGAAAACCATAAGAGAAAATATATGTACTGTTCATTAAGTGGAAGTGGATCATCACAAAGATCTTCATGAACCTCATTGTCTTCACTGTGAGTGGGCAGAGGAAGAGGAGGAGAAAGAAGAGAGGTTGGTCTTGCTGTCTTGGGTAGGTAGTAGAAGTGGAAGAAAATCCACGAAGAAACGGACCCATGCAACTCAAATTGCATGTTTTTCAAGACTCAGCTGTACCTCAGCATTTAAAATTGAATAGAAAAGAGAAGCCAACATAAACTGAAAAAAAGAGGCTAAGAGATAACAAACCTTGAGAGGGAAGAGTCCCGGAAGCCAAAAACAAGGTATTGAATACTGCTGAGTTGAATAAAATGAGGGGCTACAGAAGTGACCTTTGGCTTTGGTTAAAGCACATTATGGGTGATTTTTATACGGGTTTTTTTCCTGGAGGGACAGTCCCATAGGCATTTCACGGAGTCTGAAGAGTGAATAAAAGATAAGGAAAAAATAGCAAATATAGAGAAATCTTTCAGGTTTTGCTATGAGAGAATAAAGAAATGGGTTGGCAGCCAGAGAGCCTGTGGGGGTCAAGGAAAGGCTATGGGTTTTAATTTTAGTTTTAGTTTTAGTTTTAGTTTTAGACCATGAGAGATTCGGGGGGTAGACTTTAGGCTGTAGACAGGAAAAGAAACTGATAGTATTGAAGGAGCCTGAGCTAATAGTCCTTGGGAAGGCAAGAGGAGACCAGATTCAGAACACAGCAAGAGGGAGGCCTTTACTGGGAGGAAGGTCCTTTGTCCTTCATAATGGAAAGAAAAGTAGAGAATATGGGTATAGGTGAAGATAGGTTACAGATTTGTTGGAGGGAAGGTAAGAATATTCTTTTTGCTTCCATTTTCTTAAGTTTGAAACTAGATCTTTAGCAATGATGGAGGGAAGACAGTATTAGGATTTTGAGAAGAGAAGGTATGAAATAGTTGTGTCAAGAACTTAAATTTACTAAGGAAACAGTGGGTTAGGATAGTGTTGAGTACCTGTTTGAAGTTTGTGCTTCTCAATTTAAGTCAACCTGATTGTATGATTTTTTTCTCCAATGTTTAGTTGCTCATTTTCAGGCTGAAAACAAAAAAAAACATGTAGTTGAGTTTAACCAGGATTGGAGTTTTGTCAGATGAGTATAAAGAGGAAGATTCCACACTCTTTACCCCAAGGTAGGATGGGTATGAGAAGGAAAACAGCCTCCGTGAAAGTGAAGAGTAATGACTAGGAGTTAGGACTCTAAAGCCAAATTGCTTGTGTTTAAATCCCTACCTCTCCCATTTACTAGCTGTATTGCATATCATTTCTATCCTTCAGTTTCCTTACTTGTAAATGTGAGTAATAGTGCCTACTGCAAAGGATCAACTGGGATTAAATTAATTAAAATACACGAAGCACTTGAATAGTTCCTGGTATTTAGTAAGTACACTGTAAGGTTAGAAGAGGTCTTGTCCTCAGAGAATAATTAAGACTAGAAGGCGACAGGACAAGCTTTGGGGAAAACCATTGATGTTTGTTTTTTTGTTTGTTTGTTTGTTTGTTTTGGTTTTTTTTGAGATGAAGTCTTGCTTTGTTGCCCGGGCTGGAGTGCAGTGGCGCGATCTCAGCTCACTGCAAGCTCCGCCTCCCAGGTTCATGCCATTCTCCTGCCTCAGCCTCCCGAGTAGTTGGGACTACAGGCGCCTGCCGCCATGCCCGGCTAACCTTTTGTATTTTTTTAGTAGAGACGGGTTTCACCGTGTTAGCCAGGATGGTCTCGATATCCTGACCTCATGATCTACCCCTCTCGGTCTCCCAAAGTGTTGGGATTACAGGTGTGAGCCACCGCACCCGGCCAACCATTGATGGGTTTTAAGCAAAGGAATGGCATAATTAAGACTAGAAGGTGACAGGACATGCAGAGGAAAGGCTGATGATCTGTTGAGCACATATCTGAAGTTTCCTAGAGTGTATACCATTTGAAAGTTTGAGACAACAGTAAGGGCATGGGAGATTGGATCAGATTAGGGAAGTACAGAGCATCAGGTTTATAATGAGTGACAATAACCTATTTGTAAAATACCTAGTAAGTGTTGTCTTCCATCTTTTTTTTTTTTTTTTTTTTTTGAGATGGAGTCTCACTCTGTCCCCAGGCTGGAGTGCAGTGGCGCGATCTCAGCTCACTGCAACCTCCAACTCTGAGGTTCAAGCGATTCTCCTGCATCACCCTCCCCAGTAGCTGGGATTACAGGCATGCACCACCACACCCAGCTAATTTTTGTGTTTCTAGTAGAGACGGGTTTCACCATGTTGGCCAGGATGGCCTTGATCTCCTGACCTCGTGATCTGCCCGCCTCAACCTCCCAAAATGCTGGGATTACAGGTGTGAGCCACCATGCCCGGCCTTCATCCATATTTTTAACACTCAAGGGAAGTTTCCAGCTTTCAGGAGTGACTGGCTTTATGAATTGACTAAATAAATGATTCCTGAAGATTATTTAGTGACAGTGCCAACATTGGAACCTAGAACTGTTGACCAAAATGAAATAGATTATTAATGGTTACATCTGTTAGATGGTAACAATTACTGAATGGTAATTTTTCATTAGTTAGAAAAGTTTGGAAAGAGCATCTACTTATATAGCTTTTTTTCCGATGTTCTCTTTCAAAAACAACAGCAGGGTTTTTTGCCCCATTGCATGGTGCTTACAATAATTCATTAATTTATATTCTTGGGATGTGCTAGAAACACTTAGTCCCCAGATACATCTTTGGAATTGAGTAATAATGAATCTTTTCTCTTTTCAGCCCTCCCCCTGCCTTTTGTGGCAAAGGAAGGAGAGAAAGAGAAAATGCAGCTAGTGATAAGCAAACTAGCCAAAGTATCTTTGTGTTGTTATTCTGAAGTGAGGTCTACTCACTTTTTATCACCATTTAAACAGAACTTTTAAAAATTGAGATGGTATGATACAATATTTCATTTCTTATTTAAATTTTAGCTTTTTATGCTATAAAGTGTAAAAACAAATCTGTACTACCTACTAATTTTTTCATAGGGCATAACTTGCCCAGAGAAATCTACAGCTTTTATCTTTTTTCATAAACAGCTTTTTTGCTTTATTTTTATAATTGATATATGTTATATTTGTGAGACAAAACATGACACTAAATTATGTTTCATGACAATTCAGGTCCAATTTATCTGAGTTGTAACTTTGAAAGTATTGCAACTAAATTGTCCAGTGGACTAAAGATCAAGTCAGAGAAACTACGATTAACAGCCCCTAGAAGAAAGATTACAAATGCAACTTTGATTTACTTGCATCACTTTAAACAAGCTAGAATTTTTATTTTTATTTTTTTAAGTTTCCTGGTTATATTAAATAAATAGTTTGTTATTGTATCTCCTGGAAAGTTGCAGGTTATTGAGAGGAGGGAGTTAATTTCAAACAAAACAGCTCATTTGACAGAGATGATGTAAATGTTTGATATAACGTTTAAGATGATGGAAATGTTCTGTATCTTAACTGTAGTGAAGAATCTTGATTGTGGTGATGGTTTTATGGGTGCACGCACTAGTCAGAACTCATCAAATATGTGTATTAAATATATACAGTTTAACAAAGCCATAAAACATGTTTGGCAATAATACTACATTTTAACTAATATTCACAAGACAATTCAAGATAGGTTAGTGAGTCCTCAGTTTTCCAGTTTGCTGCCAAGAAATTCAGAGCCACATCTGATGCTTAATTATAACTTACTACCCCTCTTAATTAACATACTTGCTTCCCAGTGTTGTTTTGATTTCGTAGGAAATAATGACGACAACTGTTTCTTGAGCATTTTCTATGTGCTGAGCACTCTGATAACTTTAGTATGTTACTTATTTAATTTTGACAGCCATTCAAGTATAAGTGTTTTCATCTCATTTAATGGATAAGGAAAACTGGTTTGACAAAATTAAGCATGTTGCCCAAGGTCATACAGCTGCTAAGTAAGTATTAGAGCTAGGATTTAGATTTAGGTCATCTTGACTTTAACCCCTGTTCTTGGAGGCCCTACCGTCTACTGCCTGTCTTTTCATCGCCTGGGGTTTCTGTGAAACACTACTCTGTTATTAAGTATGTCTATTTATTTTGTGTTTATTCTGGAGAAGAGGCATGGTATAAAGTTTGATACACTATGGGGATACGTTATATTTGCATTATGATCTAAGTCAGTGGTGTTTAAAGTGTGTTATTCACAAACTTTGTTAAGAGACATGGTGAAATAAGCACAGAGATAAAAGTAAACATTTAGAAACTTTTATAGCAATTTAATATTACTGCAACAACTAAAGCACATGATTTTATATTTTAGAAAAGTATTGGTCAGTGATGGATTTGGTGGAAATACTGATCTTTCACTACAGATAGTTTGAGAAGTATTGACCTAAGCCATTATAAAACAAAATATGGGGGAAAATGACTGAGAACTGCAATTTGTATGTATATATTGGATGAAAGGCTTAAAATGGTGTATCTTTACACTTCTTTTCTGATATATAATGACAATTTTATTTGCATTAAAGTCATTGTGGAATTACAACTAAATTTTTAGTCCTAGGATTTGACTATTGTATTAGTTTTCATGCTGCTGATAAAGACATACCTGAGACTGGGCAGTTTACAGAAGAAAGAAGTTTAATCGGACTTACAGTTCCATATGGCTGGGGAAGCCTCACAATCATGGGGAAGGCAAGGAGGAGCAAGTCACATCTTAATGGATGGCAGCAGGCAAAGGAAAAAAATTAAAAAAAAAAAAAAGCTTGTACAGGAAAACTCTCCCTTATAATACCATCAGATCTCACCCACCACCATGAGGATACCATGGGAAAGACCTGCCCCCATGATCCAGTTACCTCCCACCAGGTCCCTCCCACAGCACATGGGAATTCAAGATGAGATTTGGGTGGGGACACAGCCAAACCATATCAACCATCTTTTCACATGAAAAGTAATACTGCAGCTCTGCTGATGAAACTTCTGCAAAATGTCTCTTCTCATTTTTCAGCAATTTAAGATTTTGCTTTTAATATTTTGTTTTATATGTTTGATATAAACATATATCAAACAAACAAGCTATATGAAGTCTTTTTAATCATATTTAAATATTTAGGAATTTATTGCCTAAAAAAAAGTAAGAAAGTTCAAATTAATTACCTGACCAAACTTTTTAGCTGTAGATGCATACAAGAGTTATAAGCCTTACAGACATAGCTGGTCATTATTAATTGACTTTTTTATAGCAAATAAGATTATCTGAAGGATGTGTATGTTGAGATAATATTGCTTAAAAATTATTAGGCTGATAAATGACCCCTATTTTCATTAATAGAAATTACTACTAAATTGCTTGGCAGGTTAATCTTCCTCATGCACTGAATATTATATGTCTTCAAAATGAATGCTATTTTATATCTTATTCTGGAAATCTTGCTAAGGAAGGAAAAAAAATGTTCCTGCTGATAAAATTTATGCGTGTGTTTTACTCTGTCTACCACATTCTTAAATTCATTGATTGGATTTTAGTTATTTTATACGAATTTTATGTGCTTTCAGAAAATCCAGTCAAGTTGATATTTTCCCTGAGTTTAATTTGGTTTTGCTATCCTTCTGATTTCTGAGAAACAGAACTAGAAATGTTTTAGGTTGTGTTCACTCTAACCTTCATTCCATATATGTCACTGTTGGTATTTAACTGTTTTATTAGCTATCAGAGTTTATGGCCTTACTTGTTTTAGTGTGCTAGTCTTTTGTATCTGACATACATACAGGTATTGCTTTGTGTGTATGCTGTGTGTGTGTGTTTATGGTTAAATCTAGTATTTAAAAGTTTTAGAAACCATGGATTGATAATGAAATAGCTTGTATCATTTTTAATTTATTACCAGTCTTTATTATGTTTAAACACTTTGATCATGAGTCCAACTGTAGCCTCACTATTGTAAGTTATGTGTTGTCCAGCATAGAGACATGTATAAAACATAGTTCCTGCTCTCAAAGAACTTTCCTGGTAGGAAAATTGCATAGCAAATCCTTATATAAAACAAAAATTAATTTGATGTGCAAGGTTAAGATTATTTTGATTCACATATTTAAGTTCATATTTATTGTGAGTTCTTCAGAGTACTTCAAAATACTGCTTTATGTTTGATTTGCTGCTCTGAGTCCAAAGCATGAAGGGACAGTAGTGTCCCTCCCCCCCCCCCCACCATATTCACCAGGGATATGTTTTAAGACCCCCCTAATGGATGCCTGAAACTGCAGATAGTACCAAACTCTAAATTCTGTTTTTTTTTCTATACATATATACCAGTGATAAAGTTTAATTTACAAATTAGGCATAGTACTCTTTCTTGCACTTTACAGCTATTATTAAGTAAAATAAGGGCACAAGCACTGTGCTACCACAACAGTCAGTCTATAACCCACACAGCTACTAAGTGATTAATGAGCAGTTATCATCTATAGCATGGATACACTGCACAAAGGGAGGGTTCACTTTGTTCTGCGAGAGATTTTGTCATGTTACTCAGAATGTTATGCAATTTAAAACTTACGAATTGTTTATTTCTGGAATTTTTCATGTAATATTTCCAGACTGTGGTTGGTTGAGGTTAACTGAAACCCCACAGACAGTGAAAATGTGGATGGGGTGGGGAAGAAGTACTGTATGACTGTGTTTTCCTCCCCACATAAACTTTATATTATTTTAAGTCCCTTAGCATCAAATATCAAGTTTTAAAGAGAAAAATAAACTATCTTATTTTGTTCTCTACTCTCACTGTCCCAATTGGGAATGAAAGTATCATGAGGTCAGGGATGTTCTCTCTAGTCAGCACCCAAACATAGTGCTTGGCACATGGTATGCTGAAGCAAAATCATTTCATGTCAAATGAAATCACATTTAAGGTGACTACTCTCTCCAAAGATAGGCTTTGGGACTTGTTTTCATTTTTGTGGATAAAATAATTGAAGTAGAGAATTGGGAAACTCGTATAGCCTCTCTTTGGCACAACCTTAACCAAGGAAATTTTGATTTTATAAATCAATGGATTTGTAGCTTTTTTCAGTACAAACAGATTTTACTCATTGGCTATATTCTCTAGTGGTTTTTAACCTTTTTGTTAAAAAACTATTGTTTGAGAATATTATGAAAGAAGTAGACTCTCCCCAATAAAATGTAAGACATGTAAATTTCACATGTAATTTAAGGTGATTCATATATTTTGAGTATGCAGTTCACCTATTTAAAGTATGTAATATGGGCTGGGCACAGTGGCTCACGCCTGTAATGCCAGCACTTTGGGAGGCCAGCGCAGGCAGATGACGAGGTCAGGAGTTCGAGACCAGCCTGGCCAGCGTGGTGAAACCCCATCTCTACTAAAAATACAAAAATTAGCCAGGCATGGTGCCAGGTGCCTGTAATCCCAGCTGCTCGGGAGGCTGAAGCAGGAGAATCGCTTGAGCCCAGGAGGCGGAGATTGCAGTGAGCCGAGATGGCGCCACTGCACTCCAGCACTCCAACCTGGGTGACAGAGTGAGACTCCGTCTCAAAAACAAACAAACAAAAAATATATATATAAAATATGATATTCAGTATATTCAGAATTGTGAAACCATCTCTACAATCAATTTTAAAACATTTTTGTCACCCCAAAAAGAAACCCTATATTCATTTTGAGTTCATTGTCCATTTCCCACCAATTCCTCTTTTCCTCTTCTCCCCCCACTCTAATCAACCACTAATTTACTTTGTCTCTATAGATTTTTCTATTCCTGTCATTTCATATAAATGGAATCATATACTATGTGGTCTTATGTCAATGGCTTCTTTCACTTACAATGTTTTCAAGGTTCATGCGTGTTATAGTTTGTATCACTATTTCATTCTTTTTTATGACCAAATAATATTCCATGGTATTTTAGTTATTTGTGTGTCAGTTGATGAATATTTGGGTTATTTCTTCTTTTGGCTATTATGAATAATGCATCTATGAGCATTCACACAAGTTTTTGAGTGTACATATATTTTCATTTCTCTTGTGTCTACACCATACGTAGGAGTGGAATTTATGGCTTATAGTAATTCTATGTTGAACCTTGGAGAACTACTACCAGACTGTTTTCCAGAGGAGCTACGCCAATTTATGTTCCTCCAGCAGTGTATGAGGGTTCCAGTTTCTACATAACACGCTTATTGTCTATCTTTTTTATTGTAACCATCCTAGTAGTCATGAAATATTGTGGTTTTGATTTGTTTCCCTGATGATTAATTATGTGGAGTGTCATTTTACGTACTTATTGACCATTTGTACATTTTCCTTTTAGAAATGTCCATTCACATCTGTTGCCCACTTTGGAATTATTTGTCTTTTTATTATTGGCTTGGAAGAGTTTTTTATTATCTAGTTTAAGTCTCATCAGATATATGGAGGATATATTTTCTCCTATTCTGTCAGTTGTCTTTTCACTTTCTTAATGTTATCCTTTGCAACACGAAAGTTTTACTTCTGATGAAGTCCAATTTATTTTTTCTTTTGTTGCTTGTGTTTTTGGTTTTTAATTTTATTTTATTTTGTTTATTTTTTTGAGATGGAATCTCACTCTGTTGCCCAGGCTGGGGTGCAGCGGCGTGATCTTGGCTCACTGCAGCCTCGGACTGCCGGGTTCAAGTGATAGTCCTGCCTCAGCCTCCCGAGTAACTGAGATTACAGGCATGAGCCACCACACCTGGCTGATTTTTGTATTTTTAGTAGAGACGAGGTTTCACCATGTTGGTCAGCCTGGTCTTGAACTCCTGACCTCAAGCGATCCGCCTACCTCGGCCTCCTAAAGTGCTAGGATTACAGGCGTGAGCCACCGTGCCTGGCTTTCAGTTTTATTTCTAAGAAGACTTTGCCTAGCCACAGGTCACAAAGATTTAATCCTATATTTTTTTCTGAGGGTTTTATAGTTCTAACTGTTACATTTAGATCTCTGATCTATTTTAAAGTAACTTTTGTGTAGATGTGAAGGAGTCAACTTTGTTCTTTTGCACATGGGATATTCAGTTATCCCAAACTACTTGTTGGAAAGACTATTCTTACCTTGGTTGAATTGTGTTAGCATCCCCTAAGGCCCACTCTTAGACCTTCCTGTAGGTCCGTGCATCCAGCTCTAGAGAAAGGTACCAAGTTAGTTAGAAGTCAGTTAGGATACCAGAAAAATTAAAGGGGAGCCACATTGGTTTTTAAGTAGAACCTTAATTCAATTATTCCTATTACCCTAGATTACGTATTGCTGTGTAACAAATGACCCCTGAACTCAGTGGCCTATAACAAAATCTTCTGTAGGTCTCGAATTTGAGAGACTTAGCTCATGTATTCCTGGCTTCGGGTAACTCATGAAGTTATAGTCAGGATGCCAGTTGGGGCCACAGTCAAATTAAGGCTTGGCTGAGGATGGAGGATCTGCTTCTAAGGTGGCTTACTCACATGGCTGTATAGAAAGCTTCAGCTCCTTGTCACGAGACCTGCCTTCTCCATAGGGCTCCTTGAAAGTGTCTTCATGATGTGGCAGCTAGCTCCCCCCAGAACTAATGATAAGAGAGTAAAGAGGAAACCAAAGTGCATTTATGACCTGTTGGCCGTTACACATTGTCTCTTCTACCCTATTCTTTTCATGAGAAATGAGTCACAAAGTTGACCCTAAGGTGCTGGGGGATTGGGAACCACTTTTTCAAAGAAATAACAAAGAATTTGTGGATTTGTTTTTTTGCTTTAATAGAGGCAGAGTCTTGCTCTATCACCCAGTCATATTTCATTGCAGCCTTGAACTCTTGGACTCAAGCTATCCTCTCACTTCAGCCTCTTGAGTAGCTGGGACTACAGGTGCCACCATGCCTGGCTAATTTTTATTTTTTTTAGAGACAGGATCTCACTGTGTTGCCAATGCTGGTCTTGAAACCTTGATCTTAGGCCATACTCCATCCTCAAGCCTCCCAAGTAGCTGGGATTACAGGTGTGAGCCACTGTACTCAGCTGTGGGCATACTTTAAACCACCACATGTTCTTGTCAGTTTTATTCAAAGTAAAGTCTAATTCCAAACAGCTAATGGGCCTTCATACTAGATGCCCACTTATTACTTAATAAAATGATCTCCGAATCATTTATTTGTTTTTCTTTCTTCCCCTGTGTTCTTGATTCTTCCAATCTAACCAGACTTAATGTATTTTAGGATCAAAACAAAGTAGAGGAGCATATATATATCAGAAATGTTACATAAACAAATATGACAGAGAAATAACATGATTCTAAATTGAAATAAGTATAAGAAAATTTTCTATGCTTTTACTTACTAAATTTTCACAGTCATTTTTCCAATTCCTAGGAAGGAACACACAAGTAGTTATCTTTCAGGCTGTCTTTGAATACTTCCATGACCCTGAACACTAGCTGAGGAGAGTTTCAACCACTGCTAACAGTAAGGAACATTTTCAAGTTAGTCATTACCTTTGTAGTAAGATCATATGAACCCGTTTTAATACTTTGTAACCTTGGTTCCTCCTGCAAACTCTTTTGTAGGTAATGACTTTACATGAGTTTGGAACTGGTCTCTAGTGGGAAGTTGTGGGAGGATGAACACAGAAGAGCTGGAGTTATTGAGTGACTCCAAATACAGAAACTATGTAGCAGCAATTGACAAAGCACTAAAGAATTTTGAATACTCCAGTGAATGGGCAGATTTGATATCAGCACTTGGAAAACTTAATAAGGTATGTCTGTATTATCCATTTCATAAAAGGAGTAAAAATTAGAAATCTGTGTTTGTACTTGTTAGATTTCTCGAAATCTTGAAGTAAGAATGCAAAAACATAAATGAACCTTAGATTACTCTTGGTAGTGCTATTTTTCTTCATGAGTTGCATGCCTGTGTAGTCAAGCATATTAAGGCTTTGGAAGTTTTAATTCAAAGAAATAACAATGCTTGAAAAATATAGTTATCGCCATGATTATCAGCTATAAAAACAGAAGAGAAGGAAGCAAATATGCTAACTATGAGGGCTAGTAAATTTCTGTAATGGAGCATCAGATATGGTGCTGGAATTCCTGGCAGCAAAATGAAAACCTACAAATGGAAAGCAGTAATTCCTGTGTTCTTTCCAAATGATATATAGCAACAAGGAAACATTTTCTATCCTGGCAAGCTATAGTTATAATTTGGTACTTTTTACAAAGGCGAGTATATACAAGCAGTTGCTTACGCCTTGCAGCTTGTCCTTGAGTAATTCTTCTTGAGACATGTCTGGTTTTTATTCAGTTATTGTTGTGGCATCATTGATCAACCTCTGGCGCTTCATTTTGACCTTTTTATTTTTTAAACATCAATTTTTTTTACTGCATACCCATAGTTAAGGTTTTTTTTAAATTGTTATTGAATGGGAGTGTTTCTAAATATTAAAGAGGTTACATAGGAAAGGAGTGGCCTTCCAATAACTTATTCTATTTTATTTTATTTTATTTTATTATTTTATTTTATTTTATTTTATTTTATTTTCATTTATTTTATTTTATATGAGACAAGGTCTTACTCTTTCACCCAGGCTGGAGTCCAGTGGCATGATTATAGCTCATTGCAGACTCCTGGGCTCAAGGGATCCTCCCACCTCAGCCTTCTGAGTAGGTGGGACTGCAGGCATGCCACCATGTCTGGCTAGTTATTTTTTTAGAGATAGGATCTCGCTATGTTGACCAGGGTGGTCTTGAACTCTTGGCCTCAAATGATCCTCCCACCTCAGCCTCCCAAAGTGCTGGGATTACAGGCATTAGCCACTATACCCAGCCTATCAAATAGCTTAACATACAAATTAGGAAAGAAGTTTGTCTTAAAATACATACTAAGATGTGTGGGGGAAGAAAACACAGATAGTTTTTCCTCTGCTCTCACCACGACAATCAATGCAGAAGATTTCTATAACCCTAAAACAAGTGGTTATTTCTCCCTTACCAGCAAGCAAGCAGTTCTACAGTAGATACCAGCTGGATGTGCTGCAGTTCAATTTGGACACTATCTACCTGGAGATAGTATCAGATCCCACAGGTTGAGGGCTGAGCCTCATAAGACTGTCCTCCTGTTTTGATGCCAATCACAAGCCCTAGTTTGTTTTACCTGTGCTTCTGATCAACTGGCTATAAAGTTCCACAATCCTTTCTTTAGCTTTAATTTGCTAGAGCGGCTCACAGAGCTTAGGGTACTGGTTCATTATAAAGGACATTACAAAGGATACAAGTGAAGAGATGCATAGTGTGAGGTATGGGTGAAGGGACGTAGAACTTTCATGCCCTCCTCAGGAGTGCCACCCTCCAGGAACCTCCGCATGTGTTCAGCTGGCCTGGACACTCTCTAATCATCCTTTTGGGCCTTTTGAGACTTCATTGGATAGGCATGATTGAAGCATGGACAGCTGTGTAGAAATGTGATAGGAAAGAAAAGATATGATGTAATACTAACAGACTAAGTGGGGGAACCCAGCAAGGCCCGTCTGTCAGATTTTTCTTGGCCTCTCTACAGCATTCCTTCCTTCTGGGTATGGGGCAGGACCCCTTCTGAAATAGGGGTCTTTGACCTACAATGAGACCAAGTAGTCCAGAGAATTTTGTTACGGCCAGCTCCGAGACAGGGGAAGATTCCTGCCTTAGGGAGAAAAAGGAGATGAGAAGAGGGCAGGAAAAGTCAGAGAGAAATTGTTTTCTGAGGCCTGCTTCTGAGGCCCAAAGTTCCCCATATTATAATAAGGGCTGTGGGAGTTATGAGCCAGGAACCATGGATGAAAACCTACAGACACACTCTCACTCACAATACCACACCAGGACACTAGTTTTCAACCTGATACGACAGATAATCACTTTGATACCATAAAAAGAAAAGTTACCATTTTCAGTATGTCAAGGATTTGTCTTAAAATTTGATTCAGAAGCTTCTCTTTGATGTTAGAACTTCTAACATTTATCTTTTGAAGTTTGAATAATTCTTTATTCCTTTACAACATCCACAAGAAATTCCATCTAAAAGTACAAGTTTGCTTAAAGGTAGTTAGGTTCTTTTTTTTCCTAAAGAGTTTTGAAGAGTCTGTTTCTGAAGATATACTGGGAACTCTTTTTAAAGGCAAGTCATTAAATGATGGAAATTAATTTGCCTAATTAGGTACATAATTAGTTTTTTAGATTAACCAATATTCACAAAAGTAGATTTCATGGTATCTAGATAACTCAAAGAAGAATACCCAAGTTGTTTATGAAGCTTAGCCAAAATTGTGATAGAACAAGGCAAGGATTGCATATGTGTGTGTGTGTGTGTGTGTGTGTGTGTATATACATATATATATATATATACACACGTATACATATATATACACATACACATATATATATGCTCTATTACATATATATACTCATACCGCCTTTGATGGTCATTTCATATATTATGGCAAAAAAACACAATTACTTTTGCACTAACCTATTATTTCAACCTCAGTTTATTCTGTAAAATAAGACTTTGCATATTTCTTCTAAATTCCAGTTCTAACATAGTCTGTATTCATTCTGAGTCTTCACTTTGTGACATTCTATCAATACTTGATTATAATACTGACTTCTAGGTTCAAACTAAAGGATTACATTTATTATAAGATCTTCTTTACTTAACTAATCTCCTTTGAGTGGTTGGTAAGATAGGGTCTCTGTACAGAAATTCTGCCCTGACCATTATTTCTAAGGAAATGTTATGGTTGAATAAATAAAACAAAAAGTTGTTTTGTCCAGTTAGAAAAATCAGTTTATAAAAACAAATGGGCAATGATAATCTCATGTAGATTTTCTTATAAGCATTAGAATTACTTGCTGTAATTTGATATACTAGGACAATGGTTGTACCTCTTCCAAGTACTGTAAATATCTACTTTGAGGCCAGACTTTATTTCAAAGTAGCAAAAATGGATTGAAGGCTGTAACTTTCCATGTTACATGTTCATGTAACATTCCAGCTGTCTTCTCACATCAAATATTAAAAATTTACCAAAAAAAATCTAAAATACCTCTCTTCTCCATAAATTTGTTTTGGAAAATATCATTTTTCATTAAAAATGTTATTCTGTTAACAGGTAACGAGTTTATTTTTTAAACAAATTAATAAAGTTTGTAACATTTCCTCAGTTTTAATTTTAAATATGGTATATATAGGCAAATGTAGCTAACAAAACACAAAGACCTACAATGATCATTTTTTATAATACTATGCTAGAAAATGGAAGTAAAATGAATGCAATATTTTGTTTTTCTCAACTACATTAAAATGCTTTCTTCAAGGTTTTACAAAATAATGCAAAGTACCAAGTAGTACCCAAAAAGCTGACCATAGGCAAACGCCTAGCTCAATGTCTACATCCAGCATTACCAGGTGGAGTTCATCGGAAGGCGCTTGAAACATATGAAATTATCTTCAAAATAATTGGACCTAAGCGACTTGCCAAAGATCTTTTTTTATATAGGTAAGAATAATTTTACTATATATATACAAATAATATAAAGAAAATGTATTGCTAAACTATTTTATACTTTCTGCACTAAAAACTAAAAATTGAAAACTCCTTAGTGATTAGAAGTTTTCAGATATCAATCTTTGTTTTGTTTTGTTTGAGACGGAGTCTTGCTCTGTCACCCAGGCTGGAGTGCAGTGGCCCAATCTTGGCTCACTGCAAGCTCTGCCTCCCGGGTTCACGCCATTCTCCTGCCTCAGCCTCCCCAGCAGCTGGGACTACAGGCGCCCGCCACCACGCCCGACTAATTTTTTTGTATTTTTAGTAGAGACGGGGTTTCACCGTGTTAGCCAGGATGGTCTCGATCTCCTGACCTCATGATCCGCCTGCCTCTGCCTCCCAAAGTGCTGGGATTACAGGCATAAGCCACCGCGCCTGGCCTCAGATATCAATCTTAAATATTTGAGTTAAGTGATTCAGAAAAATGTAGAACAGTCTTTAATGTCTTTTTGTTTTTTATTCTTAGATATCATTTATTAAAAGTTTTCATTCAAAGTTGTTGAGACTATAGTACATTCTACCTTTTTAAGCTTGAAAACTGGCCTGAGAAAAAAATAGGATACCTTGATCTCTCAGCAACTTTCAACATGGTTGACTCTTCTCCACTTAAAACAGTCTTTTCCTTTGGCTTTCATTGTACCACATTTTCCTGTTCAGTTACTCTTTCTCAGTCTCCTTTACAAGTCTTTCCTCCTCTACCCAAACTCCACACAGAGTTTCTTAGGGCTCATTTAGTGCAGCACCTTCTTATATTTTCACTTTGTAATCTCTCCTTAGACAAACTTAGCCATACCCATGATTTATTTTTTATTTTAAATTTTATTGTGTACATTTAAGATACACAACATGATGTGAGATACCAACAGATAATAAAACAATTACTGTAGATAAACAAATTAACATAGCCATCATCTTACATAGTTACCTATTTTTTGTGTATGTGGCAGGAGCAGTTAAAATCTATTTAGTAAAAATCCCAAATAAAATATTATTAATTATAGTCTTCATGTTGTACATTAGATCTCTAGATTTGTTCATCTGACATTTCCCATTTTCTCCTGCCCTTGGTAACAACTGTTTTATCTTCTATATGCTGACTCCCAGCTGGACATTTCCAGTGCTGGCAGCAGCTTTAAACTCCTGCTTGCTTGACATCGCCATATAGATCTTTAAAGGCAACTAAAGTTCAACCTGTTTAAAACTAAACTTTCCTCTTCTCCTATTGACCTGACCTTCCTGCAATGTACTGTATTAAAGCTCAATAAATGGTATCACCATCTATCCATTTATATAACCCTCAAATCTGAGAGTTACACTTGTTACCTTGTTTTCCCCACCCACATTTTCCCACCTCCGGTGTACACAGTCTGTTGTTCAGAGTTATGTCTCATGGTGGTTAAGAGAAGAGATGGCAGGGTCAAACTAGCTCTGTGATCTGGGGCCATTGTCCTCACCTGTTTGTGTTTGTGTCCTCACTTGCACAACAGAAATAAGATTATCAACCTCATAGGGTGGTTAATAGAATTGAAAGAGTTCATACATGTAAAATGCAATGGGCAACTTACAGTAAGTTCTTAATACATGTTAGCTACTATTCTGATATATGTCTCAAATACATCTACTTCCCTGAACCTTCACTGGCAGCATGCAGTCTAAGTAAGCATCATCTCTAGCTCAGGCTTCGTCACTGGCCTAACATTGATCCACCATCTGTTCTTATCCTCTTCTACCCTGTTCTCCACATAGTACCAGTGTAATCTTTTTAATATATTAAATAATGTTACCGTCTTGCTAAAAAGTCTATTGACTGCTTCTCAGCACACTTCAGAAAAATTAAGAAAAAGGCTTTAACATGGCTTTGAAGACTTTACTTCCTGAAGTACTCTGACCCTGGCTTTGTCAGTGACCTCAACTCTTAATAAACTAAAACTAAACTATTATTCTTTTCCCCCCAGTTTATTCCACTCAGGTCCACAGGTCTCTTTGCTTATTATTACTCATTTTCTTTGCTATTCTCTTGCCCTGTAACTCTCAAATCCAGGTCTCTGATCAGATATCAGCTCCTCAGAAGACTTGCTTAATTATCATCTGAAATGGCCCTTCTTCCACATTTTTATCCCTAGTATTCTATTCTATTGTGATGTGTTTTTAGGTAGGTTTTTATTATTATTATTATTTATCCTGTTGGTATTTGTTGGACTTTAAAAAATCTGTGAATTGGATAAAAAGGAATGAAATAATGGCATTCACAGTAACCTGAATGGAATTGGAGACCATTATTCTAAATGAAGTAACTCAGGAATGGAAAAACAAACATCGTATGTTCTCACTTGTAAGCGAGAGCTAAGCTATGAGGATGCAAAAGCATAGAATGATACAGTGGACTTTGGGGACCCAGGAGAAAGGGTATAACAGGGTGAGTGGTAATAGACTACACTTTGGGTACAGTGTACACTGCTTGGGTGATGGGTGCACCAAAATCTCAGAAATCTCCACTAAAGAACTTATTCATGTAACCAAACACCACCTATTCCCCAAAAAAACCATTAAAAAAATTTTTTAATCTATGAATTGATGCCTTTCACCAATTTTGGAAAATTTTCAACCACTATCTTTTGAGATTGCCTTCACCACATCTGTTCTCTCCCCACTTATTAGGTCTTCCCACTATGGCTTCTCCATCTCTTAACCATTTTTCATATTTTCTAACTTTTTGTCCTTATGTGCTTCATTCTCAGGAATTTCTTCTGACCTAGTTTCCAGGTCACTAATTCTGTCTCTCCTTTTCTTAACGACTTAACTTTTCTTTTAAACTGTTGATATAATTTACATTCAATAAAATGAACAGATTGTAAATGTTCAATGTGATGAGTTTTGACAAATTTAGTCAATTTCGTAGCCACTGTTCAAAATAAGATATAAAACATTCTTGTCAACCCAGCAAGTTCCCTCCTACCCCCTTCTAGTGAAAACCCCTACTATCCAACTATATGTATTACCCTTATTCTGCAGCTTAACTTTTAAAACTTTCTAAATGGTATCTTTGAAGAACCAAAAGTTCTTTATGCTGTCTTTTGAAGAAAGTTTTTTTTAGTTTAATGAAGTCTGATTTATCAACCTTTTATTAAGTAGTCCTTTTTGCTTCTTATTTAAGAAATCTTTGCTTGGTATATTGCTGCTAGAATGTAGAAATATGAAGGTGTTTTTCTGTATTGACATTGTATTCAGACACTTTGTCAAGTTCACTTGTTCTTTCTAATAGCTTTTGGAATTTTGAGATATAGTCACACTATCTGTGAATGGTGAGTTTTCTTTTCCGATTTTAATAATTTCATATCTTTTTTTGCCTTATTGTATTGACTAGGGTCTATAGTAAAGTGTTAAAGAGAGTAGGGGCAAGTATATCTTTGTCTTATTTCTCACTCCAGGTAGAAAATGTTAAATATTTTTGAAGGTTCAATCAACCCTTCATTTCTGGAATATATCCAGTTGGCTCATGATTTAGAATCCTTTTTTTCCATCTTTGTTTAGTAGAGAATGGCTATGATTTTACATTTTTATCTAATTTTGTTTTCTAGTATATGTTAACTTTCAAATTGTTCTCGTATTCTGTTCTCTGGAACAGTTCTCATAACATTGGTATAATTATTTAGAAGGTTTTATCTGAAATTTATCTTTGTGGGAAGATTTGTAATTACAGATTAATTTCTTTAGTAGTTATGGGACTATTCAAATTTATTTATGTCAGTTTTAATAAGTTTTTTCTCTCAAAATTTGCCTACTTTTACTAAATTTTTAGATGCATCAGCCTAAAGTTCTTAATATACTGTTATCTTTGTAGCATGTAGGATCTATAGTGATGTCTCCTCTTTCACTCTTGATATTGGTGACTCAAGCCATCCTTTTTTTTTAATTGATCAGTCTTATCAGGAGTTTATCAATTTTGTTAGTCTTTTTAAAAACCAACTTTTATTTACTGATCCTTTCTACTGTGTATGTGTTTACTCTCTCATTTTTGCTCAGATAAGCTCTCTCTGACCACCCTATTTAGAACCTGTCTATGCTCCACTCTCCTTGTTATTCTCCTGTAACTTTTTCTTCTCTGCTGTAACATTTATCACCATCTGATATGTATGTATGTATGTGTTAAGACATATAATAACCAAACAATTAAAATATATACATATATACTCTCCAAAAAATAAGCTTTATGAGGTTAAAGAGCAGGAATTTCTTACTGTGATTAAGTGTTCTATTCTCAGTATCCTGAAGAACTGACAGATAGTATACCCTTAATAAATATTTGTTTAATGAATAAAGAAACGCTATTTGTTATACTCAATTCTTTGATATTTTAAAATATTATTAAAGAGAAGTGAGCAAGGAAATATTATTAAAGAGAAATGAACATGGATGTCTTTCTTTTTTTTTTTTTTTTTTTTTTTTTTTTGAGACAGTCTCGCTCTGTCACCCAAGGTGGAGTGCAGTGGCACAATCTTGGCCCACTGCAACCTCCGCCTCCCAGGTTCAAGCAATTCTCCTTTCTCAGCCTCCCAAGTAGCTAGGATTACAGGCACATGCTACCATACCCAGCTAATTTTTGTATTTTTAGTAGAGACAGGGTTTCACTATGTTGGCCAGGCTGGTCTCGAACTCCTGACTTCGTGATCCGCCTGCCTCGGCCTCCCAAAGTGCTGAGGTTACAGGCGTGAGCCACTGCGCCCAGTTGAGCATGGATGTCTTAAAGATAGTATGTAAGGCCAGTAAAGGTATTTTTGATAGTAATAAATAATACATTCAAAGAATGATATTAAGAAAACTGAGCATTGCTGAATCAGTGTTGCATGTAATTATCTAATAATTGGTAGATTTTCCTTTCTCAAGGCAAGATTTACATAATTCATGCCTGCTACTTTCTAACTCTTAACAGAAAGTTTAAGCAACACAGTTATTCTTCAGTTGTAGTATACCTATTTTTATCATTAGTATGTTACGTAAAATTAAATCTAGAATACCATTTCTAAATATGGCAGATATTCTTGTACACATACACACACGTTATGGAGTAAATGATACCATTGTTCTATACTTTTTTGAAGTATAACTATTTTAAAAACTAAAGTTTATATTAAATGTAGATATGTTTATTTTTAATTAATGATTTTTTCATCTCAAGGTTTATGGTTTAACATAATTAAATACAAATACTTTTAAAGTTCTATAACCTATTACATGATAGAATACCATATTGCCTCTTCAAGCTTATTTCTTTTTAATGTGATGCAGTGCACAAAGATGTTAAGAAGGCTAGAAGTGGAGTTTTGAATGCCTTAAAATATTTAGATGAGTATGTAAAGTGAGCTTTTGGTAATATAAATCTAGATTGCAGACTAGACAGATACTATAGAGCAGTCAGCATTTAGTTGGCAGTTGAAGCCAAGAGAATAATTGAAATTACCTAGGTACATTGTAAATAACAAGGAGGAAAAAAGGAATGAGATCATTTTAAGAGTATTTAGGAGTCTCAGTATTTAATATCAGGTGGGGGAAAGTAGCCAATGAAAAAGAGTCAGAAATAGAAAATGTACCAGGAGGCCGGGCTCAGTGGCTCACGCCTGTAATCCCAGCACTTTGGGAGGCCGAGGTGGGTGGATTACCTGAGGTCAGGAGTTCAAGACCAGACTGCCCAACATGGTGAAACCTCATCTTAACTAAAAATACAAAAATTAGCCTGGTGTGGTGGTGAGTGCCTGTAATACTAGCTACTGGGGAGGCTGAGGTATGAGAATCACTTGAACCTGGGAGGTGGAGGTTGCAGTGAGCTGGTTGCACCACTACACTTCAGCATGGGCAACAGAGTGAGAGTCCATCTAAAAAAAAAAAAGAGAGAGAGAAAAGAAAGGAAAATGTACCAGGAGACAAAGCAGTCCTGAAAGTCAAAAGGGAAGAGCGCTTCAAGAGAATGCTCTGGTTAATAGTATCACATGTTAAATAAAATAGGATAAGGTCTGAAGATAGAGCATTGGATCTGGCAATTGGTGGACATTGGTGACCAAAATGAGAACAGTTTCAGTGGAGGAGGTAGAAGTATCGTGATTGATTAATGATGGAAGATAAACAGAAGAAATTCATAAAAATATATATATATTTTAACAGTTGATAGAGTTTGGTAGCTTTAAGCCAGAAGGTTAGTTAGAATAAAGATTTTGGGGTTTGGTTGTTGCTGTTTTTTTTTCTCGTTTTAGAATTATGAGGAAATATGTGAGTACATTTGTATTAAAAAGCAAAGATGTCAGTTCGGAAAGAAAAATTACAGAAAAGAAAAAAGATAATGGATGAAGCAGGTCCCTGGACAGGCGGGTCATGGCCCTGGGGCACATGGGAAAAAAGGTAGCCTGGAAGAGACTGAGAGACTGTGACTGTATCTTTAGATCAAACAGTACCTAAAATGGGAGACAGAAAAGTAGAAAACTGAAGCCATTCTTTCTTGATGATTTCTGTTTTTTATAAACTAGGAGCAAGAGAGATTCCTAATTCATTTGTTCATCACTTGCTAAGTACAGGACATGGTGCTTGAAACTTAGGATACAGAAATAAAAATATAGTCATGGTCCTTTGTTTTCTGATATTTACAGTCCGTTGGAAGAGATAGACATTAAGCAATTCAAATAAAGAATGATAAGTGTTTTAGTAAGTGAATATTGGGTACTATGAGAACATCAAATAGGGGGCCTAACCTAGTCTAATTAGGAGATAATCTCCCTAAGGAAATGGCTTCTTAGGCTGAGGCCTGAAAGTTTGGGAATCCCCCAGACAAGGAGGGTATAAGTAAGGGAGTGGGAATTGTATCTGTCAGAGCAGCATATGGAAAGGTATGGGCACTAAAAAGAGCATAGAAAGTTCCGAAAGGAACTAGAAAGGAATTCTTCAGTATAGCTGGAGCAGAGGGTACAGGAGTAAAATTGGTGAGTATCAGTGGATTGTACAGAGATATGTAGTAGCCATTTCTTAAAAGATGTTAAAGTCCACATTGGCAATGGGAAATCAGTGAAAGGTTTTACTGAGAGCTGCTTCAGGGCAATAATGAACCAATACATGTTAAAACATGAAGAGCAAGATATGATAGCAGCTGCTTCTAGGTAGCTATCTGGTGGAGATACAATTTGTTATATTCAAAAAATATCTAGGAGAGTGACTTGGAGAGAGAACTTGATGACCTTGATAACTGATTGCAGGTTAGAGTAGAAAATTATTTTATTTTTGGATCCAGGCTGTCACTCTGTCACCCTGGCTGGAGTACAGTGTCATGATCACAGCTCATTGCAGCCTCTACCTCCCAGGTTCAAGCAGTCCTCTACTCTCAGCCTCCCAAGTAGCTGGGACCACAGGCACATGCCACTGTGCCCAGCTAATTTTTATTTTTTGTAGAGATGGGGTCTCACTATATTTCCTGGGCTGGTCTTAAACTCCTGGGCCTAAGCAGTCCTCCCACCTCCGCCTTCCAAAGTGCTTGGATTACAGGCATGAGCCAACTTACCCAGCCATGTTAGAGTAGAAGATTTTTAAAGCTACTCATGAGGCTGAGGCAGGAAGATTGCATGAGTCAAGGATCAGTCCTAGATTTATAGCTTTTGGTCAGCCAGATAGATAGTGATGCCATATTTTGAAATTGACAGTTATTACAGGGAAGGCACATGTTTTGCTGGGGCACATTGGGGGAGAATTCTGTTTTTGGAATTGTGAAATATGAGGACTTTGTGAAACAGCTAGGTAGCTATTGGGTTTATAAGTATAAAACCCAGGTGAGAGAACTGGTCTGGTTTAATGGATGTAGTCATTCATATACAGGTATCATTTTTAAGCCAATCAGTATAACTTTTTCATCAGAAAGAAATATTTATACATATAATTGCATATGAATTAATATTGTATAGTTATTTTGCTTCCTTCTCCTTTGTCTTTATTTTTTTAATAGTTCTGGATTATTTCCTCTTCTTGCAAATGCTGCCATGTCTGTGAAACCAACATTGCTCAGTTTGTATGAGATATATTATCTGCCTTTGGGTAAAACACTGAAACCTGGTCTACAGGGATTGCTTACTGGTATTCTTCCTGGCTTAGAAGAAGGATCAGAGTACTATGAGAGGTAAGATCATATTTGGTGCAGTTATGTAATTGAAGTCATGGATTTGTCAGCAAGCATATTTAGGTCAAATATGTTTTAACATCACAAATGAATTATTCTAGACAGTTCAGTATATCACATGAATATTTCTATAGCAATGAAACATTATTATAGTTTATCTAGTCTATGTATCATACTGAAAATATAGCTAGTGATAAAAGCATAGACTTCGGAGGTGGATGTACTGAGTTGAAATCTTGCCTATACAGACACTGAGCTTAGGGAAGTTTTCTTAGTGTCTGAACTTTATTTAGTTTCCTCATCTTTAAAACAAACATAATACCTATTTATCTGTGTTATTCTAATAACAAATCACTTAGTCCTTAGCCAAGCACATATAAGTCACTCAAGAAAATTGTGACCCATAATTTAAAATAATATAACAGGACATTTAGATTAGTGATAAGAATGGAAGATTAGTCCATGCACTAACAATTTTTAAGTTGCTAATGGGAGAAAATAGCTTAGTACCAGTACAGTGCTGTTTCACTAGCTGTTGACGTGGTACTCTTGATATCTAACTATTCAAACAAAGTTATTTGATCTGTTTGGACCCTATTATTATTTTCGGGGAGTTAATATTTGTAGGCAATGCATGATGGCATTAAGTATCTCTAATATCTCATTACTAATATTCTTATTAAAAAACTAAAATGTATATGGTATTTTATTACTTAGCGTACTTTAACAACCTAGTGAGGTAGATAGGTCTTGTGGTGGAGTGTTTTGTTGTTGTTGTTCTCTTCATTTTACAGATGAGGAGACTGAACTTAACAATGAAGTGACTTCCTCAACATATACAGCTAGTAAATGGTGGAGCCAGGACTTAAATTCAGTCCTCTGACTCTAAAGTATATTCTTCTTTCAGTCTATCACACTTGTTTCCAGGGTGGAACATATGACTGTAGCATGGGTGTTTGCATACATTTTTGGAAAAGAATGATTTATTTTTTAAAATATGAAACTAAATGTTTCCCTTCTTAAACCACTTTATTTATACCTCAGAACAAATATGTTGTTGGAAAAGGTTGCTGCTGCTGTGGACCAGTCAGCATTCTACAGTGCCCTGTGGGGTAGTCTTCTCACCAGTCC
Organism: Homo sapiens; assembly: GCF_000001405.40. Taxonomy (NCBI): domain Eukaryota; kingdom Metazoa; phylum Chordata; class Mammalia; order Primates; family Hominidae; genus Homo; species Homo sapiens. The sequence goes on from NC_000006.12 coordinate 83,110,212, forward strand.
TGCTGTGCGTTTACCTGGAATCACGTATGTTCTTGCCCATTTAAACAGGAAGCTTTCTATGGAAGATCAACTTTATATAATTGGCAGTGATATTGAGCTAATGGTAGGTCTAAAAATATGGTTGCTCATTTCACAAATATTTCTTTAGAGTCAGGCACTATTCCAGACATATATTGAGGATTGTATAATGAACAAAGTTCCTATTTTCATCGAGCTTACATTTATCAAGGAAAATTAAAGGCCAAAATAATAATTATTATTTTTAAAAGCTTAACTCCTGGACTCAAGTGATCCTCTCACCTTGGCCTCATAGCCTTCTTTATAAGAAGTGAATTTTAGATAAAGTAATATAGCCAGATTCCGTATGGAATTTATGTGAGAAGATGTACTAAAACAGATAGTGAAAGATAATAGGAAGAAAAATCACATTTATTGCTTACTTATACAATATTTTTCTTTTTAATTTCAAGATTAACAACAGAGGGCAAGCTTTATATCTCTAGGGTGCTATACTCTTAATATGAGCAAGGAATAAAAAACCCTCAAGGATCATTTTGAAAAATTAAACAATTTGATTGATCATACTTTACTTTTTCTGCATATGATTATGACATTACTGATATTTTAATGCATATTTCTGGTTAGATTTAGTGAAGTTAATTTATGTACACTGAAATTAGCCCTTCTTACATTGTAGAGTTACCTGAATTTTGGCAAGCACGTAGAGTCATATAACCACTATTGCAATCAAGACACAGAATATTTACATCACCCTAAAAAGTCCTCTATGCCTTTTTTTTAGTCACTCCCCTTCCTCTACACTCCCAGGCCCTTAGAAACACTGATCTGTTTACTGTTTCTATAGTTTTGTTTTTTCTAGAATGTTAAATAAATCATACTGTATATAAGTGGACTCATTTTTTGTGTTCTTTAAATCCACGTTGGTCAGGCTGGCCTCGAACTCCTGACCTCAGGTAATCCACCCACCTCAGCATCCCAAGGTGCTGGGATTACAGGCATGAGCCACTGCGCCTGGCTTGTGTTCACATACCATTAATCAGCTGATGGACATTTGGGTTGTTTCTATATTTTTTGGGTGTTAAAAATAATGCTCTATTGAACACTCATGTATGAGTTTTAGTATGGACATGCGTTTTCATTTATTTCGGGTATACATCTAGTAGTGCCATTTCCAAGTTTTTTGGTAACTCTGTTGAACTTTTTGAAGAACTGGCAAACTTTTTTCCAAAGTGACTGCACCAATTTTTATTTCCACTTGCAGTATATGCAGGTTTCAGTTTCTCCACATCATTGCCAACACAACACTTGTTATTGTCTTTTTTATTATAGTCCTCCCAGTGGGTATAAAGTATTCTCATTGTGGTTTTGATTTGCATTTCCCTAAAGACTAACGATGAACATCTTGTGGTTGGTTATTGGCTATTTGTGTATCTTCTTTGGATAAATTTCTATTCAAATCCTTTGTCCATCTTAAAAATTAGATTATTTGCCTTTTTGTTGTTGAATTGTAGGAGTTCCTTATATATTCTGGATATTAAACCCTTGTCGTATATATGATTTGAAAATATTTTCCCCCATTCTGTAGATTGTCTTCTAACATTCTTGATAGGGTCCCCTGAAGCAAAAAAGTTTTAATTTTGATCAAATCCAGTTCATCCGGACTTGATTTTTTTTCTCTTGCTGCTTGTGCTTTTGGTGTTATATTAGGAAACCATTGTCTAATCCAAGGTACCAGAGATTTAGTCTTTTTTCTTCAATGCGTAAGTTTATTAGAAACTGCCAAACTATTTTCCAAAATGGCTATGCTTTTTAAATTCAGGTTTTAAAATATACTGTTACATTTCTTTTGAATAACTTAATGGAAATTTTAAACAAATCATTTTTTACTTATTTAAACAAATGACACACATGGAAAAATATTTCCAAAATATCACAGTCAAAGGAGTATTCTTTCTAATATTCAAAGAGCTACTATAGATAAATAAAAACAAGTAGAAAATGGATTTGAACAGATAATTAACTTAAAGGAAATAAGAATAATTTGAACATAAAGAGATGATCAACATTGTAATAAAGAAATAAGAGTTTAAACTACACCAAGCCAGTTTTCATGTCAGATGGGCAAAAATACAAATATATATATATATATATAAAGCTAAGCAAGCATGTGGAGAAACAAACTGTCATGTAAAACTGGTGGGAATATAAAGTGATAGAAACCTAACATAAAGCATTATGCTATGTATTTATTGACACAGTCTCACTTTGTCGCCCAGGCTGGAGTTCAGTGGCACAATCTTGGCTCACTGCAACCTCCACCTCCAGGGTTCAAGTAAACTCCCTTGCCTCAGCCACCTGAGTGGCTGGGATTACAGGCATGCACCACCACACCCAGCTAATTTTTGTGTTTTTAGTAGAGACAGGGTTTCACCATGTTGGCCAGGCTGATCTCCAACTCCTGACCAAGTGATCTACCCACCTTAGCCTCCCAAAGTGCTGGGATTGCAGGCGTGAGCCACCATGCCTAACAGCATTATGCTATTTAAATTGTAACTGCACATACCCCAAGACCTGGCAATTCTATTTTGAGGAATTTATCTTACAGATGTAATGTAAGTATTATATATTGCAACATTATTTACAGTAGTGTTTAGAAATGTATAAGTGCACATGATTAGAAGCTTGGTTAAATAAATTAGAGTTCATTTATGAAATAAAATACTTTGGCCATTAAGAAATGAAGCTCTTTAATGACAAGGAAAGATCTCTAAAACATGTTAAATGAAAAAGGCAGGTTTGGAATATATATATATATGGTGTTTTTCTTGTATTTACAGGAAATATTCACTAGTAAAACTGGTGCCTACAAAACAGAAGTTGGATAGTTGGAAGTTTTGCTGTATAGTCTTACGTACTTCTTAATTTTTAAACCATCATTATATATATACTATTCAAAATAATGTAAATATCTTTAATTATTGATTAGATCCTCAGAAGCATACTTTCGAGAAAATAAAGAGTTGTCACATTTTCGTGGCAAAAATGTCTCAGCATAATAGACAATAGATGTTAAAGATGCTGTTATTTCAGGTAGAAGCAGTAAGTACTTCAGTGCAGGACTCAAGTGTACTTGTACAGAGAAGCACACTGGACCTCATACTCTTCTGTTTTCCATTCCACATGAGTCAGGTAAAATATTAACGCCGATGTTATTATAAGGCATTCTTGGAAAACTGTAGATTGATAATGTGTAGTTATTTTTTAAAGGCATGTGTGTTGAATTCTTCTTGTATAAATCAGTAAGCGCATGGAAAATAAGTTCCTTCTTAAGGAGTGGAATTTGTTGTGAAAAAAAACTAAAGATAAAAGCTTCACTGATTTGATAAGAATATGGTCATTGAAGTAGATTATTTCATACTTTTGAAAAAAGTTGTAACATATAAAAAGCAAGAGGTTCTCTATTGCTAACTCTGAGTAAGCCAAGACTGAGACCCAGCCATCATCTGTACTGGTGTTATGTTATCTTGTTTTGGTGATTTTAACATGCATGCCAGACCCTTGGCAGAGTTGACTATAACTTAAGAGCCACATGTTTAGCCACTGTGATATTCTATAGTACTTTTATTACAAATAAGTGCAACTAAGTTGACAAATAATAAATGAAGTTCATTCCTAGAACTTAATTTAATCAGTGCCCTCATTTTAAAAGAAAGGATCTAAATTCCTTTGACTTATAAACCTTGATGAAGAGTGATTTACAGCACCAGTATATAGGCATTCAGAATGGTGGAACTACATACCTAACAAAAGTAATAAGATATAGAGAATATCTACCTTGGAAAAGTAAATTTATTCCTAAAAAGGACTATTATTTGAGGTTTTCATAAGAACTGTGATTAATAGATAACTGTAGTGAATTTGCATTATGACTGGCCAATTTTTTATTCATTATTTTATTAACATTTTTCTTTTACTTATTTAATTTGATATTGAAATATTAATAACTAAATAATTCTACTCTTCCTTGTCTATACTTTGACTAATTGGAACATAAACCACTCTGTTTCTATTTTGAGACTTTCACCCTTCAACCAAGGGACTTTATTCTGCCCTCTGGCTTTTCACAAAAACAACTGTTGAGTCATCTCAGCGTAATCTAAATTTACCAATGCTCTATTATAGGGATGGCCAAACAGCAGCTCATAAGTTAAGAAAGATTTATGTTTTTTTAAACACTTAGAAAACAAAGAAGAATATGCCAAAGCAATGTATGTGATCTGAAAGTCTAAATTATGTACTGTCTGGATCTTTATCCAAAAAATTTATTGACTTTCCTCTTGAACTTTTCCCATTGCTTTCTTACTTTCCAAACATTCAACATCATTAGGCCCTCAATTGACAGATGTCTCAACAAGATCTGAGGAATTAAGTCATAGTAGACTCAAGAATAACTTAATTTGTAATCTTAATATATCAGCGTTTCCTAAGCTTTTCTCAGCCTGTACTTTCTTACTCTGCCTTTTCTGTATTCCTGCCAGCCAAAATGTTCTAGATTCTTATATTCTATAATATGTATTATGGAAACAATAGCTTCGTTGAATGTGTTTTTTAAAAGTATACACCCAGTTCTAATAATCTTATAATTCTAATACTTTTCTCCCCACTATGCTACCAAATTCTAATATAGTTCTCCCTATTACTGTACCAAACTGAATAAGGATTATGACGTAGGTACCTTAGTGTTCCACTTTCCCTCTTTCTATGTCTTACATATAATAGAATACAATCCAAGTATGGATTGTATTATAATTGTGACTTAACAGTGCCTTCATTACCATATCCCAAAAGGATGATAGTTGTTAGGAACTTCAGCAGTGGGATGGACTGCTACACTTCTTTAACTTGTTTCCTGGAAAGCTCACCCAAATCTGTAGTACTTACACCTTTGAGATTATAATAGACTTTTTTTCATATTAGAAATAGATGGTGATATCAATTGTAATCAAGAAGCAACTTCTTTTTTAAATTTATTTTTTAATGGACATGAATTGTATATATTGATCCTGTACAACATGATGTTTGAAATATGTATACATTCTGGAATCTGTAAATGGAGCTAATTAACATTCATTACCTCACACAATTAATTTTTACAGTGAGAACACTTAAAATGTACTCTGAGCAGTTTTTAAGAATACAATACATTGTGGCCGGGTGTGGTGGCTCACGCCTGTAATCCCAGCACTTTGGGAGGCCGAGGCAAGCGGATTACGAGGTCAGGAGATCGAGACCATCCTGGCTAACACGGTGAAACCCCGTCTCTACTAAAAATACAAAAAAAATTAGCAGGGCATGGTGGCGGGCGCCTGTAGTCCCAGCTACTCGGGAGGCTGAGGCAGGAGAATGGCGTGAACCCGGGAGGGGGAGCTTGCAGTGAGCAAGTGATCGTGCCACTGCACTCCAGCCTGGCGACAGAGCAAGACTCTGTCTCAAAAAAAAGAAAAAGAGAATACAATACATTGCTAACAACTATAGTTACCGTGTTGTACCGTAGATCTTTTTGAACTTATTTTTCCCATCTGAAATTTTTTATCCTTTGACTAACATCTTCTACTTTCTGCTTTCTTAAGTAGTTTTTCTCCCAAAATAAGATGGGGAGACATTTGTACTTTTAAAGATTTTGTGACAATATAATCTTCATATCTTATGTTGGATAGATCAGAAGTTCTCAAATGTTTTAGTTGTAGAACCCCATTACACTCTTTAAAAGTACAGAAGGTCCTCAAAAATCTTTTGCTTGTATTGGTTAGATCATCTATTGTGATTTGTTCTTTTGGTTAAAGTATATGAAGAAAATCTGATCTCACATTGATATGTAGTTGGAAAATCGAGGAGTATTTCAGTAGCATTTTCCGTTAAAATTACATATTCTTTGATATTATACCAAAACTTCGAAGCTGTAGATTTTAAAAATTAGTTACAATATTAAGTCTTAAACCACATCAATGAACTTTTCATATTCTATTCCACTAAAATCCACTGGTCTATCTTGTACTTTCAGTGGCTCTTTCAGTCATATGTGCTTTTGTAACTTCATGATTGGATATTAAGGAAATACTGGTTTATTGAATTATGCAGATTTTCCAAATGTTTTCACATTTTATTGTACAATACCAATCATGTTTATTACTATTGCCACTGATCTCATCAGTAAAGATTTTTAGATATTGGGAGAAACTTTTAAGCCCAGTATTGAGAAGCTTTCAACCAATTCAAATCAAAACAATACAATTTCAGCCAGATGCGGTGGCTCACACCTGTAATTCCAGCACTTTGGGAGGCCTAGGCAAGCAGATCACTTGAGGTCAGGAGTTCAAGACCAGCCTGGCCAACATGGTGAAACCCCATGCTCTAATAAAAATACAAAAATTAGCTCGGCATGGTGGCACATGCCTGTAACCCCAGCTACTCTGGAGGCTGAGGCAGGAGAATCACTTGAACCTGGGAGGCAGAGGTTGCAGTGAGCCAAGATTGCAACACTGCACTCCATCCTGGGCGACAGAGTGAGACTCCAACTTAAAAAAAATCCAAAAAATACAGTTTCAGTCTAAATGCAAGTTTTCCATAATTCTACTTTTCTCCTAGAAGCCCAACTTTTATTATTTGTCACGATTAATGTTATTTTCCTTGCAATGTCAGGCTCACTTTGAGGAAATGACTACAAAATGTCCAGGCCTGAATAATCATAATTCATATTAGTAATTCTTCGGGTAAAAATGGCATTCTTTGAGAAAGCTGGTAGTTAAGCTCACAACTCAGTTATACAATTGCTTTTCCTTAAGACAACTATCATACTTCAGTATACATCAGAAGTAATTTTAGTACTTTTTTATTTTATTTTATTTTATTTTATTTTATTTTATTTTATTTTATTTTGAGACAGAGTCTTTCTCTGTCACCTAGGCTGGAGTGCAGTGGTGCTATCTTAGCTCACTGCAACCTCTGCCTCCAGGGTTCGAGTGATTCTCCTGCCTCAGCCTCCTGAGTAGCTGGGACTACAGGCGCCAACCACCGTGCCCAGCTAATTTTTTGTAATTTTAGTAGAGATGGGGTTTCACCATGTTAGCCAGGATGGTCTAGATCTCCTGACCTTGTGATCCGCCTGCCTTGGCCTCCCAAAGTGCTGGGATTACAGGTGTGAGTCACGGTGCCCGGCCACATCAGAAATACTTTAAGTGAATCTTTCACTCTATTATACAGAATATTAAAAGACATGCACTCAAAGGTTGATACTTATTTTTTGATTTTACTGCAAGTACATGGCTGTGAAAATATAATGATTACAAGTATAGTAGGTGCAGCTGCTATGCTGCCTCTTTTCATGCTAAGGTGCCAGCAGTTTTATCCACTATTGCATGATCAGGGCATATGTCAACAAAACAAAAAGCCCAATAACATCTTTGTATTGTTATGAATATGCATAGTTTTATTTGTTATGAATATGAATAGCTGGTTTTTACTTTGTGCACCCCCTGAAAAAGTCTTAGAGATACCTAGGGGTCTTGAACCATACTTTCAGAATTGTACAGATCAATAGAAGGCATTTGTGTTCAAAGGAGTGAACCTAATTCGTCAATTGTTGGTGATCTGTGTTCTGTATCATCTCAGTTATTTCTCTAAGGTTCCTTTAACACAAATGAGCTGGGTAAATCCTTTCTAATTCTATCAAGAAGCATGATATAGGACAAAGTTCACTGGTCTGTGATTAAGGAGAAGTGAGTTCTCCATCTAGCTGGGGCACTAACCAGGCATTTGAATTTGGCTAAGCACTTAGCCAAAACCTCAAGAACCTGTGAGGTTTAGATTCTTTACTTATAGAGTGGTTGTTAAACTAGTCAGTTTCCACATTATCATCTAATTCTCAGATTCCAAGATTATATTGTAAAGTGATTATCTGGCAGTATTCTTAAAATTAATAGCAAGTTAGTTGCTTTTCTTCTATTTTGATTTTTATAAATTTACCTCTTTTAGCTAAAACCCAGATCTCCTTTAATCATTTTTTTAAACGTTGAATTAAGGATATTGGGAAAAAAGAAAAAAATTATTTCTCTTAAAAAGAAATGGAACAAAATGAGAGAAAAATTAAGATTGTTAAAGCTGGATGATTGGTAGAAAACGGTTTATTATTTTGTTTTCTGTATTTTTTGATATGTTTAAAATACTACAAGATAAAAATTTTTAAAAAGAATAAAGAGTGGATGAAGATAGTAACCTTCTCAGGAGTTTATAGTCAGTTGACAACGTTATAAATGTGAAAGACTAATGGCATATCATTTTCTTGTGTCTGTCCCATCTTGCTTCATTTTATTTGTTTTATGTCAGAATTTGCTTTTATTATATAGACAAAGAACTTTAAACTGTAAGTTAAAATAATTAAGTTATAGTTTCAGTTATGCAGCTAAATAGCCATGTTACCTAACTTTCTTCCTGTTTCCTAATCTGTAAAATGGAAGTAATATCCTGTGTTTGAAATAATCCATGAAAGTACTCCATACACCCTAATATTCTAAGCATATTTCAGGGCATTTTTTAAAGAGGAAAAAAATAATATATATTGTATATTGCTAAGTACAACCATATTCCTAACTCTTTCAGGCCACTCGACCGGATATGATCAGGATCTTGTCAGCAGCCCTTCATGTAGTGCTAAGGAGGGATATGTCTCTGAATCGAAGACTTTATGCATGGCTTCTTGGTAGGTATTTGATGTCTGTGGTCATGATTGGGGAAAAAATGGAGGGAGATTTGTCATGTATAAGTATTACCAAGTTGTATGTATGTCCTGAATTTAAAAACTAAAATCTCTTGTGTAAATGGACAATAAAAATATAAACAGTATTAGTTGTGTATTGTATGAAGAAATTTCAGCAGCTTTATATTTGAAGAGTCTATTTGAATTCATAAAGTCATGTTCCCTTGTCCTTAACAAGATGTTTTTCCCCTTACAAATTGAGATGGTTGTATATAAGTTAGTAGGCAAAGAAGGATGAGCTAATAATCAAAATACTGTCCAAAACTTTGAATTCATCAAAGGAATCAGGACTAGTACCATTGTCTTACACATCATACAGTGTCCCACTCAGGCAGTAATACATATGTACACTTTGGTCGTCCATGCTTTTTGTGTGTTTTGTCTGTCTTCACAACTCTTTACTGCCTAGAGTGAGGGGACATAATATAACTTATTGTGGATGTTCTGAGTATTCAGTTATTTCACTGTTAGTAAAATTGGCCAAAAAATAAAAAGGATAATTCTGGAAGAATACTATGATACTTATGTATTGAATTGGTTTCCCTTTATTAAACTATCTAAAATGATCTCTCTTGCTGACATTGAATGGGCTACTAATTGGTAAGTGTTTAGTGCTGTTCTGAGATTTTGCTGTTTTGGTATTTAGTGAACAACAGTTTTGAGAATTCCATTTTAAGTAATTTTGTGATTTGTTTCCATGGAGGTTTTGATAACAACGGTGCTATCATAGGACCCAGAAGCACAAGACACAGTAATCCTGAAGAACATGCCACTTACTATTTCACTACCTTTTCAAAAGAATTATTAGTCCAGGTAATGAATACTTTTATTATTCTTTGGTTACTTACTGACCACTAGAGGTAGTGAAAAAGTGTAAGACGAGGTCTTGCCTTAATTGAATTCACAGTTGAAGGGGTGGAGACAAGACTTACAAACTTCCCAAGAATTTTTATAACAAGAAAATTCCTGTAAAATGATAATCATATGTTAGACTACCATGTAAGACAAAAGACTTTTTTTCTCTTACTTTGTTGTTTTCATTACTTTATTAAAACATAGTTGTAGCTTCTCACCTGTCTGCTCAATGGAAGTTGGAGCTTTTCCAAAAATGAGTCAGGACCTGTGCTATTTCCTGTGAAGCTCTGGAGAAGTTTATTTCATATTATTTTTAATTCAATTATATTTATTTAAGATATTTGAAATAGAAGAAAATACATGGTATCTGAAGCATTTTTAAATGAGTGAGGTTATAAGAATATAGTTGTTAAGTCACTAACGGGAAAATAATTGCCTAATAGCAGACACTGCCATGATAATGTGGCATAGTTCTGAGAAGAATGATCTTAAATAGAAATTCATCTGTAGGGAAAACACTCAGCTCATGAATATATTTTTCTAAATTTTCTTTGATATTCCACTATGTCTAAAGAAAATTTAGACACTTTTTTTCTCAAGATAGATAAATAATATTTTTTTCCTAGCAGAGTAAGAAGGCCAAGGTTGGTGAAAAGGCTTCAGAAAAGCAATAGTGGGTATAAGTCTCCGTTATATATGGTTGCATTTAAAAATACTTTTTCTTAAGGAAAAAATATTTGAATATGTTTACTTAAATGACCAGTGTACTTTCCTTTTTTAAAGGCAATGGTGGGAATCTTACAAGTGAATGGATTTGGAGAAGAGAACACTCTAATGCAGGATCTAAAGCCTTTTCGCATTTTAATCAGTTTACTGGACAAACCTGAGCTAGGTAATGTATACTGTCCTAGGGCATAAGGTCATGTGTGGTACTTTTGTGTTAATAAGAAAATAAAAAGAGTCATCAGGGAAATTGTTATATTTTGAGGTGGCCTTTAAATATAAGTTCTCAACAATTTCTTAAAGTTCACTCTACAAAGTTAAGATACAGGTATTCATCCACCTGATACGTTATTATGTATCTGTCTTGTGGTATGTATGTAGCAGAAGAATCCCTTTAAAGATGCTATCTAAGCTTCTCTTAATCCTGATTGTATTACTGAAATTAAAACATTAATCCATCATGAGCAATTTATAGTTCACAGAATCCAAGGACTTGAGGAAAATATTTGAGTTATATCCCTCAGCTTTCTTCTCCACATTCCCTTTATTTTGCATGTTCTCTCTTTATCCATTGTATATTTCTTATATATTATGGCACTTGAGACAGAAATTAGTAAAAAACATAAATATTTACAGCAATAAAATGAAATCATAAAGTATGTAATTTCTTCAAATTATATACAGATGTTTTAGCAGGTGTCTTCTCACCATTTTTTAAACATGAAAAATTTAAAATATAAGAATAACTTGAATTATATAAATGGTCTTGAGAGGTGTTTTAGCTGTTATGGTAACAGATGAAGCTCAGGAATTTTTTTAAGGAAATCTGTAATAGCAAGAAAATTTAGCCTTATGCATTTTAGTATTATTTAAATTAATAGCAGTAATTACAAGTAGCTTTTGTTGAATACTTATTATATTCTAGAAACTATGCTACCCATCTTACAAATATTTTTTCTAACCCTTAACAGTCCTGTAAATTTTGGTATTATCCTCATTCTGGATGAGGAAACTAAAGCTCAAAGAAGTTAAATAACTTGTCTAATGTAACAGAACTATTAACTGGCAAAACCAATTTCTCTGATTCTGTAATTTCTATTGTGTCAACCTGCACTTTAAATATTTGTTCAGTTATGTAATATCTTATATTACCTTCTCAAAGAAGTGTGAATTTAGCTTAGCTTCTGAAGAAATACTATTTTAAAAATACTTGTTTTTAAAACATTGTTTCATTGGGCCAATTTTCAGATAAGCATGATTTGCTCATGCTGATTAATTACTGTCTTTAATTTGAATATTAATTTTAGGACCTGTAATTCTAGAAGATGTCCTGATTGAAGTGTTTAGAACATTATATTCTCAATGCAAAGCAGAGTTGGATCTTCAAACTGAACCACCCTTCAGCAAGGATCATGCTCAGTTAAGCAGGTGGATTATCAAAAAATTAAATGTGACATGAAGACATAATATGTATTCACTTAATATAAACTTGAAGTGTAATAACTTGGGATCCTACTCTATGAAGTTTGTGTTCTAATAAGTAAAGCTGATTTAATACTAGTAAAGCTGATTTAATACTGACATACTAGTTGTATTGACAGTGCCTCACTATATAAAGACAATTGTTTTAATTGTTACAAAAGACAGGAGGAGGAAATAGGTAATAGGCTAAAGGGTTGCCACTTGAAATAACAAAGTTCTTTTTCCCTGATGCAATTTCAGTAATAGTGGCTATTAACAGCACTAGTTGGTTTTGTTGTTGTTGTTTTTCAAACTAAGAATAATAATTTGATTGAAACTGGTCAAGGTAAACCTTTCTTAAGAAAATCCTGAATAGCACAGGGAAGCAGACAAAATTCTTCACAATCAAGGCTGTGAAAATCAAATCACTACTCAGTTTGTATGTGCCAAGGGAAATAAAAGAATTTTGCCAAATTTACAGTCCCACACACTAAATAGTTCAAAAAGAAATTCTTGTTCTTTTGTCTTTTTTATTATGCAGAAACTGTGCAAGTCTCATTTCTGATCTTGATGTTTGACAAAAATTCAAATTTGAAAAAATAACTGCCCATAAAATGATAGGAGAGTGGCAGTAGATAAAAATTATTTGTTGCAATCTTCTTACTAGCACATTTTCTAGCAACTACCTAGGAATATGTACTGGCACTGCACTCAAATTTAAATTTGAAAAAACAAATGTTAATATTTTTTAGTTTTTGTTTTCTTTTCTCTTTTTTCAGTAAATTAAGAGAAAATAAGAAAACAGCAGAGCTGATTAAAACTGCTAACCTTCTCTTTAATTCCTTCGAACCTTATTATATGTGGGATTATGTTGCACGCTGGTTTGAAGAATGTTGTAGGTATGTTAAACTTTCATTCCTTTTAATTTCGTAACATCTAAAGCTAACCTTTGGGTTTTTTTTAAGTTGTTACATTTAATGAATGTTCTTTTATACATTCTATTACTAATAATAACTGTTACTTACTATCCATAATCTGACTCTACCTTGTCACATAGGATATAAAATCATTGATCATATAATCTTAGAATTGGAAGGGAGTTTAGAGATCAGTTATTCATACACCAGAGTAGATTAAAAATTTTCCGTCTTCAGTCTATAGTAATCCAGTTTTTTTGTTGTAGAAAAGATAGCAAATTTTTGGCTGCTGCCTCAGCACACTTTTCCAAAAGGATTTCCACTTTGATTAACAAAAAACTTTTTGGCCTGACTTGTGTTTTTAAAGCCATTAGAACTAATCCATGCTGTCACTGGGAAGTGATAAAAGCCTTCTACCCCTTAGCAAATAAAGCAAAAAATATGGTCTGAAAACCCTAGGATACTAGTGAATCTGAGTGGAATCTCTGTCTGGCTTCTAGACCAGATCCTCTCAACCAGATTAACCACTCAAGGCCCAGGAGCATGTAGTCAAAATGTAATTATGTACGATTTCAGCATTAGAAGTCTTTTAATAAAAAATGTTAATTGTTGCTCCTACACATTAATCTCTTTAGTGGTTTAGAAAGTTCCTAGCTTATTCAGCAGAGGTTGAGCACCCAGTTAAAAAGCATCATGCTAGGCAGATAGACAGTCCCTGTCTTCAAAGATCTTATAGTGGGAACAAATAAGACATGCACGCGTATATTCCTAGTATTAAAAATTACAAATGTCTTAATAGATTAAAATGTAGGAATCGTATTTTTTTGCCGCCTGGCCCTACCCTGGGTTTTTACCTTCTACATTCACAAATGCACACATCCACACTTCTTCAGCCAACCTGGACTATTCTCTGAAAGTTAGCAGCATTTTAACTTTCATTCTGCTGAGGCTTCACTTGTGCTATTCCTTCTGAAATACTCTTTCCCCTTGCCTATCTGCTAAAATCCTATGTAGAGGTTACCCACCTTTCCTTCCTTTCCTCAAATAGCCTATCAGAATCAATGCCTCCACACTGTCACATTGTTGCTTTTATTTGTCTACATGCTTATATTCTTGTTGGTCAGGGACTATATTATATTCTTACTTTGTGTCTTCAGAGTGGAGGGCAATGTATGGTCATATAGGATTTCTATGATTTAATGTGAATGTTTGTTGGAGGAATGATCTCTACTACTTGGATCAGAAGAGGCTTCCTGGAGGAGGTAACATTTGATCTCAGACTTTGAAGGACAGATGCATTCTGATCATGGGAAAATGAGATTGGGGAGGACAGTAGTACAGAAGGACAAATGAGCCTATTTTAAGACCCAAGGTTAGAAATCAAGTAGCAGTTAATCACTGTTAACTAGGAGGTGATATCTATACAGGAAGCAATGGGAAATAAGTCCCAGAAAGTGAGATCCATTCAGAACACTTCGAAGTACAGGATGGGAGTTACAGGGAGAGGATCAGCCTAGGAATCTTGCTTTGAGAATTTTCCATGAAGAGGTACAGTGGCCTGGGGGAAATAAAATATGTCATCACAAAAACATTACTGTGTGTGACCCAATATTGACTTGGACTTCATTAGAAGGATGATGATGCTGTCACAGGTATTCACATCACTTGACAGTATACTTAATAAAGTGAATTTTGTCCTTTTAGGAGGACACTGCATGTGAGACTTCAGATTGGACCTGGAGATAGTAATGACTCATCTGAATTACAGCTGACCAATTTCTGCTTACTGGTGGATTTTTTGTTGGACATAGTTTCTTTGGTAAGACCACCTTGGTAAGAAAATATCAAGGAAATCGAATAACGTAGTTCAAATATTTCGTGTTGTAGGCAAGCCTTCAGATACATTTCATCTTTAAAATTAAATTGATTTTTTCCTCTTTGGTAAGCTTTTTTCATAAGATCTTTCAAGTGTTTGTCCTTTGACATATACATATAAAAAATACATGGAGTAAACTTCATAATTGCATGTTATAAAATCTTAACTGTTTAGTGTATAGTGGTCTAATGCTGCATTTATATTAATATTATTTCTATTAAATGAAGACTTTTGGAAATCTTTTCCCTTCTGTTTTCTCTCCTCACTTCTTTGCTTTCTCATTTTGAAGCCTACTAGAAGTATGAGGGTGCTGTGTCAGGTATGACATTCAGCCTGTTTTGTTTTTAAATGATTCTATTTACTTTTGTTATATTATAATTTTAGTAATGTAGCAGATAAAACTGGGGTTATTTTATAATATATGCTTTGAAGTATTTAAATTGAGAATTTGGGAATAGAAATTTTATAAGGCATCAGTAATAAAATATACAGTGTTAATTAAGAGCATGATGCATATAAAACATTATGGATGAGTAAAATCATTGCCTATTTATATAGATTAAAAAATGTAACTTTTGGGTTCCACATTGTTTAAACTTTTTTCATTTCACTTTTATTTTCAGGAGACTTACATTGAAATCCAGACAGAACACTTGCCCCAGTTGCTGCTCAGAATGATTTCTGCCTTGACAAGCCATCTCCAGACATTGCACTTATCTGAACTCACAGATTCTCTCAGACTCTGCTCAAAGATCCTTAGCAAGGTTCAGCCTCCACTGTTATCTGCTAGCACTGGAGGTGTTTTGCAGTTTCCAAGTGGGCAGAACAATTCAGTCAAAGAGTGGGAAGACAAAAAGGTAATTTTAACTATTATTTTTGGTATTAGACTGTTCATATTTCTTCAAAGCAGAACAGTTACTTAGTAAAATCACTTATACATAAGCATTTAAATAATAGTGAGTCTTTCCTAGATCCAAATGCAGTGTTAGTAGGCTTGTAGGCTTTTGGTTATAGGGCAGTTTAATTATCTTTATCAGTACTTTCCAGTAGAAGTATCATGTGAATGGCATATGTAATTCAATTTTCTAGTACCCACATTAAAGTAAAAAGCAGGTAAAGTTAATTTTAATTCTAGTTTATTTGGACAATTGTAGCCAATATATTATTTCAATGTAATCTATATAAAATTGATGTCATATAAATAAGTGAGGTAGCTTACATGATTTTTTTGTACTCTCTTCAAGATCTAGTGTGCATTTTACACTTACAGCACATCTTCGTGCTGATTGGTTTGTGAGTATACAAAAGAGGCTAAAACAAAGGCACCACTCAAAGGTGAGCCACAACAGTATAAATAACCAATTAGGGAAGGGTAGGTATATGTAAAATAGGTGAAGAGTGGGGATCAATCAGAGGAAAGCATGCCAAATGGGAGGAGAGGTTCTCAATCTGGTCTGTGGATTTATCCAGGACTTGTAGCTAGGCTTTAAACTGTCTTTGGCTTGAAGGTGGGGTTTCACCGGGGACCCGTCCCTGGCTGCCTAGGATTTGTCTGTCTCCTGCTGCTATCACTATGCTAGTTGCTGGCTATCCAGTGGTGAGCTAAACATAGTCTCTGCCCTTCTCTATCCTTCCTTTCTAATTGGAAGAAAGATATTATACAAGTAAGTGCACATTTAATTACAGTTGTGATAAGTGTACAAAGGAAAATAATCAAGTGGTAGGAATATGGAAAATGGGGTGACCTGACCTACGCTGGGGCTAAAGAACGCTTTCTTGAGGAAGACGTGTTTGAGTGAAGCCTTAGAGGAATTGGTGTGGTGAGGGAGGTAAAAAGAGAGCACCTGACAGAGGAAGAAGTATAACAGCCCAGTGAGTTCACCTTGCCTGCTGCCTAGACAGAGCCAAATTATCAAGTCAGAGGAATTGCAATGGAGAAACAGTAATTTATGGACAGCCGGCTGTGTAGGAGACTGCAGTTTTATTATTGCCCAAATCAGTCTCACCGAAAACTTAGGGATCAGAGTTTTTAAGGATAATTTGGTGGGTAGGGGGCCAGTGAATTGGGAGTGCTGATTGGTTGGCTCGGGGATGAAATCATAGGGAGTAGAAGCTGCTTTTTTATGCTGAGTCAGTTCCTGGGTGGGGAACATAGAACTGGTTGGCAGGTCCAGGTGGGACCACTCAGTTGTTAGAAATGCAAAAACCCGAAAAGACATATCAAAAGGCTGATCTTAGGTTCACATAGTGATGTTACCTACAAGAGTAATTGGGGAAGTTGCAAATCTTATGACTTCTGGAATAATGGCTCGTAATATTTAGAATTCCAGTCCTTCTCATTCTAACCTGGTGGCTGGTGGCCTTTCATTTGTTTTACAAGAACAGTTTAGCTTTAAACTATAAACTAAATTCCTTCCCAAGGCTAGTTCAGCCTATACCCAGGAATGAACAAGGACAGTGGAGAGGATAGAAGATGAGGTCAGTTAGGTTTGATATCTTTCACTGTCATAATTTTCTCAGCTATGATTTTGCAAAGGCTCTTAGGCAGAGACGAGCACCAAGCAGACAAGAGATGCAGCTATAAGATAGGCAGAGGCCAGGTCTTAGAGGGCCTTGAGCTGTTCGAGGGCTTTTGTTGTTTAGGAGCACCGGGAAGGCCCTGAAGGGGAAAAGGCAAATGGCATAATTACGTTTGTATATTAGAAAAGTTACTCTGGCTGCAGTATGAAATGTAGAGGAGAAACAAAAACAGATGTGGGAAGACCTATAGTAGCGCAGGTGAGAGGTGGTGATAACTTGTGCCAACAAGATACGAGGAGTAAAAATAGAAATGGATGGATTAGCAATATATTTAGGAGGAAAAATAGACTTAGTAATAGATTGATAAGGGTAATGATCACTAACACTTAATGAGTGTTTACTAAGTGCTAGTTATTTTGCCATGTGCTTTATATATACCGTTATGTAATCCTCATAGCAATTGTAAAATGTAGGAATTACTGTCTCTCAATTATACACATTAGGAAATGGTGGTTTGGAGAAGTTAAATAACTTGCCAGGTATCACATAACTAGTGAATGGCAGAGCCCTAGTTGACTCAAGGCCTGCACCCTTAACCCCTCTACTGATATGAAAGTGGGGAAGGGGAGGAGGGGTGACGAAGGTACCAAGAATGACCCCTAGGTTTCTGTCTTCCTGACTCAAGGAAAAGTGTCATTCACTGAGGCAAGGAACATTGCGTGAAGCCCAGCTTTGGGCAACAGGGCTTTAGTTCATGATGCTATTATATTCTGACTCAGTCACCCAAGGAATTCTTACATATAACTTTTACTTAAACTAAGCCAGAAAATATGCTTGATATTTATACTTACTCTATCCTATTGTAGGGAGTAAAAGGCTAATATACTCCAGTTCTACTCCAGGAATGGTTCATTTGTTTGTTTACTGTAATTCTCTCATCTTCCCCTCTAGATTATAAAATATTCCTTTTATTTCTACTACCTAATACAGTGTCTGGCACATGATAGGAGTTCAGTAACTATTCACTGAAAGAAAGTAAGATTAATAGCAAAGATTTAATTAGTACTATACACATTTCAATAAAAATTTCACATTCATGTGGCCCTGAACAGATGACCTATTAGATTTTATTTGTAGTTATTAAAATGTCATTTTTTAACCTTACATATCTCATTCTTGGCATTGTTTAGACATTAGGAAAGTGATTTCATGAAGTAGATGAAATAGTCATTTGAAAACAAGGATATAGATCCTAGAGACTTGTATATATGTATTTTTGTCCTCAAGAATCTAACCTTATGTATGCTGTGTGTGTAGTGCATAGTAAATACTTGGTGAATGAATAAATCAGTGTGGGGCTGCTTTAAGAGTCAACAGAATGGGCAGATTAAGTTGTGAATAGTCTAAAACATCTCAAAAGTGGTCATTTCTAATTCCTAATATGTACACTTTGCTACTCAGCCTTTTGTTTTCTTAAAAATCTCTAACAGGTATCATCAGTTTCTCATGAAAATCCTACTGAAGTGTTTGAAGATGGAGAAAATCCACCAAGTAGTCGATCATCAGAGAGTGGATTCACTGAGTTTATACAATATCAAGCAGACCGAACTGATGATATTGACAGAGAACTGAGTGAGGGCCAGGGGGCAGCTGCCATCCCAATTGGTAGCACATCCTCTGAGACAGAAACAGCATCCACTGTGGGATCTGAAGAAACCATCATCCAGACCCCTTCCGTAGTCACTCAGGGGACAGCAACCCGAAGTAGGAAGACAGCCCAAAAGACTGCAATGCAGTGCTGCTTGGAGTATGTCCAACAGTTTCTTACCAGACTTATCAACCTCTACATCATTCAGAATAACTCTTTTTCTCAGTCTTTGGCTACAGAACATCAAGGGGATCTTGGTCGAGAACAAGGAGAGACTTCAAAATGGGACAGAAATTCACAAGGAGATGTAAAAGAGAAAAACATAAGTAAACAAAAAACTTCTAAAGAATACCTGTCTGCCTTCCTTGCTGCCTGTCAGCTCTTCCTAGAGTGCTCAAGTTTCCCAGTTTACATTGCTGAGGGGAACCATACATCAGAGTTACGTTCTGAAAAATTGGAGACTGGTAAGGTCATCTCAGTTTTGCTTATATTTCAGTATTGTCTGTAGTATGTTTTTTCTTTTTAAAAGAGGCACTCAAAACTGGGGTTTTTTTAGCCAGTTACTTTTTTTAATGTTTTAATTTGCAAGTTTTTTTAAAAATGAAATACTGTCACTATGGGGAGATTGATATATTGGAAGATTTTGTGATTTTGATGTCTTTCACAGTTTGCATGCAGATAAGTAGGAGCTGAAAAGGAAATCTCTGGAGAAAAGTAGCAGTAGATCTGCTGGTTTTCTTTGTTATGACCAGTAACATATGTATTTACCTTTATTTTGATTTTTATATATACACACAAAGTGCAGTGAATACTACATAATGCTTATTGATCAATATACTGTTTTTCGGGACAGAAAACTAGATTGTATGACTTGGCATAAGAAAAATATATATTGAAAAAAGTATAAGAAATTCTTGTTGCTACTTTATTAAAGCTCTAGACTAGGTGAGAAACCATGGTTTTGTTAACAGATCAAGGCCTTAAAAGTATTTAGTGGCTTTGTTTTTTGAAATTAACTTAGAGTGTGTGTGAAATGTTTAGTATAATGAACTCTGATTGCTACCATCTTTTGTTTCAGACTGTGAGCATGTGCAGCCTCCACAGTGGCTCCAGACTCTGATGAATGCTTGCAGCCAAGCAAGTGATTTCAGTGTTCAGAGTGTTGCTATTTCACTAGTTATGGACCTGGTGGGACTGACACAGTCTGTGGCCATGGTCACTGGGGAAAACATCAACAGTGTAGAGCCTGCACAACCCTTAAGTCCAAACCAGGGAAGAGTAGCTGTGGTTATTAGACCTCCCCTCACTCAGGGCAATCTGAGGTACATAGCTGAGAAGACTGAATTTTTCAAGGTAAATTCTAAGAAATGCATATATGACTATGATGATTACAGCCATGTATGATACTTGACCTAGTTTGCTTTAAGAATTATTTTTTAAATGTTAATAAAGCTTCATTTAAACACCTCTTAATAGGCCATACCATGTAGAAAATGATGCCACAGCTGATATACATACTGCTCTCCCCATCTTATTCCCAATTTTGTGAGCAGGGGAGAAAGATAAGGATAAAGGAGTAGGAATATTAGGATAAAGAAAGAGAAGTATTAGGGCACTGAAGCCATGTAGGAAATAATTTCAGCTAGAAAGAGGAAAGCGGTAGAACTTACTTTCAGATTAAGTGGTTGCAACACTTTTGCTTTTCTTTTTTTTTTTGAGACGGTCTTGCTGTCAGATAGGCTGGAGTGCAGTGGCATGATCTCGGCTCACTGCAACTTCTGCCTCCTGGTCTCAAGCAATTCTCCTGCCTCAGCCTCCCGAGTAGCTGGGATTACAGGCGTGTGCCACCACGCCCAGCTAATTTTTGTATTTTTAGTAGAGACAGGGTTTCACCATGTTGGCCAGGCTGGTCTCAAACTCCCGACCTCAGTAATCTGCCCGCCTCAGCCTCCCAAAGTGCTGAGATTACAGGTGTGAGCAACACTTTTGCTTTTCATACAGTAAAACCTCAGCACTCCAAAACTCTCATGAAAACTTTTTCTGACTCTTCATATTGTCTCATTATCATCTGTGGCGTATAAAGTCACTCAGAAAAAAATTCAGAAAACTCAGTCTTTGATTTCTACCACACTGGTATAAATATTATTCTCTATATCGAACATCAAGTAGATTTGGATTGTATACATCTTAAGCAGGTAGACTGTACATTAAAAAAAAGTTTAAAAATCTGATTTCAAGTCATTGTGCCCCTTCAGATATTTCCTCCTGCTAGATTAGAGTTGGATTCTATAATATTGTGGTAGTGAATCCTGAAGATTATTGCATTATTATTATTACTCATTGCATTATTATTAATGCTGTTACAGATCAAGTGCTATGTTAACATATGTAGCTCTGAAATACCTATTATCTATTGTATAGGTTTTAAGTAGTTTGGATATTTCAACTATGAATTATTTTTCACTCTGTAATATACAACCATAAATATTAAATTGCATTCAATGTGGGATTTGTATCTTATTAAGGATAGTTTATTCTAGCATCACTTTACTAAACACCACTAAATAACGAAATGGGGTCTTATCTGGGCCCTGCAGAAAACATTTACATGTCTGATTTTTTTTTTTTCGAGATGGAGTCTCGTTCTGTCGCGCAATCTCTGCTCACTACAACTTGCGCTTTTCGGGTTCAAGCAATTCTCGTGTCTCAGCCTCCCGAGTAGCTGGGATTACAGGTGCATGCCACCATGCCTGGCTAACTTTTTGTATTTTTAGTAGAGACAAGGTTTCGCCACGTTGGCCAGGCTGGTCTCAAACTCCTGACCTCAGGTGATCTGCCTGCCTCGGCCTCCCAAGATGCTGGGATTACAGCCATGAGCCACCATGTTCAGACAACGCCTGATGTCTGAAAACAAATATCATTAAAGGACTATCATAAAAGGTTCCAAGGGCTTGGGTGATCAGAAGGTAGGTACATGGAAGACTGCCTTAGTAACCTCATCCCCATGCAGTAGAATATTAAAAGCCTTTCAGGTCTGACAGAGAGCAGGCATTCATTTGTACCTAATAGGAAATATTTGTTAAATTTTCATGTATGGTATTGTGACTGTCACTTTTACATCTTTTTTATAGCATGTAGCTTTAACATTGTGGGACCAGTTGGGAGATGGGACACCTCAGCATCACCAGAAGAGTGTGGAACTATTTTATCAATTACATAACTTAGTTCCTTCTTCTAGCATCTGTGAGGATGTTATAAGTCAGCAGTTAACCCATAAAGATAAGGTAAATCCTCTTATCTTGTGCACACCGCCCCCTCCGCCACACACACACACACACACAAATACTGAAAAGTAAGAAAACTTTAGGGAAATTATTGCAATTAACATCGGAGTAAGAGAAAATAGCTTTGTTCACAGTGATCTTAATATCTTTAAAATAAATGTATTCAATTATTTCTAGAGGAAAGTTCTTTACAAAAGCATCAGTAATATGAAAAATTAAAACAAAAATAAAATGCTGGGTTTATTTCTTTGTTCAAGACACAGTTATGGGAACTGATGTTTAGTATTGGTGGTCTCAGTTCTTGGGTCATTTAAAGAGGAACCAGAGGCCTCAGTTATGGAACTTACGGATTTATTAACTAATATATATGAAATGAAATAATGTATAAAGTATATTTATAAGCCATAGAATGCTAATATGTGAGATTATATTATTTGTATTATTATACTGCATATCCAAAATAAGAATTTTGTATCCTAATGTATATGAAGTGTGATATATAATTCAGTTAAAGGTGGCTGAGAATTAGCCTGAGAAGAAGCTGGAATAATCATTTTTACTAACCTCATCAGGGTTATTTAATGACATTTGTGGTCTTCCTGTGCTGCTCTGTAATATAAATTGAAGATTTTATTGAAGAGCTTTTAGAAGTAGATTGTCCTATTTTTAAAAAACTCAAAATGCTAGTGAGTTTGAGTGGGTCATAATCAAAAAAGGAATTGTGTTAAATAAATGAAACATTTGGTAGAGGAGAAAGTAGTATATGAAGGAGTAAATGAAAGGAATGAAAAGTTTATTCCAAGAAAAATGTTAAAATTCTATTTCTGCTATAACATATTTTTTCAAAATTATTCAAAAATAATAGGTAAGCACTGTATTCTAACAATTTAAGTTTCACATTAAATATAAATCTAGGACAAATATATGCCTGTTTTCACTTGGGTAGCATTTCATTTTTAAAGAAATACTCCCAAGTTCTAAATAAAGATACACATCCATGAAAAAAAATTAAAATATCTTTTACTACTTAATTTTTACATTTCTGGTGGTTGATACAAATGCAGGCTTCATAAGAAAAGCCTGTATTAAGCCCATAGAAAAAACAAGCATGCCTCCCACCTATCACAAGCATTTAGAAAGTTGCCGTCTGGTTTCTTGGGGCTTTTGCTTGAAGGATCCATAAATGCTAAAGAAAGACTTTAAAAATTTTGATAGTGTGACAATTTCTACTTGATTTATACATGTTTATTATCTAATACCAAATGTGCTTGCCTATCTAAATAATTTATTTTTACATTGTTTTACCCATTATTATATTAATCTTTTTCCAAATAATCTCAAAAGTAGTTTAATATTTTTATTGTAAAAATTATTTTTAAGTATTTAAATTTTTGAGTCAAACCAGCTTTATAAGTGATGAAAAACTCATTTGGGATTAATGTATCATTTCTGGGACAAAAAATATATAGTGCAATGAAATCAATTTTGATAACTAAATGTTTATATTAAAATGAAGGAGGAAGTGCTTTCTGGACTCCAGATATATGTACATTAGTAACTTTTTTCTCCTGTTATACAATAATATAGTAAACTAATTACTTAAAGTCTGAACTCAGGAATAATTATTTATGAGACAGGATGAGATGATCCTTTTAAGTTCAATATTTCTGTATATATTTACATATTTTCTGTGTTTCTACTGCCATAAAGAATATAAATAAAGTTTATTGCAATGTGTGTTTGAATATTGTGGACGTTGAACGTAATACAGTACTCCTAAATAGTACTCTGATTTTACTAAAATCATAGTATCTTCAAGAGAGAAGAACATAATTTAAGCTCCCATGTTTCTCCTCAGAAAATAAGGATGGAAGCACATGCCAAGTTTGCAGTTCTTTGGCATCTAACGAGAGATCTCCATATAAATAAATCTTCATCTTTTGTACGTTCTTTTGACAGGTCAGTTACATTTTATATTAAGATTTCACAGTCATATATCTTAATGTTGCCTCTTTCCTTGAGTCCACTGTCTAGCTTGGCAAGTGTAGGAGATAGCAATTTACAAATTTTATAAAGAGAATTTATTATTTTGAAAACCGTAAGCTGTATTAAAATGCATGGCATTTTTACTCATCCACCAGGTTTTTACTTTCTGGTTTTGGAGTACCCGGCTCCACTTCCCTTCCTTGGACAACTATTCATCACGTTCCTGATAATGTTAGTGATAGAGCAATGGATACAGCTCTCTTGAGACTATATTCACATTTAGTGAAACTGCATATAGATAGTAGATTATGTGTTTCTCAAGCAATTATTTTCAATCTTCTGCCTAAACTAGATTTATTAAAATCTATAGCTGAAAACACTAACAGATTCTTTCCATGAATCCAGAGAACTTGTAGCTGCCTGAGAGTGGTTTTGGTTTTTGTCTGGACTACGTAGGTGACTTCAAATATCAGATCTGCATTAAATTCCAAGGAGCTGCCATTTTTAGGTGGATTCATATATTGTCATAAGGTAGTCTCACCAGTTGGTCTCATACTGGTGGCCATGAATCTATGTTCAAGGTCAGCTCAGGATCAGATGTGTCCTCTACTGAACGTTATTTCAGCTGGTGCTTTTCAACCAGCATTAGCATTTTAAGTCATCTGATACTGAACCATATATTGAACCCCTACAATGTACTGAATATATTGAACCTTTACTTTATAAATAATCATCTCTTATTTGACAACCATCTTTCCTAATTTTACAAGTGAGGGAATAGAGGTCAGGAAAAGTTGTTACTTGCCCAACACCACACAAAATATTTGAATCTTGGGTTTTTCTGATTCCAAACCACACTTTCATACCTTCCACAGATCTTTCCTTGAATTAAGCACAGAGCTTTGGCTCACAAGGAGAGTGTGAGCAGAGGAACATGGACCAACATGGAGTAATGCCGACTTGCCGAAGGCTCAGTGCTTGATAATATGAACAGGAAAATGTTGCTAAAACAAGACTAATCATATTTTTTTTCAGTTCTTCAGTATTAATCTTAGTAATGTATGCCTGTGAAATTTCAAAGCATGAGTATATTTTTAAAAGGGCAAAAGGTTTTTTTCCTTTCTTATACCCACCGAGACTATTGGGATTAAGATTATTAAAATACTATGATCAAAATTTATCCTGAAGTATGACTACTTCAAAATAGTTAATTCAAAATAAGAAACAGAATTTATTAATTTTATAAAAGAGTGTGACAAGGTAGATGTTTGGTTCTTTATTTTAATTATTTGTGTTTATTTTAGGTCACTGTTCATCATGTTAGATAGCCTTAACAGTCTCGATGGTTCTACTAGCTCTGTGGGACAAGCCTGGCTGAACCAAGTCCTACAAAGACATGATATTGCACGAGTTTTGGAACCATTGCTATTGCTCCTGCTTCATCCAAAAACTCAGAGGGTTTCAGTACAGCGTGTACAAGCAGAACGTTATTGGAATAAGTCTCCCTGTTATCCAGGAGAGGAGAGTGACAAGCATTTCATGCAAAATTTTGCCTGCAGCAATGGTGAATAACACATAGAAGTAGACAGCTTTATTTAGAATTATTAAAATAAAGTGATACATGAATACAACAGTAATTGTTGAAAGAACTGCATGTGAGATTTTCTCCATGGGCTTATTTTCTCCCCTCCTCATGCACTAGCAATGCTGTGTGGACCATGTCAGAATGTACTTTGTCAATGACCATCTTAGAGGATGTGGGTCTCTCAGTTGACTCTTTCAGGGCAGGAATCAGGCACAGCTCTGATTAGAGACATTCTTCAATTTTGATGGAAATATCTTTAGAGCTTAGTTAGCAATTCTGGTCCTACAGGCTCTGTAGATACTTCATTGGGAATTTATAGTAAATCTGTAATGCACATTTTGTATTTCATGAGTCATTTTCCTCATCTTTTAAGAGAAGAATAATGCTCAACTTTCAAGGTTTTATTATGACCATCAGATGTAGTCATGTTTGTGACATGCCTAAATATTCACTATTACTATATTACTACAAAGTCCATACTTTATAGTTGAGTGATGCCTTCTATACAGTGATATTGTCCCCTTAGATTAATTTATTTCATTTAAGGGACAAAGACTCTCACATATGTCATTTGTCTCTTGACAAACCCTGTGGTGGTAATGAAAAGATCATTTTACTGAGCAGGTTGCTGATGCCTAGAAGGCTATGGCTTTCTCAGAGTCTCATGGCTATTAAGTGATGAAGCTGAAACCAAACTGTCATAGTCCTACTTCATCTCTAGTGTGTTTCTACAGAGTCTTGGTTCCTCTCTCTGGCTTCTTTTCTATTCCTTCTTCTGAATCTTGTAAGAATTTGCATTACCCTGCTTATTGCCAGAATGTCTTTGTGTTAATGCTTTATCTAACTGTCTGCTGAATTCTCACCTCCCCTCTGAGATCAGTGCCAGACCTCATCAATGGTATCATGATTCTTTCCCTAAATTTGCTAGCATTTGGTATGTACTACTTTGTATGTCACTAAGCCTTCCACCTTTTCTAAAAGAAGACCGTCATTATTGTATGCCCCCTAAAAAATACAGAAATGAATTATGTATTTGTGGTTTGCTGCTAATTTTAAAGTCTTTAGAGAGCTTAGAAACAGCATAACTAAAGTGAGGTATTAAGGAGGAAAAAACAAAACTTTCACCTGCAATAAAATAAAATGTAATTTTAGGAAAATATAAGTAGATGATGACACTAATGATTAAAAATTTTGATCAGTCTACATTTCTACATTTCAATTATTTTAATGCATTTTGTATTTTTCTTCTTTTACTGTTTTTCTCATATATCAGTGAGCCAAGTACAACTCATCACATCAAAAGGAAATGGTGAAAAGCCACTTACCATGGATGAAATAGAGAACTTTAGTCTCACTGTGAATCCATTAAGTGACAGACTTTCCCTCCTAAGTACCAGCAGTGAGACAATTCCAATGGTTGTGTCTGATTTTGATCTTCCAGACCAACAGATAGAAATACTTCAGAGTTCTGACTCGGGATGTTCACAGTCCTCTGCTGGGGACAACTTGAGTTACGAAGTTGATCCTGAAACCGTGAATGCCCAAGAGGATTCTCAAATGCCCAAGGAAAGCTCCCCAGATGATGATGTTCAACAGGTAGTATTTGACCTGATATGTAAAGTTGTAAGTGGCCTCGAAGTGGAATCTGCATCAGTTACATCTCAATTAGAAATTGAAGCTATGCCCCCAAAGTGCAGTGATATAGATCCAGATGAAGAGACGATTAAAATTGAAGATGACTCCATTCAACAGAGTCAGAATGCTTTGCTGAGTAATGAAAGTTCTCAGTTTCTGTCTGTGTCTGCAGAGGGAGGCCATGAGTGTGTGGCAAATGGAATCTCCAGGAATAGCTCCTCACCTTGTATTTCAGGAACCACACACACTCTTCATGACTCTTCTGTTGCTTCCATAGAAACCAAATCTAGACAAAGGAGTCACAGTAGTATTCAATTCAGCTTCAAAGAAAAATTATCAGAAAAAGTTTCGGAGAAGGAAACAATAGTTAAGGAGTCAGGTAAACAACCAGGAGCAAAACCTAAAGTAAAACTTGCCAGAAAAAAGGATGATGACAAGAAAAAATCTTCAAATGAAAAACTCAAACAAACCAGTGTATTCTTCAGTGATGGTCTGGATTTAGAGAACTGGTATAGCTGTGGAGAGGGAGACATTTCTGAAATTGAGAGTGACATGGGTTCTCCAGGATCTCGAAAATCTCCCAATTTCAACATTCATCCTCTCTATCAACATGTGCTCCTGTATCTCCAGTTGTATGATTCATCCAGGACTTTGTATGCTTTCTCTGCCATCAAAGCCATCTTGAAAACTAACCCTATAGCTTTTGTAAATGCCATTTCAACTACTAGTGTAAATAATGCATATACTCCTCAGTTGTCTCTCCTTCAGAATCTATTGGCCAGACACCGGATTTCTGTTATGGGCAAAGATTTTTATAGTCACATTCCAGTGGACTCAAATCATAACTTCCGGAGTTCTATGTACATAGAAATTCTTATTTCTCTCTGCTTATATTACATGCGTAGCCATTACCCAACTCATGTCAAGGTTACTGCACAAGATTTAATAGGCAATCGAAACATGCAAATGATGAGCATAGAAATTCTGACACTACTCTTCACTGAGCTGGCAAAAGTAATAGAAAGCTCAGCGAAGGGTTTCCCTAGTTTTATTTCTGATATGTTATCTAAGTGCAAAGTTCAGAAAGTGATTCTTCATTGTTTGCTGTCATCTATCTTTAGTGCTCAGAAATGGCATAGTGAAAAAATGGCAGGTAAGAACCTGGTTGCTGTGGAAGAAGGTTTCTCAGAGGACAGCCTTATTAATTTCTCAGAGGATGAATTTGACAATGGCAGCACGTTGCAGTCACAACTTCTTAAGGTGCTTCAGAGGCTGATTGTTCTAGAACACAGAGTAATGACTATTCCTGAAGAGAATGAAACAGGTTTTGATTTTGTTGTATCTGACTTAGAACACATCAGTCCCCATCAACCCATGACTTCTCTTCAGTATTTGCATGCTCAGCCAATCACATGTCAAGGCATGTTCCTCTGTGCAGTGATACGAGCTTTGCATCAGCACTGTGCATGTAAGATGCACCCACAATGGATTGGTTTAATCACATCTACTCTGCCTTACATGGGAAAAGTTCTGCAGAGAGTGGTTGTTTCTGTGACACTACAACTGTGCAGAAATTTAGATAATCTAATTCAGCAGTACAAATACGAAACAGGATTATCTGATAGTAGGTAAGAGGTGATTTTTAACTTTATTGGTACTGACATTTTTCACATATATGACTGCTTAATGTCTGGAAAGTTGGTCACAACTTGAGTAAATAAAGTAATGGTTTTTGGTAGGTTACAAATAGTGTATTACTTTCCACAAAAAAGAAAATTTGACTTGAGGAAGAGTATCAGTAAAAGAATCTAGAATGGAAAAGGGAAGGAATATTTAAACAGGCTTATTTTCTACCAAGATCTAAAATTAATTTCAATGCTCTTCTCTTCTTGCCTGAGCTGGCAAAACTAATGGGAAGCTTAGAAAAGGGTTTCCCAGGTTTTGTCTGTTTTATCTAAGTGCAAATCAATTTCAGACTGAAAATAATTTAAATTTACAAATCTTTTCCATCCAATTTTATTTCTTGTTTTGGATTTTCATGGTTTAGTGACAAAATTCGATCTGAGTCTCTATGCTCAAAATGAAGTCTGAAAAATTAGTTCCAGTAGACTGTCATTTTTCTTCAGAATAACCTTAGTTTCTACATGTAAAATAATAAGAAAACTGCCTGTATTGTTTAATATTAATATGCCTGCCATTCCTCAGTGGCTAGAGAGTCACTAGCCATCATTTGTTTATTTTGTATAGAATTCTTTAGCCAAAAAGAACTCTAGTACATTTAGTCCAACTCACTTATTTTATAGATTAGGAAATAAAAGCCCCTGATTTATTCTTTTAGCCATTTGTTAATCTAGTATTTATTGCACATCTTCTGTGTACCTGACACATTGTGAGTATTTACTAGTGATAAAATATGAACTATACTATCATAAAACTTGTGTTTAAATGAATGCATTTTACTTCAGGCCTCTGTGGATGGCATCAATTATTCCACCAGATATGATTCTTACTCTTTTGGAAGGGATTACAGCCATTATCCATTACTGTTTGTTGGATCCAACTACACAGTATCACCAAGTAAGACTGCACAAATATTTGACTTCTTTTGAAAGACTGTGAGGTCTAATAAATTTCCATTTGTAAATCTCAGTAAGTAATATGTTTCTTTTCCCCCAACTGTTAATAGCTTTTGGTCAGTGTAGACCAGAAACACTTGTTTGAAGCACGCAGTGGAATCCTCTCAATCCTTCATATGATCATGTCCTCTGTGACACTGCTTTGGAGCATACTGCATCAAGCTGATTCTTCAGAAAAGATGACTATTGCCGCATCCGCATCTCTTACCACTATTAATCTTGGAGCTACAAAGGTTAGACAATTCATATTTAATCTGTAGAGCTCAAGAGTCTGAGGACCTTCCCAAAGATTATATTCAGAATATGTGAATAATTTGTGTAGTATTTACAGGACTCTGCTAATTATCAAATAATTTTTAACAGTTTTCCTGGGCTATGGCTGACGTATCATAGAATTTGCCCATTTTTAAGTATACAATTCAGTAATTTTTTTAGTAAATTTACAGAGTTGTGAACTATCACCCCAGTCCAATTTTTGAATATGTTCTTTACCACAGATTCCTCATGGCCATTTGCACTCACTCCCTGTTCCCATCCCTAATCCCAATCAACCACGAATCTATTCTCTCCATATATTGATTTGCTTTTTCTGAAAAAGTTCATATAAATGGAATGATAACAATATTTGGTCTTTTGTGTCTAGCTTCTTTCACGTGACATATTTTTAAGGTTCATTCATACATGTTATAACTTTATTCCTTTTTTTTTTAGGGCATTTTAAATTGACATTTTAATATGCAAAGCCCTCCTAGAAAACAATTTAGCAATATGTATAGAGAGCTTTAAAGGTTTCATAGTCTTTGACCTAGTAATCTACTTTAGGAATGAATTCTAAGGTAATTGAAATTATACAAAGATGTATATACAAAGTGTTCATTATAGTATTATTTAATGGCAGAAAAAACAGAGATCCTAAACAATTAATTAGGGAATGTTTAAATTATCCTTTCAATGTTTCATTACATAGCCACTAATATTCATGGTTTTGAAGAATTCTTATTGGATGGAGAAGGGCTCAAAAGCTCAGTGAAACAGGGATGTTACATAATTGAACAAATACCATATTTTCAATTATGTAAAAAATGTTATCTGCAGAAAAAGGAATAAAGAAAGTTTGCATTTTATCAGTAATTATCTCAGGATGGTGGGATAACTTATTGATTTTTAAATTTTTTTTCTTCCTTGCACTCTGATATTTTCCAAATGCTGTGCCATGTCAAGCTGTCAAATTGATATCCTTCAATAACCTAATTTTGCTCCTAGACCAGACCACCTGGATCAGGGATCCAAGGGAACACATAGGGAAGTGGGAAAAGGGTAAGGGTGGGAACCATTAGAACATTTGATCTAAGTTTTGATGCTTGGATTAAACTATACTTTTTATGTTTCGTTTTACTTAAATAAAACAGAAGGTGTTTTATAATTATAGAATCCCTCACCTTTTTTTAAAGGACTCTATATCAGACTTACTAAGTTGAATTTTATATGTGTTGTGTTTTTCTAGTATCTTTTCACAGTGAATAGACTTTTATTTGGCTGATTGGTAGCCGTCATTTTATAGGATTTGTTTTTCTTTTAGAATTATAGTCATATTGTAGCTCTTAACGTTATTAAAGTTTCCTCTAGTGTTATTTAGATAGTAAAACCTATAAGTACTATATTATTTCAAAGAAACCAAAAACGCAGTCTAGTTGTAAATGTTTTTTCATTTTTTAAAAGTTTCACTTTCATTTGCTTCAAATTGTTTTAGAACTTGAGACAACAGATTCTTGAATTGTTGGGCCCCATTTCAATGAATCATGGTGTTCACTTTATGGCTGCCATTGCATTTGTGTGGAATGAAAGAAGACAGAATAAAACAACCACCAGGACCAAGGTATGTATTTAGACATTTGGCACTTTTTGTTTTTGCATTTGGTGAGTACATGCTAATTTCCACTTCTCCATATATTGCAGTGGGGCCGGGGTAGATTCGAGTGTAAAGCAAAAGTCTGTCGACAGCTTTAGATAAATTGTTGCCTTAATTTCTTTAAGTATTGATTAAAATTTGAGGTCAAGGCTAGGCACGGTGGCTCACACCTGTAATCCCAGCACTTTGGGAGGCCGAGGAGGGCGGATCATGAGGTCAGGAGATCCAGACCAGCCTGGCCAACATAGTGAAACCCCGTCTCTACTAAAAATACAAAAATTAGCCAGGCATGGTGGCACACGCCTGTAGTCCCAGGTACTCGGGAGGCTGAGGCAAGAGAATTGCTTGAACCTGGGAGGCGGAGGTTGTGGTGAGCCAAGATCATGCCACTGCACTCCAGCCTGGGCAACAGAGCAAGACTCTTCCTCAAAAAATAAATAAATAAAGATAAAAATAAAATAAAATTTGAGGTCAAATATAAAAGATATGTGAAAAAAGAGAAATTAGTATGATATTAAAACTAAATAGAAATGGTAATATGGTACAGTATATTTTTCAAGTGCTAGTCATTTAGGGTACAAAGCAAGGATATGGAGAAAAGTTTTCATCTTGACTATAGTTTACTATGATGTGATAGTTCAAAGAGTTCTTGTTTCTAAATATAATTCACAAATTTTTTTTTCTACTTTTTTTGGTAGAGATGAGGTCTCACTTTGCTGTTGGTCTTAGCTGAGTTATATATGTGAATTTTGTTGCTTTCTGAGTTTCAAAGCTCAAGAGAAATGCTCTATATTGAAAACAAATCATGGCACATTAGAATAGTAAGGCTATTATATAACTTACATTTATATAAAATATATGATTTTTTCCACCTAACAATTCCTGATTTTGTGCTGATTTTACATTACATTTTTAAATTAATCAAAATAAACATTCACACCATATTACATTATTTTGCATGTGAAGATTCAGTAGTAGATATCACTCACATTGAAAATTTAAATCCTGGACTACTTAAAAGCAGTAAAGAACATTTGATTTAACATGGCATGTTGAAGCCAGGCACAGTGGCTCATAGCTATAATCCCAGCACTTTGGGAGACCAAGGCGGGAGGATTGCTTGAGGCCAAGAATTCAAGACCTCATGAGACCCTGTCTCTACAAAAAATAAAAATAGTGAAGTGTGGTGGCATTTGCCTGTAGACCTATCTACTCAGGAGGCTGAGGCAGGAGAATTATCAGGTATATTACAGCTGATAATATGTAATTCACATAGAGCAATGCCTAGCACTTAATAATCACTGTGTAAATATTAGCTATATTATTCCTCATATTTAAATAGAAATAGAGAGCCAAGGATTACCAGTCACATAAAGTCTCTAATGTGATAGACAGACTGAAACAACTAGATTTTAAAAAGTCAAACAGTGCAGATAACAGAAGAAAATGTAAATAATAGTAATGTCCTTAAGTGGGTGAGACCATGAAGTAGAAAGGGAGATCATAGGAAAGACCATTCCCAAAATTAAAATTTTTCATGGATATTAAAAATTCTGCAACAGAAACAAAGCAATATTTTTAGGAGGGTTGGAACAGAAAGTGGATAAATATCAGAAATGGAATACAAATTTAAAGATACGGAAAATACGAGAAAAGAGATAAGAATATTAGAGGAGTGATACTAGAGACCCAGTATCTTTCTGCAGAATTTAAAAACAAGAGGAGAAAAATACAAAGAAATAATACAATAAAAGTCCTCAGGAATGAAGTAAATATGTTTCCAGATTGTGCCTACCACTGTGAAAAGAGATCTGCACAAAGATTAGCATGTAATTTCAAAACACTGGAGATAAAGAAGAGATCCTAAAAGCTTCTAATGAAAGAATACTGGTCACATTCCAAAGAATAAAGATGAGATTTGTTAACAGCAACACTGGGAATTTTGATGGGAAGTTAGTTTCAACCCATAATTCTATCTCCAGCCAAACTGTCACTCAAACATTTTCAGCTATGCAATGTCTCAACAACAACAACAACAAGGAAAATTGCCATGAGTTCACT
The DNA here is from genome assembly GCF_000001405.40 of Homo sapiens. Lineage (NCBI taxonomy): Eukaryota > Metazoa > Chordata > Mammalia > Primates > Hominidae > Homo > Homo sapiens. Next base: position 83,144,141 of record NC_000006.12, read on the forward strand.
TTTTCTTGGCTACTGGAAGATGTAACTCCACCGGAGGAGGAATAAACCAAGAATGAAGAAGACAGGGGATCCAAGAAATGGGCTGCAACACAAAAGAGAAAGCAAGGGGAATCTCTGGGATAATGGTAACAGGAGAGATATCAAGATGACACTGTGTAGCAAACCTAGAGAGTATCAACCCAGGGTAGAATAAAAAGACATCTAACAGAAATGTCTCAAGGAAAAAAGAGAAGAGAGGGAGGAAAAGATACAAATTAATTACCTGAAGTATTTGAATATGTAATTAGAGATTTACAGTTGAAGTATGTAGGGATGAATTTTTAATAGGTACAGAGAAAATGAAGCAAACAAAGCAGTTTATTAGCTCTAGGAAAAACAAAAAGTTGTACCATAAAACAAATGCAATGCTAGTACAATGCACATTGCAACCAAAAATAATCATGTGAACATTGGATATGGATTTAAATAAAAATATGATATAACAATGTTGAGAGGATAGGTAGAAAAGTATAAGAGAGCTACATCTTTGTCTTCCAAAATAAGTAATGAATAGATAATGTCTAAAATTGAAAATAAAATCAGGAAATAGGAAAAATAGTAGTATATGTTATTTAGACGTAATGGAAAAGAACATAAAGAGTTGAGCATGGTTGCTTTGGGGCATGGGAAGGGATATAGGACAATACTATTTTTTCTTATAAAGCTTATTGTTCTGTTTTATTTTTTGAGGTGATGTACCTTTATTGATGAAAAATAAATAAATTTTGAGCCTGGGCAACATAGGGAGACTCTGTCTCCACAAAAAAATTAAAAAATTATCTGGGCATAGTGGCATGCCTGTGGTCTCAGCTACTCAGGAGGCTGAAGCAAGAGGATCGCTTAAACCTATGAGGTTGAGGCTGCAGTAAACTGTAATTGAGCCACTGCACTCCAGCCTTGGAGACAGAGCAAGACCCCATCTCAAAAAATATATACATATATTGTATATATATATATATATGCAAATTTTACTTTTATATATATAATATATATATTTAAAAGTATATATATAATATATATATATAATAATATATATATATATAATATATATATATATAAGTAAAATTTGCCTAAAGTAGTCAAGGGACTTGAAGAGGTCTTTATATTAAATAGAGGCCAGGGCTGGGTGCAGTGGCTCATGCCTGTAATCCTAGCACTTTGGGGGGCTAAGGCAGGAGGATCATTTTGAGCACAGGAGTTTGAGACCAGGCTGGGCAAAATAGCAAGACCTCATCTCCATTTAAAAAATATAAAAAAAGAAGAGATCATAAAATACTCTCTTCTGTAACTTCCCCTAAAAGACTTATATACATACATACATACATACAATGATTTATTACCTAGGTCATTCCTGCAGCCAGTGAAGAACAGCTTTTATTAGTGGAATTGGTTCGTTCAATCAGTGTCATGAGAGCAGAAACTGTTATCCAGACTGTAAAAGAAGTTTTAAAGCAGCCACCAGCCATAGCCAAGGACAAGGTAAGAAAAAACTCTTCTTCACATGTGTTTACAATTCTGTTTCAGAAATTATGCTGGTAAGATTTTTTTTTGTACAATAATGTCCTTTCAATATAGTACAGATTGCAGAGATGACTGCATGTGGCCCTCACACTGCTTCAATCAAAACAATTATCAATATTTGTAGTGACTTGCTATTCTGATTATTCGGTAGCCAGTGAAGAGCAGTTAACTGCTCATATCTTCATATGTACCTCAAAGGTAGTCAGGGACCATGTGACTAAATTCTCAGGAGAGATTTTTCTGGTCATTTAAAGAACATAAGCCAGAGCTCAAGATTTGCTTCTCTCAGTTGTTGCCATTTTTCATAGCTTCTTTATTGCTTTCTTTTCTGAATGAATCTCTTAATTCTGTGAACTCCCCAAATTTTGCTATAACCTTAGTTCTAGTCAATGTCATTTCTTGACCATGTATAATACTGTGCTATGCAAGTGCTACACTATGAATGACATAGTCTCTGCACACACATTGCTGTGTTTCTAGGCAAAAATAAAAGTCTACAAATTAGGAATATTACGGACTTTTCTACTTTTTCTGCTCTTTGTTCAAGCAATACCAAGAGGTCATATTTTCCCAGAAAGTATTTACCAACTACAAACATTAGACTTTGAGCCAAGCCAAAATAGACCTAATCACATCCTTTAAAGAATTATGATATATATCTGAAAATGTTGAATGATGTTTTCCTTTTATCTTGTGTTTCCAAAGGGAGTAAGATGTGTGTGAATAGTCAGTGTCCTTATTAAGTTTTTAATAAAAACTGGGGCATTTGTCATAGGATTTTTAGTTTGTATTTTGAGTACCTATTTGTGCCAGACATTGAGCAACACATGAGGGATATGAAAACAAATTAGAGCCAATCCACTGTCCTGCCCCACCAACCTGTGTCCCCTTATTAAGTTCTGAATCTATTAGACACTTGATTTTTGGACAGGAAACCTTCAAGGAAATAGTTGGGACTAAAAAAGCACAAATTGATAAACGTCAGTGGTCATCAATATCATTCTCTGGCCTCTTGTTAATTTCCAAGGGCAGGTGTTTTATTTTTATTATATATTACACTCAACACTATCTTTAATTTAGTGGCTATATTTAAAGCTCTTAGGAATTGATCACAAATTTGAACTACACTAATTGAACAGATATGTGTAATAAGACTCAAATACACATTTCATTAAAAATCTCAACCTCATTCTGATAGCACCAAGCATAAGCTACCTAAAATAGTGTTGATACTTATAGAGTACATGAATCATTTAAAAGTGAGTGGTGGACTATCAACTTCTGATATATGGAAGGAAAAATTGACAGTCTTTCCATTCCTTCCATCTGTTTTCAACTTTTAAAATAGCTCATGTGTTCTGAATTTTTCCTACTGAGTGGAAGAGAACTGCATGGCTCATTAATGAAAAATTGATGATTTTGTTCTTTCAATTTTTTTAATTAAAAATTGGCAGTAAGATACAGAGTAGTTGCAACAATGAAAAAGCAAAGGCAGTATTCTTCTTCACTACAAAATTGATTTCTTTTATTTATAGAAACATCTTTCTTTGGAAGTCTGCATGCTTCAGTTTTTCTATGCTTATATTCAAAGGTAAGATTACTGATATTGATCTGTCCTTACTATGTTGCTAGAAACAGAGAAACATTATTTATGGATATATTAATATAAGTAATGAGTGTCTTAACGACCCAGCCATGTATATCCTACAAACCTAAAGACCTAAGGATATTGAAGATTCCTAGATAGTAAAACACTGAATTGTGATAAAATCATTTAAACATAAATGAAAAGTTGAACCTACTCTCGAAACTATGCATATTGCCACTGAATCCATTATTTTGGTATAGGTGAACATACAGTAATTCATTCTGCTTTTTTAATGTTAGGAATGATTACATGAAATATCTTCTTACTATCATATTCCATTTTGCGTTTAACTGACCTGTGAACAGAAGTTATGATTTGAGTTTTTATAACTTCTTACTCAAGAACCTGACTCTTCATCCTCCTTTATAAGATAATTCCATTTTATTCACCAAACTCAGCCTCCATTTGTAATCTATGACTAGCATTATAAGGTCAGGCTATTGAGTGTATTTAAACTGGTTGTGACCTAGAGCAAGCACTGCCTAAAATCTGAACTTATATACAGAGAGGTGTTAGGGTTAAGGTCAGACTGAAACAAAGATAGTCTTCATTATTTTTACAGGTTAAAGACTAATGTTCAGTTGACAGCCCTCCATAATATGAGGTAGAGACGTACAAGGTGAAGGAAAAAGAACTAAGAGGGAAATGGAGAGACCAGGCTAGGGAGTACATGACTGTGGTATCAGTAGTTAAACTGAGAATTACTGCAGTTGTATTTTACTTTTGAGATCCCATGTGATAAATGGGATTTCAATAGAAAAATTTCTAGATTAAGAAATTGCAGGCTAGGGGCGGTGACTCTCGCCTGTAATCTCAGCACTTTGGGAGGCCGAGGCGGGCGGATCACGAACTCAGGAGATCAAGACCATACTGGCCAACATGGTGAAACCCTGTCTCTACTAAAAATACAAAAATTAGCTGGGCATGGCAGCGCACGCCTGTAGTCCCAGCTACTCAGGAGGCTGAGGCAGGAGAGAATTGCTTGAACCGGGGAGGTGGAGGCTGCGGTGAGCCGAGATCGCGCTACTGTGCTCCAGCCTGGGCAACAGAGTGAGACTCCATCTCAAAAAAAAAGACAAAAAAAGAAAAAAGAAATTGCACTGGGGCCAGATGCAGTGGCTCATGCCCATAATCCCAACACTTTGGGAGGCCAAAGCAGGTGGATCGCTTGATCCCAGAAGTTTGAGACCAGCCTGGGCAACATGGTGAAATTCCATCTCTGTTTTAAAAAAAAGAAAGAAATTGCATTGATATTTCAACTGTGTTGGTTTACTAATTAACGTTAGTAAAAATGTAAAGTTTTTAGGAATTTTGTTCTATCATTGTCTATAAAAATTTAGAGAATGTTCCACAAACTAGTAGAAAACCATAGTTTATTGTGGCTTTTGTATAAACTATATTATCTTGCAGAATTCCAGTGCCCAATTTAGTGGATAGCTGGGCGTCACTGTTGATACTTCTGAAAGACTCTATACAACTGAGTCTTCCAGCTCCAGGGCAGTTTCTTATACTTGGGTAAGCAATTTCACTTAATATTATTTCAAATAAAAGGATAATGTTAATTGTCCTAGTTGCCAAGTATTAGTAATAGATATTTTAGGTGACAGTGATCTCTCTACCTTCTCATAGTGTTCTTGAGATGCAAAACTAGATGTATAAGGCCTGTTTAAGAAAAAAAAAAGTGGGAGGCAGGGTGAGAGGAGGAAACAGTCTATGTTTATACATATACAAAATGTAACTACACTAACATAAAACTGTTACAACAGTAGCTGTTTCCGTGGTGGTGGAGAGTATGGAATGGAAAGGGGAGGGGGTGATGTAGCATGGCTGAAGGGGAACTTCACAGAGGAGGGACACTTGAGCTGGGCCCCAAACCTAAACAGCCTGGGAAAATTTTTCTCTTTGTGTCTTGAAGTTTTCTGATTTATCTTAGTGATTTATATGATTATTTGATAAATGTTAGTCACCTATGACTGCAAGTACTGGGATGTCATAGTCAGTCTCTCTTTCTTGCTTGCCATTATTCTTGATTCCTAATAGGTCCCCAGTAAATACTTGGTAAGTGAATAGAGGTGGTGGGCACAGAAAGCCTTTGTGAAACAGGAAGGGGAAGGGTATTCTGGGGCAAAGTACCTTGTCTGATTTGGTAATAGAGCAGGGCACAGGCAGTGGTATAGTGGAAAATAAGACTGAATGAAAAGGGAGATGGGAGCTAGATGGGGCAGGATCTTGAATTTTATTTTAAAGAATGTGGTCTTGAAAGGGAGTGGGAGCGGTTGCAGGTTTTTGAGGAGAGACATGACTGGCATGTTAGTAGTAGTAGGCTAGATCAGAGGGGAAAGAGGCTAGACTAGGAATTCTATTTCAAGTGGGAAGTGTGGGGATGGTTTCAACTATTGATGGGATTGAAAGAACAGGATAAAGAAGGAGAAGGGGCCAGCAAAGGAGATAGAAAGGGAAGTATCAAAAAGAAGAAAACCAGGCATTTGATTGTCCAGAACCAAAGGGAGGTTAAGAGAGCATGGTTAACACCTACAGAGAGGTTAAGGAAGGTGAGGAATAATAAAAGGCTATGTTTGTTGACAATCTGGACAGGCATCCTAATTGTCCAATCACCAGTTATCTGATGATTTTGGAGAGAGGGTTTGGAGAGGTAGCAGCACAGATGTGTTAACAGCAAATGCTTAGTGTGGGAAAGTAAGTGTTGATTCTTCTTTGAGGATATTTGATCATGAAAAGAAAGAAGCCACATGCGGTGGCTCATGCCTGCAATCCCAGCACTTTGGGATGCTGAAGCAAGAGGACTGCTTGAGCCCAGAGTTTGAGACCAGCCTAGGCAACATAGGGAGACTGTGTCTCTACAAAAAATTTAAAAATTAGCCAGGCATAGTCACACGTGCCTGTAGTCCCAGCTACACAGGAGTTGTCATAAGGTTCAGAGAGGGAATGTATGTACAGGTGTTGGAATCATCACCAAATAACCCTGCTGGCTAATTTCATCAAAAAATTAAGTTCATTTGTTGTGATCTGTAGCTGTTCCCCTTTCCTTACATGCCTTTTCTTCCTTTCAGAATGAAGGATCCTCTTCCTTTTCAACATGTGCATATTCTGAATGTTAAAACAAAAAGTTGAAAGTTGAACATTTTCAGTTATACTAGAAACTTTATTTCCTTTTAAAATTTGTCAGTTTACCTTTTTGCCAACCATTGTACTGATCCTCTAAAATTACCTAATTAAAAAATAGATATTGATATGAAGGTTGCTCTTTAGTTTCATTTTACATATTAGTTTGGAAGTAATTGTGCATATAATTTATCTTTTAAAAAACCATGTCAGAGTGAATATTGAGTAGACTCTTAGCAAATAATGAAAATGGAAATTTTTTTCTTCATGAACTATTTTTAATGTGTTATGGGAAGAAATCATTTCTGTATTACAATTTAAGATTTTTTAAACTTTTCTGTTTATATATAAAACACACATAGAAAAATACACAAATAATTAGTACACAACTCTACAAATGCAAAGTTTGTAAAAAGTCAACATACCACTATATCATTACAAACCCAAATTAAGAAATAAAACACCATGTGTCCCTCCACACCTCTCCCAATTACTATTCTTTTATCTCCCCAAATGTAACCACTATTCTAACACCACAGATGGATTTTGCCTTGTTTTTGAACTATAAGTATATATAAATATTTTGTGTCGGCTTCTTTTGTTCAACATATGTTTATGAGATTCATTTATGTAATTCACATATCTGTAATTTTTCATTGTTGTTTAGTATTTGAACATTCTGCAATTTGTTTTTTCTTTGATATGGGATCTTGCCAGGTTTCCCAGGCCAGAGTGCAGTGGTTATTCACAGCATGATCATAGCACACTGCAGCCTTGGCCTCAAGCAATTCTCCTGCCTTAGCCTACCAAGTAGCTGGAACTACAGGCATGCACCACCACGCCTGGCCACATTCCACAATTTATCTTTTCTGCTCTTGCTGGACATCTGGGTTCCTTCCACTTTGGGGCTCTTACAAAAGATGCTTTGAGCATCTTTATACAGTGTCTTTTCATGAGTATGTTTATGAATGTCAGTTGAGTCATAGGATATGTATATATATTAAATATTTAAAATGGAAATCAAGACCATTAAGCCGCTTAACTCATCGTGAGAAATTAGATCGCATTAGTTTCTTTTAGCCTGATATTTCCCGTTTCTGTTTTCTCTTTGGCCCTTTTAGGGTTCTGAATGAGTTTATTATGAAAAACCCTAGTTTGGAAAATAAAAAAGACCAAAGAGACCTTCAGGTAAGGCAGTCTAAGAGCTGTTGCCAAAACTGTTTCTCAGTGCCCTCAATTTGAAAATGAGAGAGTCAAATAAAATAAACTGAAGTTTCTTTCAACTCTGAACATTCTATGGGAATCAACAAGTCTATTGTAAAATATCTATTATCAGAAATATAAACTACAGAAGTTCATAACTAGTGTGCATGTGTGTACCATACATAGTTGTTCTTCCTTATTTTTTTAGGATGTAACTCACAAAATAGTGGATGCAATTGGTGCAATTGCTGGTTCTTCTCTGGAACAGACAACATGGCTGCGACGAAATCTTGAAGTTAAGCCTTCTCCCAAAATAATGGTAGATGGAACCAATTTGGAATCTGATGTTGAAGGTATTCTTGTCAAACATTTAGGTTTATTATCTGTAAGCAGGCATATATTTACTAAGAAATCATTTTGCCTAGCACTATAAGTACCACAAATTTATCCCTTTTCTCATGTCTAACAAGTAACTTTTTTTCAGTGGGAAAAATATATATATACATATACATATATATATACATATATAAAAATAATACACACACACACACACACACATAAAATTTATTTTCAGTGGGAATTAGCCATATCTTTAATTTTCTCTTATTTATAGATATGTTATCACCTGCAATGGAAACCGCAAACATAACTCCTTCTGTATATAGTGTCCATGCATTGACATTACTCTCTGAGGTAAATATTAAGCTTTTTCACATGAACTCTCAAGTAGACTGTTTCATTATTAAAAATTAGCAAGTAATTTTTATAGAGGAATTTCTAATTTGAGAAACTATTTTGTGCTTCTAGAAATCACTATATAGAATTAATATAAAGTTTTGGCCTTGTATGTATTTGGATTATTTAGTTTGCCAAACATTAGTGATAAATTTAGATACTGCTTCCCTTCTCCATGTCCTATTCTTTTTTATGTGTTTTTTTCTTTTTCTTTTTTTTTTTTTTTTGAGACAGTTTCACTCTTGTTGCCCAGGCTGGAGTCAAGTGGGGTGATCTCAGCTCACTGCAACCTCTGCCTCCCGGGCTCAAGCTATTCTCCTCCCTCAGCCTCCTAAGTAGTTGAGACTACGGGTGTGTGCCACAATGCCCAGCTAATTTTTGTATTTTTAGTAGAGACGGGGTTTCATCAGTTTGGCCAGGCTGGTCTCGAACTCCTGACCTCAGGTAATCCGCCCACCTCGGCTTCCCAAAGTGCTGAGGTTACAGGCATGAGCCACCGCGCCCGGCCTGGGGAGGGGTGGAGGTGATCTAAAGCCTGCCACTATAATGTATTTTACAATTTACCAAACATTTTCATGTACATTGTCTGACAGGTTCTTTTTTATACCCTATTATACACATGTCATTTTGTTTCCTCTTTGCAGATGTGGATAGTGACCTTTACAAAGATCAGAACAATAGGACTAAGGCCAAATAGCTGTTAATTGACAGTGTTGGAATTTGAACAGCCCAGTTCAATTGTTTGTTTTTTTTTCCTAAACTACATTTTAGCTGAGTCAGGGAAAAAGAATACTATAGTTTCTAGTACTAAATTCACTGTTTACTCACTGTCACAGAAGGTTCTTGAACTCTTTTCTTTTTTGTACTTCCCTATCTCAGTTGGAAATGGCAAGATTTGCCCATATTTATATCCTATAGTAACAATGTACAAAAAAGCAGATGGTGGCAAAACTCATTAACATAAAAATGATTCAGGAAGATTTAATTTTAGATTTTTCTAATTTTAAGTAGTCTAGGTTTTCTAACAAACTGAAAATCAGTACCTTGGGATGATGTCAGTTTCACCTCATATGTTACTCTTCATTTTTTATGTTTTCATAGGTTTTGGCTCATCTTTTGGATATGGTTTTCTATAGTGATGAAAAGGAGCGGGTTATTCCTTTACTTGTAAATATTATGCATTATGTTGTGCCCTACCTCAGAAATCACAGGTACTATCATTATTTAAATAGTTTTTAAAATTAATTCATAGCCTGTTAGAAACAAGTTCTGTTCCCTTATTGCCATTTCTAGAATTATCATAAAATGGCATTTTTACCTTGAATTATAATTGTTTAAAAAAATTCATATATTATTTTTCTTATGGTGCTTTCTATTTCATATCTTCATGTCACTGTCTTAGGTAAATGTGAACATTTATGTATAACTTGATAGGATGATTAAAGTTAGGACACGTAGGTTAAGGTGGTTTTTCTTCCTTGTAGTGCACATAATGCCCCTAGTTATCGAGCTTGTGTCCAGCTGCTCAGCAGTCTTAGTGGGTATCAGTACACACGGAGAGCTTGGAAAAAAGAAGCTTTTGACCTCTTTATGGATCCCAGTTTCTTTCAGATGGATGCCTCTTGTGTTAATCAGTAAGTTGCCCTCTTATTTGTATTCAGCATGATGCACCTCACAGTCTGATGAAATCAGCTACTCCCCTGGAAAGTTAGAATACTGTTCTTTAACAGTAACAACATAATTACATGTTGTAATCCTTATCTCTTTCAGTTGGAGAGCAATTATGGACAATCTGATGACACATGATAAAACAACATTTAGAGATTTGATGAGTGAGTATTACGGGATGACAATCCAAGTTCTTTCCTGTACATGGTTCCTTCTTACTATTTACTTGTACTCTTTTCTGGAGACTAGGAGACTACTGAATTAGCTCTTTGTCAAGTGTCAGTGGGGATATGTGCTCTAGGGAAAGCACACTACTTTCTGTACGCTATGGGAATATAATCTTAAAATTTACAGAGGACAACTTAAGTGATAAGTAATAAGTAAAACTATTTGTCCTTTTGCAGCAACTAGTGGAGGGAAGGGTCCATGTCTAATTTGAATCTAAATTATTTCCTCAGTACACAGCATCATACCCAGCACATAATAATAGCACTCAATAAATAATTATTCAGTGAATGAGAGACTGACAGATGGTGAAGTGCAAAAGGCAGGCAGTCGAATCCAGCCTATCAGACAAGTCACTTTAAATCTCTGGGGCTCTGTTTATTTCATCTGAAGGAAGAAAGAGGGGTGCCAAGAAGGGCAGAATCACCCCCCACCCCCTCTTTCTACTCTTGATTGTTTTTATAGTTTAGGATTCCATTTAGAATTTCATCTGAAAAAAAAGAGTTTTAAAAAACGTTTGAAAGTTATTAAATAGCAGTAACATTGTATGATTCTGTAATATTTTTTAACAAATTCTTTAGCTAAAGCTACAGTTTTCTCATTTGGAAAAAGGGCAGGATATCTGTTTTATCTTCATAAGGTTGTTTTAAGGTTCAGATTTATCCATTCAACAAATTTTTATTAAAAGACAACAGTGGGCCACGCATTGCGCTAACCTTAATCAAATTTTAAAAGTTGTGAAGGAAATAGGGCAATGTGTGATGGATTTTAAATAACAGCTAAATAGCTCATATACAAGGTGAAACTAAAGAAGCCAACCATGAGAAGGCCTAGGGTCAAAATATTCCAGGAATAGGGAACAAGAATTACAAAGGTTGGCTGGGTGCAGTGGCTCACGCCTGTAATCCTAGCACTTTGACAGGCCAAGGCACTAGGATTGTTTGAGGCCAGGAGTTTGAGACTAACCTGGACAAAATAGCGAGACCCCAGCTCTACAAAAAAAAAAAAAAAAATTAAACTGGCCAAATGTGGTATGTACCTGTAGTCTCAGCTACTCAGGAGGCAGGAGGATTGCTTGAGCCCAGGTGGTTGAGGCTGCAGTGAGCCATGATTGTGCCCACTGCACTTCAGACTGGGTGACAGAGGAAGATACCATCTCAAAGAAAAATACAAATAAATTGCAAAGGTCTTGGGATGGGAGCACGCTTGGTGCACTGAGAGAATGACAAGCAAGACAGTGTGGCTACAGCAGAGTGAGTTGAGGGTGAGTAATGACTTGAGGAAGGAGAGGTAGGTAGGCAAGCTACACCAGAAGGTATTTTTAAAGTAACGAGAAGGATTTAAGCAGATGGCCTCAAATATTAAAGGGTTTCCTCAGGGTTTTATATAAATGGTATTAGTGGTTTTACCTTCTAAAACCTACAGTTCTAAATTTTCCTCTCCATCACAATTCCTACCATTTTGGTCCTCTGGCTTATATACGTTGGATCTGTTTGCCAGCCTGTCTGCCCCAGAGAGGGGCATCAAGTTTTGTACCCCAAGCTCCTCTCAGTTTTGGATGTCATAGAGCATCTAGCTATTTTAAAAAACAACAGAATAATCTTTCTTCAGATGACAGTGTCACAGTCTCTTTCACTTGCTTTTTCAGCTCGTGTAGCAGTGGCTCAAAGCAGTTCACTTAATCTCTTTGCAAACCGTGATGTGGAGCTAGAACAGAGAGCTATGCTTCTTAAAAGATTAGCATTTGCTATTTTTAGCAGTGAAATTGACCAGTACCAGAAATATCTTCCAGATATACAAGGTAAAAAATGAAAAACCCTTTATTTTTTCTCTAACTACAGGTTTTTGGTTCCTTAGAAAATACTTCTCTAAATACTAAGTTGGGGTAAAATATATCAAGTGTAGATCAATCGGGAATTAGAAATTTTTCTACTGAAACAATGAAAATTATCAATGCTGGCATCTAAAAGAAATCATCACTGAGTTGTAGGACTTGCCTAAATGTGGTCTCTATTTTATTGTTTAGTTCAAATTTCTTAGGAATTCATGTTTGAGGATGAGGTATAAGATGATTTTGCTGCGGGCAGTCATGTTAGCATGTTCTCCTTGTGGACAAGAATTTGTGTACTCTGAGAAGACCAAAATATAAGGCAAAGCCAGGAAATTGTGGCTAGAAGTAACACCTGGAGATCTGTAATTTGGGGACTGCATGGGGGATTATGTAACATTTTCGGTAACTTCATCAAGTGGGTTTGGTGACCTTCTGTATCCAGAAGGATATCAGTACACGTGTCATCACCCTGTACCACCAAATAGCTCCACAATGGGGATTTATCCAGAACAGAATTATTTGCTGCTCGAGTCAGCATACTCTAAAGCCTCCAGCCTCAGGAGCCAACATGGGAACATGATAGTTGTCATCTCTCTAGGGAGAATTTTCTTTTCTCCCAGAAGACAAATGATTCCTTGTTTCCTAACCTTTTACGCCTAATTTCAGATATGCAAAATGTACACTATTTGTCCCTACAATTTTTTTTGTTTAAGTTGACTAGATCAGTGCTACTCAAAGTATGGTCCATGGACCAGTAACCAGTCTGTTATCCCATCCATAAGTACAAAACTTTAGAGTAAACATTTTAAACTTTTATTTGCTATTTGACAGAATCTGCTTAATAAGAAAATGACATTTGTATTTTGTGTATCTTTGTTTAATTGGAGTTCTCTTATTCGTTGTTTTATGAAAATATCTACAACAGTTTTGAATTTTTTTAAAGTTTATCCTTTACTACAGATAGTTTGAGAGTACTGGACCGACAATATAGAAAGTTTTATGTGATAAAGATTATTTAGTTATTGAAAATGCTCTGCATTTCTTTCAGAGAGATTGGTTGAGAGTCTCCGTTTGCCACAGGTGCCAACTCTCCATTCTCAAGTGTTCCTGTTTTTCAGAGTGTTACTTTTAAGAATGTCTCCCCAACATCTTACCTCACTCTGGCCTACCATGATTACAGAACTTGTGAGTTAATTTTAATTCAGTCAGGTTATAAATCTAAATGATAAAACAGTGATTAGTTTCCATGTGCTTACTAGATATTAACGAATATTGGGAGAGAACTGAGCTGTAGTTAAACCAGTTACTGATGCTTTTTACAGTTGAAAATAGTAAAACAAGTCAGATTCCATTTCCATACAGCTTAAATTTACAAACATGCAACATAGATGGATGGCCAGCTCCTTGTGAATGATTACTTTCTTGGATCTGGTTTAGTGTTTAGTCTGTACTACACTACATTTTTAACTCTGTCATGGCCTACAGTCCTGACAATAGCAGCTGGACCCATTTACAATAGCTGTAGCAATACCTCTAGTGATAGAGATGGCTGAGCTGGATTTAACTGCTCTGACATATTACATATACTCACTCTTGAAGTGCAGCACCTACCCCATTTAAACTTGCTTCAGAGAGACTTTCACAAAGATTTTGTAACCTACCAAACGGTAAAACCTTCCCAAGTCCCACCTACACCCTTCTGTTCCCCTCCTCAAACCGTACACAGTCATCCTTATCCTCCTCAGAATGATTTGGGGAGTTAGGAAAGAGGAATGAGTAAACAATGGAAAAGGAATCTCTCTCTGAAAATCTAGCTTTATAGTTTCCCTGCAAATATAATTGCTTTAATCTTTCTTTTATTTTTCCTTTTTTTTTTGTTTTTTGAGATGGAGTCTCGCTCTGTCACCCAGGCTGGAGTGCAGTGGCGAGATCTCAGCTCACTGCAAGCTCTGCCTCCCGGGTTCAGGCCATTCTCCTGCCTCAGCCTCCCGAGTAGCTGGGACTACAGGCACCTGCCACCACACCCAGCTAATTTTGTTTTGTATTTTTAGTAAAGACGGGGTTTCAGCATGTTAGCCAGGATGGTCTCGATCTCCTGACCTTGTGATCTGCCCACCTCGACCTCCCAAAGTGCTGGGATTACAGGTGTGAGCCACCACACCAGACCTATTTTTCCTTTTTTAATAACTAACTCTGTTCCATAATCACTAAAAACAAAAGCTCACCTTCATCTCACTGGATTTCACCAAATGATTAGCAAGGCTCTGTGTGGCTAAATTTGCAGTTTTACCTTCAGAAACTAAGTATAATTTAAAAGATTCTGAAAATGTATTCTAAAATTTGTTTTTGCGTTAATGAAAATACAACTTAAAGATAACTTGAAAGGATTAAATATCCAGTTTAAATAAACATTTAACATTTCACCATTTTCAGGTACAAGTATTTTTACTGATGGAGCAGGAACTCACTGCTGATGAAGATATTTCACGGTAATATGTAATTTAAATATATTGTTGTCCATTTTTTAATACCCTGAAATTATTCAGAATATTACTCAGCATCTAGGAGAATATAGTCTTTTTCTGAATACTTATTTATTATTATCTAATTGATTACGTTTGGATATAATGTAGTTTTACTTATTCCTTAAGCCCTTTAGATTGGATTAAGCCATCAGCATTCATTGCCCTGGGCCCCTAGACACAAATTTAATTTAAAGCAGTACAGTATTGTTTCAGCTACATGAGCTAGGCTGGTTTTGGTAAGTCACATCTGGTCTCTGAAACATTGCAACATATAGCCAACCCTGTTATGGTAGGTAACCTGGAACCAGGCTATTCGTATATGCAGATCTTCCAGATGGTCCCAATTTAATATACTTTTATTCTTTTTAATAGAGGCAGTTTATTAATGTATGACTAAATACAATTTTTTACTTACACAAATTTATAAATTGAAAAGTTCCTTTAAGACCAAGTTTCTTGAATATATTTTCTTCTTCAGTAGTAGATTTATAAAAAGGATCTCCTGTACTAATAACTTTATTATTATAGAGAATTTTCTCATCCTTGCAGAAACTGAGTAAAAAAGTTTCTCGCTTTTACAGTTTTTATTTTTATATTTCTTGAACATAATATAAGTTATGTACTACTTTTTTTTAGACAGGGTCTCATCTTTTCACCCAGGCTGGAATGCAGTGGTGTGATCCTGGCTCATTGCAGCCTCGACCTCCCAGGCTCGGGTGATTCCCCCACCTCAGCCTCCTGAGCAGCTGAGACCACAGGTGTGTGCCACCATGCCTGGCTAGTGTTTTTTTTTTTTGTCTGTGTGTATTTTTTGTAGAGACAGGGTTTCATCATGTTGCCCAGGCTGGTCTCAAATTCCTGGGCTCAAACATTCCACCCGCCTTGGCATCCCAAAATGCTGGGATTACAGGCAGAAGCCACTGCGCCCAGTCTATGTACTGTTTTTGCATTCTCAAAGAAGAAAAGTGAATTTTTGATTTGAAAACAGTGACATTTCATCATGACCTTGCTTAGCAATTACTGGCACATTTATCTCAGGATGATTATGAAAAATATTAGCTGGTACTTTTAGATCTTTCCAGGAATTCCTGTGAGTAAATGGGTCCAGCTGCTGACAGCACTGTCTCCTGCTTACAGGACTTCAGGGCCCTCTGTGGCTGGTCTGGAGACAACGTACACAGGAGGTAATGGCTTCTCTACTTCATATAACAGCCAGCGGTGGTTAAACCTCTATCTCTCTGCTTGCAAATTTTTGGATTTGGCTCTCGCATTGCCCTCTGAAAACCTTCCTCAGTTTCAGATGTAAGTAAAAGCAAGGATATTAAATGGTTATTTTTGAAAGTGCATTTGCTTTGGTCACTGACATCTATGACTAATTAAAAAGTTTTTTGTGTAAGTTGAAATATTCCTAATTTTTACTAAAATGTAATTCTTTTGGCACAGCAGAGTTATCGGAAGTAAATGGTCAATGTGGATATATTAACAGACTATTCAGTCAACAGATTGAGTACCTCCAGATGTGAGACAATGGGGTACATAACTCACATGCTTCAAGTCCAGGGAAGGAGACATACTCATACTATGGTGGCTCATGCACAAGACACACTGAGGCCACATAGCAGAGATCCCTACTAGCTCTGAAGGTCAGAGCAGGCCCTGAGGGCAGTCTTAACCTGAGGTGGTGAAGAATGACAGCTGGGAGAGTGAAGATAGAGGCAGCTGCAGACATGATACGTCTGAAGTGTGGAGAGATTGGTATTGCTGGAGCAGAATGTTAAGAAGAAGCTGGAAAGGGATTAAACCATGTAAGACCTTGTAAGCTGTGTTAGAGAACTTGGACAGCTAAGGAAAGAAGTGATATTATTAGGCTTGAATTTTAGAATGCTTATTTTGGCTATGTAGTGTGGAGAATGGACTGGAGCTGGGCAAGCCTAGAATGAAGGAGGCAGTTTTATCTTAGATGATAATGAATTGAACTGAAAAGAATAGGGGAAAAGTTGATAAAAGCATATATAAATTTTAAAAATAATGGGCAAGCTATGTAAGATTGTTTTATCAAAATGTAGTTAAGGTAATATGAGAATTTATCCACAAGATCAAATATGTATTAATTTATTATATTGTGTCTTATTTTTCTTCTGGAACAGAAATAATAGGATAAAGAGTATGCTACTGAGCTTTTTCTCTTTTTTATTTGGACATGCTCCAAAATTTGCTATTTTACAAGCTTACTTTTCATTAAACTTAATGGTAAGAACTAGAAATTACTTTTAGAGTCATTCTAGTTCCTTTAATTTTCTCTTCTACTTGAAAACCATATATATATATATATCTACTTTTTGATGAATTTCAGTTGTTGGGTATCTGTTACACAGATGTTACTCCTAAGGAAGTCCAGAAAAGAATACTAAACAGAATCGTAGGAATGTGGCCAATATTAACCAAGACACTTACCTTCACAAAAGTGATAACTATTCTGTGGTGCTTTTGGAGGGACATGAAATAGTATGCTCATGATACTGACTTTTTATCTTCCATGACAAGAACCAAAATCAGTTTATCCTCTTTGTCAAGATGTTAGTTACTACAAAAGGGAAGGAAACATGCCGTTATATTAATTAGTTTTTTAAAAACTTACATCTTTCTAAAAATAAAAATCTATAAAGTAGAAAGTGTAAAGATTTTAATTATCTTGAAAGAGTAATATCTTAGCATGATCCATATTTGGAAAGTTCAAAATACTTGATAAGTTTACTGTATATAAATTTAAAAGTATCCATGTAACTAAAAGGTACTATAAAGTTCGAAAGATAGCAATGAATTGGTAAAAGATATTTTCGATGTATATGACAAAAGTCTAAAATGCATAATGTATAAAAATAACCTGGTAGAAAAATGAGCCAATGAGCAAGACAGTTAATAATTTATAGGATGGTTTCTAAACATAGGAAAAACTGCTCAGTTGTTCTCCTGAGTTTCCGATTAAAATTATAGATAACCATCAGAATGGTAAAGATCTGAAAGTTGCTTTCCTTTTACTTTTAGTAACAGAAGCATTCTTATTCTTGTTGGAAGTATACACTGATATTGTCCAATTGTTCAGAGGTTATATTTACCAAAATTTAAAATATATATCTTTAAGCCTATAATTCTGCTACATCCAAGGATTTATCCTGTCTCTATATTCTCAGATGTGCACAAAAATAAATAAGCATTACTTAAGAGTATCCACTGTGGTACTTTGTAAGTGCAAGAAGTTGGACAATCTAGGACATTGGCTGTGGTGTACTACTATGTTGCTGTTAAAAAGAATGAAGTTTTATATGATGCAGAATTGTCTCCAAGATATGTAATTTATATCAAATAAATTATATCAAAAATATATATCCTACATGTATAATTAAAACAGGCAGCAATCATGTTTTTTTAAAAGAGAGGGTTGGTTGTGTGAATATATACTCTTTTGGGCATAAACTCTCTGGACGGACTTACGAAGCTGACAACATTGATGAATCCTATGCGGGGAGGGGAGACTGCCTTTCTTTGGTATGCCCATTTATACTGTTTGAATTTTTCCCATGGTCGGATATTACTTTTACTTACTTATGAAAGACAAAATTACAAACAAAAATACAAGAGAAGTGCAAAAAAAGCCCTTAGTTTTCTTAAATTCGTTCAATTTTTTACTCCTTTACTATGCAACTAGGGAACATTTGGCCAGTTATATGTTGAAAAATCAAGTCTTTGTCAGACTGTTATGTTGCAGTACAAAGAGATAAGCTAAATGAAAACATCTTCCTTTTAAGAACCTTATGCCTGTTCGCTAATGAGAAAAGAAACATTTGTTGAGTACTTGCTTTGGACTCATGAAAAAAGTAATGATGAGTACTTTACAAGTTTTCATATTTATTCCTTACAACCTTATGAGGTAGTTAATAGTATCTTTATTTACTGATGAAGGCTCAGAGAGGTTAAGAAACATACCCAAAGTGACAAGGCTACGAGTGGCACATCTGGCATTTGAATTTTTATAAGCAGTGGGGTCATGATCTTTCTACTACATTATGTGGCCTAATCTTAGATGGCACAAAGTCTGTCTTACTGATGCTGATGTCATTATTCTATACATAGGTACCGATGGGCCTTTATTCCAGAAGCCTCAGATGATTCAGGTTTGGAAGTCAGAAGGCAGGGTATACATCAACGAGAATTTAAACCTTACGTGGTACGACTAGCAAAACTTCTTCGGAAAAGAGCAAAGGTATCGCATTCTTTTGTGATTGTTTTGTTTTACATCACTACATGTTGCATTAGTGAGGTATTTATTAAATACTTCCTGGGAAACTGAGAACGTTATCAAGTTGAGCTATTTTGAAAACAAGTCCCCAGTTTTGAGAGTTAATGTCCATAAGCCTCATATTTCCAGACATTAGAAAACATATCGTATGTATTTTAAAGGAATATGCGGTTATTCATTTTTTTAAAGAAGAAAAAGGAAGGCTTTTGTACATTAATAACATCTACCTTAAAATGTTTTCCCCTCAAAAAAGAAAATAAAAACCTTGGAACCATACATGTGAGTATTTAAGACTGTAGTCCTGAACACTCTTCGTGTCAAAAACTTGAGAATGTAATATAATGTTCATCTTAATGCCATGATGACAAACAAAAGTATGAGTTGATTGAAAAAAATACAGTACAAAAGGGATTTTTAGAACCTGTCAGAGTTGTTTCAACAGAACTAATCAATGGGTAAGAAGATTATACATTTTAAATTTGTAAAATATGAGTCAGATTTCATTGAAATTGAATGAGCTAGACCTCGATCAGAATAAAGGAAATAATCATTAGCATTCATTCTGTTTATCTATATGAAATAAAATATATATGCTAAAATTCATTTTCTAAGTATTTTTCACTTTCTGATTATAACCTACATTCAGAAATGTGTTCCTTATCCTGATCCAGTACAGCTATATAACCGAATCTAAAGTTTCACAAAACAGTTCTTGCCCTTAACATGAGATATTTTCCTT
Organism: Homo sapiens; assembly: GCF_000001405.40. Lineage (NCBI taxonomy): Eukaryota > Metazoa > Chordata > Mammalia > Primates > Hominidae > Homo > Homo sapiens. The sequence continues at coordinate 83,163,695 of NC_000006.12, forward strand.
TTTGTAGTTCACAGTGATGATGCTGAGTACAGATTGCAAGACCCCCACAACCTGCAGTTTTTAAAACAGTGCTCAGAGTTAAACTGGCTTTATGACTCTTTAATATAAAGCATCTTCTTAGAGAAATTATTTAAGGGGAAAAGTGGGAATTTACTTAAAACATATACCATTAAAAAGTGTAGGAAAATAAAATTTGTAAAATATTGTCTTATATACTTTTTATCTTTCAGTATGCATCATGCTAATTTATTACAGATCTTTGCCCAAGAACCTACCAGCAATGAAACTGGTATGCTCACCATTGGGCCTTTGTTATTAACCTTTTGTCAAATTTTCTTTTACATTCAACAAATTTCAAAATCAAATTGTACAATTTGGGAGTGATCTAGGTTGTCTGGTGAGATCTAGTATGCAGTGTGTGCTTTGAGTGCTCAGAAATTTTCCAGTCTTCTGGAGTCCTCCTAATCAGGCAGCAGCTCTTAAACTGAATTCCATAACTATAAAAATGGAATGAAGAAAGTGATTAAAGAGATTTTGCTGGAAGGAATTTACATGAGAAAACTTGACTTAAATTCCTAGTTGCTTCTGTAGGGGCTTAATAAAAGGACAGAGATGAGGATGTATGCTGGGTCCTGAGTTCAGGGTAGGACTTTGGTACTTTCAATTTGATATCTCAGAGTTTGGGCAAGTAATCATGACAAATCCAGAAGCAAATATGACCCCAGGCACATGTCCTTTTCTGTTATGCCTGCCTTTCATTAGTAATGAGAATTTTTATAAGACCCCCCTCCTTTATCTAAATAATAAATATGACAGTCTTTTGCCCAAAATTTGTCCCACAGAATAAGAAAACTATTTTGATTGAAAGGCATCTTCCCATCCAAATCACCTTAAACAAGGTCTTCATGGCCAAGCATACTTTTCACTGGAACAAAGGCTGTGAGTTCTCCTCTTTCCTTCCACAGGACAAGGAGGAGGACTTTAAGACAGTGATTTTGGAGGGATTGGAGATGGCCAAGCATCAGGTGAGGGTGGCTGTTTCATGCTTATGATATGGCAGCAAAAGTTGCCAAATATTGAGACACAAACCCAGGTCTGAATGTCAACAAGTACAAGGGAGGTAAACAGGAAGGAAGTCTTTTTTCAAGTGTGGACTGGTGAAGTCAAAGGAGAAATCATTTGTATGGAAACATTTGACTTTATTTAATATTGAGACAATACATATAGTTCTGATTAAGAGCATCAGAAACTCTGAATCAAGTGTATTCTTCTTGGTCAAGAGCTTAATAAAAGTCCCTCTCTTAAAGGCTCATCTTGATAGGAATAGAAACAAAAGGTTACCCCATAGTTCTCTTACATTTGGAAGTTAGCTATATAGAGGGTACAAGGATATTCATTTTCCTTCAGGACAAAGTCATCTCTGTACGCCCTTTATTGTTGAATTGCAGTTTGATTTAGGGGATTAGAGGTGGTATGGTACCAGTAATTGAGTAATGGTGGAAATGTGAAAGTCAGTCACAGGACTCTCATTGGTGCCAGTGTCATAGTTAAGAAAGAAAGAAAGAAAGTTTTATATATCCTGTAATCTAGACTGGAAGCTAAATAATTGCTAGGAAGCAAACTTAAGTGATAGCTGTTAAGTTTTTTGGTTTGTTTTTGACCAGAGATGATGAAGTAGGTGATCTTTTCTTGGTTTGCTCCTAGACTCTTCCATTTTAACTTATATTTTTAGTTTGGTGCAAAAGTAATTGCTGTTTGGGACCATGAATTTTAAGTCATTATAACTAGGTTCACACAAATCTTTATTAATTAAAATAGGAACCATTACAATCAACACATTTTTGCCAATGAGAAATAAGTTTGTTTACTCCTGTAGCATAAAAATCCATGCTTCCAAATTTGACGAACTCTTGGAAAGCATTTTCTGTGTCCTGCTAGTTGTGGAAGCAATTTCCCTGCAAAACGTTGCTGAGATGCCTAAAGAAGTGGTAGTTTGTTGGCAAGAGGTCAGGTGAATATGGCAGATGAGGCAAAACTTCATAGCCCAATTAGTTCAATTTTCGAAGCGTTGGTTGTGCAACGTGCGGCCCAGTGTTGTCGTGAAAAGAATTGGGCCCTTTCTGGTGGCCAATGCCGGCTGCAGGCATTGCAGTTTTTGGTGCATCTCATTGATTTGCTGAGCATACTTATCAGATGTAATGGTTTCACCTGGATTCAGAAAGCTGTAGTGGATCAGACTGGCAGCAAACCACCAAACAATGACCATGACCATTTTTTGGAGCAAGTTTGGCTTTGGGAAGTGCTTTGGAGCTTCTTTCAGTCCAGCCACTGAGCTGGTCATCGCCAGTTGTCGTATAAAATCCACCTTTTGGCACACATCACAATCCGATAGAGAAATGATTCATTATTGTTGCATAGAATAGAGAAAATGACACTTCAAAACAACGAATTTTTTTATTTTTCACTCAGCTCATGAGGCACCCATTTATTGAGCTTTTTCACCTTTTCAATTTGCTTCAAATGCCGAACGACCATAAAATGGTCAACATTGAGTTCTTGGGCAGCTCTCTTATAGTTGTAAGAGGATCAGCTTCGATGATGTTCTCAATTGGTCATTATCAATTTCCGATGACTGGCCACTGCACTCCTCATCTTCAAGGCTCTAGTCTCCTTTGCAAAACTTCTTGAGCCATCACGGCACTGTATGTTCATTAGCAGTTCCTGGGCCAAATGCATTGTTGATGTTGTGTGTTGTCTCTGCTGCTTTATAACCTATTTTGAACTCAGAAAATCGCTAAATTTGATTTTTGTCTAACATCATTTCCATAGTCTAAAATAAATATAAACAGCAATAAGTCATTAGCAAAAAAAAAGTGAGAAATATGCTTAAAATGATGTATAACATAACCACATTTATTTAAGAATGTACTCCAATATAAAACGGCAAATTTCAACAATGCAAAAACCGCAATTACGTTTGCACCAACCTAATATTTTCCTTTTTCAGGATTTTACTTTAAAATAAGCAATAAGCTTGAGAGCACATAGAAGAAAATAAGCTGGATTTTGCATCTGCTTGACCCACTAGGAAACTAGTGATATTAAATTATTAGGTAAACAATGAAAGTTTCTGAGCAACATCTGATCTTAGAAGGCAAACTCCATTTGTTAATATGACAGATTGTAATTCTGCTTCCTAAGTCTTCATGATTTCTTCCTTCTGTCTAGTTCATTGCTTATTTTCATTCTTTAGTGTGGAATTGTATCTGTGATTCTGCCCAAGTTCAACCAACCTGTTCTCTCTTATCTTTCTCTAGACAGAATGATGTCTGTAGCTGTGTTTGTGTAATTCAGGTGGCTTCTCAAACTAGCCTCTTAATACCCAAATTATTAGTCTTTATATTTAGTTGACAGAGTTTTCACATACCTTCTCATTTGACTTCTCTACTAAAAGGTAGTTTTAGACTGTCCCATTTTATAAGTGAGGAACCTTTGTATATCCTGCCCAAGGGTGCCGTAAGTATGGCAGAGCCAGCACACTAACTCAATTCCTTTGACTCCAGGTCCAGCTTTCCTCCCTATGTTGTTTAGCACAACCCAGAAGGAGACAGCAGTGTCTCCTGAGGGATCCCTTCCTTTCTCTGTGATGCAGTACTGACAGTAATTATTCACTTTGGACACTGCTACCATCATGGCAAATTTAGGCCATTTAGATAAAAGGGAATTAACTAATTATAATAAAAGGGGATATATTATGAAATGTATAAAGCACTTTGTTCCTTTTTTCTGTAGTAATTTTGTGACCTAGTCCTTGGTTACAGTAGTGAGGGTTCAGAAACCTGGGAGCTTTTTGAGTAAATACAAAGCACAACATAAAACTTTTATGTTTGACTCTATTCCTGTTCAAAGCTATTTCTGTTAACTAAGCTTATCTGCGCATTCTAGTTGGGAACTATTACTACAATGTTAGACTGCTCCATGTAAAACTAATAAATGGCAGTAAAAGGTCTCAGAAGCACCAAGGGTTTTGATCAGGTCAGGAGTTAGAAACTTAATGTCATTTGTATTCATTTCTTGACCAATTGCCAAAGTTTATATATTTTTAATTTTTCTAACATACCACATTGTCTGTTGTATTAATACCAGTTCACTTTTTGTTTTCTGCAGAAAAATCCAGAGGAAGACAACTCAGGGAGAACATTGGGTTGGGAGCCAGGGCACTTGCTGCTCACCATCTGCACCGTGCGCAGTATGGAGCAGCTCCTGCCGTTCTTCAATGTGCTCAGTCAAGTCTTCAACAGCAAAGTCACAAGCCGATGTGGAGGACACTCAGGGAGTCCTATCCTCTACTCAAATGCCTTCCCTAATAAGGACATGAAACTGGAGAACCACAAACCATGTTCCAGCAAAGCCAGGCAAAAAATAGAAGAGATGGTAGAAAAAGATTTTCTGGAAGGGATGATAAAAACTTGAGCACCATTGCTGGTTCCATTTAGCTTACATGTAAATGTAATTATTTAAAACACACACACTGCTCTGCGTTGTATAGTTTTTCCTTTTTTGTATGTAACAGAACACATTTCAGATTGTATTTAATTTAAATATTTGTATATAAGAGCAAATGTCTGAATGTGGCCTGAATCAAGTTTAAATATTGTTGGCTCATACTGATTATGGTGCCTAAGAGAGCTATATATATACACATGTAAAGTCCATTGTTTTTATTGTCCTGAGTTGTCTTAAACCTGCAAAATATACACTACCCATTTTTTTTTTCCATTGGTTTCAGACTTGGTTCAATTAAGATTGGTTGGGGATTTTTCTCTTTTCCTTATTAACCATGTTCTGGTATCAGAATGGTGTTCCTTCTCCATCAGAGGCTGGGAAACGTATTATAATTAGTTTTTCTCCCACATACCTTCACCAAGAGCAGTGAAGAATAACTGAAGGCTGGACCATGCATCCTTAAAAGTATTGCATGAGCATCTCCACCTCAGTATGGAAGAGGGATGGACAACCCCCTATTCATACCTCTGAGTTCCTGATGGCATTAGTCATATAGGTAAGTCATCTAATAATCTTTCTTAAGACTCTGCAATGGAAAAACTGGTTGTATAAAGTCTTCTCTGCCCTCTCCATTTGTATCAGCAATGGGGAATGCTGCAAAACATCATCTTGCTCATGTGATGGTGATGGCAAAGATATCACAAGGAGTTGGTAATAAGATTTAATTTTCCAGTAGCCTGCATGAATTGTTCCCCACATAAAACTGTACAGTTAGTGACTGAATTGTATACTTAAGTCCCAGTATTTTACATTAGTGAGACTGAAATTAGAGGTAAATTTCTTTAACAAGTGTAAGGCTTACCTATTTATAAAGAATTATTCTGTTAGTGTTTAAGAAAAACAGATCTAGAGACAATCCAGTAGGCTGCATTGTAAACATTATGATTATAAATCTCTTAGTACTGCCATTATTATTGACAGTTTTGTAAAGACTTGTAAAAAGTCCAGTTTCTCAGGAATATGAAAATTATCTTCAGAAACCTGGTTGGGGCCTTTCTCCAATTCCTCCAGCCAGCTGAAATACTGCCAAGCTCACTTCATGTGCAAGGTGATCTGCACTTTCCTGCAAATTACATTAAAAGAGATTAGATGAGAAAGACATAGCATGTGTCTAACATGGGCAAGACCATGTTACTTGGAACTCTGGGGAAGAGAGGGGTGATTCTTGATTTTGTTTCACTAACAAATTCTAATGAAAACCTTTTTTCATCTTTCAGTAACAAATTCCAAAGCCCTTAAATAAACGGAAAACAGACCAAATTCTTCTAAATAAGGTAAGTTTTTAATCAATTCAGATTATAAAAATAGCTATCATTCCACAACTGAAAAAATTCAATAAAACTTTAATCCACAATTGGCCTAACAGTAAGTAAGTACTAATGCCTCTGTTGCCATCTCCTCATCCATCATGGATATTCATTAGACTCTGAGATGGCTTAAGCTTCTGCAGGAAAGCTGCCAAATGTCTCCTCCTGATTCCCTATTCAGCGCACTCACTGTACTTTGCCCTGGCTTTGCACACACTTTAAGGAGTATGTGAAGAGGCCAAATAATAAAAATCCAGACCACAAGTCTTGACCCCTGTCAGGGAAACAGGCACAGAGTAAGGCTGTCATTTAAAGGAAATATTTTGAAAAACAAATCAAGAGTCCAGAATGCTATCAGTTGACTTAGAAATGAACTACAAAGCTGGTTGTTTTCATGTCACAAGAGTATATTTTTAAAAGAAGAGAAAAGGATCATCTACCTTATAGTGCATAAACTAAGTATTTATTAGTTATTCCTGCCATGGTTAAAAATATGACACTTTCAGGAAGTCTAGAATAAGTCAAAAATATTTGGGGAAATAAACTAAGTGGGTCTAATTTTGTTAAATTGTATAATTACTGCTGGTGAAAATAATTTTGTAGTCTTAATGTGAACCTAAAAGGCTCAACAAAATAAAGCCTTAATCATCATAGTGAGATTCTAAAAACCATTAAAATAGTTTGCCTGCCCATCACCTAATATTAGGCTCTTTTTCAATAGAACTATCCCAGCTTACTTGTGAGTCTGCTTCTGCATATACTCGGACGACATCTTCTGTACCAGAGGGCCGGACAAAAGCTCGAGAAAGCTTGTACTTCTTCACCAGGTCATTGATTGCCTCCTGTAATCCTGGGGGTGTAACTGCTTGTCTTTCAGCATCGGTAGTGCTAATAACTCTCCTGTCTGCAACCTAAGTGCAAGCATTTCATATTTGTTACTCTATTACACTTCCTTTCAGAAGCTTAACCTGTTAAACATACATTCTACGAAAAGTGCCAGACTAAATATAAAATTACATTAAAACTTCTTTCTCCAAGGTCAGGGTAATTAATTTCAACATTTGTGCAACTTTTCTCTTTTTCTTCAGTCTATAAAGAATTACCTTTGGCAAAAAATATTTCCACAAATGCTTAGAGTTACCACTAAGATAATGGCCAGTAAATACGATATGACTAAGTCCCATATCACACACAAAAACAGGATAAGTGGTAGCCCATTATATAAGAAGACCGATAAGAATTTCTTAAATATGCCAAAAATAATCTGAACAATCAGCCATTTCTGTGAACTGTGGCTTTAGTACCTCCAATTGTCTTTCACAAATTCTGTTGGTGAATGTGTAAACTGGCATAAACATGTACAGAAATCAATTAGCAATTTATCTGAATTCTCTCCCTCAGGAAGTACTCTGTGAACTAAACATAATGCAGAGTAAGTACTTTCACTTGAAATGACAGGGCATCTGAGTTTTGCTTCAAAATAATGTTGGGGCCAGGTGCAGTAGCTCACACCTGTAATCCTAGCACTTTGGGAGGCCAAGGGAGAAGGATCACCTGAGCTCAGGAGTTCAAGACCAGCCTAGGCAACATAGTGAGATCTCGTCTCTAAATAAAATATACAAAAGAGTATTGGGAGGGGGTATGAAGAATGTATAGGGCAATAATTGAAATCTGTTGAAGCTGGGTACACAAAAGTTCATTATGTTGTTTCTCTACATTTATATCTATTTTTAATTTTTTTATATCTATTTTTAATTTTCCATAATAAAATCTCTTTAAAAAAGTGATGCGTCATTCATATTATTTATTATATCATAAAGTTGGAAACCAAATACTTCACAGACAATAGAATGTTAAGTAAATGAACTTAGTTATTCTATAATTTTTTTTTCAGCTGTAAGAGAATACAATTAGGTATCATAAGGCCTTCTTTTTTTGTTTTGAGACGGAGTCTCGCTCTGTCGCCAGGCCAGAGTGCAATGGCATAATCTCGGCTCACTGCAACCTCTGCCTCCCAGGTTCAAGTGATTCTCCTGCCTCAGCCTCCCAAGTAGCTGGGACTACAGGTGTGTGCCACCACGCCCAGCTAATTTTTGTATTTTTAGTAGACAGGGTTTTACCATGTTGGCCAGGCTGGTCTCAATCCCTTGACCTCATGATCCGCCCGCTTTGGCCTCCCAAAGTGCTGGGATTAAAGGCATGAGCCACGAGCTACTGCGCTTGGCCCATAAGGCCTTATTTTCTATGTATCATATGTGTATGTACAGAATGAAATAGGAAACATATGTCAGTGAGATATAATGAGAATTGGGATAATAGGTTTTACTTAGCTAATATTCAAAAAAGTTACTTTAAAGTTTCTCTCACACCTGAACTTTAAGTTGTCTGTTTGGAAGATCTGTATAGAGAGCATCCCACTGTTGTACAGTCAAGCCCTTCAGAGCCAAGATTGCTTCAATCACCAGCATGTCAGAAATAGCATCACCAGCTGCCTGCAAATGGGGAAACAAATGGAAGAAACCACTTAACACAAGCAAATCTTGGAAATGGATGTTTTTTCTTAGAAAACCAATCACAGTACAGGTTGAACAACCTGAATCTGAAACATGCTGAGTGCCAAAATAATCACAAGTGAAAAATTCCACACCTGGCCTCCTGTGACAGGTCAAAATGTGGGTATACAACTGCCAGGTGTGGTGGCATACACCTACAGTCCCAGCTACTCAGGAGAGGCTGAGATGGGATGATTACTTGAAGCTAGGAGTTTGAGGCTGCAGTGTGCTGTGATAATGCCTGTGAACAGCCAATGCACTCCAGCCTGGGCAACATAGCAAGACCTTGTCTCTTAATAAAAAACAAATGCACTCCTGACCTCACTGTCAGGAATTTGAAACCAGCCTGGCCAACATGGTAAAACGCCATCTATACTAAAAATACAAAAATTAGCTAGGTGTGGTAGTGGGCGCCTGTAATCCCATCTACTCGGGAGGCTGAGGCAGGAGAATTGCTTGAGCCCGGGAGGCAGAGGTTGCAGTGAGCCAAGATTGCGCCACTGCACTCCAGCGTGGGCAACAGAGCGAGACTCCATCTCAAAACAAAACAACAACAACAACAAAAAAAACCCACTAAAGGCAGGCCCGCAGTTCATTCAGCATCCCCAAGGGAAAAAGACCCTCTCAGCCTCCTTCAGCTATGATACATCGTTTCCATGCATGCCAGATATGTATCATATTTTTTACTATTAAAATACTTGTGTGTGAATAAGTGTAAAAAAATGATTGATTGCTTATTGATTGATAGCATATAAATTCAGAGTTTTAGGAATGATGGTGATGCCAGACAACCACAGATTGTCCAACGGGTGGCTGACAGAGTGACACCTTTGCTTTCTGATGGTTCAGTAGACACAAACTTTGTTTCATGCACTAAATTTACAGTATTCTATAAAACCACCTTTAATCTTATGTAACATACATGAAACAAAAGAATTTAGTGTTTCCGACTTGAGTGCCATACCCAAGATGTCACATTATATATATGCAAATATCCCAAAATCCAGTGAATCTGGAACCCAAAACACTTCTAGTCCCATGCATTTTGGATAAGGGATACTCAGCCTATATCATGTGCTTTCTCACATGCAGCATGATTAAATGAAGTGTTTTTGTGGATGGATAAAATACGAACAATGAGGTGAAGATCTCTGTGGAAGACAATGAAAGGTATAACAAAGAATACTGAAACTAGCTCTTGAGAAACTTGCCTTTAGTACTCCTTATTTATAAAATGAAATTAGACTGGATAACTCTAAGGCTCAGCCTAACATTCCATCACTCATTTTTCTTTTTATAAATAGATCCCTTTTGAGATATTACCCCACAATGATTGATAGAAAGCATCAAGGTAAAATGGAGAAATATGAGCTTTGGTATAAGATATAACTGAAGATAAATCTCTGTTTCTTCACTTATAAAATGGAAATTACAGTAACACCTCTCCCTGTGTTACTGTAAGGATTACACAGCAAGGTATATAAAGTGTCCAGTGTGTGCAAGACACTCAAATAATTGAATCGCTTTCCTCTACCCTGAGTACTGCTTTTCCATAGCCAAACGACACTCCAACCCCAACTAACCCACATGTATGTCCTTTGTCAATGAGACAACCAGTTATTTGTGTTTGTTTTTGAGACAGAGTCTCGCTCTGTCACCCAGGCTGGAGTGCAGTGGCGTGATCTTGGCTCACTGCAAGCTCTGCCTCCCGGGTTCACACCATGCTCCTGCCTCAGCCTCCCGAGTAGCTGGGACTACAGGTGCCCGCCACCATGCCCGGCTAATTTTTTGTATTTTTAGTAGAGACGAGGTTTCACCCTGTTAGCCAGGAGGGTCTCGATCTCCTGACCTCGTGATCCGCCCTCCTTGGCCTCCCAAAGGGCTGGGATTACAGGCATGAGCCACCGTGCCTGGCCTGACAACCAGTTATTTTTACTTAATTTCATCGAGGTTTGGTTAAAAAAAAATTAATAATATATATGTATACACTGAGTAGCTGAATCTGTGATCCTAGGTAGAAGCTACCCAATATACTTGAAAATTTCCATCATAAGAGGTAGGGGAAGGGAAGCATATTAAAAAATGTTCTGTCATTCCATTTCATTATAAATCTCAACTGAATATACCACTATTAGAAGGAAGCCACCAGGCCAGGACGTCTCCACTTTAATTTTGTATGCACCCACACTCTGTTCTGTCCATCTTCTGAATAATGTAAAGGTAACCAAGAGTCCACTGCCCCATCAGTTCTGACCTGGTTAAACAAGTCAATAATGTTTTCAAGCATCTTAGCAGCTTTTCTTTTCTTATCTTCCAGTTGTTCTGCTGATTGTTTTATCTTCATTTCAACAGCTGTACTAAACAGTGCCTGCAGCAAAAGAATATAAAATCAGTCTCAAAACACTATCCAAAACCTAGTCATAAGTACTATTATTCTAGCTAACCCACTTTTCCCTCCTAGTCAATCTGGAGAAACTGAGGGGAAAAATAGTGGCAGCCTTAAAATGTATGAAATTAATGTAAGATCACATTAAAACCCAGAGGATAGTACTAGGGGAAAAATTTTATTTGCGGATTATATAACTGGTTATAAAAATTTAAACATCTGATTACAAAGAAAACACCACCTTGACAAGAGGCAAGCACACACAGTAAGTTCATGTTTTCCCTTTAACCAGCTAAATCATTTCTGTGCAACCAGGTTACTTAGAGCCTGTCTGTATCCTTTTTACTTTGAAGGATATAATTCATTGCAGCTAGTATAGTTTTATTCTAAAACTTAAGGGGATGAGCTAGGCAAAATTAAGAGTTCATAGTATTCATCAAAATATGGCAAATAATGTCATGGATAGTCATTACAATATATAATTCATCATGCTCCTCAAGAGTCTTATCTCATTTGGAAATACTCATCTTTTTTACTGCCTTCTAGAGGCCTAATACTGAGCAAGATTAGCATACTATGCTCAACTACTTGATGAAATACATTTTTCTTGATAAAATAAGGCACAGGCTAGTCACCTGTTTTTGTAAAGTTTTACTGGAACACAACCACACAGATTCATTTAAGCTAGATCAGCAGAGTTAAACAACTGTAAGAGACCTTATGGCCTGAAAATCCAAAAATATTTACTCTCTACCCTTTAGAAAATAATTTACCAACTTCTCCATTCGATCACTAAAGTTATATCTTAATTGCATTTTGTAGGAACTTATTTTTCCCCTTTTTATATTTATGCCCTCCAAAAGCCAATTTTAAATTAATGAGGAAAATTATTTGGCTTTGATTCAAATGTTCTGATAGCCACCTCAAGTGTATTCATTAAATGAGGTGAGTATAAAAACATTTTAAAAATATTCTGAACATTATGAATCTACAAAAAACTAAATTATACACTTTAAAATGTAATTTTATGTAAAATGTAAATTGAAACATTTTATGCCTATCACTAGTTACCTTAAATTCATTTTCATTTCTTATTAATTATCAACTTTCCAACACTTTGCAATTCACCATAGCGACTGAATTTTTCTTTTCCTCTCCTATGGCCAGCCGGAAAATGCATAGACAACATACTTATAAAAAAATTAAGAACTGTAAATTTTAAAAAACTATTCAAAACACCTTAGTATATCTCTTCACATTCAAAGAAGAATCATTACCATGTAAAAGAGAATCACAGTTTCATAATACATCAATATATAAGATAACCAAAGGATCTTTTTGTCACATCCAATTATTTCAACAAAGTACAATATTACCTATTATTACCTCCCAGATATAGAAGTCTCATCATAAAGAAAAGTGCCAGCTAAGGCCAACTATAATTAAGAGAACTTACAGTGCCATGCCCATTTGCTTCAAAATAAACTCCAATGTCAAACTCTTGAGCCTTGTGGTGCAAATGTTTTACACCAGTCTTAGTGCAATAGACAGGTACCTATAACACATGCATTTAAAGAAATACAGCAATTACTCAGATGTCAAATGTTTCTTGCATACCTAGTATCCCAGAGATACAAAGGGGAACAAAATACTGGGGCCGAGTCCAGTGAGGAAGACGATTAAGCATTAAAATACAAAATGGTACGTATACAATGGAAGCATGAACACACTCTGGAAGCACGCAGCCAAGGGTAAAGCACGGTGAGAGAGATGAGGGTCTCCTTATAAGACACGAAAGATTACAAGTGGGGGCGTGACATGACCTAACTGTTTTAGAAAGCTGTTTAGCTACAGTGTGGAGAATAGCTTAGAGCAGAATTGCAAGCTTTTTCTGTAACAGGCCAGACAGTAAATATTTTAGGCTTTGCAGGCCATATGGTCTCTGTCACAATTACTCTGCCATTACAGTGCAAAAGCAGCCACAGACCATACATAAACAAATCAACATAGCTCTATTCCAATAAAACTTTGTTTGCAAATAGCAGCAAGTTCAATTAGAAGGTTAAGAAATGGAATGAGGAGGCTTCTAGGACTAATCCCAGTAAGAAATAGTGGCTGGATCAGCAATAGTGAATAGGGAAAGTCATGGATGGATGGATCTGAGAGAGCTTTAAGAATGGTTAAGGAAAGATTGATAGTAGAAAAACTGCAAAAGAAAGATCAGCATTAGATTGGATGTAGGAGACCTCAGGAATGGCAAGGGCTAAAAATATTTCATCTGGAAGACAGTGAGTTGAGAAGTAACAGTTTCTTAAACTAGGTTATTTTATCTGTAATAAATTTTTAAGACAGAAAATGAAAATCCTAAAACAATAACCCAAGTACTGTGAAATAACCCAATCCCTGTGAAAGGCAGGCAAATGGGCCCCAGATGGAATCCCTTGAATGAGCTTATTATAACCATATATTAAAATCAGGTCATAAACTAGCAGCCTCAAGATATATTTCGTTTTGCCCAGCCACTGTTTCTTTTTAAACAAATAGGAACATCACATGAAAATTCAGATTTCCTGCTTCTCTTGAAGAGTGTGACTACAGTTGACATCAGCTGGCACATACTGACCTGTTTTTAGCCCCCTGCTGCCCTCATTCACTTTACCTGTCCAAATCCTGCAGGAATCTGACTTTGTAATTCCTGCTTTCTAGAGAATGGAAAGGTAACTAAAACTAGTATAAATGCCAGAACGAGGTACAAAATGAGGTACAAAAAAGTTGGAAAACTTCTCGATAATGAGAAAGTATAGGCAAACAGACTTCCAGTTTTGTCCATGAACCCTGGTAACTCTCCGAGCAAGTAGTGTGGTGCCAAGGGTGGTCACCTGGTGGACACCGGGGAAATAATTAGAAACAGAATCTCCCACCACCCCAGAAAACCTCTCCAAAAAAAAAAGAAGGGTAAGAAACAGTTTTATTACTGAATAAGTATTAAGCCAAACTGATGTTCAATCACAGGCTAATTTGCTAAGAGATAGCAAAGATAAACGCTCACCCTTTAATATAGCCAAGCGGACACATTCCAATACAATTTGCTAAGATAAAAGATGGCTAATGACAAAAATTCTCTCCTTGACCAAACTTTAGTTAGGTTTAGGTGGGCCTGACTAGGCCTTGTCCTTAGGCATGTCTTCCAATAGCCCGATTTTAATAAGAGTCATGCTAAGTGAGCTTAGCGAGAATCCCTCATCCTGATACATGACCACTCTTGACATCTGATCTGAGTTCTCATTCTCTACCATCCCCCAGGTAATATGTGACCGCCCTGGCCTACCTTCAGCAAAAGTCCTGTTAGATCAGTTTAGCCAAAATACCACCCACTTACCCTCATGTTTCCTCTCAGTAATTTTTCATCCACTGACCACCCCCCACACACCCTGCTCCTTGGCTATAAAGCCCTACTTTTCCTTACTATATTTGGAGTTGAGCCCAATCTTTCTCCTACCACTGCAAAACTCCATCACATTAGTCCCTGTACCTATCACAACAGTCCTGAATCAAGTCTGCCTTACCATTTTAACAAGTGTCATGAATTATTTTTTCTTTAACACTAGTCCTCAAATAGGAAAACTTGAAACCACCATTTGTCACACACATAGTTTATCCTAAACTTACTTGGTAATAGGGATGGCCACCTGTGTTAACTGCCCTTCTCTAAAGGAGTAATAAAACTTTTCATACCTCTGTGACAGGTAGATAGTTACAAATTGGACGCAAACACCTAAGTTAAACTCTCCTGAGACTGGGAGATAGGTGAGCTATCTTCCTTGATGTTTATATTTGAAATTGGTGACTCTAGGCCCTTAAAGAAAAGTATTCCTGAGCTATAAAACTGGCTTATTAGGCCTTTAGAAAGACTTACATTCATTACAAAGGCACAGAGAAAGAATTCCAAGTTTTCTAAAGGAAAACTCCAAGAAAAGGAAGGAAAGAAGTTTTCCTTTATTCATCAAGGACAACTAAATTTTTTCTTATTTATTTCTCTTTACCTTTACATGAACAGCAGCTCAGCTTCATGCACTACAACATAATCACTTTTATGAGGGCAGTATCTTTCTCACAGAAACATGATCTTAATTAAGAAACTACCAGAAAACAAAAATGGTTCAATACCTTCATAACTTCTTCAAGATACCGTGTTGAACTTCCATTTGCATATGCAGTTTGTACAACACCAATATTCAAACTTTCTCCAATCTAGACAAAAACAATGATACTTAACTTGCCATCAAAAGTATGGTCTACAAAAACAAATATAATGAGAGTTCTAAAGGCTACCAAAATTATCAGCCAGTTCAGTTGTGCCTTAGTTTATGCCAAAAATGTCTGACTGAAAATTTACATGTATGCCAGGAAAAAAGCCTAAAATACATTTGAACACTATTTAAAACAATTCTATGAGAATTCCTCTTTTAAGAAGCCTGTATCTCCTGATCTTCACCTCTTTAATTTTTTAAATAAAAGTATCTGGCCAGGCACGGTGGCTCACGCCTGTAATCCCAGCACTCTGGGAGGCCAAGGTGGGTGGATCACCTGAGGTCAAAAGTTCGAGACCAGCCTGGCCAACATGGTGAAACCCCATCTCTACTAAAAGTACAAAAATTAGCCAGGTGTGGTGGCATGCATCTGTAATCCCAGCTACTTGGGAGGCTGAGGCAGAAGAATTGCTTGAGCCCAGGGAGGCAGAGGTTGCAATGAGCCGAGATCACGCCCCTGCACTCCAGCCTGGGCAACAGAGCAACACTGTCTCAAAAAAAAAAAAAAAAAAAATCTATTAAATTCTTAAAGTATGCTGTTTCCAGATTATAATAATTTCCAATTACATTGTGTACTTAAAGCTAGCCTGAGATTTATTTCTAAAATAGCAAAATGAAACAAATCTCACATTACTAAGCTTATCATAATCAGTTAATATATCAGATGATGAGATTTCCTATTAGAATTTAGGGCTTTTATGGAGTGACCACAGAACTGTCATCAAAGTTTCAATTATGATGGAAGCAAAACTTCCTAAAGCTTCAAATCACAAAACTCAGCCAGTATAAGGAGGAAAAGAGTACCTTCAGGTTCCAAAGCCAATGCCTCAAATGTTCAAATGACTGGGTATTACCACTGCTCTTTTTTTAATTTTCTGCCCACTAATGTAAAGAATTTGTCATAAATTGTGCCCTTCTGACAAATGATTGTAAAATATGGAACTATTTCACTACTAAGTCTTGTTTTAGAGGGTAGCCAATCCCCCCACCATACCTCCACCAGGAGCTCTTTAAGGAAACTGCTAATTAACGTTGCTATCTTGTCTCCATCTATGAGATGAAAGTGGCCATCTGCATCATGGTAGTAATAAACAATTCTGTCTGCATCTCCATCAAAAGAACAGCATCTTTCATTGGACTTAATTTCCATTCCTAGCACACAGGATAATTTAACATGCATTTCAGTCTAAGAATTTATTATAAAGAGTTTTAGAATTTTCTCTTAAAATTATCCACCTAAAAATCAATGTCTTAATCTTAAATAGTGTATAATCTTTAAATAGTACATAGTTTATTAGTGGTTTTTACAGGTCAAATTCTTTCACTGCAAAGTGAAAAAAGGAGCATTCAAAATCTATGCTGATATTTGCTATAATACTACCATAAAATTCCACTTTATAAGCAGGTTGGTTTGGCTAGACAGGTGTCCCATAAAGGTTTTTTGAAAGCTACATGTATTTCTGAATGTAATTTACCTAGGACCGTGATCTCCTTTACATAGAAAAAATAATCAGCACTAGATGATGTATGTGCTTTAATTCTAACAGAAATGATTTTTATTTGTTCATACCACCAATAAAAAGAAACACTGATAATTAAGAGCAAAGAATTATAACTTTGAGAGATAACTGGCCTGTGAAATTTACATAAAGTTGCTGAAATCTCAGCAATTGTCACATCAAATTTATTAGAAAATTTGGCTATTCCTTAGCCATGACAGCAGCAGAGTGACAAATTCAACATGAGACAACTAAGAAGTAAAAGGCTTTTGTCAGGAATGGGATCATAAGATTGATGAAAGGACATGATGCAAGCTTCAGGAAAGCAAGGACTATGGTTTTGTTCATACTGTAGTCCCAAAGCCTAGAGCATAGAGAGTAAGAGCTCAGTATTTAAGAAATGGATAAATAAGTGGCAGAACTGAACTGTCAAGTAAATGTCAAAACAAGCAATTCAATGAAAAGGAGCTCAAATTGGTTGACTACACTGACATTTTAAATGCTTACTAAGTAAAGCATAATAACATGAATGAATGAGGCAACTGGATGAAGTCTGTAGAGTTCCAGAATGCATGTCCTATTTTAGGGGAGCAGCATCTATCTGACTGTAGTGGACTAATGCCATGTGTGAACATTTTCTGATTTTGGTAAAGAGATGCTAGAGATTCCAATATATAAGAGAAGTCACGGAATTTTTAAACAGTGGCACACAGACAAACACACAAATGCAGCCAGCCAAACAAAACATATCTGCAAGTCAGGTTTGGCCTAAGCAAATAATTTAGGGTCTATAATGCAGATAAATCCAGAACACCTCTTACTACAACTAAAATCTGAAGAAAAGTCTTCCTCCTATTCTGCACTGAGTGGAAAACACTGATTGCTAACAACTGTATAAGCAGAGTTACATTTGCTTTCCATAGTGTATTTAATTCAGATAAGGTATCTAATAATACTTACTATGCTCCCCTGTAGATCTGTGATTCTCAAAAAGGGATCCCCAGACAAGCACTGGGAACAAAGCCTGCAAACTTGATAGAAATGCAAATTTCTATCATATGCAAATCCTATGCCAGACCTCCAGAAACTCAGAAGTGGAGCCCAGGAATCTGTGTGCTAACAAGCCCTCAAAGTGATTCTGACACATGCCAGTTTGAGAACCACTGCTCTAGAATGCCATTTCCTGACTTTGCTTTCCCCACCTGATTTCCTGTAGACTATGAGGAATGGTGTGATTTACAGGCAGAGAGAGCAGACCATGTTTCAATGGCTCTGAGAGTGGGAAGACTTCTCAATGTCTAAATGTGGCAGAGCCAGGAATAGCTGCAAGATTCTTAACTCACTTTACCACCTTAGTTTATAAGTGAGATTGGCTTCAAAGAGCATTAAAAACAAATTTTTGCAGTGCTAGTACGACATACCCTGTGGAGGTTTCTGATGACTTTTCACAAAGTCAGCTCCACATAAATGATTGAGTTTGCCCTTGGACCCATCATTAAACAGCTGAACTGACAGGCCCTGTGAGAAGTAGTGTTCCATTTCCCTTAGCTTCAGGGCCCCTATGCCATTTGCACAGTCAACCTTAAGTGATCTGTATTCATCTCCACTGCAAGAAGCCTACAAAGGAAAAAGACACATGGAAGAAAAATTTCAAGTTATAAAAATAAATGTGAAATATAAAGCATATATACATATGTGCATATGTAAATATTTAGTTAACTCATTTTAATTTTTAAATTTTATCAATTATAATTGTGTTCATTTTTCAATTTTTAAAATTATAAAACACTAAAGTAAAATTTAAAAACACCTGGAACAACAGAATAGTTTTGCTGATTGAACAACTTATAGCATAGAGCTTTATTAGAATTTAGTCTCAATTAACAGGGTCTCTTAAAAGTAATATTACAAGGGAGCCATTCAAATGCAAGAATAAGCACACAGACAAATGGGCAGTAATGACATGTCATTCTTTTTATAGTATGTGACATCATCATCAGGCAGATTTGTTTTTTTTCTAATTGTCTCCTCTCCCAGCTATCCTCACCCCAAATTATAAGTTCTATGAGAGCAAGGGCTTTTAGTTAATTGTGCCTGGTAAGGACATATACTCAATATTTGTTGATCAAACGAATTATACTTCTCAAATCTCTCTACATTTAACAAGCCAATATACCTAGAAGAAAATCTCAATAGTACATGCCTCAGGTATTAAGCCAACAGCACCTACATTAACTAAGATCAAATTCATCTGAATGAATACTTATGATACCATCGTCAAGACCCCCACCATGTTTGCTTCCCCAAAGTATCTCAGAATGTACTACATAATTTGCCAAGTAAACGCCAATGTAAGTTAGCAGGATACATAGACCAGAACCTTGTGTAGCCCTAGAGAAAAACAAAAAAGGAGATATGCAGCATCTTTGGAAAAGGAAAGAGGAGGCATGACAAACAAGATAATTTGTTCAGTAGACCATGTTACTTTATTCATTTGTTTAACTTTAACCATGTTCAATAAACTTTTCACCTGTTTGGTGAGTTCCACAAAAGCCTTAGAGAGTTTCTGGTAGTAACCTTCTATAGTTGCCTTTCCATATCGGCCACCCGTGTTTCGACAATACACCATGTAGTGCAGCTGGGGTGTTGTTAACAAGCCATAATCTGTCATAGAAATACAAAAAGCAATTCACCGCATTTCTTAACAAAGAGAAAAAAGTTTAAATGCATTCATGTGTAGGAATTTCAGGGTGACAAATCCTTTTGTGTCATCTCAGACATCTTAGAAAACATAAAAATGATCTTAAAAAGAAATATAAATGACTATAAGAAGCCAAAAAACCAATCATTACATATAAACAGGTAACAATGTAAATATAAAGCAATACAGACAAGTAATAATTGAGTTCTGTTTCCAGTAACATTGCAAACTACATAATTCAGATGAATCATCCTCCTGGAAACAACCAACATGCTAGATAAAAGACAAAAACCTCCTTTTAAAAAGAACTACAGTGCTGAAAAGTGACAGAATTATCAGGCCAAAACATACCCGAAGGCAAGAACTCCAAGATCTAAGCTAGTTCGGAAGCCAGTTTTGTTCTGAAGTTATTCCTCTAAACTAGAAATTGAGCTACGGTTTTCAGAGCAAAAAAAGCCCATGCTGATCTAAGATGCAGAACCCAGTAGAAGACCAGACTCTCATGAAGTTGAAATCCCAAAGAACTATATCTTCAGTCCGAGGATGAGTCAGAAATTAATCACCCCATGTCACCATTCCCAGGACAGTTATCTTAACACTGAGCAGGGAAGACGGGAAAACCCATTCTTGAAGAGCTGTTACCAAGCACAGGCCCTTGCATGGACTTCCTGCCCAACATACATAACCACAGGAGTCCAAAGGAACTTTGTCATGAATTTTTTTTTTTTGAGACGGAGTTTCACCGTATCGCTCAGGCTGGAGTGCAATGGCGCAATCTCAGCTCACTACAACCTCCACCTCCCAGCCTCAAGTGATTCTCCTGCCAAGTAGCTGAGATTACAGGCACCCACCACCACGCCCGGCTAATTTTTGTATTTTTAGTAGAGACAGGGTTTCATCATGTTGGCCAGACTGGTCTCAAACTCCTGACCTCAAATGATCCACCCACCTCATACTCCCAAAATGCTGGGATTACAGGCATGAGCCACCACACCCGGCCTGTCATGAATCAATTTAAAGTGAACCCAGCCAGTGCCCCAGGTACCCAGCAGAAGCCAGACTAAACTTTACCAAAGGACTATACTTTCATTGTAAACCTCAAAAACGTCCCATAATTTTCAAAAACAAAAAGAAAGAAAACCAGCTTACAGTTAAACATAGCTAACATATAAGAAAAGCACCATGAGCAAAAAACAAAGAAAAATGGATCGCAAAGATGGACCAGTAACCAATAAGTAAATACTCAGTGACTACACCTGTCAGTTGGACCTGAACCTCAAACACAAGAATTTGACTGCAGGCAAAAAGGAGTCACTTTAAATTCTTGAGCCCTGAAGTTATTTAACAGAAATGGTACCTTATGAAGGCAACCTTAGCTCTGGTATAATGATGAGATGGGAGGAGATGGAGAAGCTCAAAAAATACAAATAAGAGCTTAGATTAGTTTAATGGAAGTGTTTACTAGAGGAACCCATTATTCTAAAAGACATGCTAAAGTAAGAAACAAAATAATTTTGTGACCAATATCAAAATTACCAAATAAACATTTACTAAATGACTAGTATATATACCCAGTGAAAAGCATTATCTATCCAACTCATCAACTCAGAAACCTGGAATGTGTTCTTCACAGTTCTGTTCTCCCCATATATCACAAAATCCTTTGAATGCAATACCAATTTTTCAAGAGCGGCCTAGCTGGTCTGTTTCCCTTTCTTAACAACTTTCCTTTCCCTTCTCTCTGTGACAAACAGAGGGACTGGCTTAAATGAAAATGTGATCATATCACTCTCTTGCATAAAATCCTTCAATGGAGTCCCATTGCATCTGGAATAGAGCCCAAGTTCTTGCCATGACCTCCAAGATTTGTATGAATTAGTCCCACCTTACCTCCCTACTCTCTTCTCCTAGCCCCTCTTCTCCCTATGTTGCAGCTACATTAACCTTTTTTCATTTACTGAAATACACTAAGCTGAAGAGAGAAATGAAGGAAAGGTTAAAAAAATTACTCTCAACTTTTTCTAGACTAAAACACTAGAAGAGTGATGGTTCTAGCGACAGAATGAAAATGCTGAAAAAGACAACCATTCTGGGGATGACAGAAAGAATACAGTTTGGGGCAGGGTGAACATGAGACAGAAGCAGGCCACCTAAGGGAAGACACCACTCAGACCAATGCTTTACAAACTGCAGGCCACAGCCTGCCAATGGGCCATGGAATTTACTTAGTGAGACACAACCAGCATTTGTGCATTTTAAACAGATGACTGCATGTCATGTAGGCTGGATGAGCATTGTTTATTGAAACTATTATTTCAGTTATACACACAAGCACACATTGACATGTCATGACACATAATGGGTTTCTTACTATGGGTTGTGATACACAGTGAAACAGAAATAGACTACTAGAGGGATGTACACAGCAGGTAGTAAAACATGTTTGATGAATTAACAAATGAATGAGGCCGGGCGCAGTGGCTCATGCCTGTAATCCCAGCACTTTGGGAGGCCGAGGCAGGCGGATCACGAGGTCAGGAGATTGAGACCAGTCTGGCCAACATGATGAAACGCCATCTCTACTAATACAAAAATTATCCAGGTGTGGTGGCATGTGCCTGTAATCCCAGCTACTCGGGAGGCTGAGGCAGGAGAATCGCTTGAACCAGGGAGTCAGAAGTTGCAGTGAGCCAAGATCGAGCCTCTGCACTCCAGCCTGGCGACAAAGTGAGACTCCATCTCAAACAATAAATAAATAAATAAGTAAATAAATAAATAAATAAATGAAAAAAGGTAGCTCAAGCTATGGCAGTAGAGATAATCATTCAGAAATCATGCAGAATGAAAGAGGGTCCCGAGGAATGCCCTCCCTGAAAGAGACAGAAGAGGAGCCAACAGAGAAGACCAATATGGAATAGTGGCCAAGCAAGTAGAAGCTCAAAGAAAGAGCTTTAACATTATGGAAAGCTACAAAGACTTCAACTGTAAGATCTTTAAAGCATAAATTATTAAAATTATTTTTAGATCACAGCCCCCTCTGAGTATCTGAGGAGAGGTACGCATGCACTCCCTGGGAAAGTGCTTGTGCCGGCAACACTCTGTACATCGTATCATGAGGTCCACAGGTCCTCTGCAGCTTTCCCAGACATGCCACAGAGGTCCCTGGTTAATAATCCCTACTTTACAATACCCACCAGATTTGGCAATAACAATGCAGATGGATGTCAGGGGTGGGCTGGGGAGACATTTATTTCAAGGAGAGGTAAGGATACAGACTCACCTGCAGAAAGCTGAAGAATGACAGAAGAGGAGGAAACAGAGAAGGTAAGCAGAGCTAGCCCTCAGCAGAGGCCAGACTGACCGTGCAGGAAGGGAACACAGTCGGAACTCGAGAGGAGGTTTCAAAGGTCAAGAGTGGACGTTTGTTTTAATGAGAAAGATCTCACACCAGGAAAATATTCACCTCAAAACATGGTGGAGGCAGTGCCTTCACAACAGACACAGTGTGAGAAGGGGATCCTAGTCTGTTTTGTTTCACTTAATTCTCTGTCATTTGATATAACATAAAGAACTACCTGTCAAAAATATTTCCCATCACTACTTGACAGGTAACAGCTGATTTCACAGGGAACCAGCTATTAGGGAAGACCTAATAATATTGATAAAAGCTCCCCAGAATGATCATCTTCAAGTACTTAAAAAGGTTTTTATTTGAGGAAATTCAGCCTTACCAAAGTAAAGGAAGTTGTATTAGTTCAGAATTTCCCAGCTATAATCTCCTATAGTACTACCATAGGTAAGACAAAACATGCCTGCCCAGAAACGACCTGGAAGATGATTTTTAAAGTTAGTATTTTGTATCTAGGAGTTCATTTTTTAAACATTTTTTGTTCATCTGTATTTTCAAACTTTTCTAAATAAATATACATTACTTTTGTAAATTAAAGTTTTTTAAATATTAGTTTAATTTCCAACTCAGGATAACTACATACCATGGAATTGACCTCCTAGAACAGTCACACCATCTATTACAGATTGTGAAAGTTTCTCACTGCTGGGCCTAGGAAAGAAAAGGAAGAAAATAATATATCCCATCCTGAAACTGGCAGGGTTGCTGGTTCTGCAAGCAAATGCAAAAATTACATGCTACAAATTTCAAAATAGTAAGTTCCTGGTATCTGAACTGAAAGCTATGAACTCTCAAGATAACTGGTAAATTATAAGCATTTTCCAGTAGCCTTTCACAATCTAGTTCTAGGAAAAATTCTGGCTTTTAAATGAATTTATAAAATAGATATAAAGGACACTCTAACCACAGCATACCCAAATACCTTTTCAAGTTCGACTACAGCAACATGTCTGAACTCTAAGAACAGTAACAATAAACACTGAATATACACAGTGTGTATAAGACAGTACTTGTATTAAGCTGCCAAGGATATAGAACCTGTTTTCCATTTTGTAAAGTCAGAACAAATTATCTATCTGAAAATAAAACAGATTACAAAACTGCCTTGGCCAGGCACAGTGGCTCACACCTGTAATCCCAGCACTTTGGGAGGCCGAGGTGGGTGGATCACAAGATTGAGACCATCCTGGCCAACACGGTGAAACCACGTCTCTACTAAAAATACAAAAATTAGCTGGGCGTGGTGGCACACAGCTGTAGTCCCAGCTACTCGGGAGGCTGAGGCAGGAGAATCACTTGACCCTGGGAGTCAGAGGGTGCAATGAGCCAAGACTGTGCCACTGCACTCCAGCCTGGTGACAGAGCGAGACTCCGTATCAAAAAAATAAAAAATAATAAAAAAACTGCCTTGTAGGAAAAAACGTTTCATCACTTACATTAGTTAATAGTTAAGAACCAAATACATGTGGGATGACTTTACTGTGGTGGGATAATTTACTTCAGAACATAAGTTACTCTGCTACCATCGTCGGTATCTGGAAAACCCTCTGGTAATACAACAGAGGGTAAAAAAACCAGTCCAGGTATTGGAGATTGAGTAGAAATTTCCTTTTGAAATAATCTCAGGTTAAAACCAGATCTTATGCAAAAGGAAATGCTACTGTTGCAAAGTATACTTTTCATCTAATATTTTACAAAAAGACATTTTTGTTAAGAAAGGCAAAAGCTGCAAAACAGAACTATGTGGAAAATAATATTGTAGTTTACAGTGAGCTCCAGCATGGGAAAATGATATAAATATTTGAAACAATAATAACACAGATTACAAAGTAAATCTTTAAAAATAATGAGTTCAAATCATGTGTTGACTCTGTAGGGAAAAAAAAATAAACCTACAGAGGGGGTGGGAGACATTTATTGAGTGCTTCTCTTGTGTCAGGAAGTATTTTACATACATTATTCTGCAGCTTGGGTTTTGGAGTAGGGTTTTAAACCAGAGTCAGACTCCAAACCCCAAGCTGCAGTAGTGACTTAGCTACTACATCCTACTAGAAAGGCCAGGCAGGTAGACATGCAACTCAGGGTAGTTCCACTTTACTTCTTTCCATTTGTCTTGGATTAAAACTGATACAATCGTTTATATCACGTTCCCAAAGGTTTTTTTTTTTACCAGTAACTCTTATCATCACCTGGTATCTCTACCAATAACTACAAAGGCATCTTGTTGCAGATTCACAGCTTCTTTCTCGCTGATGTCAATAAGCACTCTCTGCATATCTTGTTCCTCAGCATTTGCTAAACAGGTGGCATGTTCCTCCCAGGATGGTGCCAACATTTCACCCAAAGGATCAACCAATTTTACACCATTGTCTTCCTTAAAAGAAAAACAAACAATAAGCAATCTGTGCATACTCATGAGGCTGAGTTGAGAACAGAACTCAAAAGCTGTTTCCCTTCAACCAAAGACAGTGATGGCTGAGCAGCTTCAACAATAAACACCAAATATTAATACTGGACCCTGGATTAGGTATTTTATGTATATATATTACCTCATTAAATCCTCATGACACACATAATCAATTAAACTAATAATCCTATTTTAATTTCAATCTTCGAGAAAACTGAGCTTCAGAGAGGTTAGGTAATTTGCTTATGATCATACAGCTAACAAATGTCAGTACTGATATTAAAACAGCAAGTCTATCTTACTCGCCTAAAAACACTATGCCACACTAGCCTTTGTAAAAGGCTGTGATCTGTGCATCCACTATCCATAAACTGACTAGGGCACAAGTGGAGCAGAATAAGGGCACACAGAGATCCTTCTCACTATGACTCGGAACTCCAAGAACACACTAGCCAGCTTGTCAACCAGCGGGTAGGACAGACACTGAAAACTGCCTCCCAACACTGTTCTGCTCAAATTCGTGGAAAGAAAGTGTAGTTCACAGTGAATGTCACCTGAAAGAAAAGAGAATCATTTTGAGAAGTGCCTCTGGAACTAGCAATAAATGTGAGGGTCTTCCTAGAAGTCAATCAGTCAATCAATTATGGTGACTTACATATTTAGACATATACACATTTATAATGATCACATATTTGGACAAGCAATGCCCTTGTTTGGGGGAAGAGGAGGTTACAATCCTTCACAGACCTACACCACTTTAACTTGCTGCTGATTTAGCTACAAAGGCAAAAATCCCACAGCCCCAGCAATCAAATAGAAGCATATTATTCAAACCCTGTATTAATGGCCTATAGCTAATAAAGAATAACTACATTGTGTCAAGAGGTTGGCTAAGATATAGAAACAACAAAAGTGCTCATAAACAGATAAATGGATGAAGAAAATGTGGTATATATACACAATAGAATATTATTCAGCCTTAAAAAAGAAATACTGCCATTTGCATCATGGTTGAATCTGGAAGACATTATGCGAAGTTAAATAAGCCAGACACATGAAGACAAATACTGCAGGCTCATAACATACATGTGTTATGTAAAAAAGTGAAACTCACAGAAACACAGAGTAGTATGGTGGCGGCTAGAGGGTAAGGGAAATGGGGAGATGCTGGCCAATGGGCATAAACTTGCAGTTATAAGATGAATAAGTTCTGGAAGACTAACGTACAGCGTGGTGACTATAGTTCATAATAATATATATTGAAAATGTGTTGAGCGTACGTCTTAAGTATTCCCACCACAAAACAAGGTAACTATGTGAGCTAATGGATATGTTAATTAGCCTGATAGTGGTAATCATTTCACAATGTATACATATATCAAAACATGGTGTTGTATGACTTGAATTATACAATTTTTATTTATCACTTATACCTCAATAAAGCTGAAAAAATAATTGTGTCAAAAAGAATACTTTGATTAAAATCTAACTGTCACAAAGACTAGAACTATCAGGCGTCATCAATATTCTGCCAAAGCTCACCTGTTTGTTCATTCAGAACAAGAAATTATTGCCGAGCTATAAAAACCTGTCTGAAAATGTTCAAAATGTTTCTTTTCAAATCTTTACCCTTCCCCACCCAACCCCAATATCTTTAATCACTGCTAAGTTAACAAAGGAAACAATTTTCAATTACTGAAAATGTCTTAAATCAATAAATTTGGAAGGACATTGTTATTTCTCTAATATGGACACTCCAAAAAATGACAGTATCTTTTCATTCTTTCCACACCCTTAGGAATCATGAGCTTAATGATCATGCTCTTAAAAAAAAAAAGTTGTTTCACATCCAAAGCACATATAAATGAGAAGGCACATTCCTAGAATTAGAATTTGTACTTTAGGTCAATTTGCTCAGACACTAAGGCTTGGTCTTGTAAATAATGGTCTGCTTTATCAGGGCACTAAACCCATTACCTCAGGATTGTGGGACGCTGTTACCATGACTCCTATAGTGGATTTTGTCTGTTTTGACCTCAGGACAGCTAATAATCCCATGCGAAACATGACATGATCAAGATGTTCTGCCTTCGTTCGAAATCCAGCAGTCCCGTATTGAAGGATCAGTCCATTGGGCTTGGCGTGTAATGCTGAGTATTTTGTAATAGCACCTAAATCCATGTCTACAAAATTAAGAAATATTGTTTCGGGCATAACAAGTAATTTCTTAAGAACCATTTGCTTCAAAAACTGCCACCCCAAACGAATAGGTCTGTCTCATCCTGAACCTCCTCAAAGAACCCTATGTTTGACAGAGCAATGGGCAGGAGAGTAAGTCCTGTGGGTTAGAATTACCTACAAGATGTTGTCCAACTTGGTATGTCCACTCCTGGGCAGACTCAGGGCAGATAGCAGATTGTCCCCACTCTCCTCCCATTTTAGCTCCAGGACTATCCTGGACGCCGGGCACACTTAAATTGGTCCACTCTCAACTAAAATGAAGATTTTACACCTATTCAGAGACTCCAATGAGCTCAAAGATCATTTCATTTTACAAAAAGGGAAACTAACCTAAATTAACATAGATAGCTGGTGACGGATTGAGGCCTAAAGTCAGATTCTTGAGTGGACTGAAACTACATATCCCCAAATATCTGAGAAATCTTTGTGGTTCTTTTGCTATTTCTCCCAAACTACAGAGACATATTCTTAAAGGAAAAGCAAAAGGCAACAGTTTCTTCTCCAAGACTACCCAGATCTTTTTCCATTTGCTAAAAACAATCAGGACACCCTTCTAAGATGTTGCTCTAAAACTAGCAATATCTTCTTCTGAAAGAATGCCACCTTTTTCCTTTACTTTTAAAAATAAAACATCGGCCGGGAGCGGTGGCTCACGCCAGTAATCTTAGCACTTTGAGAGGCCAAGGCAGGCGGATCACCTGAGGTCAGGAGTTTGAAACCAGCCTGGCCAACATGGCGAAACCGCCTCTCTATTAAAAATACAAAAAAATTAGTCGGGCGTGTTAGCTGGCGCCTGTAATCCCAGCTACTCGGGAGGCAGAGGTTGCAGTGAGCCGAGATCGCGCCACTGCACTCCAGCCTGGGTGACAAAGGGAGACTCGGTCTCAAAAAAAAAAAAAAAAAAAAAAAACAGGCCAGGTGAGGTGGCTCAGGCCTGTAATCCCGGCATTTTGGGAGGCCAAGGCGGGCGGATCACGAGGTCAGGAATTCAAGACCAGCCTGACCAACATGGTGAGACCCTTGTCTCTACTAAAAATACAAAAAGTAGCCTGGCGTGGTGGTGCGCGCCTGTAGTCCCAGCTACTCAGGAGGCTGACGCAGGAGAATCGCTTGAACCCGCGGGTGGAGGTCGCAGTGAGCCGAGATCGCGCCACTGCACTCCAGGCTGGGCGACAGGGTGAGACTCCGTCTCAAAACAAACAACAACAAAAAATCGGCCCTTAGCCCACTAATACTGTTTTCTCTGGGATACTCCCATTAAGTGGAACTTGGGGTTTCCAACCTCAGTCAGTAGTTTTCCTTCAGTAGTCCATATACTACATTTCCTGGGTCAATTAATTCCCAATTAGCCCAGAGATGAGGAGCAGTCCGCCAGCTGCTAGCCTCATAATTTTGTTTTCTTTATTGTCCTTCATTGCTTCAATGAACAGAACTTGCAAGAAATGGTGAAAAATACTTGCTTTTGTCCAGTTGGAAAAAGCTGGCATTCAGTAAACTAATTTAGTTCAAGACAGTGATCAGATCTCTTTCCTAAGGATGAATACATATTTGTAAAAACTGAGCAGTCAGTTATGTGTCATGATTATTCATAAGAGTGTAAACCAGTCCTGTTAACTCCAAAAAGCCATTAAAAAAAAAAAGGTCCAGATAATATGAGTTCATCCTTTCATGCGTTTTAGGCCCTACAACTACTTTCAATGCCTCTGCGAATGCCTTTATTGAAAGCATATTTGCCAAATCCAGCGTCCACGCAAAAAGTTAAGAGTATCCCCCTACTCTCCATTCAATCTTCAAATCTCCTTGGTGCCTCTCTCCCGCCTACCCTCGAATCACCGCACAAGGGTGATTCCCGGCACTCCACCCTGAGGTCCCCGCCTAGGTCCACGTACCAGAGCCCCGGCAGGAGACCCGCGGCCCGTCCCGACCAGCCCGCCCGCGGGGCGCAGGGGCCTGTAGGTGTGTCCCGCGCGCTCCGCCGCTCGGTCAGTCGCCCGCCAGACCACTAGCCCCTCCGTCGGGCCGAGAATCTGACCTGTCCCGCTCCCACCGAGCCCTTGCCGACCGGTAGTCTCCCTTCTCAACTCCGAGCCTCGGGGCCCGGCTTACCTCGGTCAGGAAGCCCCCTTCACCTACACGCAGCGGAGAAGCGCCCAAGCAACAACGTCTGCACCCAAACCCAGTC
Organism: Homo sapiens; assembly: GCF_000001405.40. Taxonomy (NCBI): domain Eukaryota; kingdom Metazoa; phylum Chordata; class Mammalia; order Primates; family Hominidae; genus Homo; species Homo sapiens. The sequence goes on from NC_000006.12 coordinate 83,193,255, forward strand.
CTCAGAACCGCAGACGTGGCCCTGCGTGGCTTCCGGCTCGTCGCCACGCCCCCTGGCCAATCACGGCAGAGGACTATCCGCCAGCCCCGCCCCCGCCTCGCCGCAGGTCGCGCGCAGCTGGCGCCTGAGGAACTGCGGCTGCGGTTCCGAGCGGGGTCTGGGGCTGTTACCATTGAGTGACCAGAAAGGGTGAGGCCCCCGCGGTGGCCCGGGGGTTGGGGCCGAGGGTCGCGGGCCCTCAGAGCACTGCGGCCGCGGAGGCACAGCCTCCGCCTCCAAATCCGGGCCTCTGGGGGCGGCAGGCCCTGCGTTCCTGGGAAGCCGGGGTTCCTAGTGGTCTTGGCTAGGGGCGGGGGTGGGGAATCAGCCCCGTCGCTGGGCCTCGGACAGGGCGACCTCGCCCACAGTGAGCGCCGCCGGCGGCCCGCATCCCCCTCTCCGACGTCGAGGTCATCTCCCAAACCTTTGAATCTGGGAAGCCTTCTCCGGCTGCCGTCTCCCCGGGTACCCCCTTCCCCCAGCTCACTGTAAACATCTTTTATTTAATGACCTCTGAGACACCCCCTACCCTTATCCTGGGTCCCTCGGGGCAGAGGCCAGTGAATCGTAAACGTCCGGAGCCCTGGAATGCGGCCCAAGCGAAAAGGCCACCGCGGTGTTGGGGGGGGGCGGTCCGCGAGTCCAGGACCGAGGGGTGGCGACTGGCGCTGGGGAACTCGGAGCCCATCCTGCTGGCACTGCGGCCTCTCTCGCCGCAGCGTCTGGCTCCGCCCAAGCCCGAGCCCCGGGTGGGATTGGAAGCCGGGCCCCAGCCTTTCCCAGAATTCAGGCTTGCAGAGCGTCTGCAGGTGTCTGCCTGCCACCTGCAGCGGGACAGTTCCAAACACCTGTTGAAAGTGCAGATTCCCCTATCTAGTGCGGGGTGCGGGAGGCGGGAACCCGGAGCCCGGGTACGCAGAATATGGGTTTTTACGGAGTGTTTTAGAGGATGTTGTGCATACTAGATTTTGGAGTCAGGAAATAAAGAAGAGTGCAAGTGTCTGGTTTGTGCCCCTAGCTCTCGGTGCAAAGCGTTCCTGCAGAATTGCTTCCACGTAAAGGGACCTTCGGGAAATTTCGCTGGATACCGGCTGGCATTGACAAACCCAGCGTCCCTGAGCCTTGTGAGGTTTCCAGGCAGGCTGATTGCGAGGCAACATGTCTGCTTCGGTGAAAGAAAGCCTTCAGCTTCAGCTACTGGAGATGGAAATGCTGTTTTCTATGTTTCCTAACCAAGGAGAAGTAAAACTTGAAGATGTAAATGCCCTGACGAATATAAAGAGGTATTTGGAAGGCACAAGGGAGGCGCTGCCACCAAAAATCGAATTTGTAATTACACTCCAGATTGAAGAGCCCAAGGTAGGTACCCTGATTTAAGTGTTTGCCAGGTGCCCAGTTTTTAATTGAAACATCTAGAACATGAGCTTTCTGTCAAGGAAAGATAGAAATATTCCAGGTGCATATTTCCTTGTTTGAAAGATACGGAATGCTCTATAAATTGTCTTCAGTAAATATCTTTAATTTTATGTAAACATATACACCTTTTTAACAAATATACCTGGAGTTTTTATTGACGCTATCTTGCAGTCTTATGCCATTATTATTTTGTTCACCCATCCAGTTGGACTACCTTTCACATGTATCATGATTTTCATAAATCTAAATATCTCCTGTAACATAACTGTCTTTTAAGGAGTGAATGAGTGGATTTTTTGATGGCACCATAACACAGAAAGCAAATATGGATGGAAAAATCTAAAGACTAAAAATGAATTTACCTCCATCTTCTGATCCATTTATCTCCAGCAACATTAGCATAGCATAGGTAATACGTGGACTGGGCATTTGAGAACCACTGTTGTAGCTATTTCCTACTCATCCTTCAGTTGTTATTCCCTCAGAGGAGACTTTCTGGTTCTCCAGACTGGATTCTGTCCCGCTGGTTACACACTTCAATGGAACCCTCCACTTTTCCATGGTAATGCTTTTCACAATTGAAATTAAATACTTGCTATATGTAATTATTTGTTTAATGTGTGTCTCCTTCACTAGGCCCTGGACTTCATGAAGGGCAAAAATAGTGTCTGGTTTATTCACTTTTTTATCCCAGCACAAGGGCACCTGGCACACGTAGTTGTTCAATAAATATTGAAATAATGCATAAAAGGAAGCAATCATGTATGTAAAGTACCTGGTACATTTAATAGTAGCAATAACATTTCTCAAAATCATGCAGTTGCTATTGATAAACTAGCTTATGTGATGTTATGGTATTTAAATCTATTTGATTTTCATTTTAAGGTGAAAATTGATTTGCAAGTGACCATGCCTCACAGCTACCCCTATGTAGCATTGCAGCTGTTTGGACGGTCATCTGAACTTGACAGACATCAGCAGCTACTTCTCAACAAAGGTCTCACTTCTTACATAGGGACTTTTGATCCAGGTGAGCTCTGTGTATGTGCAGCAATCCAGTGGCTACAGGACAACAGTGCATCTTATTTCCTGAACAGAAAGCTTGTATATGAACCATCTACACAAGCAAAGCCAGTCAAGAACACATTCCTCCGAATGTGGATCTACAGTCACCATATATATCAGCAGGACCTAAGGAAAAAGATTTTGGATGTTGGGAAAAGGTTAGATGTGACTGGATTTTGCATGACAGGAAAGCCTGGTATAATCTGTGTGGAGGGTTTCAAAGAGCACTGTGAGGAGTTCTGGCACACAATTAGGTACCCCAATTGGAAGCACATTTCCTGTAAGCATGCTGAAAGCGTGGAGACAGAAGGAAATGGTGAGGACCTGCGCCTTTTCCATTCTTTTGAAGAGTTACTCCTTGAGGCTCATGGTGACTATGGATTAAGGAATGACTATCACATGAATCTGGGCCAATTCTTAGAATTTCTCAAGAAGCACAAAAGTGAGCATGTTTTTCAGATACTATTTGGTATTGAAAGCAAAAGTTCAGACTCATAAAAAGCGATTAAGAGGCCTATGCCTGTAATTTCACTAAGTCAGTATTTCTGTTAATAAGACCAAATTAAAAAGGCTAGTGGCTGTGTAGCATCCTCAGTGCAAAACCCAGCTCCAGAATTTTCACCTGGTAACGAATTTCAACTGACAGTGAAATGAATAGGCCTTTAAACTTTATAACATTGCAATTGTGATGTTATCTCTAGGTTTTTGTGTGAAGTCATTCAAAAACTATTTCATTGTAAATTAATAAAAACAATCCATTTAACTTGTGAAGCTGATTTGATTGAAGAGGAATCCAAAGCCCATAACTAACATCAAAAATCAAACTGCAATTATGAATTGAGAAATATGAATAGCATTTGTTTCACATTGCTAGCACACATGTGACACACCCACTTGTCTTTCATTATTGGAAATCTAAATCAAGTTTAAAATGAGAACAGGAAGGACATGTTTACTTCCTTTTTTGAGACGGTGCGATCTCGGCTCACTGCATCCTCAGCTTCCCAGGTTCAAGCGATTCTCCTGCCTCAGCCTCCCAAGTAGCTGGGACTACAGGCGTGCGCCACCACGCCCAGCTAATTGTTATATTTTTAGTAGAGACAGGGTTTCATCATGTTGGCTAGGATGGTCTCAATCTCTTAACCTCGTGATCTGCCTGCCTCGGCCTTCCAAAGTGCTGGGATTACAGGTGTGAGCCACCGCGCCCAGCCCGTTTACTTCATTTCTTACTTTAAACTCCTATTTCGAGTGTTTTAGTAAAACTAGATCCTAATAGCAGTGGCAAAGGACTCATAGACATGAAGTCCCACGAGTTAAAAGATGACACACAATGCTATGTGTTCTGGCTGTTTATATCAGTTCATGATACTAGCAATCCTGATACCAGTATTAGTTTAATTCTTATCCAGAAAAGATAAACACATGGTTCCTTGTCTACAAAGTATTCGCCTGTTTCAATCCAACCTTTGCCTGTGTGCCAGTATGCATTACTATAAAGGGCAAGAGACTGTTGAGGGGACCAGTGTGGATATCTGCATCATTACCTTATTGGGAAAAAAAAAATCTAATTCTACAGTCCGATGATGTTACTGCCATCTCCTCTGAAAATTCCAAGCTCCACAGGCTTCACCAGGCTTTTCAAAATGAGAGTTTATTTTAATGATTAAAAACCGCTATTTAAGTAGCTCTTGCCAAGCCTTTTCATTACCAGGTCTCCATCCCTCCCCAAGTATTTCTGCGAGTCTCATGTGCTAAGAGATGTCTTGAGCAGCCTCTGCAGCTTTCCGTGTTTCTGTGGTCAGCTACTGCTGCCCTTTCCCGGGAGGCATTCCATTCTCCTACTGGGTCCTCTCAAGATGCCAAAGCTTGGTGCTGGGATTTAGGAACACATCCTGTTAGATGTCAGACAGTGCTGCTTGTGCTGGGGAGCCTACAGAACTTCTGATGAAACTACCATCTGGTTTTACCCTCTGTGCCGTGGATGCAGACGTGTCCTTGGGCTACAGAGAGGACATGATGGAGCAGGAGGCCCTATCCCAAGGAGGTGTTAGAACTGGGTCCACTTTGTACTGCCTCTTTCTTCTTAGGTCACAATGAGTGTCCTCTCAGGGCACAACTCAGATCTTCAACCCATGGCTCGCTGTAGGCCTGCCCCGCCAGGTCCTCCAGCTTGCCATTCATGTTTCCATCCTAGCCTTGGTTGTGCTGGAACTCAGGCTGGAGCCTGACACTTTGCCTATATGCAAAGGGAAGAAATAGGACTTACATTGCCAAGGAATCACTTCTTAATGTTTGCCAGCACTAAAAACAACAAAGTATAGGAATCTTTTTCCCCCACAGTCTCCACAAAGCTATCAATAAGTATAATTCGCATTTACAAGTTTTAGGCCTTCAACAGATGTAACTCCATCCAAATGAATCAATATGTGCCATCAACCTACCTTATAGAGGTGTTTTTCCTGATTACATGAGCAAAAGTAGCTACAGAAAGATGGGTGTAAAGAAAAGGCAATAAATTCTAGGTTATGAACTCTACTGCTTCTGGAGCTATTTCTGAGATTTTTCAGAACCTACTTTTTTATAAATAAGTCTAATTTGAGCATTCTGCAATACTTTTTTTCCTATCAGGAAAACTAATGCAGATAGTATTATGGGGACGTGTAGGTTTTATAGAAAAAAAAAGTACATGTATAATTCAAAACTCAACTTTGTATGTATAGGAGTCTGCTGGTTGTTTGCACAGCCTGATATGAGCACATAATAAAAGTCCGTCATTCCCCAACCCCCTCCCCCTACACACACAGCTTATTTTGGGAAACTGCCCCTTCCCTGTGTGATTTGGGAAGAGAAAGTGATAGGAATCAAGTTGTCCTCTGGCAGCCTCCTGGAGAGATGGCTGTGAGCTCTTGCTGCTTAAACCTCTAGTGCCACCCTCATTTCTGACCTACTGAATGCTCAGCTGTTTGGCATTTCCTTTGAATGACCCAGCATCTTCCCTTTTGTTGTCGGAAATCAGAATCAGTCTCTATTGCTTGTAACTTAAGAATCTGGATATTCTGTTTATTATATTCTTAAATGGTTATTTGGAAAATGTGCTCATTTATAAAAGTTACAGTGTCTTTTTAAAGTTTGCTGAAGTAAATGAAGCATATCGTCAAGTATGTTCTTTGCTTTTCATTCCTTACTGGTCTATTATGTGTTAGGCTAAGAGCTGAGGACACCTGCATAGTGAATTGAGTAGGCCAGATGAGTTGGCAGACCACAACACAGGGACCTCTAAAACATTCCTTATTAAATCAAACATACATTGCCTGTGAACTTGAGCGTTCACATATAACTCCTTACATGCCATCCATCCCCTCTCAGAACCTGAGAAGGTTCTGATGGTGTCTGTCTGCAGCCTTCATGGAACCCTTTTGAACAGGTTTTTTTCACTTGCTTTTATCTCAAGTAGCCCAGTAGTAAGTCAAAAGAATAGTTATTGTCTGAAGAGGGCACAGTGTTGCTCACACTTCCTGGTTTTATACATAATCCTGATTTGCCACAGAAACTCTGAGCCCATTGGCTTTCCCTCATAAGGTCCACATGGTGGAACTAATTTCACCATAGCCTGGACCAGCTAGAGAGACCTCTCTTTCTGATCCCAGTCAAAACTAGATGCATTTGGGTCAACCCCCGAATGAATTTGAGCAGGGTACACAGAATTTAAGTAAGCCCACTGTATTAGCTCATTCTTATGCTGCTAATAAAGACATACCCGAGACTGGGTAGTTTATAAAGGAAAGAGGTTTAATGGACTCACAGTTCCACATGGCTAGGGAGGCCTCACAATCACAGCAGAAGACGAAGGAAGAGCATAGGGATATGTTACATAGGGGCAGGCAAGAGATCTTGTGTAGGGGAACTCCCCTTTATGAAGCCACCAGATCTCGTGACACTTATTCACTACCACGAGAAGTATGGGGTAAACCACCCCCATGATTCAATTATCTCCACCTGGTCCTGTCCTTGACACATGGGGATTATTACTATTCAAGGTGAGATCTGGATAGGGGCACAGCCAAACCATATCACCCACCAAACCCTGGGAGTTCTCCTTAGTTATAGAAGGAACAAAGTACACAATTTGTTCCTCACAATGAAGGGGAAATCCCAGCATGTACCAGACACTGGACTTCTACAAAACTTGGCTGCAGGCTCTGTGCTTTCATGGGATTTATCGTTCACCCTCTGGGATGACACATCTTACTAGGCATCCAGGAAACATGACTCCATTCTCCAAGTCCAATCAGAATATCACCTGGAGGCATACAGCATGCTGCCCTGTATAGTGGTAAGCTGATCAAAGGTCTGATATCGAGACTGATATTCTGACATAGAAAGTTAATGTAATGTTGGAAAAAGACAATCTACATTGCTGCTTACTGAGATAAAGAAAATGCTTCAAGTGGTCTTTACTTACTGGAATAAAGGAAAAACAAAAAAGCATTGACCAAATCAGTAGCCAGCTACTTTCTGATTTGCTCCAAGAAAAAAGAACTTATATGACAGCAGCTGCAGTTGGAATCACCATCTGCTTAAGTTTCGGAATATGTGCAGCCATTCTATTTTTTTGAGACGGAGTCTTGCTCTCTCGCTCTGTCACTCAGGGTGGAGTGCAGTGGCCCAATTTCAGCTCAAAGCAAACTCTGCCTCCCGGATTCAAGTGATTCTCATGCCTCAGCCTCCCAAGTAGATGGGATTACAGGTGTATGCCACCACGCCTGGCTAATTTTTGTATTTTTAGTAGAGATGGTTTTTCGCCATGTTGGCCAGGCTGGTCTCGAATCCTGGCCTCAAGTGATCTGCCCATCTCAGCCTCCCAAAGTGCTGGGATTACGGGTGTGAGCCACTGAGCCCAGCCTGTGAAGTCATTCTTAGAGACCCATCTGTCTCCTCCTACATATGCCAAAGATCATGCTAAAGCAAGATGTGATAAGAATCACACTCCTGCTGCTTTCAAAGCTTTTGATGGTGGGACTCATCTCTGCAAATCTCTTCATACTTCCTGAGAGAATAACCCTCTTTTTATGGATCAGGGATCCAATGTGGGTATATTGCCACAGAGGATGAAGAAATAAATTATAACTCTTTACTGGAAAAATAAGTGGGGGATGGGTTTATTCCTATAGCATATACTTTGTTCTATAGACCACAGTGGTTTCAGAGACCCGAGAAATTTATATTTGTTCAGAGCTGTTCCCAGATGACCTCCAAAAGGCCTAATAGTTTTTCCTTTCTGCAGTGCATTGTTATCTTAGCAAATGGGAGCCTCAAAAAAGATTTTGGAAACATTTATGATATAATTACAGAGTTCTGCATCTTTAGGGGTCTTTCATTCATATCTGTTTGTGGCAATTTGGTGACACTGTATCTTGGTGGCTCCAGTCAGGCTTTTCTGCTATTGTTATATATATCAAGTGGGGCGTATGTTGTTGCTAATGTATTTGGTCCTAGGCCAGGCTGGGATATAGCTGGTATGTACTGGCATGGCTGTATCAATTTTATACAATGGTATCAATTTTTCTTGGTTAGTATGTATGCTGCCTCATTAATTTTTTGAACAGCATTTCAGGCCAGGAGGCCCCGTGTTATCCACAACCAAGGTTTCTGTGGGCTGAACTCTTGATTACACTGGACCTCCTCCTATTACAATCACTGTTTTCACCTTGTCTCCAGTTGTTAATTGCTACTAAATGCTATTAAGCCTGTACCAAACCCAAGAGTCTGATTTCTCCATTGAAATCAGGAAAGCCTTTTAACCATAACATTTTCCCAAGCCTTCCTAGCTTAAAGAGAAGTATCATTAAAATGCTTTTCATGGATGTTGGTACTCCCCTCACCAGTGTTATTTCTCTCAAGGCCTTAGTGAAAGGAGGGTCACTGATAGGTCCTCCAAGGAGACTTAGGAGATCAATAGATTAGGACAGTCATATTGCACACAACAATTCCACTCCAACATTCCTATCTTTGTAAATATTTGAATGGCTTTATATTATTTAAGGAATGTTTGCATTCTCAATTTCATTTAATGTGGACCCTTATTAAGTTCATGTTTCACTCAACTAACTGAACCAACAAGTAGAATCACCCCCAGCTGCTCAAGGCAGCGCACAGAATCCAGAATCTGTGGCAAGTGTACCCTATCATCATTTCTGCCTTATCCAAAATTACAGTTCTCCTTGTGAGTGTAACGTTCTGAGAATCCCACACATTTTTCTCTGGGCTTTTGCCAATATATGTGAGCAGAGTCTAGAATTTTTTTGGCGTAAGTCTCCTCCTTCTGGATTTGCCTTTTAAATTACTAGCCACCACAGCCCTTCTCATGCTGGAATCTGATTTGGGGTGTACGGAAATAATGTGAATAATGGAGGAGGAGCGTAGGCCTCCCTTTACAATTGGTTTCTCTTTACAAGGTAATTATTACCTCAGGTGAGGTCATTACAGGATCTTCTAGCAAGGCAGTAACAACTTCTTTAGACGGGAAGAGATCCTGCTTTGATTAGCAAAGGAGAACATGTCAACTATCCCAGTTTTCCTGGGACTGAGGGGTTTCCTGGGACACAGGACTTTCACTTCTGAAACCTGGACTATTGTTCTCCCTAGTTTAGGATATTATGAGTCCTCCAAATCCCCTTCCCCATTCCAAATCAAGGTCCTACTGTTTCTTGGTCAATACTCTAAGTTTGACATAAGAGGCCTAATGAGGATGTCAGTTTAACTCAGGGTATTAATATAATTTGGCAAGCAGCAAGATTAAGTATGACCATGGTTTTCAATTATTTCAGCATTATAACTAGAAAGAGAGAAAATATGTTGTTAGCAAAAACATGGGGCTTTTTCTGGTTTTTAGATTGAGAATTCAGTCTAAAATTTTTGAGCTGAGGATTTCAGACTCAAGCCTAAATTATCTTTCTTTATGTATCCATCTCTGCTAGAAGCAACCACCGCAACTCACAGTCCTAGAATTCCTTGTCCTTTACACTGTATTATGGCAGCAGCCATCTGATCCACCTAAACCTTCCCTTCCTTAGATAATATATCCCATTTTACCTCATAGTTGTGTTTATGAGGTCCCAAACATATTTTGCTACATTGATTTTCATTAACTTTATATTTTTACCATTCATACCTAGGTCTCTAATCGATCTGGAGTCTACCTTTTCACATAGTGTAAGGTAGGGTTCTAGTTTTAATTTTCTCCATGTTGTGGGCCAGTTTTTCCAGTCCTTTTACCAAGCATTCTGTTCTTTATCTATTGATTTTTGTGCTAGCTTGCCGTATTAGTCCGTTCTCACGCTACTAATAAAGACATATCCGAGACTAGGTAATTTATAAAGGAAAAGAGGTTTAATTGACTCACAGTTCAGCATGGCGGGGACGTCTCAGGAAACTTACGATCATGGAGGAGGGGGAAGCAAATATGTTCTTCTTCACATGGCAGCAGCAAGGAGAAGTGCAGAGCGAAGTGGGGGAAAAACCCCTTATAAAACTATCAGATCTTGTGAGAACTCACTCACTGTCATGAGAACGGCATGGAGGTAACTGCTCCCATGATTCAATTACCTCCCACCTGTCCTTCCCAGGCCATGTGGGGATTATGGGAACTACAATTCAAGATGAGATTTGGGTGGGGACACAGCCAAACTGTATCACTTGGTAACTCATATTCCTGTGAGTTTCCTGTTCCATTCCATTGTCCTGTATATTCTCATGACTTTGATGTATATGCAACTATCTAAAGCGTAATTCCCCCTTTGCTTTTCTGTTACAAATTGACTTAATTTTTTTTTTCTTTCTTTCTGAGACAGAGTCTTGCTCTGTCACCCAGGCTGGAGTGCAGTGGTGTGATCTCAGCTCACTACAACCTCCGCTTTCCAGGTTCAAGTGATTCTCCAGGCTCAGCCTCCAGGGTAGCTGGGCCACCATACCCAACTAATTTGTTGTTGTTGTTGTTGTTGTTGTTTAGTGGAGACAGGGTTCCACCACGTTGGCCAGGCTGGTCTTGAACTTCTGACCTCCCAAAGTGCTGGGATTACAGGTGTGAGACACTGTGCCTGGCCACAAATTGACTTAATTATTTATGGGTCATTATTTTTCAATTATGAAGAGAGGTGAGTTAAAATATCCAGCTATTATGGTGAATGTGTATATTTTACCATTTATTTCTGCCATTGTTTTCCATATATTTTGAAGCTGTTTTATTAAAAACATAGAAAGAATTGTGTCTTTTAATGACTGACCCATTTATCACTATCTCTACTAATATGCCTTGCCTTGAAGTGTGCTTCTCTTATATTAATAGAGCTACAGCAGCTTTCTTGGGCTTACTCTTTGTATGAGATATCTTTTGCCATCCTTTTACTGTCAAACTTTTTGTGTCATTATATTTAAAGTATGTCTCTTATAAACAGCATATAATTGTAGGCTGGGAATGGTGCCTCATGCCTATAATCCCAGCAGTTTGGGAGGCTGAGGCAGGAGGATCACTTGCCCTCAGGAACTTGAGACCAGCTTGGGCAATATAGTGAAATTTCATCTCTATAATAACAATAAAAATATATATAAACAGCATATAATTGGAGCTTTAAAAAAATCCAATCTGACAATTTTTGCTATTAGAGTGTTTAGTTCACTTACATTTAACATAATTACCAGCAAAGTTGGGTTTATGTCTACCATCTTGCTATTAGTTTTATATTTATCCCAGGAGTTAAGCTCTTACGTTCTTTGTTCCTCCTTTATCTTTCTTTTGCATTAATCAAGTATTTCAGAGTTATTCTATTTCTTCCATTAGCTTTTTTTTTTTTTTTTTTTTTTTTTTTGAGACAGAGTTTCACTCTTGTTGCCCAGGCTGCAGTGCAATAGTACAATTTCGGCTCGCTGCAACCACCACCTCCTGGGTTCAAACAATTCGCCTGTCTCAGCCTCCCAAGTAGTTGGGATTACAGGCACCTGCCACCACACCTGGATAATTTTGTATTTTTAGTAGAGATGGGGTTTCACCATGTTGGGCTGGCCTCAAACTCCTGACCTCAGGTGATCCACCCACCTCGGCCTCCCAATGTGTTGGGATCACAAGTGTGAGCCACAGCGTCTGGCCTATTAGCTTTTAAACTGTATGTTTTTTGTATTATTTTTAGTGTTTTAGAGGTTATAATATTCTTCCTTAATTTATTACTATATTCCTTGAATTCTTGCAATACATTTTAAATTGTTAGGTTCCTAGATTGGTCATGAAGTGGTATATTACTTGCTACAGTATTCCTTTTATAATGGATGTACCATTTCATGAATAATGTATAAAACATACAGTAGTATACTTCCATTATTAATCCCCCTTCCACCCCTTGTCCTACTCTAGCCATACATTTTACTTCTACATATTTTATAAACCCCACATACATTGTTATTTGTATTAGTCAATAGTCTTATATGAATTTTAAAACAGTATTTTATATTCTCACACATCCACCTTTTCTGGTGCTTTTCTTTTCTTTCTTTCTTTCTTTTTTTTTTTTTTGAGACAGAGTTTTGCTCTGTTGCCCGGGCTGGAGTGCAGTGGTGCAATCTCGGCTCACTGCAACCTCCGCCTCCCAGGTTCAAGCAATTCTTCTGCCTCAGCCTCCCAAGTAGCTCGGAGGATAGGTACCTGCCACCATGCCCGGCTAATTTTTTTTTTTCTTTTTTGGTATTTTTAGTAGAGACGGGGGTTTCACCGTGTTAGCCAGGATGGTCTCAATCTCCTGACCTCATGATCAGCCCACCTTGGCCTCCCAAAGTGCTAGGATTCAGGCATGAGTCACCGGGCCCAACTCTTTCTGGTGCTTTTCATTTTTTCCCACAGATGCACGTTTCCATCTAGGATCATTTTCCCTCAGACTGAAGAACTTCCTTTAGTACTTCTAGCAGTGTAGGTCTGCAGGCCATGAATTAGCTCAGATTTCATTAGTCTGAAATGTCTCTATTTGCCTTAATTTCTGAAGGATATTTTCTCTAGGTATAGAATGCTAAGTTTTAGACTGGGCGCGGTGGCTCACGCCTGTAATCCCAGCATTTTGGGAGGCCGAGGTGGGTGGATCACTAGGTCAGGAGATTGAGACCATCCTGGCTAACACGGTGAAAACCTGTCTCTACTAAAAATACAAAAAAAAAAACCAAATTAGCCAGGCATGGTGGTGGGTGCCTGTAGTCCCACTACTTGGGAGGCTGAGGCAGGAGAATTGCTTGAACCCAGGAGGTGGAGGTTGCAGTGAGCTGAGATCGCGCCACTGCACTCCAGCCTGGGCGACAAAGCGAGACTCCGTCTGGAAAAAAAAAAAAAAGAATGCTAAATTTTATTCTTTTGGCACATTAAAAATGTCTATTATCTCATTTTTCTGCCGAGATGTTGGCTGTCATTCTTATTGTACTTCTGAAGGCATTGTATACCTATTTCATTTGGCTGCTTTTAAGATTTTTCTGTTTATTTTTGATATGCAATTTGATTATGATATCCCTAGGTATGGTGTCCTTTGTATTGATCCTACTTGGGGCTTGCTAGCTCTATCAGTTGATGCTTTTCATTAATTTGAGAAAATTTCTTTCCATTATCTCTTCAAATATTTGTACTCCAGTATCTCTTCTTTCCTTACAGGACCCAGTAGCACGTATATTAGACCACCTCATTTTAGCCAACATCTCTCTCTCTCTTTTCCTTTCTTGCTCTCTCTTTATGCTTCCATTTGGAAATTTTCTGTTTATGTTAGACAAAAACCATAGGATTATCTCAACAGGTGCAGAAAAGGCTTTCAATATAACTCAACATACCTTCATATTAAAAACTCTCAGTAAACTAGATATTAAAGGAACATACCTCAAAATAATAAGAGCCCTCTATGACAAACCCACAGCCAACATCATACTGAATAGGCAAAAGCTGGAAGCGTTCTTCTTGAAAACCAGCACAAGACAAGGATGCTGTCCCTCACCACTCCTATTCAAGATAGTATTGGAAGTCCTGGCCAAAGCAATCAGGCAAAAGAAAGAAATGAAGGGCATCCACATATGAAGAGAGGAAGTCAAACTATTCCTGTTTGCAGAGGACATGATTCTATATCTAGAAAACCACATAGTCTTGGCCCAAAAGCTCCTTCAGCTGATAAGCAACTTCAGCCAAGTTTCAGGATGCAAAATCAATGTACAAAAATCACTAGCATACCTAGGCACCACCAACAGCCAAGCCAAGAGCCAAATCAGGAATGCAATCCCATTCACAATTGCTGCAAAAAGAATACAATACCTAGGAACACAGCTAATCAGAGAAGTGAAAGATCTCTACAAGGAGAACTAAAAAATACTGCTCAAATAAATCAGAGAAGACAAAAACAAACGGAAAAGCATCCCATGCTCAAAGATCAGAAGAATCAATAGCATTAAAATGACCATATTGTCCAAAGCAATTTACATATTCAATAATATTCTGATCAAACTACCAATGACATTCTTGACAGAACTAGAAAGTACTATTTTAAAATTCACATGGAACCAAAACAGAGCCCGAATAGCCAAGGTAATACAAAGCAAAAAATAAAGTTGGAGGGATCACATTACCCAACTTCAAACTATATCACAGGGCTACAGTAACCAAAACAGCATGGTACTGGTACAAAAACAGACACATAGTCCAATGGAACAGAACAGAGAACCCAGAAATAAGGCCATACACTTATGACCATCTGGTCTTTGACAAAGCTAACAAAAGCAAGCAATGGAGAAAAGACTCCCTATTCAATAAATGGTGTTGGGATAACTGGCTAGCCATATGTAGAAGGTTGAAGCTGGACCCCTTCCTTATACCATATACAAAAATCAACTCAAGGTGGATTGAAGACTTAAATGTAAAATCCAAAACTATGAAAATCCTGGAAGACAACCTAGGCATTACCATCCTTGACATAGGAACAGGCAAAGATTTCATGACATAGGAACAGGCAAAGATTTCATGACAAAGACACCAAAAGCAACCGCAACAAAAGCAGAAATTGACAAACAAGATCTAATTAAATTTAGCTTCTGCACAGCAAAAGAAGCTATCAGCAGAGTAAAAGTAAACAGACAACCTACAGAATGGGAGAAAATATTTGCAAGCTATGCATCTGACAAAGGTCTAATATCCAGCATCTATATGGAACTTAAACAAATTTACAAGAAAAAAACAACCCTATCAAAAAGCGAGCAAAGGACATGATCTGACCCTTTTCAAAAGAAGACATACATGCGGCCAACACACATATGAAAAAAGGCTCAATATTACTGATCATTAGAAAAATGCAAATCAAAAACCATAATGAGATACAATTTCATTGTGACACCAGTGAGAATGACTTCATGACATTCTGGCTATTATTAAAAAGTCAAAAAAATAACAGATGTTGGCAAGGTTGTGGAGAAAAGGGAACACTTACACACTGTTGGTGAGAGTGCAAATTACTTCAACTATTGTAGAAAGCAGTATGGAGATTCCTCAAAGAGCTAAAAGTAGAACTACCATTCAACCCAGTAATCCTATTACTGGGTATATACTCAGAGGAATATAAATCAATCTGCCATACAGACATACATACACAAATGTTCACTGCAACACTATTCACAATACCAAAGACATGGAATCAACCTAAATGCCCATTAATGCCAGATCAGATAAAGAGAAGGTGGTAATATGAACTCCATAGAATACTATGCAGCCATAAAAAAAGAATGAGATCATGTCTTTTGTGGGAACATGGATGGAGCTGGAGGCTATTTTCCTTAGCAAACTAGCACAGGAACAGAAAACCAAATACCACATGTCCTTGCTTATAAGTGGGAACTAAATGATACGAACTCATGAACACAAAGAAGGGAACAACAGACACTGGGGTCTACTTGACAGTGGAGGGCGGGAGGAGGGAGAGAAGCAGAAAAAATAACTATTGGGTACTAGGCTTAATACCTGGGTGATGAAATAATCCATACAACAAACCCCCCATGACACAAGTTTACCTATATAATGAACCTTTGCATGTAACTCCAAACCTAAAATAAAAGTTAAAAAAATGTAGGTAATTTCTAATGACCTGCCTTTGAGGTCATTAATCTTTTCCTCTATGACCTCTAGTTGGCTGTTAAACCATCTGTCTGATGAATTCTTAATTTCAGATATTTTATTTTTTATATTTAGAATGTACATTTAATTCTTTAGATATTCTATTTTTGTGATAAAGTTATCTTTTTCCATTTTTCTTTTTGTCTAATTTTATTAACATTAATGTTATTATATTCTCTTCCCTGACATCTCCTTCTCACTATATAATTTATTTGTTCCATGTGTGCTCCAGTAGCATTTTACATTTCTTTGGTTAATAGCAAAGTGAGCGTTCTATAAAAAATTGTTAAATAATTTTCTTGTTCTGGGGCTGTGCTCCCTTCCTAATATGCATGGCTGGCTTATGAAGAGAGGCTGGCACAAATTAGTTTTTTATCTACTTTATTGAGGCATTATTTACCAAAATATTTTTGAGTAAACATTTCCCTCAGACTTCTACTTCACTTCTCTCATGGAGATGCAGTTTTACAGCTATTGGTATATAACTGTCTCTTCTAAACCTGCACTGTCCAATACAGTGTCACTCGCCAGATGTGGCTACTGAGACCTGTGGCTAGTCTGAACTGAATTAAAATGTAAGTGTAAAATATGTGCTGGATTTCGAAGAAAATATGAACAAAATAAACTATCTTAATAATTTTATGATGATTACATGTTGCAGTGGTAATATTTTGGATATATTGGTTTAAACAAAATATATTATTACCATGAATTCCACCTGTGTCTTTTTTTTATGATGCTACTACAAAATTTAAAATTACACATGGGACAGTGCTGTTCTAGACTGTAGCCTATGGAAAGGAGAACAAACTATAAAGAAAGATGAATATGGATGTAAAGCTTACTTTCTTCAGTTATTCTGTGGACTTGGCAAGTTACTTAAAATATCAACTTCATAAGGAAAGTGAGGGGACTACATTAAAATAATGTATGTGGGATACTTGACACCTAGTAAGTAACTATCTAATGCTTATTTCATTATCTTTCCCTGAGGACAAGGAAGTGGCTCACACATCACAGTGTCCAGAATATGTGATTACATATATATATTTTTTTTTTTCTGAGACAGAGTCTTACTCCATCCCCCAGGCTGGAGTGCAGTGGCATGATCTTGGTTCACTGCAACGTCCAGTGCAAGCGATTCTCGTGCCTCAGCCTCCCAAGTAGCTGGGATTACAGGCATGAGCCACCAAGCCCAGCTAATTTTTATAGTTTTTAGTAGAGATAGGGTTTCACCAGGTTGGCCAGGCTAGTCTTGAACTCCTGACCTCAGGTGATCTGCCTGTCTCAGCCTCCCAAAGTGCCAGGATTACAGGCGTGAGCCACTGTGCCCAGCCACATATGTTTTAAATGAATGATGTTTATACTGAAATTAGCAGTTATTAGAATATTTTAGAAATTCGTCACACATAATCATATGACCCCAAGACCAAGCATTACAATGTAACATTTTAAGAAAAAGGACAATTATTTTATATTTTTATTCATTCACCTTTTCTATGCTTTAATAAATCTTTTGCATAGGTAAACACATTTAGTCAGAGCTATAAGACAACATAGAAACAGACAAGAAATACACAGACATTCTGATTCTTCTCCAAATAACTATTTTGAGGAAACTCTTGACTATATGTTACCTTTAGAAATACCTTAACCTCTTCTGCTCATACCTAAAACAATTTGTGTAACCTTCAACTTTCAATAAAATCATTTTATAGTATAATTTATCTTGAATATCTTATACTCCTTAAAGCATTACTTCAAAAACAAAATTCTTCAAATAATTCTATAAATAAGTAGCAAATGTTATTGCACCTTAGCTTTATAATTTAAAATTTTTTCCATTACTTCAAACATTAGTTTCTAAAGTAAATTAATACAGTCTGGGCATATAACTACTCTTTCTCATAGAATGGTATTAGTCATCAAGATATTTTAATCTTATGTAAGGACATTTCTGATACTGGGAACTTAATTATAATACTTTCTCCAAATTCAGGCAAAAGCAAGATGATTATAACACAGTTAGCTCTTCATTACCTGAGTTAATTAAGAGGCCATTCTGGCAGGTAACTCCAGTAGGAACCTAACTTGTTGTCTTAAAGATCCTGAGATCTTTAAGAGGTCAGTTCCTCAGGCAGCCCTTTCTCAAGGATCTTAACTATATACTCTCCTTTCAGACCTTCTCACTGCTCAGGCTGTGCTGAACTGAAGGTGCCAACCTCGGGACAGGGGCCACAGTCCACAAAATCCCTGTAGCAACAGTATGGTAGCTGAAGGATGGGATGTTTGATCAAGGGGGAAAAAAGGTGATTTCAGGTGGGATTTCTGACTCAGGATCAAGGTAATAAGAGCTTTACTCTATGAGATGTAACAATGACAAAAGAATATTAAAATCTAAGGCTGCACAAGGCGCTGTAAACAGCAGTGATCTTTCTCTTAGAACTGTTAGAATTCCGTTGCACAAAAGAACATATATGATCTAGGACTGGAATAAAAATACTTGAGAAGTTATCTTTCTCTAGGCAACAAAGTAGTGTTATTTCTGCTTAGCAAAAGTTCACCTACGCCTAGATTCATTTCTAGCTTTTTTTTTTTGAAAAGTAGATTTTAACAAAATGGTCAACAAAATAATTATGAGTTTTAATGTTGGTTATGTCAATTTATTAGTAATTTTGGTCTTCCCATTAGTGTCCTGTATAAAAATGATGAGTTTCTCCGTAGTACGTACAACAGCTTTTAAAGAGAACGTAGGCAGAATAATTCAGACAGAAACCATAAATAACCAGAAGGCAAAGTGAAGCAAAATTGTCTCATGTGATGTTTATCCCAATTTATATCGATATTCTTCTATCAATTTTTAGACTGTTAAAGTAAAATCTTAATCTAAGTGTCTTATGAATCATTATAAAAGATTCCAACCTTTAAAAATTATGAAAGGTTTAAAGACCTCATTAATAGAGTTAGAAATGTTTGCTATTATCCTACTGGTCAACTTTGGTCTGTATTTTCTGCACCTCTTCAGGCCAAGAATAACAATCAGGTAGAATCTGGTCATAATCAGTACTATACATCTGGGAGCGGACAAATGCTTCTTTGTTTTGCGGTTCAGGATAAACTGTGGCTGTCTTTTCTTGGTATGCATCTTTCACAATCTAGATATAAGAAAAGAATATTAATTATTTTAATAAATAGAGGTAATCATGAGCCCATGTGAGTGGAAGTTTTTATCCATTTCAAAAACACTGTATCCTATGTTTGCAAAAACATTAAGTGTATTATAATAAAAGCACATATAAGCAATGAAGATATAAAATGAAAATGCAATTATAAATCATATAGTGAGAGAGAAAAATGACATCAGCAACTAAGGAAAGTGTGACCAGGTGAGACTGATTCAAGTACTATCACATCTGGATTTCTCAGAGAAGCCAGTGTTCAAAGTCTTGACATGACCTGACTGACAATTAACTTGAAATAAATACCTAAATAGTCCTGCTAAACTTGAACCTTGAATTTTCAAGAATCCCTATTCTCACCACAGCCTCCTACAAAATCTCTTCCTGTACCCCAGGGTCTCCTGATCTTGCTCAGCTAATCATCTAGACACCACAGTCAGGATGAGCACTCTTTGCCAGCGTCACAGATTCTCTGGTCATCACGCCCTGTGTTTCATGCATAATTCTAGTCCCTCGTCTGGGGACCCCTCAGAGCTGGCTTTCTCCTTTTGTGGCTGTGCATCCTAGAACGATGCAGTAAACTTTCTGTGGTGCTATATTTTTTTTCTAGTCTGCACATTATACTTTTTTCTCTCTTTACTTAAAACTTCCTCTTGTGGTTCCCAAAAAGCAATTCCAAACCTTCCCCCATCTTCAAGCTTCCATTTGACTCTCATCACTCACTGGAGAATCACATCATCATATCACATCATGGGAGAAAATTTCAACTACTCAGAGAAAATGACCTTAATTTCCCTTTTGACCAACTCAGACTATCTCCTCAGTGTCTTCATACATCTTCTCTTTCCCTACTTTCTTTAAATGGATTCTCTTCATCAAAATTAATCACTTCATATATACTATTTAATTCACACCAGTTTTTTTTTTTTTTTGAGATGGAGTCTTACTCTGTCACCCAGGTTGGAGTGCAGTGGCACGATCTCAGCTCACTGCAACCTCTGCCTCCTGGGTTCAAGCGATTCTCTGGCTGGCACAGTGGCTCATGCCTGTAATCCCAGCACTTTGGGAGGCCGAGGCAGGTGGATCACCTGAGGTCAGGAGTTCAAGACCAGCCTGACCAACATGGAGAAACCCCATCTCTACTAAAAATACAAAATTAGCCGGGTGTGGTGGTGCATGCCTGTAACCCTAGCTACTCGGGAGGCTGAGGCAAGAGAATCACTTGAACCCGGGAGGCAGAGGTTGCAGTGAGCCGAGATCACACCATTGTACTCTAGCCTGGGCAACAAGAGCAAAACTCCATCTCAAAAACGAAACAAAACAAAACAAAAAACAACAACAACAAAAAAACAAGCGATTCTCCTGCCTCAGCCTCCCAAGGGTTAACAGGCTCCTGCCACCACACCCGGCTAATTTCTGTACTTTTTTAGAAGAGAAGGGGTTTCGCCATGTTGGCCAGTCTGGTCTCAAACTCCTGACCTGAGGTGATCCACCTGCCTTGGCCTCCCGAAGTGCTGGGATTACAGGTGTGAGCCACCGTGCCCAGCCGAATTCACATCAGTTCTTAAAACAATATTTATATGACTGACTTATTTTGATAAGTCTGATTTCAAAGAATATCAGAATGATTATCTCATCTCAATGTAAAACTATGCATTTATGAACAATTAAGGTTATGAATACTGTGCTGTATTATGAAATGTCTATGAAAAAGCAGGAAACAATATGTATATTTCATAATTATAATAATGTTAGAAAATAAACAAACGAAAGACTCAAAACAAACACAGGAAAAAAAATAATACTTATATTAGAAAAATAGGATATTGGTTATTTTCCTTTTCTCTATTTGTTTTCCAAAGTGCCCATAATATGGTAGTATTACTTTTTAAACAGATTTATTGAGATATAATTCACACAAAATTCAAGCATTTTAAGTGTACAACTAAATTATTTTTGTAAATTTACTGAGCTGTGCAACAATATTACCACATTCAGTTTTAGAATATTTCCATCACCCCAAAAAGATCCCTCATGCCTACTTAAGATGGCTATGTTAATTTTATAATAAAACACATTGTTTCATTACTGACATAGACTATGTGGAAATTCATCTCCTCTTTCTGCTCCCAGTTATACCATAGAAATAATCCCTTCTCCCAATGAAATCTTCACTCTCTCTGTCCTGTCAATGCCAAACTCTCTGACAGAGTGGCTTATATTTTATTGCTTTCCTAATTCTCTGCCTTCTGAACCTCCTGTACATCTTGAAATTTCTTTTGTAAAAGTCTCTGATAACTTGTTAAGTACCAAATAAAAGTCTGCATCTGTTTTTCTCTCCAGGATTTGGCTGTGTTGGTCACAATTTCCACTCCCATTCTGAAATTGTCTCTTTCCTAATTATTGACATGCTGCTCAGTTTGGAGTCTCTTAAAATCCTGACCACTTCTCTTCTTAACTGGCATCTTTCTTCTGTCTTCTAGACAGAATAATAAACTATATTCTATTCTCATTTTTATTTCCTTTCTATACTTGCTTTCTTGGCAACCTCACCCACTCCTAGATATTCACCAGTTACCACATGCAGAAGATGCCCAGGTCTTTTATCTAGCCTCTCTTTAAGTTTCAGTCATTTCTATCTACTTGATAAAATGGTACATTTGAATGTGCCATTGATACCTCAAACTTGCAGTCCACTTACATGATCTCCCTCTCTGAAGTTGGTTCTTTGTTCTAGTTTCTCAATTTCTGTGTATGCACTCTGTATTCTTCCATTATTCTAGGTGTGATATCTGAATCTTTTGGCACTCCCCTGCTGTCCCCTGCTTTTTTTCCCCTCTAATCATAAGCTAACTCTTTTTCATTTAAATCTCCAAAATGAACTTAAAATGATAATATGCTATTCAGTATATTAATAGTTTAAACTACTTAAAAACTAGCAGATACATATTAGTAGAATATATGAACATACTTTTTCATAGATAACCAAGCAGATTATTATGTAAAGGTTTTTAGAGAATTACTTCTTTTTTTAAGAGACTGCCTTCAGTCAACGAGATAAATAATGATATGTGACTCTTAAATGGTGTTGTTTAGATAACTTGCTAATAGCTTAAGCTAGTGATTTTCAATCTGGAGCAATTTGGCCCCCAAGGGGATACTTGACAATGTCTGGAAACAGCTTTGGTTGATACAACTGAGCAGATGCTACTGACATCTAGTGGGCAGAGGCCAGGAATGCTGCTGAAGATTGTACAATGCCTGGGACAGCCGCATGATGGTTATTGACCCAAAATGTCCACAACGCTGAAGTAGAGAAACCCCAATTTAAACATATAACTACTGTCATGGCTAAACTGTGTTCCTCCCACCCCAAATTCAGTGTTGAAGCCCTAACCACTAGTACCTCAGAATGTGAGTGTATTTAGAAATAGGCCTTTAAGGAGATAATTAAGTTAAAATGAGACGGTTAGAATGGTCTATAATCCAATTTGATAGGTGTCCTTAAGAGAAGAGGAAATTTGGACACACAAGCGTGTACACACACAGAGAAAAGGCCATATGGGGACACAGAAAGAGGGCAGCCATCTGCCAGCCAAGGAGAGAGGCCTCAGAGGAAACCAAACCTGCAAACATCTTTATCTTAGACTTCTAGCTCCCAGAATTATGGGAAAATAGTTTTCTGTTGTTTAAGCCACACAGTCTGTGGCTTGAATATTTAAAAACAGTTACTACATAACCGTGGTATGTAGTTATCCCAGCCCAAGAAAACTAATACAATTACACTGCAAAAAAAGTCCACTTATCTTCCAGTTTAGTTACAGAAAATTTCTCTGCCTTTGGGTTCTTCTTGGCTAACTCCTTCAGTAGCTCATCTGCCACCCAAACAGCTTTCAAGTTCTTTGACCTCTTTATTTTGCCTTCCGCCCAGTATTATCAGTTGTGATCTGTCATTTATGATGCCACACATCATAGTGACATGGATATGGAAGGTGGTTCAAGGTCTAAATGTTACTCTAACATATCTGTAATATTTTGGTTAATTATCACTAATGTGATATAGAAAAGAACAACTTTAAAAAGGTGAAATGGGAGAAATCTGGCTGACAGGAAGCCCTAATGAATTATTTAAATTTTAGGAGAAAAAAAGAACGATAGAGAGGGAAATTAATTATTCGGCCCAATACTTCCATTCTTCTCTGAGAAGCAAATGTAGCTCCTAAGCTCTACAGTGTCAGTGTGCCTCATTTCTCTGACTTCTGACATAGTAAGTTGATACAGATATACATTTCAAGGAAGCAGATTTTTAATATTTAAAAATGCATATTTAGCAAGAAAAGGAAGGAAAAATAATGAAGCTTGAACAAGAGTGGTTTTACCTTTTCTGCAATTTTCAGAGAAACATCTCTAATGGTATTCAAAGGAGGATAAAGCCGACCCTCTTCCAAGTGTTTATCTGACACTTGCTGAGCTATAACCTTATGAAAAAAAGAAAGAAAAAAAGTGTTTATACTTCACACGATACAATGTGGTGGGTACGCCAATAACTAAGTGAACGGTTACATATAATGGTCTATACAAAAACCAGTGACATTAATATGATTACCTAATTTCATCCCCACTTCTATCAACAAAGAAATAAGCCCAGAGTGGTGTGGTGGTGGTTGAGATCACATAATTGGTGAAAAAGATGGGAATAGAATCTAGGTTTCCTTTTAGTCCACTTCCTTTTCTATTGTACCATGAAATGCTAGATACTTTCCAATTGATACATTAGGGGAACAAGGGAAAAGAAAAGAAAGAAAGAGGAAGATGATAGAGTAATGAAAATGGATCCTGAAAGCAGAGGAGGACAGCTATCCAAGGCTAAGCATGCCATTACTCCCAGCTCTGAGTCATATTCTTGTGCAGGAGGTAGAGCAAAAGGCTGAGAAAGCTAGTTCAGAGTCTCACTACAAATAGGATTTTAATTTTACACAGACTCTGGATTATCTAAATCACCTAATTAGCCTCAACATTTACTGTCCCCAAACCATTCCCTAGTTCCAAATCAAACAGTGTTAAATTTTGTATTGAACCCTAAGGCAGAGAGGGAGACTCAGTAACCCTGATGTTCTCTCCAGCTCTAAGACTTTGATTAAATTTCTAGATGGGGGCAAATCTAAATCAGCTTATACCTAGGCCTTTGTTCCATGAAAATGTGGATGCAGAGAGGGAGTAGGAAACCTTCCTCTTTTGTAACATTTTAAATAATCAAATACTTATTTTTCAGTATATCTTAATATCTTTTAGATTTTTAAATCATGAAATTATTTCCAAAATATTATTCTTTGCCATCAGCAAACATATATGCACTGAACAAGCATAACACTACGGAGAAGCTTAAGAAAAGTGTTATTGTCCTTGAGAGATGTATAATTTAGTAAGGTAACAGAGTACGGGAAGAAAAAGAGAACGCTGAAAGAGAAGACGGCTTAGGCTAATGGTGAAATGTGGGTGCTAAGAAATCCAGAGGAAGAGCAGTTCTGGAAGGCCTTATAGTGCACAGTGGCTTGAAAGGCAAACCTACAGGAAAGCCTGGAGTTAGACAAACAGAAAGTAGGTAGGCATTTCAGACAAAAAACAGAGTCAGACCAAAGGCAGAGTTGTGTGTGAGCTGGACTCAGCAGGCCCAAGTGTCCTGACCTGGGGGAGCAGAGGGTCTGGGTACAGAAATAAGGACTGGAGCATTATCAATGTCAAAAAAGGAGTTTGGAGTTAAATCCCGTCGGTGACTAAGGACTTCTGACCAGGGACATTTAGGCAGAGGTAAGATGGAAAGGAGAAGGAGGTAAAGTTACTAGTATAACTATTTGTTTGATTAGTATTGCTCTACATATTATACAAAATATTATAACATATAATTGTAGGGTGTTGACCATAATTTTATAATAAACTCATCATTTAACTCATTAATTTCTTGCCTTTGTAACAGGATGTTTGCCCTAGAATTGGTCATCAGGGTCCCAAACTTCAGGACAAAGATACGTTAACTATTCCACACTATCAGGAAGTCACCAAACAAGTGGGGCTTGCCATCTACCTCAGAAAGTAGAATCAGCCCTGCCAACCCCACAAACCACAGCCACCCCCTTCCAGAAGGCTGAGCTAGTGAGAGGCAGGGAAATTTGCTGGAACCATGGTTTGGCCTACTGGGTAATGTAGTGGCTTTTTCCTCCCCTCTTCTTGGTGCATGCTACTCCTTCTTAAAGGCTTATGGTGTCCTCAAGGAAAGACTGGGGGGCATTCTTTTCCCCTCCTCAGCGTGAGCAGTTATAGGTATGTGTACTTAAGCAGAGAAGAGAATGGGAAAGGGAGAGCCAGACAGACAGGGTGGCTGTAAGCTGTATACATTCCCATCAGTGGATCTGGTATGGGTACATGAGTTTCCAAGGTCAAGCGGCCATAGCAGAGGAGGCCTCTGCATCCCTGGGGACCTGAAGAAGTGTAAGGAAGCTAGGCTGAAGCCAGACATCCTACATCAGAGGGCCAGATTTGGACCCTGCCAGAGAGAATTAGTGGAGTTAATAATCGAGTTAATAAAAGAGATGTTTGCCCTTTTCCATGCCCTTCCTTCTTTTCTCCAACGTATTTGAAGAAGTAGTCTTTAACAAAAAGAGGGAGGAGGTTTCTCAGAGTCGAGCCAAACATTTCCCCCCAAATTCCTCAAAGTGCTAGCTTCAGAGAAAGAGTAAAAGAACAGATGGGTTTTCTCTAACTGCTACTGCAGGCCTCTCCTACTGCAGGGAGAGGACATGACATTTGAATTGGATATAACATTTTGAACTGCACAGATGTTTAATTGTTGTTCACTGATGTATTCTCAGCACTCAGAATAATGCCTAGCATATGTTAGGTATTTAATTAAAAGAATATTAAAAGAATGAGTGAACTGAAAGTTATGGGCTCTTACCGAAATGGCACTAAGAGAAACAAGAGGGAGAGCTGGTGGAGAATGATTTAAAACAATGACTGGGGCAAAATAAAACCATTTTATGTTAATTGCTCCACTGAATTGAAACTTTTAAAAAACTTTATTAATTCTTGTTGTTCTGCAAAGGAGATGTGGCAGATTTAAATAATAATTTCTTAGATGTTAAAGCAAAAACTTTTCTGGGTGTCAGGTATTGGTATTTAATTGGATAGAACAAAATGAATAGCACAATGTTAAAAAGATGTCAGAGCATGGTGGTTGAAGGCTCAGGCTCTGGTGTGAGGTAGACCTATGTTTGAATTCTAATTCCATCAATTACTGTCTGTTTTGTATTTGGGCAAATTAATTAACCTTTTTAGACCTCAGTTTTCTCATCAGTAATACAGGACTAATAATACTTCCTAATTCATAAGGATTGAATGAAATAAATGCCAGCAAACAATTTACCACAGACAGTGTCTGTCAGAAAAGTATTCAATTAAACTTAGCTATTTTGTTTTATGTATGTATGTATGTATGTATGTGAAACAGGGTCTCACTCAGATTGCCTACGCTGGAGTGTAGGCAATCTCCCTTAGCTTGGGTGATTCTGCCGCCTCAGACTCCCGAGTAGCTGAGACAACAGCTGTGTGCCATCATGCCCAACTAATTTTTTTTTTTTTTTTTTTGTATTTTTAGCAGAGATAGGGTTTCACCATGTTGGCCAGGCTGGTCTCAAACTCCTGAGCTCAAGCGATCCACCTACCTCAGCTTTCCAAAGTGTTGGGATTACAGACGTGAGCCACTGCATCTGGCCAGCTATTTTGTTTTAAAAAAGAACCAATAGGCAGCCCACATGGCCAAATGGAAGCAAAATAGCTTCTGGTGTCAGATCTGGCTCTACAGTGTATAGATTGTTAGCTATTTGATTTGGGGGCAAGTTCTATAACGAATCAACTTCAAGTTTTTTCAACTATTTATATGACATAATATGTGTATTCCACCTATAAACACCAGGACACTGCTGGCATTCAATTTCATTGTTTCTTCTCTAGGATGTCACACAAATGTCATTTTAAAGAGATTGGAGACAGTCACAGGATAGCTGAGTAAAGAAGAATCATTCTGAATCCTTACTCTCCATGTGTGACTGTCCATGATGATTATCTAAAGGGTCCTCTGAGCAGATATCAGAAAGGAGTGGAGCAAGGCAGATGAGAAGACACCAGCCTGTGATTCAGGAGAAGTGGTGTGAAGATAGGAGGCTGAGATTTGTCTCCCAGGTGTGAACAGGATGTGAGGAGTCTATTCCCAGGATACACTACAGACCACACAGGGCCAGGAGGGCTGATCACCAGAGGTCCAGAAGACTGTCTATAGTGCCAGGAAAGCCAAAAATCTCTTCATGATATAAAAATGTCCAGAAATATTCTTTGAGATTGGTGCTAACCCATGACATTTCTAGTTCCATAAGAGATTCAACTAGTATTTTGACAATAATCCTAACAGTTATTAAATTTGTGGTTGCAAAACAAAATATTCAGAAATATCTCCTATATGTTACTTTTGTTAACTACAAAATATAATCTAGACAAGAAGTACTTTTCTTCTTTTTGGGGCCATCTGGTAGTGAACGTTTGTGGTATTGTATTTATTCCTCTTGCTAAGATACATGACTCATTCTATTTAATCCTATTCAAAAAGTATTTACTAATTTTCTGCTTTGTGCCTAGCATGGTGCTAGATACTACTGAAGTTTTAAAAGAAGTATATGGAAGACTCTCTGTCTTTAAAAAAGATAATCTACAGGCCAGGCGCGGTGGCTCATGCCTATAATCCCAGCACTTTGGGAGGCCGAGTCAGGCTGATCACAAGGTCAAGAGATCGAGACCAGTCTGGCCAACATGGTGAAACCCCGTCTCTACTAAAAATACAAAAATTAGCTGGGCGTATTGGCATTGTGCCTGTAATCCCAGATACTTGGGAGGCTGAGGCAGGAGTATTGCTTGAACCAGGGAGTTGGAGGTTGCAGTGGGCCAAGATCACACCACTACACTCCAGCTTGGCAACAGAGCGAGACTCCGTCTCAAAAAAAAAAGATAATCTACAATTTAGTTATAAAGGCAACACCTAATCTTTTACAATAGGAAGCTCTCAGGAGTGTATCATAACCAGAAATAAAATTAAATGTCAAAGTGTGTAATAAAGACAGTCATGGCTACGGAGAAAGATCAAGATGAGCTAGACTTGTCACAAAAAGATTCCAGGATGTGGTGGTATTTAAGCAGTACCCTAAAGGAGAAGCTTAGATCATTGGAGAATAATTCTCAGGTCTTTCCAGACAGGATAAGAGATAAAGCAGTTACACAGGCATACATATGCATGGTGTGTTTGAAGGCTATGGGATGAGGGAGAATGAAAAGAATGTCAAGCTTCTAAGCTTTGCTGCCTGCTTGGAAAGGGGGTATCACTAATAAAAATGTGAATGCTGACAGTGAGGAAAGATAAGGAAGGCTTTCATAATGTTGTGTTTAAGGACACAGTAGGGCATGTCTGTGGAATTACCCAACAGGCAACTGGAGATATGGAAAAAGATGAGAATAGAGATACACAGATTTGGCCACTACTAGAATGAAGATAATAGAAATGAATGAATGAATGAGATCTTTGAAAGCATAAGAAAAAGAGAAGAAAAAACTGGTAACAAAAAATGAATGCTAGAAAAAAAACTCTTACTTAAAAGGGAGATGAAAAGGAGACAAGGAAAATAATGAGTGGGACATAATTTAGATGATATAAAAAACAGGAATATTGTGTTGAAGCCTAAGAGAAAACCAGTAGAAAGGCCAAGAGATGCAGCCAGAGAGATCACTAGCTATGATAAGAATTAGTGATGTGGTATGTTGACAACACCACATTTTTTTTTTCCTTCAAAGTGTTTTTTGGTAGTGATTATTACTTTTCTTGGAGAGTAAACTGAAAATATTTTTCACGGAATTTGTCACTAGAGGGTGCTAGAGTTATTTAAGAAAGAAAACACTGACTACTGCAGGTAACCAAAACTCTGATGTGCCTATTCTAAAAGACAATGATTACATTTTCCTTAATGCAAAAGCTACTTTTACATGCTCTCTTAGTAATTAGACATCCATTTATGTTTAACAAGATTTTCTGAGTTAAAGAAAACCTGTGACATCAGCTGGCATGCTTTTTAATGCAGTGAAGAAAACGACAGGAGAACATTATTGCTTCCAAGCATCTGTTCTCATAGAATGACACCGGGTGCTAGCCACCAAGATTATGCTCCTTTAGATCACATCAGTAACATAAGAATCTTTGTCTACATTCTTGGGGTTCCTCTTCACAATGGAAAAAATATTTGCAGGATAAAAATATTTGAATATCAATCAAGTTCTTTGGATCAGTTCAGCTGCAAAGGTTTAATCGTAAGAAAAGAAATTCACTCAAGTTTCTCATCCATAAATGGTTACCTGTTCAAATCTGAAACATGATATCAACCTGATGAACATCAACCTGATGATTATCAAAAAGCTCATGATTTTATAAATATATGCCCAATCACCGTATCATCCTGCTGAGGCTTGGGAGGAGGAGGGAAACTGATAGGAACATGCAGCTCATGATATCTCTTGTGCCAGGAATTATCAAAGTCCTTTGTCTCTGACCTAAGAGTTTCATGTCTTCTGTCAATATCTATGAAATTGTGGCTAACTTGTTAGCTTGCAAGTAGAGTAAAATCTCAGATCTTTCACAGTTTCATGACAGTACAAGATTCCCCAGTGGGCCTGCTTTGTGATGTTCTGAGAATCTTTCCTCAAGGCCCAGACAGAGCTCACTTCTCCTATTCTTTTAATGATTTTATAAACAACTAATTTCCTATTTTGATCTAATTTCTGCTTAAATACTAGGGTGGTTTCTGTCTCCTGTACTGAACCCTGAATAATAAACATGTCCACTATACCATATCAGACTTTCACTTTAAACCTTCAAAATGCCATTCATTATTAAGCACTGTTCTCAACAGGGAAATATTTACCACTTAATCATCATTTGGAAACAATTTTGTTTTTGCTTTTTTTTAGGTAACAATCTAGCTCTGTAGCCCAGGATGCAGTGCAGTAGTGCAATCGCAGCTCACTGCAACCTCTGCCTCCTGGATTCAAGCAATTCTCCTGCCTCAGCCTCTTGAGTCAGGGGGGATCACAGGCACACACCACCATGCCCGGCTAATGTTTGTATTTTTAGTAGAGATGAAGTTTCACCATGTTGGCCAAGCTGGCCTCGAACTCCTGGGCTCAAGTGATCTGCCTGCCTCAGCCTCCCAAAGTGCTGGGATTAGGGGCATGAGCCACCACACCCAGCCCTGGAAACAATATTTTTAATTGTCCCATCACTGTCACAGAACTTGATCTGATGTGTGAAGACACAAAAATGTTCCTCTTAAGAAATCAAAAACACAATTTTTCTAATGACTACTGAAGAAGAACCTTTCGTTTGTGAGTCAGTATGAACATGCTACCCACCCCTTATACTCCACTGGGAAGTTCTTCAGACTTTACTTCTTTCAGAGAGTAAGCTGAGATGCTAGATAAATAAAACATTAGACAACCTAGGCTGAGCACACTTGGTATTTTAAACCCTTGGTAAACTTAGAGGATTTTACAATACCTCAGCAGTAGTGAGGAAAATATTATCTGTGATCTGCCTCAATCCACACGCCACAACACCAAGAGCAACTCCAGGGAACACATAGGAATTGTTGCCTTGGCCAGGATATAGGGTCTGTCCATTTGGAAGAGTGACTGGATCAAAAGGACTGCCACTGGCAAAAATTGCACGTCCCTACAACAAAGACACATACAACTCACTTTAAAAAGAAGCAGAATATTTTAAAACAAATGTATCATAACAGAACTACCCCACAGCCTAAATTATAAGTACTTAGAAAGAAGTCTAGTTTTTTATTAACTTGCTAATAAGTCTGGACAAGCTTTTGTGATGTTGTGCAACCAGTTCTGGAATGGGTGATTATTACTATTCTCTGTCTTACTCTTTACTTCCAGGAGGAGCATGCAAAGTACAGGATGCCCTAAGACCATCACTCTATTCTCTGCAGTGGTTCAACCGATAGGCTCATCAACCATTTCTATATAGGCTTCCAATTATAGACATCTGAAGATAAAAAATGATGGGCTAATATTTAAGTATTGAAAATAATGATATTTTAGGTTGGGGTTTAGGAATCGACACATTTCCAAAATAAAAACTGGGAAAATCATATATATTTCTATATTGTAAAGAGTTATGTGGGCTAGGCACAGTGGCTCATGCCTGCAATCCCAGCACTTTGGGAGGCCGAGTGGGGCAGATCACTTGAAGTCAGGAGTTTGAGACCAGCCTGGCCAACATGGTGAAACCCCATTTCTACTAAAAATATAAAAAGTGGCTGGGGAGTGGTGGTGGGTGCCTGTAAGCCCAGCTACTTGAGAGGCTGAGGCAGGAGAATCGCTTGAACTCAGGAGGCAGAGGTTGCAGTGAGCCTAGATCACACCACTGCACTCCAGCCTGGGCGACAAAGCAAGATTCCAGCTCAAAAAAAAAAAAAATAAAAATAATAATAATAATAAATAAATAAAATAAAATAAAATAGTTATGTGGAGAATCACATAGGAAACAAACTCATTGGCAGGAGTAGAATTGGCAAGGAAGAAGAAGATTAAGTTATCAATATTTTTCAACAATTGTCTTCATTTTGCCTAGTATTAATATTTTGTCATAATTGTTTTGAGGAATCTCATGTACTGCTTGCTTTAAAAAGGCATGAACTTGGCTGGGCGCGGTGGCTCACGCCTGTAATCCCAGCACTTTGGGAGGTCGAGGAGGGTGGATGACTTGAGGTCAGGAGTTGGAGACCAGCCTGGCCAACATGGTGAAAGCCCATCTCTACTAAAAATACAAAAATTAGCTGGGTGTGGTGGTGGGCACCTGTAATCCCAGCTACTCAGGAAGCTGAGGCAGGAGAACTGCTTGAAACTGGGAGGCGGAGGTTGCAGTGAGCCGAGATCGTGCCATTCATTGCACTCCAGCCTGGGTGACAGAGCGAGACTCCATCTCAAAAAAAAAAAAAAAAAAAAAAAAAGGCATTAACTAGGGCCTGTTAGGTGCTGCATTTCATATTGCTAATCAAAAGAACATTTGTCTGTGATGGTGAGAGTGGACATCTAGTTGAGAGTATTTAGGCTTCAAAGTAGGAATCAGAAACCCTAAACAAATAAAGCATCACAGTCTAAGAAATCTATTTGAAAAGTCTAAAGCATCAAATCCCCAAGGCATAGTTTAAACGATGACAGAATGGGTTTTAACTTTCATATCTCTTGGATCTAGAGTCTAAATAATGATATTAATATTAACCTAT
Organism: Homo sapiens; assembly: GCF_000001405.40. NCBI lineage: Eukaryota > Metazoa > Chordata > Mammalia > Primates > Hominidae > Homo > Homo sapiens. The sequence continues at coordinate 83,225,507 of NC_000006.12, forward strand.
TTTTAGCAAATGTCATAATATACCTTTTAGTTGTTCTTAAAGTTGTATAACAGAAATTCAACCTTCTTTGAGAGACAAAAAGATGAAAATAGATGAGGCAGAAAAACAAATTCTCATCTAGCTGTTTATAAGACACTGTTATGTTTTGCACAGAATTCGGTTTTGTTTTCAGACAAGTCTGATACCTTAAGCTCTTTAGCAGATAAAACATTTTGTTATAAACAACTTTCTAATGTAACTAAATTATTACTTCATATATAAAGGTTTTGGAAAATTATATTTGAGAAAGAGGCCTGTAACATTATATATATATATATATATATATATATATCTCCCCCACTCCTGCACTCCCACTCTTCCTGCCTTTCTATAATCACCATATTTTAAGGAGAAATGTCATTAAATAAATGACAGTACTGTAGCTAGCTAAATATTCTCATATATATATGTTATTAACATGGTGAAGGGAACCTTCCCATACCATTTTTAGATTATATTTTTATGGTTCAATAGTCTTTCTGTATATTGTAACTTAACCTTTCCTATCTTCACCTGTGCCTACAGTAGCAGAAACTCACATCCAGCAACAGGCAGACCTTTCCTTTTTCTCCAATCCTTTAGCCAAACCAGTGTCTAAATTTTCATCCTCAAAATAACTTTCAATGTTTTATGTAGAAAAACATAGAACATTAGGCAAGATGATAAGAAAGAGTTGAGGCATACATTTATATCAGACACATTCAAAGTTTAAAATACAACTACATAAATTTGGCTAATTTTGTTTATGTGTGTTATAGATAAGTCTCTTAACCCTTGAGGCCTGTTGAGATATATTAAGACAAAATAATTAATTAAACACTTGTTTATTATATGCCTAGTAGGTGCAAGGCATGATGCTAAGACTTGGTTGTTGCTGAAAGGACTTTTTTTTCCTTTAAGGATTTAAGGACTACTGAATAATGTGAGGCAAATTCCCCAATCTAGAGATGAGATAAAAATTAAAATCAGTGAGAACACTGATGCCATCCCAAATAAGAGAGATAAACAATGGAGTGGCTCCTTGCCAAAAAGAAAAATCACTAATTCTAGTATTGAGCATTTAAGGATATATGATTAAAATAGAGCCATTAAGTTCCAGTTAATGCAGAGTGACATAGCGTTCATGTTTACCTCTCTAGTTCATTTTGGATTTCTTTCCAAAATAAACATTTTAGATAGATATGACTCAACCTCTATTTTGTTGTAATGATATTTTAAAGTCTTTGAAGGGAAAAAAGGCTCCTTTCAGCATATCAGCCAAATACATATTAGTACAAACATGGTATAAAATAAATCATAGTAAAATGTTGAAGCATTGAGGACTCCTATCCCAGTCTGGCTGGATGTCAAGATAGTTGCCCAAATGTTCCACCCATAGTACCAAAACCCAAACCCAGGATTTAGCAAAGCAAAAATAAGGTTGTGGTTTTACATTGTATGCTTCAGTGTTTGGGAATAGCTAGTTAAAAGCTATTTTAATAAGCCTCTAGAACCAAGCTGCTTCCTTTCTATTTAACTTTTATGTTTAAATCTTAGATATCTATTTCCAAATCACTTGTGGAAAATTATCAGTAAAACATTAAAATATGTATTTTATTTTGTTGAAGAAGAGGATTTATACAACATTCTAGAAAAGGAAATAGTTCTTATCCCTCTGATTTGTGTGCTTTTCTTTCCATTTTGGTTGTATAATTTTTAAACTTAAACAGTAAGCACCTTAGATATCCTAGGCCTCCCTATAATGAATAAAAATTTGATTATTAAAATATCTGTTATAGTTTTACTTTACCTTGGTTATTTTGTAGCACTGCTCTGCAGAACATTCTGCTTTGCTAGTTGGATTACTCAAAGCAAAAATAATAGGCCGTTCATTGAAGGCAGCCATATCTTTGAGAATTTGTTCTGAGAATGCACCACCAATTGCAGCAACTCCTAATGAAGAAATATGAAGCTGGTAATTAACACTATCATTGGTTAATTCACACAAGAAGACCATGCCTCAAATCAATGATATCTATCAGCTCATTTTCTAATAGACCCTAAACAAAATGCTATATAAACTATTTGTATTCAAGTATAGTGACAAAAAGAGGCAAGTTTGTTAATGCCAACAATCCTTACAATCCTTAGGGTCACAAATCTACAAATATCTATTAAAAACTAAAGATAATATTTGGCTTCCATAGTACATTGAGTTAGTTACCAATCACTTGGAAATTTGTATCTAATGTGTAAACTTTCTTTATAAGCAATTCTATGAGTATATTTCAGTCTTGTCAGGCTACAAAGCAATTAAGTTTTATAAACCAACGCTATCACTTAAGACAACCATCTGATTCATCTGCAAAAGTAAAGTACCACCCACTGAAGTAACTTTAACAGAAGAATAAAGCAATTAGCATAATGGAAATGAAAAACAATAAGATTATTGACAGAATATATTTTGTAAAAACAATATTAAACACTTAGTAAAGTTCCTGTCATGGAGTAAGTACTTCTTTTATTGTAGTTATCATCATTATTTTCAACGTTGTCATCTGTTTCACAAGAGCTTGTAGGAATGGAGTATAATACAAGGTAAAAATCAAAATTATATATGCACAAAATAAAGAATAAAGTTTCATAAATTCCTTTGAGTTTTCTAAAACCACTTTAAAGTCTTGCACTGCACATGCATTGTGTAAGTACTGTATTAAGTGCTATAAGGAAAATAAAGATTTGTGAGATGTGATCCCTGTCTTCCAGGAGGGTCTTATCTACTGCAGTATTTCTCAACCTCAGCACTATTGACATTTTAGGCTGGATAATTCCTTGTCGCAGGGGCTGTCCAGTGCACTACAGGATATTTAGTAGAATCATTCCGCTGCCTCTATCTGCTAGATGTCAGTAGCCCCTCCCTTTACTCCCTTCCAACCCCGCTACCCTAGTTAAGACAACTCAAAGCTTCCAGACATTGCCAAATGTTTCCTGCAGGGCAAAAATCCCTCTTATTTGAGAACCACTGTCTATCTGGAGTAATCAAGCCTAGAAAAGTGCTGAACGTGCCAGGTATTAACAGGCTGAGTTAGAGGAGGGGGCCATACGCTTCATCTCAGATCAGTAAGAGAAAGACGACAGGACTAAAGTTAAAAATCTAGGTCTCTACAGGGTACTGTCGCTTGAGCGAACGTGTAGTTTTTTGAATTCAAAAAGGCTAAATTATACCTCAAAAATTGGTAGTAAAAAAAACAATCAGGTCAAAATAAGGGGTAGGGGAGAAGGGAGAGGAGAAAATGCTTACCTATGAGGGCAGTTGGTTTTATTTCTTGAACAATGGCTTCTAGGTTCTTCATTTCTTCATGTTCATGGGCAAACTTCTCTTTCTCTTGTGTTAAGGAAGCACGTCCCTAAGTAAAGCCAGTAAGAAAAAATTAAGAATCTGCCAAACATGTGAGGGTCAATAAATTTCGGTACATATATTACAAATATTTATGCTTAACATTTTTATGTATGATGTGTTACAGCTATTCTTAAAATCTCTTCTTCAATTGTCAGAATGTTATTTCATTCATTCGTTTAACAAATATTTATATGTCAATGTTCTAGGCAATGGAGATGTAACAGTGAACAAAACAAAGTCCTTCATTTAATTGATATTAAAAATCCTAATTTTACAGACATGTGAGAACTAGCATTAACAAATGGCCATGCAAAATATAATTTAAATAATTATATTGTTCGTCACACATTGTGTTTTATAGCAGGTCTCAGAATTTGGAGTTGGCTTCAGCTTTAGCCCTACCAATTTATGCTACTGACTAAGAAAAGAATTTGAAGTCATATTTATGTCATTGTTAGATTTTCTCAGTAAGTATGCATTTTATATGTTTTTGTTTTTAATGTTCTGATTATGAATGCGCCATGTGTTATCTAGTAAACATCTAATTATAATATTCTAGCTGCAAATTTTAAAGATTTGACTACATAATGGATCACTGCCTAATTTTATATGGTACTTGATGACTTACAAGTTGTTTTCACATATTTCATTTGATCCCCTCAACAATTCTGAGAAGCAGGACAAGTATAAGTATAGTCATTTTACATATGCGGAAACATGTTCAGAGGTTTTAAGGGACTTGCTCAAGGCAAGAGATTGTACTAGAACTCAAAGCCTTTTCAATATAGCACAGAATCACCCCGGGCAAAAACTTAACAAATAGTATGTCATAGTCTTTGCAAATTGTTAATAATGAAGATAGTACAATTTTCTTTCTTTAAAGGGTATTATCATTTTATTTCTGTTGCTTTTGTTTGTTTGAAATGAGGTCTCATTTTGTCATGCAAGTTGGAGTGCTGTGGATCAGAGGTCACTGCAGCCTTGAACTCCTGGGGTCAAGGGATCCTCCCACCTAAGCCTCTCTAGTAGCTGGAACTACAGGCATGCACCACCATGCTTGGCTAATTTATCATTTTTTTTTAGAGATGGGGGTCTCGCTATATTGCCCAGGGTTGTCTCGAACTTCTGGCCTCAGGAGTGATCTTTTCGCTTCAGCCTCCTGAGTCACTAGGATTATAGGCGTGAGCCACCATGCCAGGCTCTGTTTTTTTTTGTTGTTGTTGTTGTTGTTGTTGTTTTTAATTTTGTTTTGTTTGTCTTTTTTTTTTGAGACAGAGTTTTTGCTCATGTTGCCCAGGCTGGAGTGCAGTGGCGCGATCTCGGCTCACCGCAACCTCCGCCTCCCGGGTTAAAGCTATTCTCCTGCCTCAGCCTTCCAAGTAGCTGGGATTACAGGCATGTGCCCGGCTAATTTTATATTTTTAGTAGAGACAGGCTCTGTTTTTAAAAGCAATATACTGAATTATTAAAAAATTTGAAACATATGAACCTCTTTGTGCTTGTCTCCTCATCTGTAAATAAGGATAATAAGGACTTCTACCTCATCAGGTTGTTTGTGGGGTAAATGAAATGTAATGCATGTAAAACACTCAGGACTGTACCTGGTTTATAGTAAGAGCTCTATGCTAGTTGTTGTTGCAATTAAAATTTTTGTGAAGAAGAAAAAAATCATAATTCCAGCACTTAAAGTTTTGGTATATTTTCTCCTATTAATAATCTGCTGTAGGCCAGGCGCAGTGGCTCATGCCTGTAATCCCAGCACTTTGGGAGGCTGAGGCGGGCGGATCACGAGGTCAGGAGATCGAGACCATCCTGGTTAACACGGTGAAACCCCGTCTCTACTAAAAATATACAAAAAATTAGCTGGGCGTGGTGGCAGGAGCCTGTAGTCCCAGCTACTCAGGAGGCTGAGGCAGGAGAATGGCATAAACCCAGGAGGCAGAGCTTGCAGTAAGCCAAGATCACACCACTGCACTCCAGCCTGGGCGACAGCGAGACTCTGTCTCAAAAAAATAAAAAATAAAAAAAAGAAATGATTAGCCAGTTTTGAGAATCAGTGTACTAAATGATCTATCATATCCCTACCACATGCGTTTTTAAGAGGTTATGTGCTATGTTTTCAAAAAAGTATACAATAATGAGTCTAAAGAAGAAAAGCTATAGAATAAGATAAATTGGAAGTCACAGCTTTTTTGGCTGTCAAGCTGAGATATAATGAAAAATATTTAAATTGCCTAGAATGGGAAACAAATAATAAAAAAGACAGATGAATAATGTATGAAAAGAAAAAGATATATACTTAATCATAAACATCTTTATTAATCATAGTATACCCACTGGCAGCTCCTAGACACTGAAGCCAGAACTTAGCCAGAAGACATTCCATCTAGTAAGAAGCATAAATTACCCATGGCAACACTTTCAAAGGCTTGATTCCTGGTATGACTTACAAGTGCTGAAAGAATGCTGAAAAAAGTCCAGGAATCACGAAATGGTAATACTAGCAATACTGAAGGTCTTACTTGACAAAACAGAAGAAGCAAAAGACACACACACAAAATGTCTCCCAAGTATGTTCTCTACCATTTTCAAAATTGACTTGATGACCTAGTTTAAAGAAACTACTGGAATGTGACAACCTTTTCTAAATCCGGTAATACTGAGGCAACTACCTGTACCTTTGGACTTCTATTTTCTAGACTAATGGCTTATTTTTCTTTATTTTTCAAAATCTGATTTGGAATACATATTCGTTATGCCAATAACTTCAGTTGGTATGGAGATGAGTAGATGTCTTTTCCCTTCATTCTCCCTTTTCAGGATCCCTTGCTGAAATCCTTTTGCCTTCTTTTGGCAAAGTGCATGTGGGCACCTCTCACCTCAGAAATCCCAAATTCTATGATGCATCTTTTCTCTCTCTGTTTTTTTCAAGAGTCTCTAATTACCTCAAACATATTATGGATAGCTGAAACTTTATTTGTGATATTATTACTTTAATCTCCCCTATCCCTTTATATTGTGATGATTCTTACTATATCGTAGAAGATATAACCAGATTTAATTACTACCTTTTCAAAAGCACATGTTTATAGTGGGCATAGGGAGGAGAATGGGGGCAAAGGCTGCCAAGATTTTGGGCTATTATTCCACAGCCCAGGATAGGAATAAGTAAATTAATTCTAGATTACCAGTGATAAATATTTATTCCTTCCTACATACAGGGACTAGAAAAACTCTTCCACAAGCCCCAGTTGGACTACCTACCCCCAATTTACTGGCCTGTTTTTGCTGTCATGTCATTAGTTTATCAGAGTTGAACCTGGCCCCTCTTTGGATCTGTGGACAGGGCTTTCTCAGCACATAGTCAGTAGCATTTCACTGCATTTGTTGCAAATCAGGTATGTGCACTTGCTAAAAGAGTCCAGAGCTGTGTTTCATCATCTCAGGACAGATTAAACTAAGATAAATTATGTGACAAAAGTATAGTAAGGGGCATGGAGTGTTTTTAATGTAAGATAGTAGGTGGTGAACTCCATCAGTATTTAATTTTGTATGTTAAAAATCAATATTCATAATTTTCTAAGACTCATGCATATAATCTTTGGCCTCTGTTCTTTTTAATACCTACATGCATTGATCATACTCTATTTGAAATAAAAAAGAGGGAGAAAACAATCAAGCCAGATACTTTTTACCAGCTTACATAGTCTATTTGGAGTTAGAATTTTTTATTAAACCACATTGTATGAAATGTATTAACCATCATTCAGGGTGAAGGCAGCACCAGTCAAAAATTCTGATAAAATAGCAGATAAACTATATAGTCTGTAGTTTCAAGCCCTCGACCTAGAGATTATACTTTCAGGAATGAAATAACTATATTGTCAAAACTACCTTTATAACATACAATATACCTTTATTGACCATCTCTTTCTACAGGAGCTAAACATTTAACTATAAGTCAGAAAAATACAGTACAGCAAAATTATTTAAAACAAAACAAAATAAAATAAAAATAAAAACGAAATTCAAACCAGTCTATGGCTTCATTCTGGGTTAGATGAAATCGATCCTTCGTAAGGTCTGTTAATATCCTACTTTTTATTTTGAAGTTCTGTCAGCATTAATTTCGTTTATTAGTGAGAGCGAAAATATAATATTTATTTAAGACAAAGATTAAACCTGGTTTGTTTTGTGGCTTCTTATCCTCCTGAAAATGCTCCAAATCTTCACTGCAAAATGCAAATACTAGGCAACATTCCCTTTTCATTCTCTTTTCACTGTCTTTATTCTTACTTTAATTTTTGTTTTGGAAGGTTTTTTAAAACTAAGTATTAGTTTTACATTAAAATGTATTAATATTAGTTGACAAAATTAATATATAAATTATTTTCCACTATAAAAAACTAAAGCATCTTATGTTTATTACTATAAAGTACAAAGATATTTGAGTATGATCCATAACCAAGTAATTGACTTCAATTAACCTTGGTGATATGGATGAATTATTTACAATATTGGTATTCTATAGCATTAACTCTTTCCACTGCACATATGGATATGGTGTAAATGATGGAAAATGCTATGCCTGTGATGTTGAAAGTTGAAAGAGAAAATATGCTGGAATAATAATTATCTAGCGTGATGATGATATAACTTCAAAGATGAGCTGACTTCACAGTTCATGTTTGAGTTTTTGACATGGTGTTTTTAAAAAGTGGAGTTTCACCAAGAAAATTTTTTATTTAAAACTTTATGGTATTTTTACATTTTATAAACAATTATATTATAAGTTAATAAAATTAATAAAATTATTATTATTGGTTCTCAGGAGATATAAAAGTACTAAGAATGAAGGATAAAAAACACAAAAGAATCATGTAAATTTGAAAATGGGATTACACTAATTTACTGGTTATTCTAAGGCTTAGTTCTGCAACAAAAGTCAATATAAGGATTTTGACTGTTTAAAAGCATGAAAGAAAAAGTGAAACTTAATATGTATCTTTTATATTAAATAGTGTACAAGCTATTAAATATATAACAACCTTTTAAAATGTAATTTTATCTTGGCAAGCAGAATATATGAACTTCTTTATTTTGGCAAGTAAAAGACACGAAGTAAGAGAGACTGACTAGATCTAGCCAACTACTTCACAGTTATTCCAAGTATTATATCCATGGACTCTGGAATCTCAGCTCAGTAAATGTGTGTTAAAATTATTCAAGATGCTAAAATCTATGTATTTTTACACAGATTTCAGGTAAAAATGTCATCAGAGACAACAAAATAAAACCACATAGACTTCCACTTTTTGGACTTTTGAATATTTTATATCCCTAAGGACAACAATTTGTATAGCTTTCTCCACAGCTCCTACTATTCCTACTATTTACATGGTGATGACCCCCAGATCCCTATCTCCAACCCAGACACTTATCCTCTGTATCAGTCCCGTATCTCCAACTGCCAATGGGACATCTCTGTCTGAGGTCTCCACAATCACCTTAAACTTTCTATGTGTGAAACTGATCCTGTTACTTCCCTTAAATTGGTCTGTTCTTTATTCCTTACTAGACAGACCCCAAGGAGTCCATCTAGACTCCTTCCTCCACTCCACCCTATTCCTCCTTCCATATTTCATCAGTTACTAAGTATGCCACTTCTATTTCCTAAATACCTACTGAATTAAGTTTCTTTCACTCACCTCTGGTTATGCCCCAATTAATTTCTATCTGGATTATTGCAACAGCTTTGTAACTAGTTCTTTTTCTCAGTTTCCCCTCATTGCAATCCATCCTCCACAATGCCATCAGAGTAAAGGAGAGGCAAACCCCCCTGCACAGGTTTGTTTAATTGCTCATCTTCAGGGTTCGGAAAGCCCTTCATCTCTTATCATCTGCTTCCTTTCTAATATAATCTGTAAATGTCCCTTATACCAAAATATTTTATTTTGTACATGCTGGTTCTCCTGTCTGTAAAGTGACTTATTCACTCATTTATTAACAAAATATTTGTTGTCAGGCATGTACTACACACTGTATAGAACTTTGAAGATCTAAAGAGATGAAAGGCATCATCTTTAGCTTCTATCAAGATCTCTCAGTGAACTTGCCATCATATTTCCTTTGTTTCAGTTTTGTATATAGGAAATTTAAGATATCCATGGAGACCCTAGATAAACTCCTAACTCTTGCTTTCCAACTTAGCTTAATAGACACGTTGTCTTGATATCTTCCTCAGTACTCCCATCTTTTTCCTTAGTGCAGTTGGGAGCATCATCTCCTGTGCACCTTGACACCATGAACATATTTTTTATAATACTTTCATATGGTTCTAGTTCTGTAACTAGTGGCTTGAATTTTTCTCACTAGGCTATCAGCTTCCTAAGATCAAGGGCTTTATTGAATCCCCAGAGTCTAGAACAACACCCGATCCATAGGTGGTTTTATTCAATAAACATTCTTATTTCATGCCCACAACTTGTCACATGATGACAGTGTACAAAATTTTCATACTATGCTGATTCTTCAAAGCAATAGCTATTTTTTTTTTTTTTTTTTGAGATGGAGTCTCGCTCTGTCACCCAGGATGGAGTGCAGTGGCGCGATCTCGGCTCACTGCAAGCTCCACCTCCTGGGTTTACACCATTCTCCTGCCTCAGCCTCCCAAGTGGCTGGGACTACAGGCGCCCACCACCATGCCCAGCTAATTTTTTTTGTATTTTTAGTAGAGACGGGGTTTCACCCTGTTAGCCAGGATGGTCTCGATCTCCTGACCTCGTGATCCACCCGCCTCGGCCTCCCAAAGTGCTGGGATTATAGGCGTGAGCCACCACGCACAGCCAGCAATAGCAATTTTTAAGCCAAGAAATCCATACTGAAAGCCTCTGTCTTTATATATACTTATTTACTACAAAAGTTATGCATATATTTTTTCTTCATTTAAAGAAACATATTTATGTATATTAATTTTAAAAAACAAATATTTTTCTAGCTTTAAAGGAACAGATTACTAAAAATTCAAAATATATAAAAAAGACATTAGAAATAAATGTTTTAAGGTAATATGCATTTGATATATTTCCTTCTATGACTTTCATATACAACTGTATTTTAAATAAAAAATAATATATACTATGGTATTTGTTTTTTTCACCTAACATTATATTATGAATCCTTTACCATGTCATTTATTGCTCTTTGAAAACAATTTAAAGCCTATACAATATACTAATGTGGCTATTCCACAATTCATTTGACAATCATCCTTTATTTAGGTAAGTGTAACATATCACTATTATAATTAATGTGTGATAAACCATATCATTATTGTAAATAATGCTGCAATAATATCCTCATACATAAAATACTGTATACATCTCTATCTCCATGAGATAGATTCTTTGAATGGAAACTAGTGGCTCAAAAATATAAACTTTTAAAGGCTTTGAATACACATAAAACAGCTTTCCAGAAAGTCTGTATGTACACATTCACATTTACTTCTATACTAAATTCCGGAAGACACTGCTTACCATTATTTATTCCTAATCATTCATCTTCACATAGGAAGGGGATTTATATGTACTTTTTTCTAGCAGTTTAAAGAATGATTGATATGCACAGGTGGCACAAGTATTAATAATGCCTTATAACTATATAGCAATATGGCCACAAACCTAATTTTATTTAGTTCTCAAAATAATACTATGAAGTAGATACTATTATCACTATTAAAGATGGAGAAACTCAAGCTCAGGTAAGATAACATTCAAACAAGCTATTTATCAAAGTTTTCTCTCAGGAATTCCCATTCAAACCCTTAAGAATTTGGTTGAGAGGAAGTAGCAGGTAAAGGGTAGCTATTTCATTTCTTTCCTCATTTCTTTCTAGCTAATGTACAATTTGATCACCAACTCTCAATAAAAAGTGATATATCTAGGTGTTTCATCTGTATCAATATCAAATTGCTAAATTTAAAACTAAACTGGCCAAGTGCAGTGGTTCATGCCTGTAAATCCCAGCACTTTGGGAGGCTGAGGCAGGAGGATCACTTGAGCTCAGGAGTTTGAGACCAGCTTGGGAAACACAGTGAAAGCTGTACAGTTTTTTTTTTTTTTAATTAGCCGGATATGGCGGCCTGTGGTCCCAACTGCTCAGAAAGCTAAGGTGGGATAGGGATCACTTGAAAACAGGAGGTCAAGGCTACAGTGACCATGGAGGCATCACTGCACTCCAGCCTGAGTGACAAAGTGAGACCCTACCTCAAAAACAGAGAGAGAGAGAGAGACAGAGAGAGAAAAGAAAGAAAGAAAGAAAGAAAGAAAGAAAGAAAGAAAGAAAGAAAGAAAGGAAGGAAGGAAGGAAAGAAAGAAAAAGAAAGAAAGAAAAGGAAGGAAAGGAAGGAAGGAAGGAAAGAAAGAAAAAGAAAGAAAGAAAGAAAGAAAAGGAAGGAAAGGAAGGAAGGAAGGAAAGAAAGAAAAAGAAAGAAAGAAAGAGAAAGGAAAGAAAGGAAGGAAAGAAAGAAAGAAAACTAAACTAATTCAAATGGACTGTCAATTCAAAGGGGTGTAAGGAGCCGACTCACATTGCAGATGGAATCTGTTCCTAAGTCATAGTTTTCTTTATTCAGAAGAGTATCAGTATTCTGTATGACATGATCATTTGTATTTAATGGCTACTCTTTTAATATAGTGTAAAGGGAGGTGGTAGAAACAGAGTTGTCTTTGAGATGGCCATCCAGAATGGCATAGTTATCTTTATTCTGGTTAAAAATGACAAATTCTTACCTTAACTATTAATCCTTTTGAATCAACCAGCCATATCTTTTTGATGGCTTTCTCTTTTGGTAAACCTTCTTTTTCCAAGGCCATCACAATCAGGTGTGCAATCCCTAGGGCAGCCTCAGTGATGAAAAGAAAAAATTTTAAAGTTGTTCTACATGATATCTTATTAAGGGTTACATTTCACCCCATTTTGTCTTTGTTAGTGGGAACAAAATATTTTTGTCACATTTAGGTTAAGCCAAATAACAATTATTTACCCTTTTTACTACAACAGAGCCACTATTATGTGGCTTGCTATTTGGCCACAGATAAACTGGTGATATCCTTGATTGTCAGTGTATTTAATCCTGTTAATACAACCAAGATTTGCTCCAAGAAAAAATACTGAATTCAAAATAATGAACTGGTCAACCTTGCTCATTGAACTGTATTGTTTATTGTTAGGTTCAAGCTACTCTAATTGAATTTGAAGAAAGAAGCTTGGTCATTTGGATGGGAACTTGACCAATTAGGCAACAGAATGAAACTGATGAAAAATAAAAGATCTGTGTTTCCAAGCATCTACTTACTCTTCTAATTTGGATACCAAAAGTGCTGTGAAATTTATTGCAAGATTAAAGGAATCAACTTCCTTGGTATTTGGTAAATTTTATAATTATCTGTGAAATTTCCAATATCTTTCCAGGGACAAACAAGTGCTAGTTTTGAATCATCCAACCATGAATTCTTCTGCCTAGTTGAGTATCAAGAACTGGCCTGTGCCATTCATCAAACCCTTTGAAAATTCAAAGAGGTTTACTAAAGTTAAATACAGCATGTAATAATCCGCAAAATAGAGAACTCAAATGTTAATGAGCTGTCATTTAGCCTTGATTTTTATTTCAATGTGAAAGTGAATTTGTGATTTACATTCTGAATACTTTCACATATTTGTATCGTGGCATTTGAATTCTAACTTCACATATTTTGTTTTATCTAAAAACAAGCAAAATGAAAACCAATATGACATAAACAATGATCTACCAGTGTAACATATTGTTGTGTTCATAATCATATTCAATTTGAAAATTTAAAGTTTCTTGAAAAATATATATATATATATATATAGCCACAAAATATTTCTCTATTACTTACATTCTATAATTCTAAAGAGATTTTGGCAGTTTTCCCATAAGAAACTCAAACTCAACTAACATTTTAATTTCTAGTTTGGGGATGAATTATTATTACAGGAGTCTAGTTTTCTTCTTTCAGATTATTAAATTAAGCAAGTAATAACAAAGCATAATTTGGTTTTGCTGCAGTCTCTTTCCAACAATTTAAAATATTTTGGGATTTTTGCATGTGAACAGTAATAATATACTACAAATCCCTAATTCAAAATGTTTTTTCTTAAAAACACATATGTAGTTACATACATACACACTGAATTGTGAGTCAAATTTTAAAAACTTGTTTTTGTAACACTGGAGTATACTAAAAGCCAGTATCAGATAAACCAGCTTAAATACATAAAAGCTTGCATATATACACATACATTGGAAAGTTTTCCTGTATGGCACCTTAGATATGCATAACAAATACCTACGGCAACATTTGATAATACCACAAATTTAAAACTGTGAAAAATATCTCATTACTTCTGTACTAAATTATCCTATGAATAATTAATATGTCTCAGTACTTAATTTGGGAATCTTCCATAAAGCCTACAGTCATAATATACTAAAAATTTGAAAGAATACGTCAAATCTTGAGTTAATGAGCAATTAACACTAATTATATGTTAGTTTAGGAGAACATAAGTATTACACAAGGCAAATACCTCTCCAGCTCCTTGGAATAGTATTGTTTGATCAGACAGTTTGTTCTTGGTTATTCGAAGAGCTGCAAGGAGACCTGCAACTGCAACAGATGCTGTTCCTGAAACAAGTAATAAATATCCTTGAGTAATCCTCAAACAGATCCTGCCAATTTTCAAGCTTTTATTCACAACTTGAAATAATCATAAAACAGGTTAACTGGTACAGAAGAGAAACCTGTGGTTGTCTTATCCCATGCTTGCATACGTGGTAAAATTCCCAGGCTACTGACATCAATATTTTAAGATAGCAGCTTACTACTATTCTTGAAAACTTCCCTAAAAGAAGATTCTGTGACTTATCTTAGTGACATAATCAATGAAAGGATGGGATCTGGATTCCTCAGATTCTAGCTCAACAACCCACTGACTAGCTGAAAGAATTTAGAGAAATTATTGTGTACATCAAATAGATAGTTTCCTCATCTGTAAAGTAGTTTTACTTTATGATATAAAAGAGTAATAAGTGCTATTAGATTCTTCCGTCTAATTACTCTTGGGGTTTTGAAATCTATTAATGATCCCCTTCACACAAAGAAGGCTTCACACAAAGAAACTCTTCTTCACACAAAGTAGGCTTCACACAAAGAAACTCTTCTTCACACAAAGAAACTCTTAATGTAAGAGTTTCAGAACCTGAGATAGGAGGACACAAATAGTAAATTCTTGCTGATGATGGTATTGGTGCTCATAATATTTTTGATACATTTGGAATTTAATGTTAATGGCAAGTAAAATCTAATTATATTGTATCATTTAATAGACTTTTTACCTATGAAAATCACTGGTGGATCCCAAAGGTACTAGACAAAACTAATGCAAAATTTCTTAAGATAAAAATTATATTTTCCTCATCATGTCTCATAGGCATAAAAACTTCACCAGTTCCAATTATATTACTTTACCATATAAGCATTCACAGATCACAAAGCAGTTCTCTTGCTTTAAGTGTAATTACACAGCTCAACTTCTTTATGGCTAATAAAGCAGCAGCTTCTTGCAACACTTTCCAGCTGTATCTATACTTTACTCCTCCAAGGTAACATTCTACCTATAATGTTTCCTACATCACTCAGCTGGGTAGTAAAGCCTAGCTAAACGTTAAATACCCTTATTTAACATTATGGTTAAAACAAAGATTAGACTAGGTTTGATGAATGACACAACGATGAAGCGTTATGTATGTCAAGTATCAAAGGTAATCAACATTTCACAATCAGTAAATTTGTTCTATTCAATCTTTTAGTTTCTTTCTTGTATAATTAGGTAGCCGCAAATAAGAACACAATAAACAATAATTGTTGAAGGCCTGTTAGTCCCATATGTGCCTTTTCTTTAGGATCACAATGTGTACTACAAAAATAAAATGCATGCAATTTAGAGTCACTATTGCAATAATTATGAACTGTGCTAAGTCATATATTATGAAAAAGCCACTCTTCTATACATTACTTAAGGTGAAAATCTATGCAAAAAATATGGCTAGTGTATGTAGAGAATATATCATGACATGATTAGAATGATATTTTCCCCATGCAAGATATATTCACTAGAGTCATTAAACAGATGAAAGAGAATTTAAACTAGAAAGAGAGGTATAGATATCCACTTACTAAATAAGAAGTTATTCAGAAATAGTAGCTCAAGCTATCTCTCTCTTGGGTTCTTTTGAAGTAAACTGCCCAGAAGTTTGGATCTGGGGAACTCTAAGCTCCCTTCCAACTCTGAGATTCTATGATTTTAAGGGTTTCTATAAGATTTAACCAATTGAAGCATCAAAGTTGAAGTATCATCAGCAATCACTGTATTTGTATTATTATTTTTATTTACATCGAATTGGACACTTACGGTCAGATAGACAGAAAATATTCTAAAATATCCTATTTGGTACCTTAATTTCATATGGTTATGCTAGATCACTTAAAACTCAAAATGTGTTAAGTTCATACATTATATTTAAAGATATATTTCATAATATTTCCTGAGAACACAATGAAAACACTAATCTTCCATTTATAGAATTAATTAATAAAATCAGAAAGATATTTTTAGCACTATCAAAAATTTAACTTGAACATGATTCTTGTACATGGCCTGGTACTACCTTGATTTAAATTTCATTGCAGAGAAGGGAATACATGTAGAAAATTGAAATTTCATAAAACTGTAAATTTTTACAATAAATTATTCCATAATAAGTTTTACTTTAAGATTTAAAACTAAGCTTTTTATAAGTCAGACAGAATTCGTGCTTAGGTTTATCTTCATACTATCAGTTTTTGTATTTATTTTTATTTTTTTATTTTGAGTCAGCGTCTTACTCTGTCACCCATGCTGGAGTGCAGTGGCGCGATCCTGGCTCACTGCAGCGTCCATCTCCCAGGTTCAAGCGATTCTTCTGCCTCAACCTCCCAAGTAACTAGGATTACAGGCACCCACCACCATGCCTGGCTAATTTTTGTATTTTTAGTAGAGACAGCGTTTTGCCATGTTGGCCAGACTGGTCTCACACCCCTGACCTCAGGTGATCTGCCCGCCTCAGCCTCCCAAAGTGCTGGGATTACAGGCGTGATGAGCCACTGAGCCCCGCCTGTACTATCAGTTTTAAAGAGGACTTAACACTGTTAGCAAGATACTAAACAGATCGAATTTTTCTTAACATTTTAGAAACTTACGACTTTAACATAAACATAAACATAACAACATATGGTTGTTAAATAAAAGTCTCACCTTTTATCAAAGAATAGCCTCTACTAATGCAATAATTTGTTAAATCTGGTTAAAATTACCATATATATTTTAGTAAGGTAGATCAATATGTAATCAAATAATTATAATCCTCATGTGCTACTAAATAGATTGGGTAAAATACAAGAACTAGAAGTAGCAGGGGGATGGGTGAATTTATCTAGGCAAAGGTCAAGGCATTTAGAGTGCATACTCCCTGAACACAGTATTGATTAATGTAAGAGTTTCAGAACCTCAGACAAGAGGACACAATGAGTAGGAAAAGCATATGCAAAGACATGAAGGCAGGGATGACTCCCTGTTAGAAATGGAAGTTGAACACACAATTAGTATTCCTTTCCCCAACAAACTCTACTAAAACAATAGAAAACTGCTTTTTCGAAAAGAAAAAAATTAAAAAGACTAAGAGAAAAGGGTAGCAAAAAAGGGTAGCAACAACATTTTAGAAGCTGACAGGCTTCTAAATGAGCAAATGGCAACTGACTTAGCAGACTTGAGAAAGCTGAATTGTTGGCCGGCAGTGGGGAATAAGTGACCAGACTGATACAGCAAAACTCTCAAAAACCCAGGTATAGGAGGCACCAAGTGCCTCTGGAAGTAGGGATAAAGGAGAGGGTGAAAACAGGAAGCTGGTCAAAAGTCTGTTAAGAAGGCTAGGGTGCAGAGGTTTATGTCCTGTAACCTCAGGACTTTGGGAGGCCAAGGCAGGAGGGTTGCTTGAACCCAGGGATTTGAGACCAGCCTGGGCAACATAGAGATACCCATCTCTACCCCCCAAAAATTTTTTTTTTAAATTAGCTGGGTGTGATGGTACATGCCTGTATTCCTAGCTACTTGGGAGGCTGAGGCAGTAGGATCACTTGAACCCAGGAGTTTGAGGCTGCAGTGAGCTATGACTGCTCTGCTGCACTCCAGTCCAGCCTGGGCAACAGAGAGAGATACTGTCTCAAAATTAAATATATATATTTAATTATATATAATATACAATTATATGTAATTATATAAAATATAATTATATTATATTTATATATTTATATAATATATTATATAATAGATTATATTTATATATTTATATAATATATTATATAATTAGATTATATTTATATATTTATATAATATATTATATAATTAGATTATATTTATATATTTATATAATCTATTATAATTATGTTATATTGATATAATCTATTATAATTATATTATATCGATATAATCTATTATAATTATATTATATCGATATAATCTATTATAATTACATTATATCGATATAATCTATTATAATTACATTATATCGATATAATCTATTATAATTACATTATATCGATATAATCTATTATAATTACATTATATCGATATAATCTATTATAATTATATTATATTGATCTATTAAATAATTGTGTATTTATATAATATATAATTATATTATATTATATATTATATAATTATATTATATTTATATATAATTATCTTATATTTATATATTATATATTATATTTATATAATATAATATATAATATAAATTATATATATAATTATATATAACTCTCTCTCTATATGTGTGTGTGTATATATATATATATATATCAGTTAAAACCCAGATCTGCATCCCCCTCTCCTTCTAGAAGATAGTCAACTTCCCCACACTCTGGAAGTTTGAAAGAAAACTTGAGGCTCATTTTCTGGAAAGGGTCATTGGAGTATAAGACACCAGGCATAATTGGGGGCAAGGATTCCATACTAGAAACAAGCTTAACTGGAAGTTTACATACTCAATACGGAGACCCTCCAATCTTCTCCTACTTAAAGAGCACTGGCAGAAAGGTAGTATCAGGAGCGAGATTGGAAAAATCTTTTCTGTGGAATCTCAGCAGTGTAAGAGAAGGAATCCAAAGAGACTGAAAAGGAAGATTACCTAAGGAAATGGCCCAACCAAGTCACCTTACAGTAAAGACTCAGAATACTACCTCCATCTGCATGCCCAGCCTTCTAAAATATAAAAGGAGAGAGAACATAAAACACATGTGAAACTGTGTGCAGTGTTGCTGAAGCAAACACACCTTACTAGAATGCAAAGTGATATGAGGCTAGAGAAGTTTTGGGGTCAGATCATGTAGGGCCTTCTACTATATACTAATAGTACCTATAGGTATATATGGGTATATATAATTATAATATATTATAGGTAGCAGATGGTGTTTAAAGATTTTAAATTCAGAGAATAGTGGTGGGTGATGGTTTTGAGAAATTTGAGGCTGGGGGTATGCAAACAAATTAGGAGGTTCAATTTTGAGCTTTTGCACAAAGCTTGTGCTTCCTGTCATGTGTTATTCTGATAGCAGTATCAAGAAATAGTTACATACAATCTGGGCCACAGATATTTAGAATTTTAAAACATGTATTGAGGTCGTGTGGAATGATAACATTATTCAGAGTGAGTGGCTAAAGGAGAGAACCTAAATGAACATGAACATTTAAGGAACAGAGGGCAGAAAAATGTGTTATAACACATTTTTGTTATAACACACATTGACAGAGAAAAAATTATCAAAGAGGTAAAAGAGCATATACTTACCTGAAAACAGAGAGAAGTAATGACAAAGAACAAAGGTCAATCAAGAAAGAAAATGAAAAATTGCTATTGGATCTTGCAATTACATCACCTGTGACCTATCAAAGAGCCGTTTTTAGTGGCATGCATGTCAGGGCTGAAGATGGATGGCAGTATTCCGAGGAAGAAATAAAAGGTGAAGAACAGGGAGAGCAGGTGTGGAACACTCCTTGGAGAAGCTTAGATAAGAAAAGGAAGAATGGGGTGAGGATGGAGATGGGGTGGGAGGGAAACAAGGTTGAGGCAAATATCTTATTTTTATGTTTTTAAGGGAAGAAAGACATTGACTGATGGAGGGAAGAAAATAGAATGGAGGCAATAATTTTAAGACTGAAATCAATTTAAATATGGTCTATGGTCATAGACTAAAGGGAAGAAGGCAATAGAGAGAAAGAGGTTGAAGTTACAGGAAAACAAGCCATCTTTTAACCATGAACTTCTTTCCCAAAGTAGTGGGGTGTCATTATTAGTGAGGCAAAATAATTTTTTTTTGAGACAGGGTTTCGCTCTTGTTGTTCATGCTGGAGTGCAATGGCATGATCTCGGCTCACTGCAACCTCTGCCTCCCAGGTTCAAGCGATTCTCCTGCCTCAGCGTCCCAAATAGCTAGGATTACAGGCATGCACCATCATGCCCGGCTAATTTTTTTGTATTTCTAGTAGAGACGGGGTTTCTCCATGTTGGTCAGGCTGGTCTTGAACTCGTGACCTTAGGTGATCCACCTGCCTTGGCATCCCAAAGTGCTGGGATTACAGGCGTGAGCCACCGTGCCTGGCCGAGGCAAAGTAATATTTTAAAATTCTTCCATGTTACATTCTTTTGTAATAAAAATATTCAACAAAATATTCTTACATTCTAATTCATGAGCTTTTTCTCATAAGTATTTGACAAAACACATTTTAATACAATAAGATAGTCTAAATTTTTTTTGCATTTTAATATAAAGAAATCTTACAGGATCTACATATAAATATAGGATCTACACATAAAAATGTTTCAGAATATTAATTGTAAGTCTTAAATGAGTATTAACTCAGAAAAATCTATGAGTAAGAGGAAGAAGTATAGTCAGAATGCTATTTTCTTTCTTTCTTTGTATAACTTGTCTGCTACGATCAGTTATGTCTAGTATTTTGTCAAATAAGTGGTGACATAATGAAGAATGTCATTGATATGAGATGATGGCAAATTCCAAATTACAACATCAACAACAATACCACTTTGGAAAGAATACTAATGGAAGTAAAAAGCTTTGGTACTAAGTTATCTTGCTAATGAAAGATTATATATTAGGTATTTTTGATATTATGGCTCAACAATTGTGCCATGTTTGATCTTTTTCAGTTGAAATAGTTATTCATAAATACATGCTCATTGTGGTAAATGCATTAAACAGTTAAAATCCAGATAAAGACAAAAAAAGTCACCTGTAATCCCACTGTGTAGCTGTAACCACTTTCAACATTCTGATGTTTAGTCTTAACAAATTTTTGTCTCATACTGATATGTGTATATTCAAAAAATTTTAATTTACAAAAAATACCTCATTCCATACCTACTATTTTAACATGCTTTTTATCTCTTAAAAATATCTTGTGAATACCTAACCATGTCTATAATATATTTTAAAATATTATTTTGTACAGTTATAATATTCCATACTATGGGTATATGGTAATTCATTTAACCAAACCTCTATTTTTAGATATTTAGAGGATTCTGATTATTTGCTATTAAAAATAGCATTGCAATACTTTGTATATTTAATTTGCACATCACTATTTCTTCAGGATAAATTTGTACAAAAGAATTGTATCAGGTAAAGATCTGCATGTTTTTAGGTTTTTGACACAAACTGGCTCCCCAAAAGTTGTATCAATCTATACTTCTACCATCAATGGATGCGAGTGCTCATTTTCTAAAAGCATCATTAACAGTTGGGTTTATAACAAAAATCTTTGCTAGCTTGATAGAGAAAATCAGTTTCTCACTTGCTGTTTAATAAATTTTTAAAAACTTAATAGTAAGGCTAAACTCCAAAAATATGTTTACTGGCCATGGTATCCTTTTGTGAGTATCTGTTCTACCATGTCTGATTTTGATCTTTTCAATTATCAAAGCATTCAGTATAAGATTTCACTATATTTACAAAAATGTAGCCTAATATATTAAATGTATTTTTTAAAAATACTAACAAGTCAAACTAGTTTATTATGGCAAAAATTTCTATGTGCAATATTTAGAGTGTCATGTTACAGAGTAACTATTCCAGAGGCTACTATGAGAAGAAAAATTTCTTTTTGTAGCTTATTTTAAATGACTAGAGGTTGAAACCTTATTTTTTTCAGTCTGAATTTGCTGAATTCTGTTTGTCTTCAGATTATATAATTATGTGGCCAATTTCTTAATAGATTCAATTTATGCATTTTTTCCAGTTTAAAATAATTTATAATGAGAATGCATTCATGTCTAAAATACATTTTGAATCAAAATCTATATTATTTAAGGTTATTTTAGATAACTAACAGTAGAATTCTAAGTATATACAATTTTAATCAAATACTTTTCATAAATCATATCTTTAAATAACAAATGTGTTTAAAAAAAAAAAGAAAAGAGTCCACCCAAGGGTCCAGTGTAAACACATTTATTTACATGGTAAGGCTGTAATGGTTAGATAATTATTTTTGTTGGCACTGGAATGCAATTTCTGTGCCTGCAGAGAGGAAAGTATTACATCTGTGGGCATAATGGTAAGAACATAAGGTTAAAAAGGTAAAAAAGAACCATACGGAGAAACTGTGTCATAAGGGCACGATTTTGCATGATGTGCACAAAACGGTTTGGTCATTTCTAGTCAGAACCCCAATAACTTGCCAAAGGTTTTCTCTAGTCAGAGATTAGACATATTTTTCTCAAACCTATCTTTTTATTTCCTAAGGCAGTAATACTTTAAAATTCCTATATGGAAATAAAAGACTATATATGTGCAGATTATATTTTAGGCCGAATTAGTCGTGAAAAACTAGTTATTTAATGCCTCCATTGTGGTGACCTGCTTGGGGGGCATATTATGCTGTGGATCCTCAGGGCTCCTTCTTGCACTGCTCTTGACCTAGGCTTGGCTCTTGCTTCTGATATCCTGTGCCCCCGCCTTTAATTCTGATGTACCCCAGAGCCTGACCTCTAAATTCCTGGCCTTGATGGATAGAAATCCTGACCCTAATTGCTTGTTTTGTTTGATAATTTGAATTTAGCATTCGTTTTCTTAAACTGAACTCTGTTTCCTATTAACTCTGCATGATAATTAGAAATTATTTAATACTGGTCTTTAACTTTGTATGGACATTTACATCAGACCCACAAAATCAGAAGATATACAATATTAAAGGAATTCTGTAGTTTTGTTCAACAGTTTACTGGTGGCTGTTTTAGAGAACACTGCAAAATGAATTGACAAGTGACTTAAAAACACTGGTCTACAAAGCATGTGTTTGTAGCGCCAAAGGCACTTTATCATTATTATACATGGTATCTTCAAGTTAGTATGCAATACTGATACAGTTTAGCTCTGTGTCCCCACCCAAATCTCATCTCAAGTTGTAATCTCCACATGTTGAGGGAGGGACCTGTAGTTCCCACGTGTTGAGGGAGGGAGGTAATTGGATCATGGGGGCGGTTTTACCCATGATGTTCTTGTGATAGTGAGTGAGTTCTCACAAGACCTAATGGTTTTATAAGTGTTTGGAAGTTCTTCCTTCACTCATCTCTCTCCTGCTGCCTTGTGAAGAAGGTGCTTGCTTCCTCTTTGCCTTCTACGATGATTGTAAGTTTCCTGAGGCCTCCTCAGCCATAAGAAAGTGTGAGTCAATTAAACCTCTTTCCTTTACATAAATTACCCAGTCTCAGGAAAGTTCTCTGTAGCAGTGTGAAAATAGACTAATGCAAATAATATTAAAATCAGGCCATCTTTCTATAGCTCACAATTCTTAACACCTGGAAATTTCCAGATTATTCCATTTCTGAAATCCTATATTTGCTTTTCATGAATACTCAAAAAGAAATTTAATATAAAAAAGAATAAAACACAGTTTACTTAACTTAGGCATCTTTGTCATGAAAATTGGCACTGAAGGAACAATGTAATTAACATCACAAAGAATTTGGGGAAAAGAAAGATTTGACCAATTACTTTCATGTATCTCAAAAGAAATAAAGACTCAGGATTTTTAAAGCCGTTAAATGTATATAGCTGCCATACTAAATACTTAAGCATGGTGAATTTTAAAAATTATTATATATATACTTTTTTTCTTTTTTCTTTTTTTTTGAGATGGAGTCTCACTCTGTTGCCCAGGCTAGAATGCATGGCATGATCTCAGCTTGCTGAAACCTCCACCACCCGGGTTCAAGGGCCTCCCAAGTAGCTGGGACTAAGGGTATGCGCCACCATGCTGGGCTAATTTTTGTATTTCTAGTAGAGATGGGGCTTCACCATATTGGCCAGGCTGGTCTCGAACTCCTGACTTCGTGATCCGCCCGCCTTGGCCTCCCAAAGTGCTGGGATTACAGGTGTGAGCCACTGTGCCTGGCCTAAAAATTATTATTTATAAAGTACCTTTCAGTTTATAGGGTATTTCTACAAATAATTATTTTGTCCTCAATGTAAACTCCATGAGAGAAACATTATCATCCCCATTTTACATTTAAACTTTCTTTGATCACCTCATTTCCAATAGCATTCACCTTTATTCCACTTCGACTGACTTCCTTCTAAATTTCATCTTGTGCTTGCCATCACTCGGAACCAATCCTTGAAAGTACTACATTAGAATACTTTACTCATGGTGTACAGTCTCCTATCTTCCCAGGCCTCTAATTCAATCATCCTTATTATACCCATTCTTCAACCCCATTGGAATGTCTAGGCCTTTCCCCCATCTAACAGTCTTTTTATCTTCACTTTCTTCCCTATCCAGCTTAGGGTCATGGTCATCATTTTAACCTTAGCTTTTATCCCATTGTCTTTTCTTTGCACAAATACAATAAAATATCTAACATAGATGAATCCAGCTGTTCATTGTGGCCTTGCCTATTCCTGAACTGTTGAACTCAAGCTGCTCAGCCAGCATCATGATACATTTACAGTATTAATTTCAACTGAATCTGCAATGTCTGCTGACTGAATCCTTTTATGTTTCATAGTCCGTTGGCTCTCTAGTTCTCTACAATAGTTCTTTCAGATCTGTTTTTTTTTATTTTCCTCAAACTTCCAATCCTGTTATTTCAAAGAAAATAACAGGATTGTTATTTTCCTTGAAAATAACATTTATTTCAAAGAAATAAATATTTCTTTAAGGCTATTACATATATTTTTTGTTTTCCTCAAACTTCTGATCTATTGTTTCAAAGAAAAAAAATAGAAGCTGTTATATAACTTTCTGCCACAGGTAAGAAATTAAACACAGAGAGGTTATGTAAATTGGTCAAAGTCCATAGCTAGTAAAGGGCAAAGCAAATCAGTGTGACTCTATAGTCCAAGCTCTTAACATCTGCATTTAACAGTGTCTCTCACTTTATCCATCTCAGTTACTGCCCTGCCATTCTTCTAGTTCTTCAAGGCAAAAGCCTAGGCTCCATCCTTGGCTCCTTTCTCACCTTCACTATCAACAACTAATTACCTGTCTACTTCTAACTTCACTGGCACTTTCTTAGAGCAAGATGCCACCATCATAGATTTCAGCAACAGCCTTCAAATGTGCTCCAATTCAATCCTGTTCTCTAGACTGAAGACAGTGTGAATAATCTTTCCAAATGCAAACCTACCCAAGTCAACCTACCAACTCCTTAGTTCAACACTCACCAACTCTTTCATGTTTAATTCTTTAGACCAAAGGTTGGCAAACTCTTTTCATAGAAGGCAATATAGTAAATATTTTAGGGCTTGTGTGCCATTCAGTGTCTATCCCAGACTTAATTCTGCTATTATGGCATGAAAGCCACTGTAAACAATATATAAACAAGTGGGCATGGCTTTGTTGCAATAACTTTACAAAAACAGGCAGTGGCTAGATTTGGCTCACAGACTGTACTTTGCCAACCCCTGCTTTAGACATATTACATTGATTTGTTCCACTAACGTTAAATACTTTCTGTGGGCTTGGGGCTATGTTAATGACAAGTTAATGATACAGTGATGAACAAAATACCCACGTTCTCTGCCTTCGCAGAGCTTAAAATTTAGTTGGAATGGAGACACTGATTTTTTTAATTGCATAAATAGGTCAGGCATGGTGGCTTATGCCTGTAATCCCACCACTTTAGGAGGCTGAGGCGGGCAGATCACTTGCATTCAGGAGCTCGAGACCAGCCTGACCAACGTGGCAAAAACCCATCTCTACTAAAAATACAAAAATTAGCCGGGCGCAGTGGCACGCACCTGTAATCCCAGCTACTCAGCAGGCTGAGGCAAGAGAATCACTGGAACCCAGGAGCAGAGGTTGCAGTGAGCCAAGATTGCACCACTGCACTCCAGCCCGGGCAATAGAGCAAGACTCTGTCTCAAAAAAAAAATTGCATAAATATATAAAAATGCTACTATGATAAGGAAAAAAGAAAAATAATTAGTGCTATGGCAGCCTATGAGGTGGAATTGACCCAGACCCAGAAATTCAGAAGGGTTTAATGATGAATGTCATAATTGAGATGAGATTTGAAGAGGGGAAGAAAGGGTATTCTAGGATGAGAGATCAACATTTGGCTAGACCCTTAAATAAGAAGAAACCTGGCTCATTTCAGGACCTGAGAAAGGAAGTGTGGCTAGAATGAGTGACGAGAGAAACATGCATCAGACCATGCATTTTGGGCCACATTCAGGATTTTCATCTTTATCCTAAGTACAATGAAAATCCATCAAATTATTTTGAGGAAGAACTAATAAGATCAGATTTCTATAGCAAAAAGAAAACTATCTCTGTTCACCACAAAAGCCTGAGCACTTAGATCTACATCTGACAAATTGTAGAGATATTATGCAGAAAACATATAAGAAGGGGAAGCAAGAGTAAATGTGGATAGATTACTTAGATGATAGCAATTTGCACTGGGGTGATGAGGAGAAATCTATGAAAAACACAGATTTTGATGATAGGAAATGCAAAAGGTTTAGTGATAGACTGTATTTGGTGGGAAAGCTGAAGAGGGAGCTATCAGCAATTCACTGAAAAGGAGAACACTGGAAGAAGGTCAGGTTTGGTGGGGAAATAAGAGTTTGATTTGGGAGTAGGTTAAGTAGGAGATAACTTTGAGATATCCAGCAGGAGTTCTGTTGTTGTTGTTGTTGTTGTTGCTGTTGTTGTTGTTGCTGTTGTTGTTGTTGTTTGAGACAGGGCCTGGCTCTGTCACACAGGCTGGAGTGCAGTGGCATGATCATGGCTTACTGCAACTTCGACCTCCTGGGCTCAAGGGATTCAATCCTTCCCACCTCAGCCTCCCGAGTATCTGGGACTACAGGCACACACCATCATGCCAGGCTAATTTTTGTATTTTCTTGTAGAGACAGAGTTTTGCCATGTTGCCCAGGATGGTCTCAAACTCCTACGCTCAAGCGATCTGCCTGCCTTGGCCTCCCAAAGTGCTGGGATTATAGGCGCCTAAGTGGAGATTTTAAATAAAGACATGGGTGTATAGACCTGGAATACAAAGAAGTCTGGGCTGGCAATATAAATTTGCTAATTGAATGTGTGGACCTGAGTATATACCTAAGAACATACAGCAGAACAAAAAGAAAAGGAGCTGGCACTGAGCAGGTCATTTAAAAATGAAGTGTTTTGTCATTTAATAGCTAGACAGGAAAGGATGAACCTGCAGAAGAAAAAGAAAAGGCAAACAGCCAAAGAGGTAAGAAGAAACCAGCAGAATGCCCTGACATGGAAGCCAACAGAAAAGAGTATTTCAAGAAACAAGGTGAGTCAACAATGTGGAATGCTGCTGAAAATTCAAATAAGATAAACACTGAAAAACATTCATTGGAATTAGTGAAATGGAAGCCATTTGCAATCTCATTTCAAGTTGCAAAACCTCTTTACGGTATTTCTCCTCAGCTCATCTACCTGTGCTTCCCCCTACCTTCCAATAATGAAACAGAACCTGTAAGATTCTCATAGTAAGACATGTGTATTGGGGGGTGGGCTCTGCATGGATCTGGAGAGGATTAAAAAACTAGAGCTTAAAGAGGAAAAAATTTGGCAGCTTAGACAAAAGCAGGTAGCCAAGCATCTACAATCAAAGACAAATAGCAAAATGCAGCATACTACATAAAGGCAGCTCCTACTGGGGTAAAGCATAAAAATTGTGGCTAAGATAGGCTGAAGAGAGAAGTATGTATACTTTTACTTTTAAGCATTGAATAATATGGTCTCATACATTTCATTCTTTGTTTAGCCATAATCACCAGGGATTTTGTCAGATTTCTTGGAGCTCATTTTCTAGCTAATTGATAATATGGTATATTATACAGTCAGAGAGTACTTTTCTCAAATATATGCAACTAGATGAGAAATAGTATGTGACATCAGCAAGCATAATTCCTGGAATTTAAAAGGTACTCAGTATATATTGATTGAATTTGAATCATTATTACAATTATGAACTAATTTCAGACATGTTATTGATCCATATGCAGTGAAAATTTTGTTACCTTGAATATCATCATTGAATGTGCAATACTGGTTTCGATACTTGTTCAGGAGACGAAATGCATTCACATTGGCAAAATCTTCAAACTGAATAAGGCAATTCATGCCATACCTATGGGACAAAAACATTCATATTAGAAGAGGTTAATAAAATGCTATTTAAAAATAAACTTTTAAAATTAGCCCATAGAAATAGGAAAACATTATTTCCTTTTAAAGGTTCTATCTTGCTGCTTAAGTATAAATATGTAATATAATATCTGTTCAGCAAATATTTACATGCTGACTACAGAAAAGGCATTGTGTTGGCACTGTGAAATAACATAAAATGACCAAAATATGTTCCCTTTCCTTAAGGAATTTAACTTTTAGTGGAAACAAAAATTTTTGAAGTAAATAAGAAGTAATATAAAAGTGGTATAAACAAGGAATGATAGGTGTTCCGAAGATAGATATCACTTCTGGCTGTGATCAAAGACAAAGCAACAAATGAACGAGTTTTAATGAATAGTTATAATTTCAAAAGTAGAGATGTGGGGTTTTATAAGCTGAGGAAAAATAGAAGCAAAATAACTGAGCTGAAAGATAAAAAAGAAAAATTGTTTAAAAAATGGTTTAAAAGCCCTATTTGGCTATAATGTGGTAGTAAATGTAAGGGTGTAGTGAAAGATACGGCCAGATCTTCATTGTGGCCCTTCCATTCCTCCCGTCTAGCTTCATGGGTAAACATGCTTTCTTCAGTCTCTTTTATTAGGGCACTGATGAAACATTCATGAAGGTTGAGTCCTCATGGCTTAATCACTTCCCAAAAGGCCCCATCTCTTAATACTTTCACAATGGTGACTACATTTCAACATATACAACGTAACATGTAATAGTAATGATTAGACCATAGCAGCAGCTTTTACAAACCTTTTATTCTCCTGGTCTCCCAAGTCTCTTACCAGTCACTACCTCACTAAAATCAATGGTAGAGAGAACATTATTAACCTTCTCAGTTTTCCCCTACATTAAAATATTTTGTACTTTTATGTCTATTTTCTTCCTCAACTTGTGAGAATGATTCTTGCTTCCTTGTTTCGAACCTCCCCATGGACCTAACTGAATCAACTGCACCTCTCTATACTAACAGCTGCAATTTCTCCTTTACTACTGGTCCTTTCCTGTCCCCAAGCATTTTCAGGACTACCTGATTTTAAGACCACCTCCCTTGGCCATGACAAAATCAAAGCTATAGTTACTTATCTTTCTTCCCTCTGATGTCAAACCTCTCAGAACAGAGAATGTTAAACCTTGCACTAATTTCTCACTTCTTGTCAACATTATAATTCAAGGACAGTCTCAAACCACTACCCCCTGATATCACAAAGCAGATGATTTTTCTCTCTTTTTCTTCTGATACAATAAAAAACTCTGTAAGTTTGTTATTTCCCTTCAATTATGTTAATTTATATATAATTACATATTTATCTTGGGTAGACTATCTTTTTAAATTACTGTAAAATTCACAGGTGAAAACTGGTGTTAACGTTTTTTGTTTGTTTGTTTGTTTTATTACTAGTGTAGCCTAGCATCTTTTTCTATGTCTATTTGTCATTTGTAATTTTTTCTGGGAGATTCTATGTTCACTTGTTCATTTTTCCATTGTTATAGTTGTTTTCTTTATTATTTCATTAAGAATAGTACCTTCTGTTATATATATTGCAAATGGCTTTTCTAATCTAGTACACTGTGCCATTAATTATTTAGACAGTGTTCCTAATTGTTTTCACCAAATAAATTTTAAATTTTTATGTGGTTAGATCTTTCAATTCTTTTATTTATGGTTTCTCCTTTGATGAAATGCTTACAACAGTCTCCTCTACATATATTTATTTAACTATTAATGAAAATTTCCTCTAATTATATTATAGATTTAGAAAATAGTTAACCTCTAAATCTGGTATACTTTTACTGTTAGGCCATAGATTAAAAAAACAAGCTATACCAAAATTTCTGTTTTCTATATAATCACCCAACTATGTCAGCACCATTTATTTAACAGTCCATCCTTCTCCTCATCACCTATAATTAGATACTATATTCTGATATATAGTAGGGTCTGTTTCTGTGCTTTCCCATTTTATTCTACTACTGCTGATGACAACAAATATGTTTTCCTTTATAAGATATTACACACACACACTTACTCTTCACAACCACTCTATGAAGTAAGCACTATTATTATTCTCATCCAATAGATGAGGAAACAGGCACACAGGTATACCACATTGGTATTGCTCAGTAATGATAGTCTAACAGTAATGATTAGTCTTACTAATCTATCAAGAAAAAAATACCTCCCTGCTTTAATTCCTACAGCTTTATAGTAATTTTAATATTTAGTACTGTTAATCATCTTTTATCCTTCTTTTTAAGTATTTACTTGGCTGTCATACTGGTTTATAAGCATAGGCTCTGGAGTCAGAGCTCCTGGGATCAATCTTGTCCTCCTTACATACCGTGCATCCTTAACTGTTCTGTGCCTCTGATTTCCTATCAGAAAAATGAGAATAGTAACAGCCTATTACCATAAGGCTGTTAGCAGGATTAAATGAAGTGATAAATGTTAAGTGCTCAATGCAATGACTGGCACATGAGTACTCTATAGCCACTTAAAAATCTACAGATTTTAAAAAATTATTTAATAGTAACAATAGAAGCCATAGGCAGGTAAATAATGTTCTCAAAGGGCTAAGAGAAAATAACTGTCATCCTAGACAAAGCTATTCTTCAACAGTAAGGTTTATGTGGCCAATAAACATATGAAAAAAAAGCTCATCATCACTGGTCATTACAGAAATGCAAATCAAAACCACAGTGAGATACCGTCTCACACCAGTTAGAATGGTGATCATTAAAAAGTCAGGAAACAACAGAAGCTGCAAAGGATGTGGAGAAATAGGAACGCTTTTACACTGTTAATGGGAGTGTTAATTAGTTCAACCATGGTGGAAAACAGTGTGACGGTTCCTCAAGGATCTAGAATCAGAAATCCCATTTGACCCAGCAATCCCATTACTGGGTATATACCCAAAGGATTATAAACCATTCTACTATAAAGACACACGCACATGTATGTTTATTGTGGGACTATTCACAATAGCAAAGACTTGGGACCAAACCAAATGCCCATCAGTGATAGACTGGATAAAGAAAATGAGGCACATATATGCCGTGAAATACTATGCAGCCATAAAAAAGGATGAGTTCATGTCCTTTGCAAGGACATGGATGAAGCTGGAAACCATCATTCTCAGCAAACTAACACAAGAAGAGAAAACCAAACACAGCATGTTCTCACTCATAAGTGGGAGCTGAACAATGAGAACACATGGACACAGGGAGGGGAACATCATCACACCGGGGCCTGTTTGGGGGTGTGGGGCTAGGGGAGGGATAACATTAGGAGAAATACCTAATGTAGATGATGGGTTGATGGGTGCAGCAAACCACCATGGCGCATGTATACCTATGTAACAAACCTGCACATTTAGCACATGTACCCCAGAACTTAAAGTATAATAATAAAAAAATAAATAAAAAATAAATAAAATTAAGACATCTTTAGATAAATAAAAATCAAAAGACTTTTACTAAAGAAACTTCTAAAAGGTATATTTCAGAAAGAACAAAAATAATCCCAGTTTAAAAGGCCTATGTATAATAAAATAGTAAAATGTAGGGAAATACAAGCAATTTTTATCCATATAAAATAGTAATAAAAATAAGTCTACTTCTAGCATGACAGAGTGAAGAAGGTGGCAAATTCATTCCCTAAACAGCAACGATATTGCAAGACAAAATATTTAAAACAACCATTTCAGTGCTCTGTAAATCACTAAAGACAAAAAGAAGCAACAATTTAAAAGTAAAATGGGATGGGGGGTCAATTCTGAAGGGAACGTAAACTTTTTCTACTCCTTTTATGTATGATGCCGTTTATCCTCCAAGGAAACACTTTAGCTAGCTGTATTAATAATTACAAAAATGTTACTAAAAACTGGTAAAATCATTTCTATGGTTACAAATTATTACATTTTTATAACCTAGCAGAGAAGCAAACTTCATCATAGCAACTAAGTACCCCAAACACAAATATCAGTCAATAATCATGAGGTGCTTGTAATGGCTCTTCTACTTCTCTGGTTTCTAAGCAGGCCTTTAGAAAGTAAAGACTGTGAGCCTTTGGAGAGTGCTGTCATATGGTTTGCTCCCAATGTATCATATACTGGTGGTCTAGAAGCATTGGATGAGCTGTCATTATGTTCAGAAGGAGCAGAACTCTGTGGTCTCAGTATGTGAGGAGGAATCAGAGCCTTCTCAATTCTATTCCCGGATCTACTACTTACTTGGTTCTGCGGTTTTGCGCTTGTTAGAATTTCTCTGTGGTTAAAATGAAATCCCTACAATATGGTTTGCCTTCAATGTTTAGGACACAATGTGGTCAGGCTATAAATTTATAATGTTTCTTAAGTGAAATCTGGGAATAGGCATAGGTAGTAAAATGGTGTACAGGATACCTTATCATTTACAAAAGTTTATTTTAGAAGTATCCCTTAGAAACTATATATCAGTTTTAGTTTCATGACTTTTCTCTACCTGGTAGTTAACTCTGATTTGACTCCTAAAGATTTAGAGAGAGGAATTCTGAATTCATTTTGTGATACAAGCATCTTGCATCATATAATAAAAGAAAGCCACGTAAGGGATAATTAGTTCCAATTTGAACCCACTTTGTCACTATAAAATTATAAGTAGTGGAACACTGAGAAGTTAGCCAATTCAATTCTACATAACTATGAAAAGAACCTACTATTTTATGATCAAAATACCACATAAAATACTAGGTGCAAATGGTTTTAAAAGTTAACAGAAATAACACCCATAAAATTAACATGTAAAAACTGCAGAGATTTTGCTCCCGTGGCATTGTTAAATGTGACAAATACCATATTACAGTGACTAATCACTATATCTAGCACTATGTGTCAGGCACTATGCTTCATACTTTACAGGGATTATCTCAATTCTGTCAGCAACCCAGTGAAGAATGTATTATCCACTTAACAGATAAAGAAATGAACTCAGTAAGATTAAAAGCCATGGTTGAGTTCATACTGCTAGCAGGTGGTAAGGTCTGCACTGAACCACAGGGCCCAGTGCTATATATACTGGCTACCACAGAGCACCAACAGAGTTATCAAGTCAATGAAATGAATAGCATATTTACATCTGAAAATACTGCACTGATAAAATAAGGGTGTTATAATTTTATCATAAAACTATTAATAGCAAAACAGTATTTGTATGCATTCAACATACCAGGTCCTTTTATTATAGGAAATATATGAACAGATATTGGTGAGAACATGAATCTTTCTTTGATTATAACTGATCAAGAATTCACTGTAACCAGGTTAACCAAGCATGTTTTAATTTTTCCTGAGATATAGTAAAATGTTTTTATAGGATTTATTACATATGGAACATTCAAGATCTAGTGCACTTTAGCTCTGATGAGTACCTTAGGGATAACTTATTCCAAATTACCCATTTTTTATAATGTATTGAAGCTTGAGAGTGCTCAATGAATTAAGCAGCAAATAAGAAACATGGATCTTGCCCTGGAAATGCTCACTGGGAAAATAGTCTCATTGGGAAGACAAAAGGATGTAAGCAAATAACTTAAAGGAGGTTCAGATTAAAAGCAAAAGCAGTGGCACACTGATCACTAAAGGACTGAGGGAAAACAACATGAATTAGGTGAGACTTAAGATGGGCCCTTGGTAGAACTCAAATAAGGAAAAGAGTGGAGTAAAGAACCAATGATAGAATAGAGGTCTCAAAGTTTGTACTGGGGAGATGACAAATATTAGCTTCAAGGACTTTAGAAGATCAGTATTGGTTGCTGAATTTCAGATGATGAATGGTCTTGAATGCTAGAATAAGTAATCCGAAGTTGACACAAATTATCTCTGGCCAAGAACCATTCAAATTCAATTCTTCTTTGTAGGTAACAACGAAGAAGATGGATGTGTTAACTTCTTTCATAGCAATATGGCTTTTGCTCCTACTACTTTACTTCCATATTATTTTGTAACATTTAGACAGTCCTTTCATTTCTCTTACCACTCCTTTTATTATATTTTACTGTTACCTCTTAATTATTCTTTGTGACAGTAGAAATGATGAAGATTCAGCCATAATCATCCATTCTTTTCCCCCATATTCTCATCCCCTCAAGTTTCTTGTCTTCTTAAGGAATTGACAATCATGTTTTACACAAATTACTTCTAAATTTATATCTCTGCTGCTGATCTTTCAAAGAAACAACTCTGTTTCCAAAATGATACCAAGGACTTGAAGAAATTTTATACTATGAATCTTTTTTCTTTTAGAATGAGAGATAAATAATTAAAACAGTATTTCCAACCATTTTTATTTAGTATTTATTTCTCTAAAAGCATCTATAGAATCAAAAAATCACACAACATTTATAGCAAGGACCAAAAAAAAAAAGAATCACAAGCAAAATAGAATCACTATGTTTAGGTGTTGTCTGCTTTTCAAAAAAAATAGCAAACCTAAGAGATTCTGAGTTCCTTAAAATTCAACAAATTTTGAAGTTCGGTTTATAACTAAAGTGGCTATTTAGTATATTTTAATAAAAAGCATTTAAAAAATCCTCCTTGTCTCCAAAATTCATGAAACTTTTTCCCTTGTGATTTTAATTTTATTATTTTGTTGTTGTTTTTAAACTTTTATTTTAGGTTCAGGGGTACATATACAAGGTAGTTCTATAGGTAAATTCATGTTATGGGGGTTTGTTGTACAGATTATTTTATCACCTAGATGCTAAGCCTGGTACACAATAGTTACTTGTTCTGCTCCTCTTCCTCTTCTGATCCTCCACCCTCTGGGGTGGTGATGAGAACACATGGACACTAGGCCCCAGTGTCTGTTGTGCCCCTCTTTGTGTTCAAGTGTTCTCATCATTTTAACTCCCACTTATAAGTGAGAACACACAGTACTTGGTTTTCTGTTCTTGCATTAGTTTGCTAGGGATAATGGCCTCCAGCTCTCCAGCTCCATCCATGTTCCTGCAAAGGATGTGATCTCACTCTTTTTTATGGCTGCATAATATTCCATGGTGTATCAGTACCACATTTTCTTTATCCAGTGTATCACTGATGGGCATTTAGGTTGATTCCATGTCTTTGCTATTGTGAGTAGTGCTCCAATAAACAAAAAAAATGTGTGCATGCATCTTTGTGGTAAAATAATTTATATTCTTTTGGGTATATATCCACTAATGGGATTGCTGGGTCAAATGGTACTTCTGCTTTTATTTCTTTGAGGAATCTCCATACTGCTTCCACAATGGCTGAACTAATTTACACTCCCACCAGCTATGTATAAGCATTTCCTTTGCTCTGCACCCTTGCCAGGATCTGTTATTTTTTGACTTTTTAATAATAGCCATTCTGACTGGTATGACATGGTATCTCATTATGGTTTAGATTTGCATTTCTCTAATGATCAGTGATATTGAGCTTTTTTTCATATGCTTATTGGCCGTATGCATGTTCTTTTGAAAAGTGTCTCTTCATGTTCTTTGCCTACTTTTTAATGGGGTTGTTTTTTCTTGTAGATTTAAGTTCCTTAAAATTCTGGATACTAGAACTTTGTCAAATCCATAGTTTGCAAATATTTTCTCCCATTCTGTAGGTTCTTTGTTTACTCTGTTGGTAATTTTTTTTTTTTTTTTTTTGCTGTGGAAAAGCTTTTAGTTTAATTAGATCCCATTTGTACATTTTTGCTTTTGTTGTGATTGTTTTTGCCATCTTTGTCATGAAATCTTTGCCTGTTCCTATGTTCAGAGAGCCATTTCTCAGTAAAGCAAGGAGGTAAAGGGAACATCCAGTGAGGAAGTGAGGAGGTAAGGTAGCCTGTTGTTAAAGTGCGGGTTTCCAGTTAAACAGTGGAAAGATCTGAGAAGAAGAAGTGTTGGGAGTCTGGTTTAGGGAAGATGAAGCACAAAACGTGAAGTATGAAAAAGCATAGGCCGGGCGCGGTGGCTCACGCCTGTAATCCCAGCACTTTGGGAGGCCGAGGCAGATGGATCACCTGAGGTCAGGAGTTCGAGACCAGCCTGGCCAACATGGTGAAACCCTGTCTCTACTAAAAATACAAAAATTAGCTAGGCGTGGTGGCAGGCGCTTGTAATCCCAGCTACTTGGGAGGCTGAGGCAGGAGAATCACTTGAACCCAGGTGGTGGAGGTTGCAGTGAGCCGTGATTGCACCACCGCACTCCAGCCTGGGCAACAGAGCGAGAATCCATCTCAAAAAAAAAAAAAAAAAGAAAAAAGAAAAAGCATGAAGTATGTGGAGGCATACATGAAAAGAGACAAATGACATGTTATTTTTACATTTTAATAGGCAACCAAGTATAACAATAATGTGAAGCAAGACTTTCTAATTATGTGCACAGGCCATCTGATGGACGGCAAAGGTGGAACATGGGGAGATGAGTATGTGAAAGAGGGAACATCATGGCCTCTGAGCTGAAGGCAGCATGGGTACAGGCTCAAATCCTCAGAGAAGCTTTGGCTCTAAAGGACTTATCTGTGCTTCAACATACCACTGTATTCTCCTATTTCTAGTTTGTACCATTCCTTATGCCTAAAATGCCTTCATATAAGGGATGCAGAAATTTAGAAAATGCTTTTATAAACTCCATGTGCAAACTTACAATAGAGAATTAAAGGTCTCCTCAAAGCATGTTCCAGTAAATACCTCATCTCCAACCTCAATCATGTCATTTACTTCTGTAGTTTGAATCACTAAATCTGTGACTTTTTCTCCATTTAGCCTGAATCAAACTGTTTATTTCTAAAAGCCAGCAACTTCTATGAACACTAAGGGTCACATATTCAGCAGAAAAGAGAATTGTATATTATTTTACTGAAGAATATTACAGTCATAAAATTTTAGATCTAGAAATGTCCTCAGAGATGATTTAGCAATAACTAATGACCAGGAAGGTTAAAAAACACCCAAGGTTCCAGAAAAATATATGGTAGTGAGTGTTGCCATCTAAGAGAAAAGCCAGAGGGACTAAGTCCAATAGCCACGTACGGTAGAGCAGACCTTTTTGGTAATGTAGTAAGATACCTTCTATCTTATTTCATACTACAAGAATACAGAATATTTTCAGGTAAGTTTATCAGAATTTATTACCAGCACATCTCATTTTATTGTGCTTTGCTTTACTGCACTTTGAAGATACTGCCATTTTTTTACAAATTGAAGATTTGTGACAACCCTTGTTGAGCAAATCTATTGGGACCATTTTTTCCAACAGAATGTGCTCACTTTGTGTCTCTGTCACATTTTGGTAATGCTCCCAATATTTCAAACTTTTGCATTATTATTATATGTGTTATGATGACCTGTGATCAGTGATCTTTTATGTTACCATTATAATTGCATATAAGATGGCAAACTTAAGCAATAAATGTTGTGTATGTTCTGACTGCTCCACTGACTGGCCACACCCATGACTCTCTCCTTCTCCTCAAACCTCCCTATTCCCTGAGACACAACACTATTGAAATTAGGCCAATTAACAACCCCACAATAGCCTTTAAGTGTTCAAGTCAAAGGAAAAGTCACACATCTCTTTAAATCAAAAGCTTGAAATGGTTAAGTTTAGTGAGAAAGGAATGTTGAAAGCTGAGACAGGACAAAAGTTAGACCTGTTGTACGAAGCAGTTAGCCAAGTTGTGAATGCAAAGGAAAAGTTCTTGAAGTAAACTAAAAGTGCTACACTAGTGACCACATAAATGATAAGAAAGCAAAAAAAGTCTTTTTTTGGGAGTCTTTTGATAGGGAGAACGTTTGAGTGATCTGGATAGATTAAGCCAGTCACAACATTTCCTTAAGCCAAAGCCTAATCCATAGCAAGGCCCTAACTCTCTTCAATTCTATAAAGGCTGAGAAAGGTAAAGAAAATGCAGAAGAAAAGTTTGATGCTAGCAGAGTCTGATCCGTGAAGTTTAAGGAAAACAGCTGTCAACATAACATAACATAACATAACATAACATAACATAACATAACATAACATAACATAACATAACATAACATAACATAACATAACATAACATAACATAACCTGCAAGGTGAAGCAGAAAGTACTGATGTAGAAGCTGCAGCAAGTTATCCAGAAGATCTACCTAAGCTCATAAATGAAGGTGGTTACATTAAAGACCAGATTTAAAATGGAGACAAAATAGCCTTCTGTAGAAAGATGATGGCATCTAGGGCTTTCATAGCTAGAAAGGAGAAGTCAACGTCTGGCTTCAAAGCTTCAAAGAATAGGCTGACACCCTTGTTAAGGTCTAATGCAGCTGGTGACATTAATCTGAAGCCAATGCTCATTCACCATTTTGAAAAACATAGGTCCCTTAAGAATTATGCTAAATAGACTCTGTCTGTGCTCTATAAATGAAACAACAAAGCCTGGGTAACAACATATCTGTTTACAGCATGGTTTACTGAATATCTTAAGTCTGCTAATGAGACCTACTGCTCAAAAAATTAGATTCCTTTCAAAATATTGCTGCTTATTGGCAATGCACCTAGTCAGCTGAAGAGCTCTGATGGAGCTGTACTAGAAAAATGTTTTCATGCCTGCGAACACAACATCTATTCTGCAGCCCATACATAGAGAGGCAATTTAAACTTTCAAGTCTTATTATATAGAAAATGCACTTCCTAAAGTTATTGCTACCCTAGACAATAATTCCTCTTATGAATTTGGGCAAAGTAAATTGAAAACCTCTGGAAAGGGTTTACCATTCTAGATGTCCCTAAGAACATTTGTGATTCATGGAAGGAGGTCAAAACATCAACATTAATGGGAGTTTGGAAGAAGCTAATTCCAACCCTCATGGATGACTTTGAGGGGTTCAAGATGTTAGCAGAGGAAGTCACTGCAGATGTGGTGGAAATAACAAGTAGAACTAGAATTAGAAGTGGAGCTTGAAGATGGGACTGAATTGCTGCAATCTCATTATAAAACCTGAATGGCTGAGGAATTGCTTTTTCTGGATGAGCAAAGAAAGTGTTTTTTTGAGATGAAATTTACTTCTGGTGGAGATGCTATGAATACTGTTGAAACGACAACAATTTAGAATATTTAGATTTGGAATATCACATAAACTCAGTTGATAAAGGAACAACCTGGTTTGAAAGGATTGACTCCAATATTGAAAGAAGTTCTACTGTGGATATAATGCTGTCAAATAGCATTGCATGCTACAGACAGATCTCTCATGAAAGGAAGAGTCAATTGATGTTGCAAACTCCATTACTGTCCTATTTTCAGAAATTACCACCTCACCCAACCTTCAGTAACCACCATTGTAATCAGTCAGCAGCTATCAACATCAAAGCAAGACCCTCCACCAGCAAAAAGATTATGACTCTCTGAAGGCTCAGATGATCATTAACATTCAATAGCAATAAAGTTATTTCTTAATTAAGGTAGACAAATTTTTTAAACATAATGCTATTGCATACTTAGTATCCTACAGTATAGTGTAAACACAAGTGAGTTTTATTTTATTTTATTTTATTTTTTGGAGACAGGGTCTCACTCCATCATCCAGACTGGAGTGCAGTGGCATGATCACAACTCACAGCAGCCTCAACATCCCAGGGTCAAGTAATTTTCCCATTTCAGCCTCCCTAGTGGCTGGGACCACAGGAGTGTGCCACCATGCCTGGCTAATTTTTCTTTTAATGTTTTGTAGAGACAAGGGCTCACTACATTGCCCAGGCTAGTCTCAAACTCCTCAGCTCAAACTATTCACCCGCCTTAGCCTCCCAAAGTGCTGGGATTACAGGTATGAGTCACCGGGCCTGGCCTTAAACACAACTTTTCACTGAGAAACCAAAAAATTCATGTGACTTGCTTTATTGTAGTATTTGTTTTATTGTGGTTGTCTGGAACCAAAGCTGCAATATCTTTGAGGTATGCCTGTATTCAAATGAATATGAATGTTATTTATCTTTCTGTGCACACTTTCAGACCATATATTTATGCAATGATGCTGCAACTGCTCAACTACTTTCAACTACAAGGTGAATTTAAAATCAATTTTATTGCTTGATAGTTATATCTTGCAGGTAACTTTCTATCCTTTTTCCTCATTGGCAATAACAGATTTGAACAAGTATTTTGTGAACTATAATTGAATATGAATACTAATTGGATCATATTCTCATTCTGATTATTCTCAAAAGTCAATATCCACTTCAAAGGATTTTTCCTGAAATGTCACCATTATGATACTTAAAATAATTGCTTGTAGGCTCTATACATAATCTTCAAAGAGGCATTCCAAAAGCATTATAAACATTAGCAGTTATCATTGTACAGCGTTCCAGAATACTACTTAGAAAAAGATAACAATCATTCAGATCTTCGTTTTTAAAAAAATCAAACTATTTTATAGTGAGACCTCAAAATCAAAAGAAAAATTTAAAAAGGACTTTGCATGTATAACTGCTTAAAATAAAAACTTTGAAAGCCAATATCCATTCTTAGGCCACAGAGTAATGGAAATCCATGCATATTATTCAAGAATAATCAGAATGGTACATTTAGAAATAGCTGAAAGCACAAATCCAATGTAAAGTACAAATCTAGCTTCTCTGGCACAATCATCTGGAATAATGTCAAAGTCTGAATACTAACCATCTTCCATAATTAGCACTCACTTATCAATAACATGTCCTGAGTTATGTCTATTTATAATTCCAAATTAATAGTTTCTTATGGCAGTATTATTGTCTAATACTAATTAAATGCCAGTATTATTGTCTAACACTAATCAAAATTAAATACTAATTAAAATATTATGTTCCCTGTTTTATAAATAAGCTCGTTTCCTCTCATATACTGAGGACATCATGAACTAAGCCATCATACGTCCAGTGGTATTGAAGATATTTAAGCCCAAACTGTTTTAGAATTGCTTCCATTGGCACCGGTATGGGTGCAATTACCTGCATGCCAATCTCTACCCACCCTTAAAATAGTGCAATAATTAGTTGATTTAATCTGACATACTACTAAAATTAGAATTCTACTGGCAGAGTCTCTGCTTCATTCCTAACAATTTTTAGGGACAAAACATGATGCCGTCTATGTAGTTCTAATAATTGTTTTGACTTCCTTTCACATTAAACCATTTATGAATGACTCTGGAACTTTTTTTGAATTAACAAGTATGCTTATATTTCAGCCTAAATTTTCAAGAATGCAACTTCGTCTCTGCAAAATTGACAAATTTCCATAATCTGATTAACAAAGCTATATTGTAGGTAGTTTATCTTTTAGGAAGGGTAATTTTGGTAGTTTACTGAGTTTACTAACATAGGGATGTGTGGAAGCTCAATAATTTATTATTTTTAAACTAATAATTTTATTCTGGTATCACTGAGAAATATAAAACAACACAAGAAATTTCTGCACCTAAAACAATACTTACTAAAAAGAACCCAATAATCCAGCAGATTATTACAAACAAATTGAGCCTTTTGGGTTAAAATCTCAAGTCTATCCACTGCCCTTCTAAGAATTCCTTGTGCAATTCTAAATCAATAAAAAGAACTGGAAAAAGTATACTCAACAGAGATCAAATGAACAACCCCAGGCCACTTACTACTAAGCAAAATACTCAGGTTTTGAAAAAGTCTGACCCTGTCAGTAACCTGATTAGTCAAAGAGGAAATAAAAATCTGATAATTTTGCTCTCAGTGCAGCCCAGTCAGAGGAGAACAGTTTTAGCCTCTCTGATGAAAAATGTCTAAATAAAACTATGTCTCTTAAGGAGGCATACATGACAAGATGTATAAACTTTGCATTTTCTAGATAGGAGTATTTTGGTCCAACTGTTTTCCAGAGATGTGCAAGAAACATAAGTAACTTCTGAAACAGATAATTATGGTTCATGTTTGCAAATGCCTTAGAATTCCACTCACTTCTGATACTAATAGACTAATATGGTCAAAAGAAATACTGAATAAATCTCTCATATATTGTTTTCCTTTTATATATAAACATAGATATTCTGTATATGTGATATCCATTGACAATCCATTGAAAAATATTAGCAGAACAAGAACACAGATATATGATATTTGATAGTCATTTATTAAAAGCCAATAGGTCCAACATTCTCCTCACTTAAACAGCCTAAGTGATCAATTCAAGTGTCACATTCTTCTTTTTTTCATACTCCATTAGAGTTTATACTGAATAATGAAACTGAAAAAAGGTGGCATGCTCTATAAAGAAAATACATCTGCTTTTACATTCTATATGTTCTAAATTGCCACTTTTCATTCCTTTTCTTTTTGAAGTTGTTAGCTGAACTGCAGAACAGATCAGGTCCCAGATTTCTTGTTAAATGATCTACTCATCTCTTTTCTGCCTAAGGCCTTCTCAAAAATAAAAAAATTGATATTTATATAGGACAAATCCTATAAAGAAAATGCCTGGAAAATCTAAATATTGATAATAAAATCTATAAAGTTGCCTAGATAAACAATAAGGTATTATAGTAGCTTTATTTCAGGGTAAGACTTTTTCTGTGCCTTGCTTTCTTTTAAATTAACTTAAATGATGTGTTATTTACATACAATAAAAGTACTCCTATTAAGTATACAATTAGGGTAAGTTCCGATAAATGTATCTTATGTCTCACCTTTATAAAGGTAAGGTATAGAATATTCACAACATTCCCAAAAGTTCTCTTGTGGCCCAACTCAGTCAATCCCCAGTCCAGCACGGGCCCCAGAAAGTCACTGATCTGCTTTCTAGTACTGGAGATTAAACTTTTTCGAGACAGAGTCTCACTTTGTCACCCAGGCTGGAGTGCAATGGTACAATCTCAGCTCACTGCAGTCTCCACCTCCCGGGCTCAAGCGATCCTCCAGCCTTAGCCCCATAAGTATCTGGGACCACAGGCGCGCATCACCATGCCCCGTTATTATTATTATTATTATTATTATTATTATTATTGTATTTTTGGTAGAGATGGGGTTTCACTATGTTGCCCAGGCTGGTCTTGAACTCCTGAGCTCAAGCAATCTGCCAGCCTCGGCCTCCCAAAGTGCGGGGGTTATAGGCATGAGCCACTGTATCCAGCTCACACTTTTGAGAGGTTAAATTAATACAAGCCTTTGGAATAAACTCTGGCACATAATAAGGATTCACTAAATATTAGTTATTGTTTGCTCAGTGGGATTTTGTTGTTTATCACAAGAGCCACGAGTAAGCTTGGTGGTATATTAAACCATGATTGAGTAAGCAATGACCCAGGAATATTTATTGGTCCTTTCCTTAGATATCTGTGTATATTTAGGTAAGTGTTACTATAGTATGTGGGTAAAGGTAGTATGATCCCAAATGAAATACTCAGTGCTAATAAACAGTTTCAGTCTAATTACCTTTCAGTTATTGATTCATTTATTTTCTAAATCTTGTTCCTCTATCATTTATGTTTGTTTTTTTTCTATAATAAACTGTACATGCAAGTATATAATACATAGACAAGACATATATAATAAAGTATATATGCAAGTAACATTAAGGGATATTAATTGTGACATTTAAGAAATATTCTTGGGAGGCTTTGATTATATGCCTTTTCCATCATAAAGTACACCATATTTGGATTTCATAATACACAAATCTTGAGACTGTTCTGTTAGTTTACTTTAGTGGAGGTATTATGAAGTAGTTAAACAATAACATAAAACATTACTAAGACAATGCATAAGTCAAAATATAGCCAGTTTTCTAAATTGTCTAATTGGCTTTCCCTCCTGAAATGCATTTTTTCAGATATACCCAACTGTTCCCCCTTTTTATATCAATAATTTAATAAAATTTGAAATAATTACAGGCCTAAATGAATCTAGCTATAAAAAGAGATTGGGAAAGAAGTTAGTAACTAACGCATTCTGGTTGTGCTCTTGTCCTCGGAGACTAGGTTAATGAGAATTTGGAAGAGGATTAAGTCTTCCAAAATGACCCAAACGGATTTATTACAATGAGATTCTAGTGCCTATCTTCAGTTTTTAAACTAGGAGGCTGTCCAAATGTAAACTTCTGGAATATGTAGGTGTTTATAAAAATAAAAGTCTTCATTAACTTCTAAAAATATCTTTGTCTCATTCCAAAATTCTGTATTACTCCATAGCAAGAAAAATAACCTCTGTATTGCTCTAAAACTTCTTGTGAAATATAGACCCAGAGGTCTGGATTTATAGGTCTCTGTAATGCTTTTTTACAAATATATCATATATCTCATTCTTTAATCCATCTAATGGGAAAAAACATAGTACATCAAAAAATGGTGCTGCAGCAAGGGGTGGGGTGACCTGTACTCGTGTAAGTAAAATGAATGATATTACCATACTTCAGTTGATTTGTGTAATAAATTCCTATTTGATTTTTCTAAGACATTATACATTTAAAAAACATATTTCTTATCAGACCATATCTGCTTTTACATTCTATATGTTCTAAATTGCCACTCTTCATTCCTTTTCTTTTTGAAGTTGTTAGCTAAACTGCACAACAAATCAGGTCCCAGATTTCTTGTTAAACGATCTAC
This sequence comes from Homo sapiens, assembly GCF_000001405.40. Classification (NCBI taxonomy): domain Eukaryota; kingdom Metazoa; phylum Chordata; class Mammalia; order Primates; family Hominidae; genus Homo; species Homo sapiens. The sequence goes on from NC_000006.12 coordinate 83,270,364, forward strand.
TCCACATAAAAATCTCTTTTCTCCCTAACGCCTTCTCAAAAATAAAAAAAAAATTTGATATTTCTATAGGACAAATCCTATTTAATTATTATACTTTCCTCTGACAAAAGTGATCACCATATCCTATAGTGATTAGAAACAGCTGAGAAACTGGGTTTCTCAGAACTGCACACTACTGCATGCAGTAGTGGCACGCTAATGGAGGGCATTAACTGGGATTTTGCAAAAATAGCAATCCTGACTAACTGATTTTGGAAACACTTGGCAAAGCAAAACAGAGGGGTTTCTTCACTCAGCATTCAAGTTCTCTGAACCCTAACATGCTTCTATAAACTAATAATCTCTGAGAAGAGGATGCATAATATGTGGAATTTCTCATTCTTATTTTGCTAGAAAATACCTTTTCACAGTCCACAGGAGTTGAAAAGATTACTGAAAAGACTACACATGCAATTCTTAAAACAGAGTAAGAAAAGTTCTAAGTTGTTCAACAGTTTATAATAAAAAGGAAAGGATTCATAACTGTTCCACACTAATAAATAACATAAGAATGTCATTTTGGGAGAAGAAAATTTAAACAAACAAGATAAATTTATAATCAAAGCCAAACAAATTTAGTTAATTTCAAATGAAGTAAAGTTGTGGCTAGGTGAAGGAGTAAAAAAAAAAAAAAAATCTAACTAGAAAACTGACACTACAATGTCAGGAAAGGGGCTTTTACTTTCCGGTAATATAAAATGAAAAGGTCTCAAGACGAATGGGCCCATAATTTGGGACTATTCCCACCTCAGATTACTTGCTGATACAGCACTAACTCTTTTCAAAGATAGGATTATTAAGTAGTAACTAACTTCACAAAGCTCCAGAAAATTCGAAAGGGATAAAAATTTAAAAACAAAGTAAGTTAAATGACAATTTACAGACACAAATTGTCTGAAAACCATTTTCTCTTTTCCTGGGGTGGCTCTATCAGGTCATAAGTGAAAAGAGCTGTGTGGCAGTTTAATGGAAAAGGGGAGAATGTGGCTACAACTGAGTCACATGGAGGCTGCAATTGGTTTTTTGAAATTTGGCAATGTTGAATAATAAGCATATGTGGAATAAAGAGGTTCCCATTCCTCTTTCTCATATGAACCTATATTAGTCATTGATATGATTAGTCTTTCTCATATCAACTACATCAGTCATTAGTCACGTATTAGTCATTGTGTTTTTCTGTAAACTGATAACAGTAATACGTTGTGGGTTCTGTGGTATCCAGAAAAAATGGTTAAAGTTTATATTTTCAAACTCCCAGTTAAGAAGAAACTTGGCAATAAAGGCGAATACAGATTCAGAGCAATCTTGGTGGCAAATCAAAATATTAAGTATGGGACATTCCAAATTCTCCACATACCAAGGAATGTAAAGACATAGCAAGTTATAACTTCAAGTAAAAATATTCAATTTCATAATAAAAATGTAAGACACTAAGGGCAACATATTATTTTTTATTACTTTTTTTAAAAAATTGTGGGTACATAGTAGGTGTATATATTTATGGGGTACATGAGATATTTTGACACAGGCATGCAATGCATAATAATCACATCATGGAAGATGAGATATCCATCCCCTCAAGCATTTATCCTTCGTGTTACAAACAATCCAATTATACTCTCTTAGTTATTTAAAACTGCACAATTTTGCATTTCAAGTTTTCATGCACAAAATGCACAGGTGACTATAGTCACCCTGTTTTGCTGTTAAATACTACTCATTCTATTTTTTGTACCCGTTTTAAAATGTGGACATCATTAAACCAACTCACCTGATATATTAAAGGATCCTAGAGATATGACTATGAAATATCCTTAACAGGGCTACCAAATAAACAAATCTATAAAAATTTACTGTAAAACAATAGACACAAAAAAGCCTAAACACTCTCATGAAATCCTAACAGAGAAGCATTTTTTTTTCTGAAATATAATGTGCTATCTTGAATTTCCATATTGGTGTGTGTTAAGTTTTTAAAGATACCAATTTCAAGTGTTACAGAAGATAATTTGTGTGTAACATACTTTAATTGTATCTAAAAACAACATTCTAGGCCTTAAAATTGAGGTATATAATATTTTTAAAAACCATATGAAAGAGAAGTTGAAACAAAGGATATCCAGGTTAAAGTCAGGGAGACTCACATATTATGCTTGCAAATATTCCCACGGTTCTATACTTCAGGAAAGCTGTGCTTTTTTTCTTTTACGGGTGATTGGAAAGGCAATGCAGTCAGCTACTTACCCCCTAAGTCCAAGGATTAGATTCAAACAACTAAATGCAAGATAAAGCTTCCTCTAAAACTGAGGACATACATCTCACATTCACAGAATTAGTCTCTCTTTATAGACTTAGCAGGTATATATGCAGATAATATTTATATGCGTATACATTTATATTGATATTTATATGTGTATTTATGGAATTAATCTTTACATGTAAACTAATTCTCTAAAAGCAACTAATAGCTCCTTAGAATATAGGCAAAAGGGCCAGGCGTGGTAGCTCACGCCTATAATCCCAGCACTTTGGGAGGCTGAGGCAGGTGGATCACCTGAAGTCAGGAGTTCAAGACCAGCCTGGCCAGTATGGTGAAACCTCGTCTCTACTAAAAATATAAAAAAATTAGCCGGGCATGGTGGTGGGCACCTGTAATCCCAGCTACTCGGGAGGCTGAGGCAGAAGAATTGCTTGAACCCAGGAGATGGAGGCTGCAGTGAGCCAACATGGTGCCACTGCACTCCAGCCTGGGTGACAGAATGAGACTCTGCCTCAAAAAAAAAAAAAAAAAAAAAGACACTGTATAAAGCTGTAATACTAGTTTCTAAAATGAGAATTTCAAATTGTCCCTTTTAAGAA